>NC_000007.14:140631779-141256779 GCF_000001405.40 Homo sapiens
AGAGTATTAAGTAGAGAATCCCTCTGAGTCTCCAGGGTGCTGGAGACATTGCCCTGGCTGAAGATCCCAGAGCACGAGGCAAGCTGCTTCGGGAAGTTCCTTTCTATCTTCGCGGTCACCACCCCGACCAAATCTGCGGCTGAGAGACTAGTCTCACTCCAAGCTCGGGAGATGCAAGTTCTATGTCTTAGGCTGTCCTGTCATTTCTATCTAGTAACCAAACTAGAGCATATAGCTTCTCCCCCAACCAAGTTCAACCTGGACCATGCCGGGTCAGTCTGAATTGTGATTTGCTGTGTGATCCCTTACAAATGCCTCTGCTTGGTCATCTGGGGAGGTTTAGCCTATATTTACCAGGCACATGAAATGCCAAATAAAATTATAGAAGTGTCCTGTTTTAATGCTTCAAAGTTTGCTGGAAGAAGACAGGCAGTTACTATTTTTCCATGGTGAGCTGGGAGAGGCAGTGAAAGTAGAATCTGACTCCTCTGATTCATTGAATGGGAGCAAGAAGGAAGTTCATATGCAACCTTGGACTACCCACCTGGCTTCCTCCCCTTCCCTAAACTCAAGCCTCAACTCTAGATGTGGATAAGAAAGGTGGTGGGAGATAGACAGAGGGGTGGTACCAAATCACTTCTGGCTGGGTCAACACACCTGTCCCAGCAAGGAGAATGAATGAGCATATCCAACTCTCAGCCTTTACCAGCGTGGCCACAAGGTGCAGTTTGCAGGGACAGTCCAGGTTAATTAAGCCTATTGTACATCAATTAACAACTTACTTTTAGTGCTTTTTTTCTTTTTTTGAGAAGGAGTTTAGCTCTAGTCAACCAGGCTGGAGTGCAGTGGCGCGATCTCGGCTCACTGCAACCTCTGCTTCCTGGGTTCAAGTGATTCACCTGCCTCAGCCTCCTGAGTAGCTGGGACTACAGGCGCCTGCCTCCACACCCGGCTAATTTTTGTATTTTTAGTAGAGATGGGGTTTCATTGGCCAGACGGATCTCCAACTCCTGACCTCAGGTGATCCGGCCCACCTCAGCCTCCCAAAGTGTTGGGGTTACAGGCATGAGCCACCATGCCTGGCCTTTTTTTTTTTTTTTTTGAGACAGTCTCCCTCTTTTGCCCAGGCTGGAGTCCAGTGGCGCAATCTCAGCTCACTGCAACCTCCACCTCCTGGGTTCAAGCGATTCTCCTGCCTCAGCCTCCTGAGTAGCTGGGATTATAGGCGTGTGCCACCATGCCCAGCTAATTTTTTTTTTTTTTTTTTGAGACAGAGTCTTGCGCTGCCGCCCAGGCTGGAGTGCAGTGGCGCAATCTCGGCTCACTGCAAGCTCCGCCTCCCGCGTTCACACCATTCTCCTGTCTCAGCCTCCTGAGTAGCTGGGACTATAGGCACCTGCCACCATGCCCGACTAATTTTTTGTATTTTTAGTAGAGATGGGGTTTCACCATGTTAGCCAGGATGGTCTCCATCTCCTGACCTCGTGATCCACCCGCCTCAGCTTCCCAAAGTGCTGGGATTACAGGCGTGAGCCACCGTGCCTGGCCCTAATGTTTGTATTTTTATAGAGATGGGGTTTGGCCAGGCTGGTCTCAAACTCCCGACCTCAAGTGATCTACCCGCCTTGGCCGCCCAAAGTGCTAGAATTACAGGTGTGAGCCACCGCGCCTGGCCTAATGCTCTCTTTTTACTTTCTCTACAGTCCTACTTTGTGTATATGGTTACCCTATATTTTACCTACCATAAACTTGCAGAGAATTTAGTGCTGAATCAAATTTGACCATTATTGCATCTTCTCTGCTGAGAAGTGGGGAAGTGTGAGGGAGAGAGAGAGGCCCTTGAAATTGCTTTGCTAGGTTGGCTCTTTTGTGTCACTCGGTCCACCCATCCTAGGTTTCAGCCTACACAACATGTGGAATCATGGTGATGTGCCATCAAGGTTATGGAAACACGAAACCAACAGCAAGAGACGAACTTGGGACAACACGGAAGACAATCTATAAAGATTTTTTTGAGACCTCTGTTGCCCAGGCTGGAGTGCAGTGGTGTGATCTCGACTCACTGCAATCTCTGCCCACCAGGCTCAAGTGATCCTCCCACTTCAGCCTCCAACCTCGGCTACTACCAACAATGCTGCCACAAATACTCTCCAACACTTGTTCTAATATTTTTCTAAGATAAATTCCTAAAAATGGAATTGCGAGATTAAAATAGATTTCTTTTTTTTTTTTTTTCCGAGACAGAGTCTCGCTCTGTCACCCAGGATGGAGTGCAGTGGCGCGACCTCGGCTCACTGCAACCTCCACCTACCGGGTTCACACCATTGTCCTGCCTCAGCCTCCCGGGTAGTTGGGACTACAGGTGCCCGCCACCACGCCCGGCTAATTTTTTGTATTTTTAGTAGAGACGGGGTTTCACCGTGTTAGCCAGGACCGTCTTGATCTCCTGACCTCGTGATCCGCCTGCCTTGGCCTCCCGAAGTGCTGGGATTACAGGCGTGAGCCACCGCGCCCGGCCTAAAATACATTTCAAAGCCACATACTTAATGAATCTATTTGTGCCAAGTGATGGTTATTTTGAAAATGAGATTCTAATACTCCCTTTTAAAACAATAATAAGATATAGTACCTCTCTGTTCCTTAACCCAATTGTACCCACACTGGTTTTGCCCCGAATATTTTATGAATTTCTATTTAATATGAACATTAAAATTCATACTGTGGCACATGCATAGAGGCAATGTATTATATTTTGAGTTTTGTTAACTTTTAAAAGAAAACGTATTAAAATTAGAAATTTAAAATTTTTGGCCAGGCGTGGTGGCTCATGCCTGTAATTCCAGCACTTTGGGAGGCCAAGGCCAGCGGATCACTTGAGGTCAGGAGTTCCAAACCAGCCTGGCCAACATGGTGAAACCCCCTCTCTACTAAAAAATACAAAAACTAGCCAGGTGAGGTGGTGGGCGCCTGTAGTCCCAGCTACTTGGGAGGCTGAGGCAGGAGAATTGCTTGAAGCTGAGAGGCAGAGGTTGCTGTGAGCTGAGATCGCACCACTGCACTCCAGTGCAGCTACTTGGGAAGCTGAGGCAGGAGAATTGCTTGAACCCAGGAGGTGGAGGTTTCAGTGAGCCAAGATCACGGCACTGAACTCCAGCCTGTGTGACAGAGCAAGACTCCGTCTCAAAAAAAAAAAAAAATTTTGGCCAAGTGCAGTGGCTCATGCCTGTAGTCCCAGCACTTTGCAAGGCCGAGGCAGGTGGATTGCTTGAGTCCAGGAGTTTGAGACCAGCCTGGGCAACATGGGGAAACTCTGTCTCTACCAAAAATACAAAAATTAGCTAGGTGTGGTGGTGCGCACCTATAGTCCCCGCTACTCAAGAGGCTGAGGCAGCAGGATCCCTTGAGCCCAGGAGGTAGAAGCTGCAGTGAGCCATCATTACACCACTGCACTCCAGCCTGGGCAAAAGAGCAAGACGCTGTCTAAAAATAAATAATAATAAAAATAAATAAATAAGTAAATGTTTTATGACAAATATAACTTTCATAGATTACATATAAAGTTTATAAGTAAACCTACAATTTTTAAGTGTACTTTTTTAGAAGACAAAACAACAAAAGGAAATGCATTTGGCATTCTGCTTGAAGTGGTCTGATAAGCCCTTCAGATAAGATCCGCAGTGTACGGAAGGCCTGGGGATCCCGGGAGGAGGGGTCACAGCCAAGGTTGCGGCTCCCTGTACTGGCCCCACTCTCCAGCCAATGATCCCTGCTTTCATTTCCTTCTGAAGGGATGCCTATGACCTCCTGGTTCCCTACCACTGAGGGAAGCTAACCTCTTCCCTAAGCTTGCTGCAAGGGTGACCCACCCCTTCCTTCCCCAAGGCCAGGGGAAAAAACGATCACTTGGTTTCCCATAGTTCAGCCAGTTGGAAGAGTGGGTCTCAGGCTTATCTGTTCTTTAGCCCCTCTGAACTGCAAGCCAGGGACAAACGTGCCAAAGAGAAGCTGAAGGTAGAGTCGCAATTCTAGGCCCAGCTGGCAAAGAACTTAACTTCTAGGCAAACTGAGGGCTGACGGAGTAAACTGTTGCCCACGTCAGACATTGATTTTAAGGCCAGGGTAAAGAAGAGTCTGACTCTGGCTTCCCAGCATGTCGCTGTCTTTTGCATATGAAAAGTAGAGAACTTAGCTCATCACTTGCCCTAGTTCCAGGCAGTGTTTGCCTCCTATCATTAAAGGGGCCAGCGGGGCCTGGCACTCTTCCCTGAGTAACCAGCACAGGGAATTTCAAGAGAGTCTGGGGTACAAGTGGAGGCTGTCTGATTCAGGTGGCAGAAGAAGGGTCTATGCTTGGACACATGAGGCTGATAGCCAGTGTTCAGGGCCAGGCTCCTGGGGTAACAAGCAACAATGCGTGTGGGCAGAGAGGCAGTGGTGAGGGCAGTGAGGGGTCACAGCCCGAAAGGCGCTGCACAATGAACCCATGGAAAACCAGTTTCACTAAAATCTCTCCAAGAAAGAGCAATCCAGGGCAGCTCCAGGGAAGCAACTCCTAACCCCCAGTCTTCAGCAAGGTGACTGCCAGAAGGAACAGAGGAGGGCTGGTAAAGACCTCGGGGGAGAAGCAGCGATACAGGAGTCCAGGAGACTGTGCGGAACGCCAGGAACAAGCAGGGCCAGCCTTGTCCACTTCTGAGGACCTGCGAGGCATCCCATGTGTCCCACCTGGGATCTTTTGGAATCTGAGTTTCCGTCCCGCCCTGTGATGGGCTCTCTATACGTGACTGCTAGAGCAGCCACTCTCAACCTCAGCTGTACCTTAAAATCATCTGGGGATCTCAAAAAAATACTGATGCCAGGCAGTGAGCCCTAAGTATCAGTTGTTTTGAATCTCCCTCCCCAGCCTTTTTTTTTTTTTTTTTTTTTTTGGACACAGGGCCTCACTGTCGCCTAAGCTGGAGTGAAGTGGCACAATCATAGCTCCCTGCAGCCTCAACCTCCCTAGGCTCAAGTGATCCTCCCACTTCAGTCTCCCGAGTAGCTGGGACTACAGGTGTGTGTCACTGTGTGTGGTTAATTTCTTTTATTTATTTATTTTTGAGATGGAGTCTTGCTCTGTCGCCCAGGCTGGAATGTAGTGATGCAATCTTGGCTCATGCAACCTCCGCCTCCTGGGTTCAAGTGATTCTCCTGCCTCAGCCTCCCAAGTAGTTGGGACTACAGGCATGCGCCACCACGCCTGGCTAATTTTTGTATTTTTAGTAGAGACAGGGTTGGCCAGGCTGGTCTCAAACTCCTGATCTCAAGTGATCTGCCTGCCTCGGCCTCCCAAAGCGTTGGGATTACAGGCGTAGGCCACTGTGCCTGGCCAATTTCTTTTACTTTTTATAGAGATGGGGTCTCGCCATGTTGCCCAGGCTAGTCTCAAACTCTCCTCCCCAGCATTTAAATGTATATTCTAATGCACACCCCAAGATTAAAAATGTTAAGAAATCTGATTGGAGGGGTAGAATCCCACTCCTACTGAATGTCAATTTACGACAGCTATAGTTGGCAAGAAATAGTTTAAAGTTTAAAGGGCACATTAGCAATGTATGGACATAGATTCTGCAGGTTCTCTGCCTTCTGCAGAAACCAAAGGGAAGAGCCTGGCCAGGAGATCTGTGCCTGAGTCTGCAGGACCTCCCAGTTCTCAGCTCCTACTCCTGGTTCCTCTGCAACTTCCTTGTGTTGTAGCAAACAAGATTTCCACCCTCCTGGGCCTCTCTGGTCTCCTGAAGAGGATCTCTGGTCTGCTGAGTCCCACCCTTTTCCTACCCCTTTAGAGGCAGGCTCTACATCCAGTCTGGAGGCAGAATGACCAGGACCGCCCTGGGAAGTGGACTTGCCCATATGAATGGAATCCTATAATGCTGTGTGAACTCCCTGCCTGCTTCCCCGGGGGTCAGGATTCCTGGATGCTGGCCCTTCCAACGTGCTATGCCCTACCTGTCCCCTTCTCAGACCACAGTCTCAGCCCACCCCTCTCTGGGCTATACTATGATAAGCCTCCTTCCCTTTATGGTTGAGCACCCCGGACGCCTTGCTCTCTACATTCACAGAGATGGGTGTCAGCTCTTCCTGCACTTAAGGTA
The DNA here is from genome assembly GCF_000001405.40 of Homo sapiens. Classification (NCBI taxonomy): domain Eukaryota; kingdom Metazoa; phylum Chordata; class Mammalia; order Primates; family Hominidae; genus Homo; species Homo sapiens. The sequence goes on from NC_000007.14 coordinate 140,637,914, forward strand.
CCATTGTCTCCTTTGTATAGGATTTCCCTGGCCCCATACTCTGAGATGACACCCAGTCCTCACAGAAGTGCAGTTCACTCCCCTAGACATAACAGGATGGTAGAGGAAGGCAGTAACGGGGAGTTTTATCTTTCCATCTTTTGTAACACCAGCAACGAAGATTTTTTTTTTCTATGTCACTCTTCAGTCTTTACATAAAGTTCCACATGATAAATTCCCAGCTGAGTTCAATTCCAGGAAAAATTTTGTTCTGAGAATTAATTTGTAGGCTTTCTGTTGTCCAAAATCCCAAACTATGCAACCCAGTGTATTTTTGTTTGTCCCTAAGCTGCCAGAAAACTTACAGCCAAATGCGTTATCCAAGTGTTGTAATCTGCTAAATGCAGGCCACTCAGAAGGTCCACATTCCTTTTGCTTTGCTTTGTTTTCTCCTGAGCATTTGTGTACATACTTGCTTTTAGTCTAAGTTATCATAATCTGTGCCCAAACCAGTCACCAGGTCCTGCCTCTTGATCCTGGCATCCTTTCAGTTTCTCCTGCTCCTCAGTAATTCTGGCCTGGGTGTTGCAAAAAGCCTTGGTCTCCTCCTCCTCCTCCAGGCCTCCCCACCCAACAACTAGAAGGAGCGCATCACTCCTGCTTCAGTGCATACTCCTGCCTCCTTCTGGCAGATCCTTCCTTCCCTGTGCCTCTGCCCTGACAGCTCCCGCCTCACCTCTCCCCGGCATGCACTCACATACTGCAACCCGCAGCCACACTGAATTCCCCTCACTGGCCTCTCCTAGACTCTCTTGGTGACTTTGCACATTCTGTTCTTTCAGCCTGAAACAACCTTCCCTGCTGTTTCCTTGGTGAGGCGGTTTTCAGGGCTTAGCCCAAGCATCACCTAATCTGTGGGGATTCCCTGCACCGGCTCCTCTCTGGGCTGCCCTAGTTCTATGCCATGCAGCCCTCACAGCCAGGCTGGGCAGGACTGGTTTTACTTTTTTGTTTGACTACCCAGCTAGGATGGTGTTCCTGGAAGGAAGGGGGACGTCTCATTCCTCGCTGTGCCACTGATGTCTAGCACGCATGCCTAGCACACAGAGCTGTGTAAGGGTATGAATAGAATACATGACACAGGATTTTATTAATCTTCCAGAATGAAAGGACTGGAGGCCAGGCACAGTGGCTCAAGCCTGTAATCCCAGCACTTTGCGAGGCCGAGGCGGGCAGATCACCTGGGGTCAGCAGTTCAAGACCAGCCTGGCCAACATGGTGAAACCCCGTCTCTACTAAAAATACAAAAATTAGCTGGGTGTGGTGGTGGGCGCCTGTAATCCCAGCTACTCGGGAAGCTGAGACAGGAGAATTGCTTGAACTCCGGGGGCTGAGGTTGCAGTGGGTCGAGATTGCACTACCGCACTCCAGCCAGGGTGACAGAGCAAGACTCTGTCTCAAAAAAATAAAAATAAAAAACAAACGAAAGGACTGGAGGCCAGCCTCCCGCCAGCCTTTTCATTACCAGGCCTCAGAAACCGTCTCTGACACACACACACACACACACTCGCACACTCACACATACTTCCTCTCGGAGTTCTGCTCCGTCCCACGCTGCCCACCCAGACTTTCTACTCCACTCTTTTGGTATCTGATATTTGATGATGTAAGGAGAAGGGATTTCTTTCTCTTCTTTTATGTGGTAACCACAGAGGGTTTAAGAGTTTACTAACAAGATTACTGTAGCACGCCTATTACAACTCTGTTACCCCCAGCCCATTACTGTCCGATGTCATTTGGAACCTTGGGGAAGTCACATTCCTGAATCGCATCTGAACAGCAGCTGGAAGTCAGCACCAGCTGGTTAAGGCAGGGTCACTGCACTTCCCTTGCCCAATTTACGCCCCTGGAGAGCCCTGACCAGTTTCCTGCTTCCTGTCCCAGGCCCCCCATGACAAGATTCCACGGCTGAGGTCTGGCTCTACTCCGTGGTCTCACCCAGCTCTCTGTGACCCTCCTAATACGATTGTGTCCAGACTTCCCCTGGGCTCCATCTGCTCCCAACTCCACCCTTGGGGACAAAGTGGAAGAAGTAAGACCATTCAATCATCTTTACCTTCTTGCTTTCCCAAGACTGCAAATGCTGACCGCTGTGAGGGGGGCCCGGCTGCTCAGCCGCCTCGATGCCCCGCGCTTGCACGCGCACGCACACACTCACACACACTCGCACAGACACACTCACACACAGACACACAAGCGCGCACACACACACACGCGCGCGCGCGGACACACACACACTCACACTCGCGCCCCGAGGGACCCAGCACGGCGCAGGGCGGGGGTCTACCGGCTTTCTGCAGGTCCCCGAGGCGCGAGACGGCGGCGTCCGGGCTCAGTCCTGGGAGTCAGCCCGAGCCCGGGAGGAACGCCTGGATCGCGCTCTGCACAGTCCCGGGACCAGGCGGGAACTCAGACTCCCGTCTGCAGAGCCGCTTCCCCCGTCAGGGCTCAGGCCGCGCGAGCCGTTTCCTCCCTCCCCCGCGCGTCCCCTCCTCCGTCCCCTTTCCCTCCCCAGCTCGACCCTGCACCCCCTGGCCCGGCCCGGCCCTACCTCCCCGCGGGCGGCGGCTCCGCGGGCTCTGGGGCGCATCTTGGGGGCTCCGGGGCGGGCCGGGACGGCTGGCGGCGCGGCTCGGGGGCGGGCGGCGGCGGGTGCCGGGGACGCCATGGCCCTCCGCCCTCCGCCCCTTTGTCCGCCGAGCCTCCCCCGGCCGCCCGCAAGCCCCTGGGGGTCCCCGCCGCGCGCGCTCCCGTGGGGTCCCCGCCGCCCCCGGCCCCAGCGGCGCGCTTCCCTCGGCCGGCCCAGCGCAGGCTCGCCCGCGGCCCCTGCCTCCTCCTGCCGTGGCTCCGCGACGATCTGCGCGACGCGCGCCCCCTCCTCCCGACCCATCCCGCCCGGCCCAGTGAGCTAATCCGCAGCTGGCGGGCGCCCGGCCGGTTGCCACGGCAACCCCTCTCCCAGGGCCCGGCCCCGCGCGGAGCTGCGGTAAACAGGACCTTCTGCCGGACTCGCCCCCTCGCCTCTCGGGGTGGGGGAGAGGTGGCTTAACCCTTCCTGGGAGGACGCCCGCCGCGCGCGGGCTCCATTCCACCCAGGCCCGGGCGGATTCGCGAGGTGCTTCCGGCCTGAGGCTTAGACCTGGACGTCCAAGCCTGGGGAACGGCGGCCGCGTGCCCGGCCCCGCTTACTCTAGGCAGTTAACACACTCTCGGCACCGGGCCGGGGCCGGGGGCACCTCGGGCAGTGAGTCAGGCACCACCCTTGCCCCAGGCAGCTTGCCGTCGGGCCGGGGTAATGACAGTCATGAGACCGGCGATGCAGGTGATGGGGGCCGGGGAGGGCCCAGGGCCGAGCGCGCTGCAGAAGGGCTCCCAGACCGGGCGGGAAGGGAGGTGGTCAGGAAAAGCTTCCAAGAGGAGAAGTGACTTCATAGACCCGCTGCCCCCACTCACGCAGGACACCGTCAAGGAACACAGGCTGCACAGCAGAAGTCCGCAGGGAAATGCCGTGGGCTGCGGGGAAGGCGGGTCTGGAATACAGGCTGGGGCCTTCGAGGAAGTTCCCTGGAGCTTTGACCGGGCCGGGAACATTGAATAGCATTTGCATAGGTGGAGGAAAGTGGGTGAAAGGAAAGGGTTCTGAGTGAAGGGAACAGCACCAGTGGAGGCCGGAAGCAGAGGCTAGGCATTTCAGAAACAGCCGAGTGAGGACCAAGTGGTGAATCAGGTCTGATGGGTAGGCTTAGCCAGATTTCAAGCGGGGGACGGAAAGTTTTTGAGCAGAGGAATGCCCTGATGAGAGTGAGGGGGGTCTGGCGGGGTGATTTGCGCGCGGTGGGAGCAGGCTTCAGGTCCATCTCCACACCAGAGGAAGGTCATCCTCATCTTTAGCTCAGAAGGGCTGGGAGCCATGGTCCTGCGGGACAGCAAAGAGGCCTAAAGTTCAAGCAAGGGGGAAGAGAGAAGAGAGGCTTAGCCTCACAAATCCACAGAAGGAGTGTGCGCGCGAGAGAAAGGCAGGAGGGAGACAGTGAAAAATAAAAGATGGGTGTAATGACGTAATACTGCCCAGGCAGTGCCTATAGACTGGGAGCTTGAGATTTGAGGGACTTGTTCAAAGTCACAGGAAAAAAATCTCTGTTTTCTTCTCAGCTGAGGGTTTTATGCTTTCTGGGAACTCTTTGAAGCTTTTCTAGGGCTTAAGTTCCTTAAACTCCTCATGACATACCCATTTTAACTAAGCATAGTCAACTTTTAGAGCCCACATTTGCAAAGTGCAAGCTTTTTTTTTAAAGTGTAAGCATTTAAATTATTGTTTTGTTTGTTGAAGCATTATTCAGTAAGTTTTTCACTTTCTAAATAAAGATCAGAGGCTTGGCTTTTTTTTTTTTTTTTTTTTGAGACGGAGTCTCGCTCTGTCGCCCAGGCTGGAGTGCAGTGGAGCGATTTCGGCTCACTGCAAGCTCCGCCTCCTGGGTTCACGCCATTCACCTGCCTCAGCCTCCCAGGCTTGGCTTCTTTTTTATTGATTGATTGATTGAGGCAGTCTCAGTCTCTCACCCGCGGTGGAGTGCAGTGTTGCTATCATAGCTCACTTCAGCCTCGAACTCCTGGGCTCAAGCAATTTCCCCACCTCAGCCTCCCAATTAGCTAGGACTACAGATGTATGCTATCATGGTCGGCTTTTTTATTTTTTGTAGGTCTTGCTATGTTGCCCAGGCTAATCTTGAACTCCTGGCCTCAAGTGATCCTCCTGACTTGGCCTCCCAAAGTGTTGGGATTATAGATGTGAGCCACCACGCCTGGCCAAGACTTGGCTTCTTGAGGGTTAATTATTCCCAGGGCTGCTACAACATATAAGAAAGCAAACTGGTGCAATCTTGGCTTGCAACCTTTGCCTCCTGGGTTCAAGCGATTCTTTTGCCTAAGCCTCCTGAGTAGCTGGGATTACAGGCGCCTGCCACCGCGCCACGCTCGGCTAATTTTTTTGTATTTTTAGTAGTGACAGGGTTTCACCATCTTGGCCAGGCTAGTCTTAAAAACTCCTGACCTCATGATCCACCCGCCTTGGCCTCCCAAAGTGCTCGGATTACAGGTGTGAGCCACCGCACCTGGCCTAATTTTTTTTTTTTTTTTTTTTTGAGACAGATTCTCACTCTGTCACCTAGGCTGGAGTACAGTGGCATGGTCTTGGGTCACTGAAGCCTCAGCCTCCTGAGTTTGAGTGATTCTCCTGCCTCAGCCTCCCATGTAGCTGGGATTACAGGCATCTGCCACCATGCCCAGCTAATTTTTGTATTTTTAGTAGAGACAGGGTTTCACCATGTTGGCCAGGCTGATCTCAAACTCTTGACCTCCAGTGATCCTCCCACCTCAGCCTCCCAAAGTGCTGAGATTATATTGTATAGGTGTGAGCCACTATGCCTGGCCTTCCACTCCCTCATCTTTGACTTCTGGACACTAATCTGTTTTAGGAAAATAACTCCTGCCTTAGTTCCTTGGGTCTGAGTCTGATGAACTGTGTACAGCCTGTGCTTTGTGGATTTCTAACCTTGCCTGCCTCTCACAGCCCCCAGCCCTCCAACTTCTCAGAGCTGGCTGCTCCCATTGCTGGGTCATCCTGTGGCTCTGCCCATGACAGGGGTCCCACATAGGGACCCCTCCCTCCTTCACCTTGTGGCCCCCCCATGCTGGCTCCCTGGAGGAGGGAGACAGGGTAGCCCACGATAGCCCTCCAAGGCTGGTGCTACACGTTGGAGCCTGGAAGGGCCTCTCCGTCATCCCCTCTTCTCCTGTTCCTGGCGCTGACAACTCCAACAGTATATTCGTCCCCTGTCCTCCTTCTCTGTCCATAGCTTCTCTTCATGTTGGAAAATGCTTCGGGTAGGAGGTCATGCCTGGCCTCAAGCTGGGAAAAGTGAAAGTGAGAGGAAAGGGACAAAGTTGATTTCTCTTTTGAGTCTTTAATCTTGCTTCTTTATATTTTATTTTATTTCATTTTATTTTATTTTAATTAATTTTTATTTTTTGAGACAGAGTCTTGCTCTGTCGCCCAGGCTGGAGTGCAGTGGTGCAATCTCGGCTCACCACAACCTCCGCCTCCTGGGTTCAAGTGATTCTCCTGCCTCAGCCTCCCAAGTAGCTGGTATTACAGGCATGCGCCACCACACCCGGCTAATTTTTGTATTTTTAGTAGAGATGGGGTTTCGCCATGTTGACCAGGCTGGTCTCAAACTCCCGACCTCAGGTGATCCCCTCACCTTGGCCTCCCAAAGTGCTGGGATTACAAGCATGAGCCACCGTGCCCAGTCTTTTTTATTTTATTTTAACATTTATTTCAATTAATTTATATTGAGACAAGGTCTTGCTATGTTGCCTAGGCTGGCCTTGAACTCCCCACCTCAGCCTCCTGAATAGTAACCCTGTTTCTTCCACACAGAGCAGCCCTGGAACACTGCAGTACATTTCTTCCTTCCTCTCCCTCCTTTTCCTCCAGCGTCCTGCTGAGGAGCGCAGGCCTTGATTGGAGGGGCACATTCAGCTCTGCAGCAGGTTGCTCAGCCTTGAAATCCCAGCTTTTTAAACCCTTCATCTGTAGGGTGGAAATGGCAATGGCTGCGGCCTCCTAAGAGCGCTGTTTTGAGGGTTTGGTATGGTGCCTGGCCCATGGGAGGACTCACGGGTACTCTCCTGTTGGTTATTATTTTCCTAATCTCCTTTTTTTTTTTCCCCATGAACACAGAGTGTCAAGGTTGAAGAATGGGAGGCAGGCAGTTTTTCTTCTCCTACATCAGCGCTCAACTCCCCCTTCCTCCCCACCCCTTTTAGGTCCAGGATCGTCTACCAGCACGCACAGGCAACAGAGCTGGCTTTATCTCAGCCATAAGCCAAGGGAGTAATGCATTCAATGGGCCTGCGGCTCTGTCTCTTGCTCCGACACTGGATGGAACAGACTCTCTCTTCCAGGCTCTGACTGCCTTCCAATAAAAATTAAAATAAAGAAACCAGGCCGGACGCGGTGGCTTATGGCTGTGATCCCAGCACACTGGAAGGCCGAGGCGGGCGGATCACCTGAGGTCATGAGTTCGAGACCAGCCTGGCCAACGTGGTGAAACCCTGTCTCTACTAACAATACAAAAATTAGCCAGGCATGGTGGCAGGTGCCTGTAATCCCAGCTAGTCGGGAGGCTGAGGCAGGAGAATCACTTGAACCTGGGAGGGCAGGCAGGTGGTGATGAGACAGAAGAAAGATCCTGCCAGCCAAGAGGCCAAGAAGGAATGGATCCCAGTGACCCAAGCAGGGGAGCCAGATCTCAAGGGGATGGTTTGAGTCAGGGATGCCCCAAGGAACTGCACTGCCTGTTCCTTCCAGAGGGGGGAGCCACAGTGAGGACATGGATTGGTTCTTGATCCAGAACTCTCCCTCCAGAGGAGCTGGCCCTGGGCAGAGCCGATGCTCACAGGCTTCATGGGGTAACAAAAAGAACATGGGTTGAGCCAGACAGGTCTGGGTCTGTGGGACCTCAGATAAAGCACATAACCCGTTGGGGCTTGGTTTTCCCATCCATGAAATGGCAGGAATGATGCTTCGTTGTTCAGAGTTGCAGGGCGGACCTAATGCCATGACTGGTCAAAGTGCCTGGGACAAAAATGATGCTCTGTCAACATTTACATCCAAAAGGAATCTCAGTGGAAATGAAAACATTTGAGAGAGTGTCCGAAGGCTCTTTCTCAGGCTCTGTCCCCTGCCTTGATGGGTGGGGCTAGCCTTGTCATATCCCTCGGTACTTCCCATTTCCCGTGGTTTCTTCTTTTTTTCTTTTGAGACGGAGCCTTGCTCTTGTTGCCCAGGCTGGAGTGCAATGATGTGATCTTGGCTCACTGCATAGGTGCATAGGTGAAAGGTATACACATGGGAGGCTGGGGCAGGAGGATCACTTGAGCTTGGGAGTCCTGGGTTGTGGTGCACTTTGCCAATCCAGTGTCTGCACTAAGTTCAGCATCAATATGGTGACCTCCTGGGAGCAAGGGACCACCAGGTTGCCTAAAGAGGGGTTAATCAGCCCAGGTCAGAAATGGAACAGGTCAAAACTCCTGTGCTAATCTGTAGTGGGATCGTACCTGTGAATAGCCACTGCACTCTAGCCTGGGCAACATAGTCAGAATCCATCTGTAGGAAAAAAACTGGAAATAATTAGCCTGGGTTCAGTGGTTCATGCTTGTAATCTCAATCTCAGCACTTTGGGAGACTGAGGCAGGTGAATCACTTGAGCCCAGAAGTTCGAGACCAGCCTGGCAACATGGTGAAACCCTGTCTCTACTGAAAATACCAAAAAATTAGCCAGGCGTGGTGGCGCACGCCTATAATCTCAGCTACTCAGGAGGCTGAGGCACGCGAATCACTTGAACATGGGAGGCAGAGGTTGCAGTGAGCAGAGATTGTGCCACTGCACTCTGGCCTGTGTGACAGAGCAAGACCTTGTCTCAAAAAAAAAAAAAATAAAAACCATAATCATTAAATTATATTTAAAAAGAAAAGAAAAAAGCTATACACACAGTAGATGATTGATGGACAAGAGGTTTATTGATTGATTGATCATCTGGAGAGCTGGTGTGGGGAGAAGAATCACATGTCTGTGCTTAGACAAGTTTGGATGAGGTAGAGCAAGGAAGGAACTTCTCTTAAGGGCAGGGAAAAGTCTACAGCCTCACCCTGACACAGCCTTGGCCAAGCCTCCCCTACATCCCTCCCATCCATAGACCAAAGCCCTGCAGGCTCAGAGCCCACCGAGCCATCTTAGAGAGGCTCTAAGTCAGGGCTTACAGATGTCAGGGCTCCCCTTCTAGTCTCTTGCTGGCACCTGATGCCTTTCCTCCACAGAAGGCCACCTCCCCCCTGCCTCTCTCATTCCATCTCTAACTCCATCCTCAGCCCATTCTCCCACCTAGACACAGCTGGGTGCCAGTTCCTTGCAGGCCCTCCTGGCTGCCTCTCTCTGAGGAAACAAAACCAAGCCAAGCATCCCACCCAAACCTCAAAACCAGGCTTGGTTTGTTATTGGTCCCAATCAGATGCAATCCAGGAGGTGTGGGATAGGAGTGGGAGGGGTAGAGGGGGAGCAGAGGCCACCCAGGAGTGTGCAGAGCCCAGACTGAAGCCCTAAGGCTCTTTCATCCTCCCTGGCTGCGAAGGGCTGGTCTTTGGCAGAGATGCCTCTGTGCCCTCTGTCTTCCGGGGACGCTCTCACACCTACCGCTTTGGCTGGGACTATAAGATGGGCAGCTGTTGAGGCCCACTAGGGGTGCTGTGGGGCAGATGGTCTTTGTTTATTACCATGGATGGCTGACCTTTGCTGGCTTACCACGGGGAATCCGGGAGAATCTCTGCATTGGCAGACAGCATCTCAACATATCATTTTGAGATAAGAATCATTTCTGTTTGATTTCATGACCCTAATTTATTTTGGACTGTCTTTTTTTCACACAAAGAATTAAAGTGTCTGTAACTTCATAAAGACTGGCGTGTTTATGACAAAAAGCAAAGAATAAAGGTGTGAACTTTCCAGGTCATTCATCACTAGGCAAAGTCTCAAATATGAAGCCTGCCACACCAAGTACCCTCTACACTTACATTCTTTCTGTTCCTTTTGGACGATGTATTTGAACAGTAAAAAAAAGGAACAAGAATGTGGTGATTTGGATACTTTTTAGAGGCATGGCTTTCTGTGTTTAAGCTGTTGTAGCTCTTTGTGGTCACTGTGATTTCAGAATACAGGACAGTCAGGCCAGTGAATCCAACTCTTCTGTGTGGACTTCTGTGCACAGGATGAAAGGCACCTACCTCTTGCTTCTGAGAGACTTCCCTGCCTACTTTCTGGCCCAACGAGGCAATCTCTTCAGAGTCAGGAGAAGGAGTGAGGTAATACGCTTCATTAAAGATTTTTTTTTTTTTTTTTTTTTTTTTTCTGAAACAGAGTCTCACTCTCTCACCGGGCTGGAGTGCAGTGGCGTGATCTCGGCTCACTACAACCTCCGACTCCCTGGTTCAAGGGATTCTCCTGCCTCAGCCTCCTGAGTAGCTGGGATTACAGGCACGCACCACCATGCCTGGCTAATTTTTGTATTTTTAGTAGAGACAGGGTTTCACCATGTTGGCCAGGATGGTCTTGATCTGACCTCATGATCTGCCTGCCTCAGCCTCCCAAAGTGCTGGGATTACAGGTATGAGCCACTGCGCCCAGCCCTCATTAAAGATTTTAATCATGCTGGACACAGTGGCTCATGCCTGTAATCCCAGCACTTTAGGAGGCCAAGGCAGCATGATCACTTGAGGCTGGGGGTTCAAGACCAGCATGGGTAACATAGTGAGACCCCCATTTCTACAAAAAATAAAAAATTAGCTGGGTGTGGTGGCACACACCAGGGAGGTTGAGGCTACAGTGAGCCGTGATCTCACCACTGCACTCTAGCCGGGGCAACAGAACAGGACCCTGTCTTACCTGTCTCAAAAAACAAACAAAAACAAGAAGAAGAAAAAATATATTTTATTTTATTATTATTTTTTTGAGACAAAGTCTCACTCTGTCACCCAGGCTGGAGTGCAATGGCGTGATCTCGGCTCACTGCAACCTCTGCCTTCCAGGTTCAAGCAATTCTCCTGCCTCAGCCTCCCTAGTAGCTGGGATTACAGGTGCCTACCACTGCGCCCAGCTAATTTTTGTATTTTTAGTAGAGACGAGGTTTCACCATGTTGGCCAGGCTGGTCTTGATCTCCTGACCTCAGGTGATCTGCCTGCCTTGGCCTACCAAAGTGCTGGGATTACAGGTGTCAGCCACCGCGCCCAGCCAAAAGAAGAATATGTGTATGTATATATATATATATATATATATATATATTTTTTTTTTTTTTTTTTTTTTTTTGAGACGGAGTTTCACTCTTGGCATGCCCAGGCTGGAGTGCAATGGCGTGATCTCAGCTCACTGCAACCTCCGCCTCCTGGGTTCAAGAGCGTATCCTGCTTCACCCTTCCGAGTAGCTGGGATTACAGGCATGCGCCACCACATCTGGCTAATTTTGTATTTTTAGTAGAGACGAGGTTTCTCCATGTGGTCAGGCTCATCTGGAACTCCCGACCTCAGGTGATCTGCCTGCCTCAGCCTCCCAAAGTGCCGGGATTACAGGCATGAGCCACTACATCCTGAGATGTAGTCTCTGTTGCCCACGCTGGAGTGCAGTGGTGTGATCTTGGCTCACTGCAACCTCCGCCTCCCAGGTTCAAGCGATTCTCCTGCCTCAGCCTCCCGAGTAGCTGGGACTACAAGCATGCGCCACCATGCCCAACTAATTTTTGTATTTTTAGTAGAGACGGGGTTTCGCCATGTTAGCCAGGATGGTCTCGATTTCCTGACCTCGTGATCCACCCGCCTCGGGCTCCCAAAGTGTTGGGATTACAGGTGTGAACCACTGCGCCCGGCTGAGAAGAAAATATTTTAATCACACCAGGTTATGAGCTAGGCATTACATCCGTGTCCTCATTGCCAGATCACCCTCTTTGTACTAAAATCCACCCCAGGCCCAAGGTCAGCCTTCAGATCTCCAAATGACTGTACAGCACTGCACTGACTCTCAGAGGCCACACCTTGCTTGAGAGAACATATTTCTGAAAGCTCTAATATCTGTCCCCTTCCTACGTCTCTCAGATTAACTCAAATCAAAATAAAAAAGATTGGCTAAAGGCAAGCCAGCTGATATACTATTGCTCTCGCTGGGAGTGTGACTTTGGGTGAGTCAACTTCCCTCTTTGGGTGTCAGATTCCTGGGGAGATCACAGGGGCTGTCTGGTCCCTCCCAGCCCCAGCCTTCTCATGTAGGCAAAAAAGCGCAAGAGCAGTACTCTTCTCATTCTCACTCTACGTTTTCCTGAATATGTGCTGGGCAGTGTTAATGCATTACAGAGATTACCTAGTAGGTAGGTTCTAATATTAGCCTCTTCTAGAGATAAAGAAGCAACCAAAAAGGGGTTGGCTGCCTTGCCCAAGGCCACTGGCAGGGAGTACTGGGGCTGAGATGAGCCCAGGCAGTCTGAGCCCAGGACAGCACCACTGTAGCTTTGTGGCCAGGACAGGCTTTAGAACAGAGAAGTTAACAGGGCCTGGTGGGGTGCAGTGGCTCACTCCTATAATCCCAGCACTTTGGGAGACCGAGGAGGGTGGATCACCTGAGATCAGGAGTTCGAGACCAGCCTGGCCAACATGGCAAAACCCCATCTCTACCAAAAATACAAAAATTAGCTGGGTATGGTGGCATGTGCCTCTAATCCCAGCTACTCAGGAGACTGAGACAGGAGAATCGCTTGAATTCAGGAGGCGGAGGTTGCAGTGAGCCGAGATTTTACCACTGCACTCCAGCCTGGGTGACAGAGCGAGACTCCGTCTCAAAAATAAAATAAAATAAAGAAGTTAACAGGGTCCAGGGGCAACAGAGTTGCACACAGCATGGTGGGGGCATACCGTGTCAGAGCAGGAAGTGGCCTCAGAGATGAGCAGCCCAAGCCCTCGAGGCAGAAGGAGGGGAGACTTGCCTTGGCCACACAGGGTTAGCACATGCACTGCACGTGGGTAGTAGTAGTCCAGTTACGTGACACCGGGAGAAAGGTGTCTGGAGCAAGCCACCTAGAAAACCAGAAGGCAGGAACTAGAGGAGAGATTCTCGTGATAAGGAGTAATGGAGAAAATTCAACTGAAGAGTGAAAAAGAGAAAGCGAGGAGGCCGTGGTCTCACGGGGAAGGGATGGGTCATTGCCGCAGGGCACACACACACAACTGCCTCCTCCTTTCCCTGCTTCTTTCAGTATTATTTCTTTTCTTTTCTTTTCTTTTTTTTGAGACACAGTCTCGCTCCATCTCCCAGGCTGGAGTGCAGTGGCGCTATCTCGGCTCACTGCAAGCTCCACCTCCTGGGTTCACACCATTCTCCTGCCTCAGCCTCCCGAGTAGCTGGGACTACAGGCACCCGCCACCGCGCCCAGCTAATTTTTTGTATTTTTGGTAGAGATGGGGTTTCACCGTGTTAGCCAGGATGGTCTCGATCTCCTGACCTCGTGATCTGCCCGCCTCGGCCTCCCAAAGTGCTGGGATTACAGGTGTGAGCCACCGCGCCCAGCCCCTTTCAGTATTATTTCTGATATTTTCTCCTCTGCCAGCTTGGGGAGTAGATATGGGTGGCCCAGAGCCAAAATCCACATGCCAGGGCCTGACTCTCTTAGGAAGGAATTGCAGGTCAGAGATACCAAGCAGGACCTGGGGGGAGGGGCAGGGCCAGTGCTTCTCACACTTTTTTTTTTTTTCTGAGACAGAGTTTCCGTCTTATTGCCCAGGCTGGAAAGCAGTGGTGCAATCTCAGCTCACTGCAACCTCCGCCTCCCGGGTTCAAGCGATTCTCTTGCCTCAGCCTCCCGAGTAGCCAGGATTACAGGCACCCATCACCATGCCCGGGTAATTTTTTGTAGTTTTAGCTGAGACGGGGTTTCACCATGTTGGCCAGACTGGTCTCAAACTCCTGACCTCAGATGATCCGTCTGCCTCAGCCTCCCAAAGTGCTGGGATTACCCCAGGCTGGAGTGCAGTGGAGGCATGAGCCACCACGCCCGGCCTTTCTCACACTTTTTATCTGCCTGATAATCCCATTGAGTTTAAGGGGGAAAAAAAGAAGAAAAAAAAGAACAGATTCTGGCCTTCGCTGAGTGATCCTGATGCAAGGGGTCTGGGATGCAGCCCAGGAACGTGCAGTTTTACAAGCACTCCAGGTGTGTGTTTGCTTGTAGAGACAGAGTCTCACTATGTTGTCTCACTCTGTTGCCCAGGCTGATCTTGAACTCCTAGTTTTGAGAGATCTTCCTGCTCTGTCTGGCCTCCCAATGTTCTAGGATTACAGGTGTGTGAGCCATGGTGCACAGCCGCCCAGGTGTTTTTGGTGGAGGTGGCTCAAGTCCCCACCAGAGACACACTGGTTTAGAGCCTGCTCAGGAGGAACAAAGACGTTGAAGCTGCAGCAGGTAAGTGCAGGGCGTTCCCTTCTCTTATATTCTGTTCTGAAGAAAGTGTGAGTGTGGGGTGGGAAGAGGGGTAAGGAGGTCAGGGGGTGCTGAAAGGGTCTCAGCAGAGAACTGTGCGAAAGGACCTAAGACTAGTGATTCCCAAGCAGGGACAACTTTGCTTCTTTGCTTCTCCAGGGGACATTTGGTAATTTTTCTTTTTTTTTTTCTTTTAAGAGACAAGGTCTTACTCTGTCTCCCAGGCTGGAGTGCAGTGGCACAATCATAGCTCACTGCAACCCCAAACACCTGGGCTCAAGCCATCCCTCCACCTAAGCCTCCTGGGTATCTAGAACTACGGGTGTGCCCCATTGCCGTGCCCAGGTTTTTTTTTTTTTTTTTCCGTAGAGACAGAGTCTTGCTATATTGCCCCGGCTGGTCTGAAACTCCTGTGCTCAAGCAATCCTCCCACTTTGGTCTCCCAATGTGCTGAGAATACAGATGTGGGCCACCATGCCTGGCTGACACTTGGCAATGTTTGAAGATATTTTATTGTCATAATTGGGAAAGGGAAGTGCTATGGTCTGAACGTGTCCGCCTCCAAAATTCATATGTTGAAATCCTAACGCCCAAAGTGATGGAAGGTGAGTGGAGCCCTCATGAATGGGTTTAGTGCCCTCATCAAAGAGTCCCCAGAGAAAGCTCTCACCCTCTCCCACTCTTTCCACCACGGACACAGTGAGAAGGCGGCGGTCTGCAGCCCAGAAGCAGGACCTCCCCAGAACCCAACCATGCCGCACCTGGATCCTGGACTTTTCAGCCTCCAGGAATGTGAGAAAGAAATATTTGCTGTTTCTTTTTTCTTTTTTCTTTTTTTTTTTTTTTGAGACAGAGTCTTACTCTGTCACCCAGGCTGGAGTACGGTGGCCCAATCTCGGCTCACTGCAAGCTCCGCCTCCCGGGTTCACGTCATTCTCCTGCCTCAGCCTCCCGAGTAGCTGGGACTACAGGCGCCCGCCACCACGCCCAGCTAATTTTTTGTATTTTTAGTAGAGACGGGGTTTCACCGTGTTAGCCAGGATGGTCTCTATTTCCTGACCTCGTGATCCTCCCGCCTCGGCCTCCCAAAGTGCTGGGATTACAGGCGTGAGCCACTGCGCCCGGCCAATAAATATTTGCTGTTTCTAAGCCACACAGTTCATGGTATTTTGTTATATAGCAGCTCAAACGGACTAAGACAAGGATTGTTTCTGGCATCAAGTGGGTAAAGGCCAGACATGCTGCCGAACATCCTCCAAAGCACAGGACAGCCTCCCTCTCCACACACAACGAAGAATTGTCTTGTCCGGAATGCCTAAAATGCAGAGGCCGGGAAGCCCAGAGCCAGCCCATTCCCCACCTCCACCATCTTCCCCTTGAACTAGTACTTGCCCTGCATCACATCTGCTGGGTAGCAGTGTTACACGCGAGCTGCTAAACCCGGTCATGTGGTTCACGTGGAAAGAGAAGCAAAGCCAGATGGGCTTTTGCAGAGTTCCCCTTCCCTTGCCTCCCGGTTGGGTCTGGGAACCTCCAGGAATCGTGTGTTATCCTTCCCGAGTGAATGGTGCCACCTAGTGGAAATAGAGTTAACAACACCAGCAGGAGCATTTCATACACCTGGAAACCTAAAAATTAGCTGGCTTTCCACTGTTGAGAAGATTCAATGCGGATCAACGAAAGCCACCCAAATGAGGAAGGCAGAGGCTATTTATTTAGCGTTTTCTATGGCCAGACAGTCAGCCACCATCACTTGCCTTTGGCAGAGAGTCAAATATAACTGGAGACTCAAATGCTAGTGGGAAAGGCTTCTATAGGTTTCAGGTGGGCTCTAATTGGAAGATGTTGGCAGGGGGAAAGTGCAGGCAGCAGCATCTTATGTGATGGGTTTGGAGAGGATTTTTGGCTTTCTTGGCTTGGTCCTGAGTTGGAAGTGTCAGTGAGAATTAGGGCAGCAGGCAGTCATTGAGCAAATCCTGACGTTCTGGGCCTATCGCCATAGAAGGTTGGCTTGGCTCCTGCCCCGGTTGCTGCAAAGGTTGTGGGTCACAGCCTCTGAATATGCAGAGTCAATGACCATATATGACACTAGACATAGAAATGCATAGTTATATATGGCCATTGTCCCTTTGCGTATTCAGTCTCTTAATTCATTCAACATTCTAAATATATCCATCCCTCCTGTTACTAATCCTGAAACGGATTGCATAAAGTTACCCATGTGAGCAGCAGGTTGACTCCAAGCCAGCATCTGTGATTTTCAATGGTTGCCCTTATAAACTTTGATTTAGGGTTCATATGTGATAGAACTGTTTTTGTTTTGTTTTGTTTTGTTTTTTACTGCCCATGTTGCCTTCATATGTATGACATAATTCTCCTAACTGACATGGGCCTCAGTAATAATCTCTCAACTTCACCTGTGTGGGAGCTGACTCTAGCTCTTTACAATGCTACACTTTCACCACTGCCACCACCATCACCAGTCATTTGGTGGTGGTGATGGTGGTGGATGGTAACAGTGGTGGTAATGATGGTGGTGATGGTTATGGTGGGCCTATTTCTGCAGAGATTGTAGGTCGCCACCATCACCGTCACCGTTACCACCACCACTATCATTATGATCACCACCACTTTTGTCACCACCACCACCAGTCACCACCAACACCGTCACCAGCACCACTGTCACCACCACCACCACTATCACCATCACCATTATCACCATCACCACCACCACCATTACCAATATCAATGCCACCACCATTGCCACTGTCACCACCATCACTGTCACATCATCACCATCACCACCGCCACTGTTACCATCACTACCACTATTACCACCACTACCACCAACATCAACAATACCACTACCATTACCAATATCAATGCCACCACCATTACTGTCACCACTATCATCACTGTCACCACCATCACTCACCACTATCATCCCCATCACCACCACTACCACTGTCACCACCACCACGACCACCACCATTATCATCACCACCACCAATATAACCACCGCCCCATTACCAACATCAATACCACCACCATCACCATTGTCACCGCCATCACCACCACCACTGTTACCACCCACTACCATTACCTTGACCACCACCACCACCATCTTCACCACCACCACCACCATATTCACCACTACCACTATCTACAAGGTCAATGGTTCTCAAAATGTTTTCCCCAAACCAACAGCATCAGCATCATATAGTAACTGTTAGAAATGCACATTCTTGGGCCTCACCCCAGACCTACAAAAGTCAGCAATGGGGTGGGGCCAGCGCTCCAACTAATTCTGATGGATGCTAAAGTTTGAGAGCCACCATTCTAGATAAATTTCTAGGATGCCCACAAGGGCCTTATTTTCAGTCAGACCTTCCACAATGTATCCTTTAAATTTGTGAAAATTTGCTTGTCTTATGAAGTAGTCAGAGAAACAAGACGACCTTTATCTAGGTAATATCGAGGCAGAAATTCAAGGAAAAATAAATCCACTGAGCTGGTGCACACCTTAAAATAATTATCCTCCTGTATTCACCCATACTTGTCTAGTCCCCTGCATCCCGCAACATTTCTTGGCGAGCCAGCCAGGAGGAGTGGAGACGGCAGATCTACTGTCTCCTTTCCCTATGGGGCTGGAGCCCCGGGCCTGGGGAGACCTGTGACCCCAGGTGCCACCTGGAGAACTTCAGCCTAGAGGGGTGAAATCAGCTCTCCTGTGACCCAGCACCCCTACCCAGCAGCACAACAGAACCTGAGAGGGGCTACAGGACAATTCCAGAAACAGCGTGCTTCAGGAACTGCGGTAAGGTATTGGGGCCCAAGGCAGGACCCGTCTCATAAGGATAGAAGGGGAGCCTTCCCAGGGTGTAACTGGTAGTCTGACCCAGACGGGTTAGGGGCAGCAAGAACAGCTCGCCAATTTGGATGAAACTCACATCCCAACCGACACCGGATGTGAGAGTGGCTCGCTAAGTTGGTTAGGAAAAGGAAACTGGAGGCGGCAAGAGTGGCTCACCATCCCAATTAGGAACACAGGAACTGGGAATGGGGAGGTGTGTGAAAGTGTGTGAGAGATGGTTCCTGGAGAAACCAATGTGGGGAGTGATGTGGGGAGTCACAGATCTCTTAGCGTGGACTGTGTGCTCCAAGCGAAGTGTGGGGCCAACCTGGACTAGTGGCGAACCACATATGGCTAATAGGAGCTGCCCCACAGCTCAGAATTGTGGTGGGAATAAGGACCTCTCCAAAGCCAAGTGGTGTCTGAAAACTCCCATAATAGGAGAAGGTCTGGTTGGTCTGAGTCAAAAGGAAGAGTGGGTATGCTGCATCATAAAGGGAGGAAATAGGAGGAAAGTCATCAAAACCCACTCCATTGGAGTGCATGTTACAAAACTTTAAGAAAGGTTTTGCAGGGGATTATGGAGTTAAGCTGACCCCCCAAAGGTTGAGAACTCTCTGTGAACTAGAATGGACTTCTTTTGGAGTTGGATGGCCAACCGAAGGAACTACAGACGGAAATAATTGGCTGTGTATTTAGGGTGGTGACAGGGGTCGGAGGACAGCCTGGGCATCCAGATCAATTTCCTTACATTAACTCATGGTTAAATATAGTACAAACAAGACCAGCCTGGATCCAGCCCTGTTTAGTGGCTCATTGCAAAACACTTGTGGCCCAAGCTGAGCCAGAAGTGAAAGTAAGAGCAGGTTCGCCGACAGACACAGAGTTAAAGGGGAAGTCCCAGAGGGAACAAGAAAGGCCAGTTTTGCAGGAGCTGCCAGAGGGAACAGAGATTCCTCCTCCATATGTCCCAGCCTGGCCCCCTTTACTGAGGCCAACAGCCCCCCAGGAACCAAATTCAGGAGCTAGCACACCCCAAGTTTCACCCCAAAGGGAAGAATCAGAGCCTTGAGAGGCCAGGGAAGGAAATCAAGATAGTCGAGCAGGGTGTCTCAGATCTGGCTGTGCTCAAGCATGTAAATGCCTCTCAGGGAGACATGAGGACCCATTTATTATGATGACCAAGGCCAAGTCCAAGGGGGGCAACAGATTTTCATCTATGAGCCCTTTTCAACCACTAATCTCTTAAACTGGAAACACCATACTCCCTCCTATACAGAGAAGCCCCAAGCTCTTGTAGATCTGATGCAGTCCATCTTTCTGACACACAATCCAACCTGGCCAGACTGCAGGCAGCTTCTTCTCACGCTGTTTAACACTGAGGACCGCAGGAGAGTAACCCAGCAACTCTCCGCTGGCTAGAAGCCCATGCACCAGCAGATGCAGTGAATGCTCAGGCATACGCTCAGGGCCAGTTCCCAGACCAAGATCCCAACTGGGACCCAGAAGATGCGACCCAGCTTCAGCATTTGCAGAGGTACCGAAGACACTTCTGAAAGGGCTAAGAGATGGTGGAAAAAGGGCAATCAATAAGAAAAGATCTCAGGGATGCTTCAGGAAAGTGATGAGAGCCCTAGCCAGTTTTATGAAAGACTCTGAGATATACTGGCTTTTCACCCCATTTGACCCTGAGGCTCTTGAAAATCAGCGTATGGTAAATATATCATTTGTAGGACAGGCCCAGGGTGACATAAAGCGAAACCTTCAGAAACTGGAAGGTTTCGCAGGCATGAATGCCACCCAGCTTATAGAAGTAGCCACCAGGCTACTTCTATAAGTAGGAGGGTGGAGGATTACAGGTGGGATCACACCTGTAATCCCAGCACTTTGGGAGGCCGAGGCGGGCAGATCACAAGGTCAGGAGATTGAGACCATCCTGGCTAACACGGTGAAACCCTGTCTCTACTAAAAATACTCGGGAGGCTGAGGCAGGAGAATGGCGTGAACCTAGGAGGCAGAGCTTGCAGTTAGCTGAGATCGCACCACTGCACTCCAGTCTGGGCGACAGAGCGAGACTCCGTCTCAAAAAACAAACAAACAAAAAGAAGTAGCCACCAAAGTGTATGTTAACCATGACCAGGAGGCAAAGAAGGAAGCAGATCGGAGGCTTAAAAAGAAAGCCGATCTGTTGGCAACAGCCCTCATAGAGAGAGACACTAGCAATGTGAGAGGATGAGGAAGTGGACGTGGACATGGACATGGAAGAGGCCAAGACAAGGATTCAAGAGCTGACCAAGGTTAGAGAAGGATCAATGTGCACAATGCAAAAAGAAAGGACACTGGAAGGATAAATGTCCATAAGGCAATGAGGGAAATGGCCAAGGCGGAGAGACAAAGAGGCCACCGGCCAGGGGCTGCCACACCCTGGCAGAACCAGATACTGATCTGATCAGGCTGGCAGGGGCTGAAAGATATGAGGACTAGGACAGACCGCACTCCTTCTCATTGGGCCTTCAGGAGCCTATGGTCACATTAAAAGTTGGAAGCCGTTCAATGGACTTTATGGTAGATACTGGGGCTGAACACTCTGTAGTAACTCAACCCATAGGGCCACTAAAAACTATACAACTATTGTAGGGGCTACTGAAGTCTCAGAGAGGAGGCCATTCTGCCGGTCAAGGAGTTGTGTTACAGGAGGACGAGAAGTCCAGCATAAATTACTATACTTCCCAAATTGTCCAGTTCCCTTGTTAGGGAGAGACCCACTCCAAAAACTGCAAACATGGATTACTTTTGGCCCCCAGGGAGGTATAACTTTAAATCTGACTCACCCAAAGGCCATGGTGTTAACCTTTACTGTCCTGCAGGCTGAGGAGTGGAGACTTTATAAAAAGAGATTTCAGGCACCAATGCAACCTCATACACAAGAGGAAGAAAAATTATTATTTCAGTTAGTTAAAGAAATTACTGGAGTATGGGCTGAGGACAACCCACCTGGGTTAGCTGTAAATCATGCACCAGTAGTAGTAGAATTAAAACCAGGAGCAGATCCTGTTCAGGTTCATCAGTACCCAGTTACCCAAAAGGCTGTATGGGGCATCTGTAAACACTTACAGCCGCTCTATAAACAGGGGATTTTAGTCCAATGCCAGTTGCCCTGGAATACTGTACTTTTGCCAGTACAAAAGCCACTACCAGGACCAGGGTCTGATGAATATAGACCAGTGCAGGACTTGCATGCCGTAAACTGGGCCACAGTAACCATCCATCCAGTGGTACCCAACCTGTATAATTTAATGGAACTCATTTCAGCAAGTGCTACCTGGTTTACAGTCTGAGACTTAAAGGATGCTTTCCTTCATATCTGCATGGTACCAGTTAGTCAGCCTATCTTTGCATTTCAATGGGACAAAGAAGCTACCCAGCTCACCTGGACTAGGTTCCTGCAAGGGTTTAAAAACTTTCCCACAATCTTTGGGGAAGCATTGGCCTCAGACCTCAAGGCCTATACCCTGCCAAATGATAACTGTGCCTCGTTACAGTATGTAGATGACCTTCTTTTGGCGGCCCCAACCCAAGAGGACTGTTATCAGGGAACCCAAGACCTCCTCCATCTCCTATGAAAAGCAGGTTGCAAAGTACCTAAAAAGAAAGCTCAAATTTGGCCAGGTGCAGTGGCTCACGCCTGTAATCCCAGCACTTTGGGAGGCTGAGGTGGGTGGATCACGAGGTCAGGAGTTCAAGACCAGCCTGGCCAACATGGTGAAACCCCATCTCTACTAAACACACAAAAAATTAGCCAGGTGTGGTGGCAGGTGCCTGTAATCCCAGCTACTCAGGAGGCTGAGGGAGGAGAATTGCTTGAACTCAGAGGGCGGAGGTTGCAGTGAGCTGAGATCACACCACTGCACTCCAGCCTGGGCGACAGATTGAGACTCCATCTCAAAAACAAAACAAAACAAAACAAAAACCAATTTGCCATGAAGAGGTTAAATATCTAGGTTTCATAGTGAGCCAGGGGGAACGCCGGCTTGGCGATGAGCGGAAGCAAGCCATTTGTGCACTTCCAACCCCGACCACCTGACGTCAAATGAGAGAATTTTTAGGGGCAGCAGGATTCTGCTGCATCTGGATTCCAAATTTTTCACTGATGGCTAAGCCGTTATATGAAGCCACAAAGTGGGGAGAAAAAGAGCCCCTACTCTGGGAAACTAATCAGGAAATAGCATTCAAACAGATCAAGGAAGCTTTGGCCCAGTCCCCAGCCTTAGGACTACCAGACGTAACTAAGCCTTCCTTTCTATATGTTCATGAACAAAAGGGAGTGGCTATAAGGGTTCTGACTCAAGCTACAGGATCATGGCATCACCCAGTGGCATATTTATCCAAACAACTGGACTCTGCGGTGCTAGGATGGCTTGCTTTAACACATTAGCCACCTCCGTCTTGTTGGCACAAGAGGCTAGTAAACTAACTCTGGGACAGCAGCTAACCATCTGGGTGCTGCACTCAGTACAGCAGCTAAGCATCTGGGTGCTGCACTCAGTTATAACTTCGATAGACCAAAGAAGACATCACTGGTTGTCAAACCTGAGGATGACTCAGTACCAAGGGCTTCTATGTGAAAACCCTTACAGTATTTTAGAAACAGTGAACAGCTTAAACCCGGCTACTCTGCTCCCAGTGGAACCAGGAGCTCCCCTCCATGACTGTGTCAAAACAGTAGATGAGGTATTCTCTAGTTGAAAAGATCTTATGGACCAACCCCTCAGAGACCCAGATGTCGAGTACTTCACGGATGGAAGCAGTTTTGTGCTAGAAGGGGTTCAACATGCCGGGTATGCAGTGGTAACATTAGACTCAGTAGTAGAAGCTCAGTCTCTGCCTACTGGAACATCAGCTCAAAAGGCAGAATTAATAGCCCCAACAAGAGCACTGCTGCTAGCAAAAGACAAAAAGGTCAATACTGGCAGGGCGCGGTAGCTCACGCATGTAATCCCAGCAGTTTGGGAGGCCAAGGCGGGCGGATCACGAGGTCAGGAGTTCGAGACCAGCCTGGCCAACATGGCGAAAACCCGTCTCTACCAAAAATACAAAAAATTAGCTGGGCGTGATGGCAGGTGTCTGCAATCCCAGCTACTTGGGAGGCTGAGGCAGGAGAATCGCTTGAACCTGGGAGGCGGAGGTTGCAGTGAGCTGAGATCTTGCCACTGCACTCCAGTCTGGGTGATAAGAGTGAAACTCCGTCTCAAAAAAAAATAGTCAATATTTACACTGATTCTAAATACGCTTTTACTACATTGCATGTACATGGAACTATATACAAAAAGAGAGGACTTTTAACAGCTGGAGGCAAATAAATAAAGTACAAGAAAAAAATTCTACAGTTCTTAGAGGCTGCATGGGCTCCAGAAAAAGTAGTTGTAATGCACTGCAGAGGGCACCAAAAGGCAGGGATGCCAGAAGCCAAAGGAAACAGAAAGACAGGCAGAGGGGCAAAGCGGGCAGCAATGATTATGCCACATTTTAAAGAGAAAGCCTTAGCTATGCCTCTCCTCCCAGAACCTCCTCTCCAAGAGGACCCAACTTATACTCCAAATGAAAGAGCCTGGTTTGCCCAGGAAGCTGGAAAATACATTAAAGGAGGGTGGTGAAAACTCTTCGATGGAAAGTCAGCCATTCCGGAGATGTTAGCTCCTAAGTTTGTGAAACAAATTCATCAAGGAACTCATATGAAAAAAAGGGCACTAAAAATGTTATTAAAATGTCATTTATATGTGCCACGGGTCTCTGCCATCACTTGAGCTGTCTGTAAACAATATTTAACCTGTGCTCAGAACAATCTGCCACAGGGGCCCACACAGCCCCCAGGAATTCAGGAAATAGGAGCCATGCCTTGTAAAAACTTACTTACAGACTACCGAACTGCCCCGTGCTGGGGGCTATCGGTATATGCTAGTGCTTATTTGCACCTTTCCAGGATGGGTTGAGGCTTTCCCCACCAGGACAAAAAAAGCACGAGAAGTGACTAAAGCACGTTAAAAGACATTATCGGCCGGGCACCGTGGCTCACGCCTGTAATCCCAGCACTTTGGGAGACTGAGGCGGGCGGATCACAAAGTGACCATCCTGGCTAACACGGTGAAACCCTGCCTCTACTAAAAATATAAAAAAATTAGCCGGGCGTGGTGGCGGGTGCCTGTAGTCCCAGCTACTCAGGAGGCTGAGACAAGAGAATGGCGTGAACCCCAGTGAGCCGAGATCATGCCACTGCACTCCAGCCTGGGCTACAGAGCAAGACTGTCTCAAAAAAAAAAAAAAAAAAAAAGACATTATACCCAGGTTTGGACTGCCGCTAACTTTAGGATCAGACAATGGGCCGGCATTTGTAGCTGAAATAGTGCAAGATTTAACAAGACTGTTTTTTTTCTTTTCTTTTCTTTATATATATATGTATGTATATATTTATTATACTTTAAGTTCTAGGGTACATGTGCACAACTTGCAGGTTTGTTACATATGTATACATGTGCCATGTTGGTGTGCTGCACCCATTAACTCGTCATTTATATTAGGTATATCTCCTAATGCTATCCCTCCCCCCTTCCCCCACCCCACAACAGGCCCCAGTGTGTGATATTCCCCTTCCTGTGTCCAAGTGTTCTCACTGTTCAATTCCCACCTATGAGTGAGAACATGCGGTGTTTGGTTTTTGTCCTTGCAATAGTTTGCTGAGAATGATGGTTTCCAGCTTCATCCATGTCCCTACAAAGGGCATGAACTCATCATTTCTTATGGCTGCATAGTATTCCATGGTGTATATGTGCCACATTTTCTTAATCCAGTCTATCATTGATGGACATTTGGGTTGGTTCCAAGTCTTTGCTATTGTGAATAGTGCCGCAATAAACATACGTGTGCATGTGTCTTTATAGCAGCATGATTTATAGTCCTTTGGGTATATACCCAGTAATGGGATGGCTGGGTCAAATGGTATTTCTAGTTCTAGATCCCTGAGGAATCGCCACACTGACTTCCACAATGGTTGAACTAGTTTACAGTCCTATCAACAGTGTAAAAGTGTTCCTATTTCTCCACATCCTCTCCAGCACCTGTTGTTTCCTGACTTTTTAATGATCGCCATTCTAACTGGTGTGAGATGGTATCTCATTGTGGTTTTGATTTGCATTTCTCTGATGGCCAGTGATGATGAGCATTTTTTCATGTGTCTGCTGGCTGCATAAATGTCTCCTTTTGAGAAGTGTCTGCTCATATCCTTCGCCCACTTGTTGATGGGGTTGTTTGTTTTTTTCTTGTAAACTTGTTTGAATTCTTTGTAGATTCTGGATATTAGCCCTTTGTCAGATGAATAGATTGCAAAAATTTTCTCCCATTCTGTAGTTTGCCTGTTCACTCTGATGGTAGTTTCTTTTGCTGTGCAGAAGCTCTTTAGTTTAGTTAGATCCCATTTGTCAATTTTGGCTTTTTTTGCCATTGCTTTTGCTGTTTTAGACATGAAGTCCTTGCCCATGCCTATGTCCTTGCCCATGCCTATGTATTGCCTAGGTTTTCTTCTAGGGTTTTTGTGGTTTTAGGTCTAACATTTAAGTCTTTAATCCATCTTGAATTAATTTTTGTATAAGGTGTAAGGAAGGGATCCAGTTTCAGCTTTCTACATATGGCTAGCCAGTTTTCCCAGCACCATTTGTTGAATAGGGAATCCTTTCCCCATTTCTTGTATTTGTCAGGTTTGTCAAAGATCAGATAGTTGTAGATGTGTGGTATTATTTCTGAGGGCTCTGTTCTGTTCCATTGGTCTGTATCTCTGTTTTGGTTCCAGTACCATGCTGTTTTCGTTACTGTAGCAGTTTCTTCCTTGCATCGATGGTCTTACAATGTCTTTTTTTTTTTAATAGATGCAGAAAAGGCCTTTGACAAAATTCAATAGTCCTTCATGCTAAAAACTCTCAATAAATTAGGTATTGATGGGATGTATCTCAAAATAATAAGAGCTATTTATGACAAACCCACAGCCAACATCATACTGAATGGGCAAAAACTGGAAGCATTCCCTTTGAAAACTGGCACAAGACAGGGATGCCCGTCTTTGTAGTATAGTTTGAAGCCAGGTAGCATGATGCCTCCAGCTTTGTTCTTTTGGCTTAGGATTGACTTGGCAATGCGGGCTCTTTTTTGGTTCCATATGAACTTTAAAATAGTTTTTTCCAATTCTGTGAAGAAAGTCATTGGTAGCTTGATGGGGATGGCATTGAATCTATAAATTACCTTGGGCAGTATGGCCATTTTCACGATATTGAGTCTTCCTATCCATGAGCATGGAATGTTCTTCCATTTGTTTGTATCCTCTTTTATTTCATTGAGCAGTGGTTTGTAGTTCTCCTTGAAGAGGTCCTTCACATCCCTTGTAAGTTGGATTCCTAGGTGTTTTATTCTCTTTGAAGCAATTGTGAATGGGAGTTCACTCATGATTTGGTTGTCTGTCTGTTATTGGTGTATGAGAATGCTTGTGATTTTTGCACATTGATTTTGTATCCTGAGACTTTATTGAAGTTGCTTATGAGCTTAAAGAGATTTTGGGTTGAGACGATGGGGTTTTCTAGATATACAATCCTGTCATCTGCAAACAGGGACAATTTGACTTCCTCTTTTCCTAATTGAATACCCTTTATTTATTTCTTTTGCCTGATTGCCCTGGCCAGAACTTCCAACACTATGTTGAATAGAAGTGGTGAGAGAGGGCATCCCTGTCTTGTGCCAGTTTTCAAAGGGAATGCTTCCAGTTTTTGCCCATTCAGTATGATGTTGGCTGTGGGTTTGTCATAAATAGCTCTCATTATTTTGAGATACATCCCATCAATACCTAATTTATTGAGAGTTTTTAGCATGAAGGACTGTTGAATTTTGTCAAAGGCCTTTTCTGCATCTATTAAAAAAAAAAAGACATTGTAAGACCATCGATGCAAGGAAGAAACTGCATCAACTAACGAGCAAAATAATCAGCTAACATCATCATGACAGGATCAAATTCATACATAACAATATTAACCTTAAATGTAAATGGGCTAAATGCTCCAATTAAAAGACACACACCGGCAAATTGGATAGAGTCAAGACCCATCAGTGTGCTGTATTCAGGAAGCCCATCTCACGTGCAGAGACACACATAGGCTCAAAATAAAGGGATGGAGGAAGATCTACCAAGCAAATGGAAAACAAAAAAAGGCAGGGGTTGCAATCCTAGTCTCTGATAAAATGGACTTTAACCAACAAAGATCAAAAGAGACAAAGGAGGCCATTACAAATGGTAAAGGGACCAATTCAACAAGAAGAGCTAACTATCCTAAATATATATGCATCCAATACAGGAGCACCCAGATTCATAAAGCAAGTCCTTAGAGACCTACAAAGAGACTTAGACTCCCATACAGTAATAATGGGAGACTTTAACACCCCACTGTCAACATTAGACAGATCCATGAGACAGAAAGTTAACAAGGATATCCAGGAACTGAACTCAGCTCTGCACCAAGCAGACCTAATAGACATCTACAGAACTCTCCACCCCAAATCAACAGAATATACATTCTTTTCAGCACCACACCACACCTACTCCAATATTGACCACATAGTTGGAAGTAAAGCACTCCTCAGCAAATGTAAAAGAACAGAAATTATAACAAACTGTCTCTCAGACCATAGCGCAATCAAACTAGAACTCAGGATTAAGAAACTCACTCAAAATCGCTCAACTACATGGAAACTGAACAACCTGCTCCTGAATGACTGACTACTGGGTACATAACGAAATGAAGGCAGAAATAAAGATGTTCTTTGAAACCAACGAGAACAAAGACACAACATACCAGAATCTCTGGGACGCATTTAAAGCAGTGTGTAGAGGGAAATTTATAGAACTAAATGCCCACAAGAGAAAGCAGGAAAGATGTAAAATTGACACCCTAACATCACAATTAAAAGAACTAGAGAAGCAAGAGCAAACACATTCAAAAGCAACTTAAAGTATAATTAAAAAAAAGAAAAAAACACATTCAAAAGCTAGCAGAAGGCAAGAAATAACTAAGATCAGAGCAGAACTGAAGGAGATAGAGACATAAAAAACCCTTCAAAAAATCAATGAATCCAGGAGGTGGTTTTTTGAAAAGATCAACAAAATTGATAGACCGCTAGCAAGACTGTTAAAACTAAAATGGAAGTTACACACAGCCTATTGGCCACAAAGTTTAGGAAAAGTAGAACGCATGAACCGGACACTCAAGCAGCTACTGAAGAAATATTGCCAAGAAACTCATCTAAGATGGGATCAGGTCTTGCCTATGGTCCTCCTCCGAGTCAGGTGCACCCCCACCAAACAAACTGGGTATTCACCCTGTGAAATTTTGTTCGGTGGGCCTCCCCCAATCATAAGTCAAATAAAAGGTACTCTCCGGGAACTAGAGAAATTAACTTTAAGAAAGCAAATGCAGGCGTTAGAAATAGCCATGCAAGAGGTTCATGGCTGGGTACGAGAAAGAATGCCTATAAGGCTGACAGGCCCAGTACACCCCTTTAAACCTGGAGACTCTGTTTGGGTTAAAAAGTGGAATCCAACTTCTCTAGGACCCATATGGGATGGGCCCTATACTGTAATCTTGTCCACTCCCACTGCTGTTAAAGTTGCAGGTGTTTTACCTTGGATCCACCACAGTTGGCTAAAACCGGCAGCTCAGGACAAGTGGACCAGTCAGCAGGACCCAGATCACCCAACCTGGTTGATCCTGAGATGAGACCAAGCTGCTGCTAAAGATGACTGCCCTGCTCTGGTCACTCCGGAAGCTGACTACTCTACCCACGGCTGAAGCTTGAGGACTCATCAAGCAAGTAAATGTGGTTAGAAATCTTAGAGCTAGTAGCTTTCCTTGTAATACTAACTGTTTTCCTGTTGTTCTGTCGCTGTGCCCAATCTCCTCCCCCAGGTAAAGACCTCTTCTATCCTTGCTGAATATAAATATGCTGTACATTGTTTTGCTGTTGTTACCCCCCCTAACTATGCTAGAAGAAGCACCTATAGAAGGATGTCCCCACTGTACACATACTACCTGGTCAGGGAACAGTATAACTAAAACTCTATTGTGCCATACTTATTATGAGTGTACAAGGACTCGCTTAGGAACTTGTATTTATAATCAGACCTCCTACTCAATTTGTGACCCAGGAAATAACCAACCTTATGTATGTTATGACACCAAGTTTTCACCTGGTAAATGGTTTGAAATCCATGCAGGGTCAAAGGACTGTTCCCTCTTAAACCAAACCAAGGTCCCTCCCTTTTACCTAGGGCCTATTTCTCTATATTTTGATGCTTGTCAGGTAGCATACCTAGACTCACCCGTCTGTCGTAACCTACCTTTAAAAAGAGACTATAAAAATGACTACAAATATGTATGCAAGTCACCTCGTCCCCCTGGGACCCCAGAAAAAGATTGTCAGTATTGCATATCGTGGCACCCTAGCACACAACAAAGGCCAATTATGCTTACCAAAATGATGGTAAAACCAGATTGTAAAACAAAAACCTGTGATCCTATAAATTTCACCATTCTAAGGCCAAACCTACCCATGTGGACTGCAGGTTACCCCACACATGTCTACATACACACATACCCAGCAACCTACCTATATGTTATCAAAAAGGAAACCCGGACCCATCTGGCCCAGCAACAATTCTGAGTCTTTAAATCATTCTATAAGCATGTAGACTAAAAGTTACCAGAGCCTCCTCCTTTAACCAAAAACCTGTTTGCTCAGCTGGCTGAAAACATTGCTGGCAGCCTAGGCATTTCCTCATGTTATGTTTGTGGAGGAACTAACATGGGAGACCAATGGCCTTAGGAAGCAAAAAAGTTAATGCCACAAAATTATTTTACTCTGACCCTGAACTGACACCCATAAGTTCAAGCATCTGGCTCCTAAAAACTTCTATTACAGAAAGATACTCTGTTGCTCACTGGGGAAAGGCTTTTACAGACCCAGTAGGAGAACTAACCTGCTTAGGACAGCAATATTATAATGAAACACTACGGAAAACTTTGTGGCAGGGCAAAGATAACTCCAAATCACCTCATCCAAATCCATTCTCCCATTTCTCTTCTCTAAACCATACCTAGTATCGGCATAAAGCTCCAAATACCTGGCAAGCACCCTCTGGTCTCCGCTGGATCTGTGGGCCATGGGCCTACCAACAGTTGCCAGCCAAATGGACAGGGGCTTGTGTACTTGGAACAATTAGGCCATCTTTCTTCTTACTCCCACTGCAACAAGGAAAAACTTTAGGGTGTCCTGTCTATAATAAAATTTTAAACAAAACACAAAAGAAATAGAGACATAAAAAAAGACACAAAAATAGAAAATTAAAAAGACACAGATTGGCTCCCTGAAAGAATAATTCAGTACTATGGGCCAGCTAGGCACAAGATGGGTCGTTGGGATACCGTACCCCAATTTACATGCTTAACCACATCACAAGGTTGCAGGCAGTACTTAAAATCATCACTAATGAAACAGCAAACGCATTGGATTTACTGCCCAGCAAGCCACAAAAATAAAAAATGCCATCTACCAAAAGAGTTTAGCTTTAAACTACCTCCTAGCCCAGGAAGGAGAAGTATGAAAAAAGTTTAATCTAACTAATTACTGCCTAAAAATTAATAACAACGGGAAAGCTATGATGAAAATAACTGCAAAAACAAAAAAATTAGCCCATGTTCCAGTCCAAACTTGGAAGGGGTGGACTTCTAATTCCTTCTTTGAAGGCTGGTTTTCTGTCTTCGGTGGATTCAAAACCTTAATAGGAGTAGTTCTAGCCATACTAGGAATTTGTTTAATACTCCCTTGCCTCTTACCCCTCCTTATTAAAAGCATCCAATCAACTATAAAAGCCATTGTAACTAGGCAAACTACCACTCAGCTAATGGCTCTGTGAATATCAGCCTGTGCCTAAAAAAGAAGATCTGCTCTTTCATAAAAAATCAAATAATAGGGATGCTTTCTATTAAAATCTTGTTTATAAAAAAAGCATCAAAGGGGAAACTGAGGCAGAAATTTAAGGAAAAATAAATACTGCATTTATTCACTCCAAGAAAAGTAAGGGTTAAGTAAGAAACACAAGTTTTCCTCTACTGCAAGCAAGGCTGTAGACAGGTTGTAGTGACCTAGCCTGCAAAAATGAGCTCCAGACACCCCTGAGCAAGGTTAAAAGAAAAAAAACAAATTCCTTTACTGTCTCTCCTGTACTGAACTATTAGTTATGACTATGTTTGCCAATGCTTATATTTAGTAAAATTTATAAATTCCTGTTTTTCTTTCAACGTAGCTGGAAGGTCACTAGCTATACAAGGCCACAAGTTATGCCAAGTCAACAGTTATGCCATAAATTACATGACTTGTAATTTATGTAATTACCGCCTTTGTTTTGCTCTTGTATACTAGCCTATATAAGCTAAACTCTGTCTTTGTTTGGGGCTCAGGTTTTTAAATGTGAATCCACTGAGCCAGTGCGTACCTTAAAATAAATATCCTCCTATATTCACCCATACTTGTCTCTCTAGTCCTCTGCGTCCCCCAACAATATAAATGACAATATTTGCTACCATTTATTGCATCATGGTGCTAAGCACATCACAGACAGCTGGCTTACTCCTTACCACAGCCTTCAGTGATTACAGATGGGGAACACAGGCTCAGAGAGGTTAAGTAACTAGGAATTGAGGCCAGACCTATTTAGCTCCATAATTTGCCATTCTTAACTACTGTTAGATATGCTAATTCCCAGAATCATAAATGCACATCTGGAGGACTTTTTTTTTTTTGAGATGGAGTTTCACTCTTGTTACCCAGGCTGGAGTGCAATGGCGTGATCTCAGCTCACTGTAACTTCTGCCTCCTGGGTTCAAGCAATTCTCCTGCCTCAGCCTCCTGAGTAGCTGGGATTACAGGAATACATCACCACGCCCGGCTAATTTTGTATTTTTAGTAGAGACAGGGTTTCTCCATGTTGGTCAGGCTGGTCCCGAACTCCTGACCTCAGGTGATCCGCCCGCCTCAGCCTCCCAAAGTGCTGGGATTACACATGAGCCACTGGGCCAAGCCTAAGCCACCACGCCCAGCCCCTGAGCCACCTCGCCCAGCCCCTGAGCCACCTCGCCCAGCCTGAGCCGCTGAGCCCAGCCTAGAGCTTTTAGTTGAATTTGGATAGCTTTCATTAAATTCCCCCCCAGCATTTTGCTTAAGGAGAAACAAAGGTCCAGAAAGACGTACCTGGAATCATATTGTTTTGTTGTTGTTGTTGTTGTTGTTTTTGTGCTTTGAAGAGAGCGGTACTAGAATCATATTGTTACCTCCTAATTAGGGGGCTAGAACCTAGGGCCCCTGGTTTCAAATTAAGTCCTCAATTAGCCCTTTGATGAATCAGAGACACACAAGAATATTCTATACATCTTTTTTTTTTTCCTCCTAGATTGAGTGGGTAAATAAATCAGGAGGAAGTTAGGGAAGGGGGCAATTAATGGCTGGTGCTATTGCAAGCTAGTGGTGGTAGGTTTGACTTCTGGGGAGTGGATTGTTAGTTATCAAGGCAAGAGGAGCCACTGGTCACCCTCCCCCGCATTCCTGTCTGTAGCCTAGGTCCCACAGTTTGGGAACCTCCTTAAGGGATGGCTGTCACACTTCCAGCAGTGGGAACCGGGTGCATAGGCCTGTTCTTGCTTCTCTTTCCTTAGCGCCCCTTCCACTTATGATGCCCACAGACCCACCCTTGGGCAGATTTCTGTGGAAGCCTCTCACTTGGGGATAAAGCCTGTCTATATGTAGAGGTGACTGTGGTCCCTCAAGGCAGGCAGCTGCAAAAATCTCAAAGGACAGAGAAGATGGTTGTAGAAGCAGTACCATGGGACCCTTCAATGGCTCTGTGGGCTGATTTCCAAGCTCCACCCCTCTCCCCTTGGTCACAGGGCCACCTGACTTCCCTTTGGTTCTTCGAGGTTATACAACATCCCCACCTGCCAAACCTCATACCAAACTCCTTCCTATGTTTAGGGCTTTATTTGGCCCCCTCCTCTAAGGCTTTCTCTGGCCTTCCCTTCCTCTCCAGGGTAGTTGCATGCTATGTGTGCCTCTGGTAATCTTTTTTTTTTCATGGCTTTTTTTTTTTTTTTTTTTTGACAGAGTCTCCCTCTGTCGCCCAGGCTGGAGTGCAGTGGTGCCATCCTGGCTCACTGCAACCTCTGCCTCCTGGGTTCAAGCCATTCTCCTGCCTCAGCCTCCTGAATAATCTGGGACTACAGGCATGCACCATCACACCCAGCTAATTTTTGTATTTTTAGTAGAGATGGGATTTTACCACATTGGCCAGGCTGGTCTCGAATGCCTGACCTCAAGTGATCCCCCCGCCTCGGCCTCCCAAAGTGCTGGGATTACAGGTGTGAGCCACCGTGCCCGGTCATTTCTTGCATGGCTTTGCCACACTTTGAAACTGCACATTTTGATTTCTTATCATGGGTGTTTTTTTAAAAAAAATTGAAATTGCACATTTATATGTTCCCATGTTGGGTCCCCCTCATTACGTATTCAGCCAGTAAGGGCAGGATATTTGTGTCCGCTTTCCCAGGGTCCAGCACATGACCTAGCTTGATCAGTACATATTATTGAGCCTCGACAAATATGAGATTGGGCTCAAGAAATATTTATTGGGCTCAGTGAGTATTATTGAATGAATGAATATGGCCTTTCCGGAGCCTTTCCCCAAGGTCCAACACAATTGCCGAATTAATGCAGCCGAGGACACAGCATCCAGTTCCTACTCCTGCAGCCCAGTTACCCCCATCCAACACCACCCCCCTACCCAACCCCCGCTGAAAAGCGGACCTGTGTTCAGAACCTGCCTTCATACTTTTCAGCCATGCTCTTTGGAATAATGAAAGATACGAAGAAGTCAGTGGGAAGATAGACATGGGGAGGGGGACATAGAGGGTGCCTTTGCGTTTTGCTACCCAGGACCCAGGACTCAAGGGCAGGGTGGTCTTGGCCTGGGGTCGCCGTCCTCTTTAAGGGGCGGGTCAAGGGACCCTGGCTGCCCGGGCCTCTGCCACCGACCCTCTGCTCCCTCCGACCCTCACCGCCCAGCACCCAGCCCTCTGCCCCCACCGGCCACCCTGTAACAGCCCAGCGGGTTCACCTTGCCTGCTGCCTAGACAGAGCCGATTTATCAAGACAGGGGCATTGCAATAGAGAAGGAGTAATTCACACAGATCAGGCTGCGCGGGACACTGGGCAGAGTTTTTAAGGACAACTTGGTGGGTGGGGGAAGGCCAGTGAGTCGAGAGTGCTGATTGGTTGGGTCGGAGGTGAAATCTTAGGGAACTGAAGCTGTCCTCTTGTGCTGAGTTAGTTCCGGAGTGGGGGCCTAAGATCAGATGACCTGGTTTATCGATCTGGTAGGTGTCAGTTGATCCATCAAGTGCAGGGTCTGCAAAATATCTTGAGCACTGATCTTATTAGCAGTTTAGGGAGGGTCAGAATACTGTAGCCTTGCTGCCTGACTCCTAAATCATACTTTCTAATCTTTTGGTTAATTTGTTAGTCCTACAAAGACAGTCTATTCCCCAGGCAAGAAGGAGGTTTGTTTTCAGAAAGGGCTGTTATCATCTTTGTTTTAAACTATAAAGTATAAACTAAGTTCCTCCCAAAGTTAGTTCAGCCAACGCCCAGGAATGAACAAGGACAGCTTGGAGGTTAGAAGCAAGATGGAGTTGGTTAGGTCAGATCTCTTTCATTATCTGTTATAATTTTGCAATGGCGGTTTCAACCTAGTGGCCGAACCCGTCCCATCCATCTCCCGCGCCCCTCCGCTCCACCACAGCCCTCGGTGCCTCGGTTCCCTGCACCTGCACTCCCGCCCGCCCCCGACGCTCCGCCCCCGACGCTCCGCCCGCCCTCCACGCTCCGCCCCGCCCTCCCGGCCCCCGCCTGCGCCCGCGCCCTGGGCTGGTGCCCGCCACCCCAGCGATCTCATACTGGCCCCTGGGCGCACGGTGACCCTGCGGCTGCCCGGCCCCTGCCTCCGCCCGCGCGGCCCCCTCGCTCAGGTCGCGGGCGCCCGGGGCCTGGCTTCGCGTGGGTCCTGGCTCCTCCCGTTCCGCAGTTGGTGCCGTCTGACAGCCCCTTCCGCGCGGCGCGGCGCGGCGCGGCGGGTGTCGGGCGGGGCGCGGGCCTCCGGCCTGAGGCCCGGCGAGGTGCTGGAGGGAGCGGGGCGCGGATCCGGCCCAGATGGGCAGCTCCGTCCGCGGGGTCAGGGCCGGGCTTCGGCTTCACCGCAGCCTCGCCTGAGCGGGCGCCTCTGAAGTGGAGGGCGGGCCGCCTGGGCCGCGGGCCTCGGGAGGATGGTGGCGCCCTGGCGCGTCTCCGTCAGGGTTTGCCTGTCGCACCTGAGGTGCTTCGAGCTCAGACAGGGACTCAGCCTCCTGAGGCCCTCCGAGTGCCCTCGCGATGCCAGGCTCTGCTGGCTTCTGCTGGGCACTTTGCCCAAGGTCGTCTCCCTGTGCGGGGACGTGGGTGAGGGGGCCCCTGACGTTCTGAGTCGGCGAAGGGTCCGCTGCAGCGGGGCGGCTGGCGCGGGGCCCGCGGAGAGCCTCCCCCGAGCGGGACCTCTGGGCGGCGTCTTCCTGCATCTCCGCCTCTGGCTTCGCGCCGGCGCTCTGTTGGTGAAATTCTTCCCCCTCCTACTCCTCTACCCCCTCACCTACCTGGCTCCCAGCGTCTCCACCCTCTGGCTCCACCTGCTTCTGAAAGCCACCGAGACCTCAGGCCCAACCTACATCAAACTGGGCCAGTGGGCCAGCACCCGGCGCGATCTGTTTTCGGAGGCTTTCTGTGCCCAATTTTCCAAGCTGCATGTCCGAGTGACGCCCCACCCGTGGACTCACACTGAGCGCTTCCTTCGGCAGGCTTTTGGGGATGACTGGGGGAGCATCCTCTCTTTTGAGAACCGGGAACCTGTGGGCTCAGGCTGCGTGGCCCAGGTGTACAAAGCATACGCCAACACTGCCTTCCTGGAGACTGACAGCGTCCAGAGACTTGGCAGGGCCTCCTGTCTGCCGCCCTTCTCACATACTGGGGCAGTCGGTGGGCTGAGAGAGCTCTTTGGATACCTTGGAAATGGCCGGAAACCTCCAGAAAATCTCGCAGACCAGTCGTTTCTAGAAAGGCTGCTCCTCCCTAAAGCTGACCTGGTTGGATCAAATGCAGGGGTGTCTCGGGCTCAGGTCCCTGGCCACCAACCTGAGGCCACCAACCTCATCTCCGTGGCAGTGAAAGTAAGTGTTGTGAGAGCTCACAGCTCACCTACCCACTGAGCTATCCCAGATCAGAAACAACCGCCATGCAAATCGCCCCCACGTTTATTTCTATTTGCCTGACCAATATCTGAGTGCTTATTTCATGCAAGCTGTTTCATTTATTGGCTTGAAGTGGCGGTGTGAATAGTCTGATAGAGGAAAATGAACTGAGTCTGGAGTGAACTAACTGCTTGGGTGTCGGGACCACATCCTCTTTTCTTTGATAAGAAGCCACCTGGCTCTTGCTTGGATGGTGGGACCCAGCCCTGGCTGGGTAAAATGTGTCCAGCAGGTTTCTCCTGTCTCACGGTTCCTCTTTCTGACAGGTGTTGCACCCTGGCCTGCTCGCTCAGGTGCATATGGACCTGCTGCTGATGAAGATTGGCAGCCGAGTCCTGGGAGTTTTGCCAGGCATCAAGTGGCTTAGCTTGCCTGAGATTGTGGAGGAATTTGAGAAGCTGATGGTCCAACAGGTGAGTTCTCCTCCCCTCAGCTGTAAATAGCACCTAACATAGTTCTTGCCATTAGCTGCTACTTAGTAAATGTTGAATGAATAATTTTCTGGTATGTCATAACTCATGTGATGTGTTAGAGCTGGTAACACTAGCTGATAAAGAACATCCAAATCTCAGTGGCTTAATGCAACAAATTAATTTTTTGCTTATATCAAAGTTCTGGCCGGGCGTGGTGGCTCATGTGTGTAATCCTAGGACTTTGGGAGGCTCAGGCAGGTGGATCACTTGAGGCCAGGAGTTCGAGATCAGCCTGGCCAACATGGTGTAACCCTGTCTCTACTGAAAATACAAAAATTAGCTGGGCGTGGTGCTGCATGCCTGTAATCCCAGCTACTCAGGAAGCTGAGGCATGAGAATTGCTTGAACCCAAGATGGAGGTTGCAGTGAGATGACATCATGCCACTGCACTCCAGCCTGGCGACAGAGTGAGACTCCATCTCAAAAGAAAAATAAAAACAAAAAACAAAGTTCTATGCAGGTGAACTGAGGCAGAGAAAGGGAGCTCTTTATTTTATTATTTTAAAAACAGAGACAGGGTCTTGCCATTGTTGTCCAGGCTGATTTTGAACTCCTGGGCTCAAGCCATTCTCCCTCCTCGGCCTTCCAAAGTGCTGAGATGACAGAACTAAGCCACCGTACGGTCAAGAGAGGGAGCTCTACTCCCTAGTTTCAGGGGACTCAATTTCTTCCCAAGTTTGGCACTGCCTCCTTCAACATGTGTCATCTGGGGTCAGTGTGGATTGGAGGCAGAGGCCATGCAGGGTCATGTAATAAATTTTGTGGCCAGGCCTGGAAGTGGCAAACATCACTTCTTTCCTGTTCACTGATCAGAGCTGTAACTGCCTGGGCCCAGTGTAACTGTGAGCTTGGGAAATACAGTCTTCCTTTGTGACAAGGAAATGATTCTGGTGGAGAACATCTAGCATTATTTCTGCCATAATCAATGACTCCAGAGTGAGAAAATAATTAGCAAAGTCACATACTGTGCCTTTGTTCTGCTTTGATTCCAGGGCAATTGAGTCAACAAGGACCTCCTTCATGCTCAGGGCCCTTGGGACCTTTGTATAAGGATACAGACTTAGCAAACACACTGGGGTGGTCGGGGCTCCACTTAGGTACCTGTTGGCTCCTTGTTGGGTAGTGCAGGAATTGGGAGGTTTTCAGAAGCAACCTGCCGAGTATTTGTTTGGAGGCTCTGATTTAAGATTTTAAGTCCTAGGGATTCATTCCAATGTTTAGAAAGTCTCTTAGTCTGTTCGGACAGAATCCCATAAACTAAGTAGCTTACATACAACAGAAATGTATTTCTCGAGGTTCTGGAGGCTGAAAATTCCAGATCAAGGCATCGGCAGATTCGATGTCTGGTGAGGCCCCACTTTCTGGTTCATAATTGGCACCTTCTGTGTCATCACATGGTAGAAGGGGTAAGGGGTCTGTCTTGGGTCTCTTGTGTAAAGGCGCTGATTCATTCATGCAGGCTCTGCTCTCATGACCTAATCACCTCCTAAAGGCCCCATCTCCTAATACCATCACCTTAGGGCTTAGCATTTCAACAAAGGAATTTTGGGGGGACACAAACATTCATAGCTACAGAGCAATGTAATTTGATAATAAAAGCAAATTAAAACAGAGAAAATAGCATCGATTCCAACAACCATCTCTGCATTAATTCCTCTCAGTCCTGCCACTCATCTGAGTTTCAGTTCCCCTTGCGGAAGTCTGACAGACATCATGTGGTTCCATCACTTCAAACTCACATCTCTGAATCACACCCCATTTGTCTTAAAAATCAGCTCTTCCTACTAAGCCTGTGTCCGTCTCTCAGTAGTCCCATCATGTTCCTAGGCTGGAAGCCTTAGAGTTGTGGGTCTGGGTATAGTGTGTGAGTGTCTCTCCATTCATTTATAAGTTTATGTAACAGTGACTAAAAACTCTGTTAGGGCTGGGTGCGGTGGCTCATGCCTGTAATCCAAGGACTTTGGGAGGCTGAAGTGGGTGGATTGCTTGAGGTTAGGAGTTTGAGATCAGTTTGGGCAACATGGTGAAACCTCATCTCTACCAAAAATACAAAAAATTACCTAGGCGTGGTGGTGCTCACCTGTAGTCCCAGCTACTCAGGAGGCTGAGGTGGGAGAATCGCTTGAATCTGGGAGGCAGAGTTTACAGTGAACCATGATCACACCACCGCACTCCAGCCTGGGTGACAGAGTGAGATCCCATCTCAAACAAACAAACAAACAAACAAACAAACAAACAAAAAACTCTGTTAGACGCTAGTAAGCAAAGAAAACAAGTGAGCTTTCCTATCCCTAAGAAAGACAGTCAGGGCCAGGTGCCGTGGCTCACACCTGTAGTCCTAGCACTTTGGGAGGCGGCGTCAGGTGGATCACTTGAGGTCAGGAGTTCAAGACCAGCCTGGCCAACATGGCGAAACACTGTCTCTACTAAAAATACAAAAATTAGCCGGGCATGGTGGCACACGCTTGTAATCCCAGCTACTCGAGAGGCTGAGGCAGGAGAATCGCTTGAACCCAGGAGGCGGAGGTTGCAATGAGCCAAGATCATGCTTTTGCACTCCAGGCTGGGCAACAGAGCAAGACTCCATCTAAAAAAAAAAAAAAAGAAAGACAGTCAGCCCTCTGTCCATGAGTCCTGTATCCCCGGATTCAATAAAAAATGTAGTTAGGTCTGTGATAGTTGCATCTGTATTGAACATGTACAGACTTTTTTTTCTTGCATTATTCCCTTAACAATGCAGTTTAACAATGATTTACAGAGCGTTTAGATTGTATTAGGTATTATAACTAATCTAGAGCTGATTTAAAGTATATGGGAGGATATGCATAGGTTATATGCAAATACTGTGCAATTTTATGTCAGGGACTGAGCCATCTGGTATCTGAGGGAGGCCCTGGAAGCAATGAACCTGAGCCTGGCTGAACCTCAGCATGGTTCATCAGGGCTCAGAGGAGGACTTGGTTGGTGTCCTTAGCTTGAGCTGAGTATTGAAAGGTGACTGGTGTTTGCAGTTGGACCAAGTGGGGGAATAACATTCCAATTCGAGGCAGTAAAGAAGCCAGAGGAGAGCCGGGGGTGTTAGCCACTCTGGGATGTCGAGCACTATATGGAGTTGGGTGAGGCCAGGTCTTGGGTGGTAAAAGGCAGGGGAAGGTGCCATGAGAGATGGACCTGGACAGAGAAGTAGGGGCCAAATCATGACCCACCTGGATGCCATTCTAAGGAGTGCAGACTTCACCATGCAGGTAATGGATTGGAGAGGAAGGATGGGTCAAGGAGCACACTCGAGGCACCTCTGTTTGTGCTCAGGTGACTGGACCTGAGGGCATGCGCCTTGGGAGTGGCATTGGGGGACAGGGACTGATCTGAGGGCGGTGAGGCTGCAAACTTGATGGCATTGGGCCATTGCTGTGCACGGAGGGGAAGAGAGAAGGCATGATCTGGGGACTCAAAGGTGACTGAGTGCGTGGGGATGGTGAAGGGAAATTCCATTTAGGCACAGAGCTTCAGGGTCTCTGGGCTCCCACCGGGCCACATCCAGGTGTCATTGGATATATCACTCTGGAGACTGGCATTGAGGTCTGACCTGGGGATCAAGGTGCTGTCAGAGGAGGCGCCGGCTGAGGGCTTGGTGGCTGTCAAGGGGACACACACGCTCACTTCGGTCAGGAGAAAGGACATCAGCTCCTGGGGGCACAGGAGACCCAGCCAAGACAGGACAGCGAGAGGCAGCAGGGGTGCCAGGAGAGTGAAGGGCAGGTGCCGGGGGAAGAGCCATCACGGAGAGACAGGTCAGCAGCGGCACCAGCCCTGGATGCCCACAGAGGTTGATGATAAACCTGGAAGTGGTCCTTTGGGTCTGGTGAGTGGTGGTTGGGGAGAGTAGCAGTGGCAGTGTCGATGCGGTGGGTGGAGAGCTGCCGCGAGATGAAGGGGTAGCCCTGTGTGGAAGCGCCCACAGCACGCTGGCCCTAATGGAAAGAGAGGGCTGGGGGCTGGCCTGGAGAAGCCAGACCCCAGGGAGACGGGGAAGGGACTCATGGGCTGGTGTGAGGCAGGCGGGTGGCAAGGGCGAGAGTAGCAGAGAAGCAGTGCAGCCCAAAGCCCACCAGGGCACCTGCCGTCTGCAGCCTCCAGGAGTTCACACAGAGATCTGGGATTGCTGGGGCAGGCTGTAGCCCACGGATGTCGCCTCCTGAGTTTCTGGGCAAGTTCTGCGGGGCAAGCTGGTGGGGAAGGTGGGGTGGATCTCATGACTTGCTAGCTCCTTGGCATTGCAGATGTCACTGTGCCTGTACCCAGACTAGCCCTCATCCTTTCTGTCCATTTCTCTGTAGATTGACCTGCGTTACGAAGCTCAGAATCTAGAACACTTCCAGGTCAACTTCCGGAATGTGAAAGCCGTCAAGTTCCCCACCCCTCTGCGCCCCTTTGTCACCAGAGAAGTCTTGGTGGAAACGTATGAAGTAAGAGTGATGGCTTTGCCTGGCCATACCTTTCACTTGCCACTCGCAGTGGGCCCGTCTCCAGCCCACAGAAAGGCTTCAGTCTGGAGAGAGGATGGGATTTGTGTCTGTAAAACTGTGAGGAGCTGGGATGTGTTGGCCTCGGCGGGAGGCAGTGTTGGAGTGAGGTAGCTGAGAACACTGGGTGTGGCCCGATCCCCTAGATTTGAAAATCTGCTCTGCCATTTTATTAGTTGGTGACCTGCCTTAGAGGATTGTCTCAGGAGTAAATGACACACTGAATGCAAAACAAGGAGTTGGGCACAGAGAAAGTGCTGAACAACCTTGTGTCATCTCACTTGCCCTAGCTATCCTCTACTCTAGTTCAGCCTTCTCTCTCTTTTTTTTTTTTTTTTTTTTTTTTTTTTGAGATAGAGTCTCACTCTGTTGCCCAGGCTGGAGTGCAGTGGCATGATCTCAGCTCACTGCCACCTCCGCCTTCCAGGTTCAAGTGATTCTCGTGCCTCAGCCTCCCAAGTAGCTGCGATTACAGGTGTGTGCCACCACACCTGGCTAATTTTTGTATTTTTTAGTAGAGATGGAGTTTTGCCGTGTTGGCCAGGCTGGTCTGGAACTCCTGACCTCAAGTGATCTGCCTGCCTTGGCCTCCCAAAGTGCTGGGATTACAGGCATGAGCCACTGCACCCAGCCCAGCCTCCTCTTTACAGATGGTGATATGAGATTCAGGGAATCTCATGAATGTGACATGAACCACACAGTGTTTCTAGCTGTGTGAACTTGAGCAAGTTGCTTAACCTCTCTGGGCTTTGGTTCTTTTATTTGTTAATTAGGGATAACAAGATCTATCTCCATGGGTTGTTTTGACAATTTTTTTTTTTTTGAGACAAGGTCTTGCTCTGTTGCCCAGGCTGTGGTACAGTGGCATGATCTCGGCTCACTGCAGCCTCCACCTCCTGGGCTCAAGTGATCATTCCACCTCAGCCTCCCAAGTAGCTGGGACCATAGGCACGAGCCACCATCCCCATGTCCGACTAATTTTTGTATTTTTCTGTAGAGCCTGGGTTTCTCCCTGTTGCCCAGGCTGGTCTCAAACTCCCAAGTTCAAGTGATCCTCCTGCTTTGGTTTCCAAAAGTGCTAGGATTATACGTGTTAGCCACCACACCTGGGTAATTTTTTTTTTTTTTTGTAGAGATGGGGGTCTCCTTACGTTGCCCAGACCCCTATTGGCTGATTCTTGCCCAGAAACCAGCTCTCTGGTGCCCACCCCTATCTTTTCAGGACATCACATCTCTTATCTTCAGTAGCAGAGTTGATAGGTTTCCTTTTCAATAAACCTATGTGACTTGTCATCCTTCTGATAGCTGTTATAGAAGGGAATGTAAATAAGTTCAAATCA
This sequence comes from Homo sapiens, assembly GCF_000001405.40. Lineage (NCBI taxonomy): Eukaryota > Metazoa > Chordata > Mammalia > Primates > Hominidae > Homo > Homo sapiens. Next base: position 140,680,681 of record NC_000007.14, read on the forward strand.
ATGTGTGGATGACAGATTTTTGTTTTGTTTTGTTTGAGACAGAGTCTCTGTCACTCAGGCTAGAGTGCAGTGGCGCAATCTCAGCTCACTGAAGCCTTGACTTTCCGAGTTGAGGTGGTTCTCCCTCATGTTGTCCAGGCTGGTCTTGAACCCCTGGGCTCAAGCAATCCTCCCAAGGTGCTAGGATTACAGGTGTGAGCCACTGCACATGGCTGAATGACAGATGGGTTCTAGGAAAGGAAATACTCTTTGGGTTACTTCCCAATAAGTGAGAAGACAGCGCTGTGGTGCCACGTGGGAGGAGGAGCCAGCATCACAGGCTGGCTGGGATTAAGCTGTTCTCTCCCTGGTCTTTCTGAAGGAGAGTGTGCCTGTGTCCAGTTACCAGCAGGCAGGAATTCCCGTGGACTTGAAAAGGAAGATTGCACGGCTGGGGATCAACATGCTCCTGAAGATGGTGAGCTCATGGCTGGAGCGGGCTCAGGCCCAGCATGTGGTCAGCTTGCAGATGGGGAGTGGGCTGGGACTCTGGCTATCTGGGTGGGAAGGAGAGCGAAGCAGCAAGCCGCCAGGTTGAGAAAGTCTGGTCTAGAAAGAGTGGAGGCTACCATAAATGGCCATGGTGTCTGTGAAGCTCTTTTATTTTTTTTTTTTTGAGATGGAGTCTTGCTCTGTCGCCCAGGCTGGAGTGCGGTGGCGTGATCTCGGCTCACTGCAAGCTCTGCCTCCTGGGTTCACGCCATTCTCCTGCCTCAGCCTCCCAAGTAGCTGGGACTACAGGCGCCCGCCACCACGCCTGGCTAATTTTTTGTATTTTTTTAAGTAGAGATGGGGTTTCATCATGTTAGCCAGGATGGTGTCGATCTCCTGACCTCATGATCCACCCGCCTTGGCCTCCCAAAGTGCTGGGATTACAGGTGTGAACCACCACACCCGGCCTTTTTTTTCCTTTTTTAAGATAGGGTCTCACTCTGTTGCCGAGGTTGGAGTGCAGTGGCAAAATCTCCATGAACTACAGCCTCAACCTCTTGGGCTCAAGTGATCCTGCCTCCTCACTCCTCAGCCTCCTGAGTAGCTGGGACTACAAACATGAGCCACCAAGCCTGGCTAATTTAAAAAATTGTTTTGTAGGGACTTACTATGTTGTCCAGGGCAGTCTTGAACTCCTGGGATCAAGCGATCCTCCCACCTTGGCCTCCCAAAGTGTTGGGATTACAGGCATGAACCACCATGCCCGGCCTCTTAAGTGCTTTGTCAGTGGCTCATGCTCTGTGTGCTGTGAGAAGAAGGGTGACCATGACCCAGTTCTGCCAGCATTGCCTGTAGTTTAGCAAACAGCTGAGACAATATCTTATTTTAAATGCTGCTTTGCTCATTTGTTCAGCAAATGTTTATTGAGCACCTGCTAGGTGCCAGGCACTGAATTAAGGGCTGGGGTTACAGCAGTGAGCAAAACAGACACAATTACAATGCTCGTGACATACTATTCCTTGGGAAGATAGGTGACGACTAAGTAAATGATTTATAGGGATAGGTACGGGGTACCAAAAGGTCATTTCGGAGGAGACTGTGCTAACCCAGGGATTCACTCAGGAAGTGGCTCCATCTCAGCTGCAGTGTGAAGGTCTAGGTGTCACTACATAAGGACAGGTGGCAGGGAGTTGTCTAGAGAGAATAGCCTTTGCTGAGGCCTGGGGTGAGCTACTGCATGGTGCTCTTGGAGAGACGAAAGCACTTAGTATGGCTTGGAAGAGAGTTTGAAGGAGGGGGCAGTGATTGCTGAGGCTGAGGAGGTGAGAGGAGGCTGAGGAGGTGAGAGGGGCCTGACCACAAAGGGTCTAGTAAATCTGTGAAAGAGTTTGGACTTTAATCCAAGGGCAGATAAGTTCATTTTGAAGATTTTTGCCCTTAACTTTAAAAAATTGAATTCCAATAATATTTAAATATAAAGTGCTCAGATCTTAAATGATGCTTAGTGAATTTTTAAAAAGCATCCCAGTGCCCAGATTAAAACATAGGAGAGTTTTGGCTGGGTGCAGTGGCTCACACCTATAATCCCAGCACTTCAGGAGGCTGAGGCGGGGAGATTGCTTGAGCCCAGGGGTTTGAGACCAGCCTGAGCAAGATGCCAAAACCCTGTCACTACAAAAAAAAAAAAAAAAAAATACAAAAATTGGCCACGTTTGGTGGCAGCATGCCTTTAGTCCCAGCTACCTGGGAGGCTGAGGTGGGATCACCTGAGCCCAGGAGATGGAGGTTGTAGTGAGCTAAAATCATGCCACTGCACTCCAACCTCAGATACAATGAGACTCTGTCTCAAAAAAAAAAAAAAAAAAAAAAAGCCAGGCGCAGTGGCTCATGCCTGTAATCCCAGCACTTTGGGAGGCCGAGGCAGGTGGATCACGAGGTCAGGAGATCGAGACCATCCTGGCCAACATGGTGAAACCCTGTCTCTACTAAAATACAAAAAATTAGCCAGACGTGGTGGTGCATGCCTGTAGTCCCAGCTACTCGGAATTGCTTGAACCCAGGAGGCAGAGATTGCAGTGAGCCGAGATCACAGCACTGCACTCCAGCCTGGCGACAGAGCGAGACTCCGTCTAAACAAACAAACAAACAAACAAACATAAAGAGACATAGGAGGTTTTTATGCTGAGGAATGCCCTAATGTCACAACCTCATGTCCACTGTGTGGAGTTGGAGTGGGAGGGTGAGACGAGAGGCAGGGGAGTCAGAAGGTGGATTTTGATTCTTGGACATTTAAACATGTTCAAGTTCTCCAGCTCTCACCACATGCCTGGGTCCTCCCTACCATGATTCTTTTCCTCTGAGACCCGGGTATTCTTCCTCCTAAGAACCTGGGTTTCCATCTCCTAAGAATTCTTGGTTGGTTTTGTCTTTCCTGTGTCTACCAGCGAGGATTCTGAAGGCCCCCCAGCTGAAGAGGGGCCTGGCCGCATCAGGAGGGCATTCTTTGTTTCACAAAGGCCAGAGCCGTGGTTTACAACAGGGTGGTTTTGTCTACCAGGGGACATCTGGCGATGTCTGGAGACATTCTTGGTTGTTATAGTTGGGGGTTGGGGGTGCTACTGGCAGCTGTTGGGAAGAGGCCAGGAGCTTACCACCCCAGAGTGCAGGGACAGCCGTCCCCACCCCCAGCAATAGACTGAGAAACCCTGGGCTGGAGGGATGGAGAAACTTACAGGCACAGGGACAGGATTTGATGGTGCTTCCATGGGAAACCTTCTATTTCCTTGTGAACTAAGGGGCCATTGTTCTCTGCTGGGAGTAGGATGCAGAGGGCCATGGGAGAGGAGGTTTAAAGAGAACACAGAGGTTTGAAATTGCTGCCCTGGGACTAGAAAGAGCTACTTGGAAAATGTGGATGGTTGTCAGGAGGGGCAAGCCATGTTGGTGTTGGAGAGGCAGAGGGGTATTTTGCCTATCTGCAGTGTAGCCTGGGGGTTAGGAGCCCAGAGCAGGATTTGTTTTGAGTTCAAATCTCAGCTTCCAGTTTACTAGCTCAGGGCAGAGAGGAGTGTCTGGGGCAAGTTACTTAACCTTTGTCGTCAGGCTTCTTATCTTTCAAAAGAGGATAAGAAGTGCCTTCCTCATAGGGTCACCATGATGGTTAAAGGAGTGGAAATTCCTAAGGAGCTGCAGTGAGTCCTAAGCCACGCTAGTTATGGCTGCCTTCGTTGGCAGTAATCGTGACCCAGCATTGTTAGCAGCCCCCATGCAGGAGATCTTAGATTGTCGGGGGTCTGGACTTTCTGGTGGTTGGGACAGAGGACAGTGGTTGAAGGGATGGATGACAGGAATGGGCGATGGGGTCGAGGCGGATAGGGAAGAAGAATACCCAGGTCTCAGAGGCGAAGAATCATGGTAGGGAGGACCCAGGCATGTGGTGAGAGCCGGAGAATGAATCGAGGAGTCAGAGATCGAGCTGTTGGTGGAGGCACGTCTGGAGTCCCCGCAGCAGGGGCGCTCAGAGCAGGTGGAGTCCTGCAGGCTGACAGCACGCACGCACATGCGGAAGGCTGAGAGCCGTTGTGGGGGTGGGCTCAGGTGACACCACTCCAACCCTAATTCCACTCCACCCCAGGGCCTGTGGGATGGGGAGTCAGCAGCTCCCACCCCTCTGGCTCCTGGAGAAGCAGGATTGTTGAGGCACACCTAGGTTTCAATTCAGTAGTTGCAGTCAGAACCCGGTGGCAAGAGGACTTTGTCCACAGGAACAGGGCTCCAAGGGGCACAAGAGGGATGTAGCCAGGGGAGAAGCACCATGAAGCAGCACCAGGAGTGGAGCGAGGATGAGGGGCCTCCAGTTTTGGGGTCAGGATCGGGGCATGAGACCCTGGGCAGAGCTGAGGGCAAGGTTCCAGAAGATTCAGAAACTTAAAAAAAAAAACAACTGAATTATAGCAACATTCAATAAAGTGCATAGATCTTAAATTATGCTCAGTGAATTTTTAAAAGTATACTAGGCCAGGCATGGTGGCTCACTCCTGTAATCCCAGCACTTTGGGAGGCTGAGGCCGGCCGATCACTTGAGGTCAGGAGTCTGAGACTAGCCTGGCCAACGTGGTGAAACCCCGTCTCTACTAAAAACACAAAAAATTAGCCGGGTGTGGTGGTGCACACCTGTAGTCCCAGCTACTTGGGAGGCTGAGGCAGAAGAATCGCTTGAACCCAAGAAGTGGAGGTTGCAGTGAGCCCAGATCGCACCATTGTACTCTAGCCTGGGCAACAGAGTGAGACTCAGTCTCAGAAAAAAAAAAAAAAATGTATACCAGGGCCAAGATTAGTGACCTACTTAGGAGGCACCAGCTTCGCTGGAGGGTCAGCCCAGCCTTTGGTGACCATGTCCTGCAGGTGTGCAGGTCCCAGCCCCCCAGGTCCCAGGATTTTCACACCGGTAGCAGCTTCCCTTATCCCTACCAAAGCCACAGTCTGGACTAGGACAGTCCCTTCATGGTCTGCCGCCATAAGGGATGGGGTCTATGGCCTGGATTTACAGGGAAGAGGGGATCTACAGTGCTTGGGGCCCCATGTCAGCTGGAAGCAGTCCCTGAGAGCCCGTCCACCAGCAGCTGCTCTGCTCCTGCCTTGGTCTCTCCTCTCATCCCCCGTGGAAGGATTGCTGGGGTTTCCCTGACCTCCGAGATGACCGGTTATTGGAAGCTGATTCCTGTTCCACAAGCCGTGCCAAATCCAACACAATCCCTGGGGGTTGCTGCCCAGCTTAGCAGGTTCAAAGCCGTGTCCTTCCTGCTCCTCTAATTCTGCATACCAGTATGTCCTGAGAACTGTGTCCTCCTCCACAGAAGGGCTCTGTGTGCATGTGGCTGCTAGTGGCACTTGCTCTCACACCTCACTGATGTGGACAGGTTGAAGTAACGGAGGGAAAGTCTGATTTATGAGCTGTTTTTAAAGAAATGCAGTTCTATGAGTTTAAAGAACATAGAGGTTTGGGGAAAATCTTTAATAAATAGCTAATTATTTTAGTTAGAATATTAATGATTCAAATCATAAAGTAAAAATAAGGCATTTCAAATGCAGTTTGGCCTTAGACTTTTTATTTTATTTATTTATTTATTTTTGTTATTATTTTCTTTGAGATGGAGTCTCGCTCCGTCGCCCAGACTGGAGTGCAGTGGCACGATCTCGGCTCACTCCAACCTCTGCCTCCCAGGTTCAAGCCATTCTCCTGCCTCAGCCTCCCGAGTAGCTGGGATTACAGGCATGTGCCACCATGTCCAGCTAATTTTTGTATTTTTGGTAGAGACGAGGTTTCACCTTGTTGGCCAGGCTGGTCTTTAACTCCTGACCTCAAGTGATCCGCCCACCTCAGCCTCCCAAAGTGTTGGATTATAGGCGTGAGCCACCACACCCGGCCTTATTTATTTATTTTTACAAGACAGGGTCCTGCTGTGTCACCCAGGCTGGAGGGCAGTGGCATGATCATAGCTCTGTGTAACCTTGAACTCCTGGGCTCAAGTGACCCTCCTTCGTTGGCCTCCCAAAGTGCTGGGATTATAGGTGTAAAGCCACTGAGACCGGCCCCTTTATAATCTTTTAAAAATGCTTTTTACTTTGAAAATAATTTTTCTCTTGAAAACTTTAACTTAGCTCATCCTTGTACAAATTCTGAGTTGACATCTAAACAAGAAGGGTCTATAGGACATGCACCTCTTTGCGGCTGTGATAGAGTGCTGGGAGCTTATTGTCACCTGGCAACTTTCTTTCTCTGTAGGTTGGTGGTGCTCTAGGGGCGACTCACTCATGAGCATTGTGATCTCCTTCCAGATATTTGTGGATAACTTTGTCCATGCAGACCTTCACCCTGGAAACATCCTGGTTCAGGGTGCCAACGGCCTGTCCTCGAGTCAGGAGGCGCAGCTGCAGCAGGCGGACATCTGTGACACTCTGGTGGTGGCCGTGCCATCTTCCCTCTGCCCGCTGCGACTGGTGCTGCTGGATGCTGGCATTGTGGCGGAGCTGCAGGCCCCTGACCTGAGGAATTTCCGGGCAGTTTTCATGGCTGTGGTGATGGGGCAGGTGAGACGCACTGGGACCACAGAAGTTGGGGTGAATTTTTTTTAATTAAAAGAGCTGGTGAAGCATGGTGGCTCAGACCTGTAATCCCAGCACTTTGGAAGCCTGAGCGGGGAGGATTGCTTGAGCCCAGGAGTTCAAGGCCAGCCTGAGCAACATAGTGAGACCCTGTCTCTATAAAAAATAAGAAAATAGGCCAGGCACAGTGGTTCACGCCTGTAATCTCAGCACTTTGGGAGGCCAAGGCGGGTGGATCACCTGAGGTCAGGGGTTCGAGACCAGCCTGGCCAACACGGTGAAATCCTGTCTCTACTAAAAATATAAAATTAGCCAGGCATGGTGGTGTGTACCTGTAATCCCAGTTACTTGGGAGGCTGAGGCAGGAGAATTCATTGAACCTGGGGGGCATAGGTCGCAGTGAGCTGAGATTGTGCCACTTCACTCCAGCCTGGGTGAAAGAGTGAGACTCCATTTCAAAAAAAAAAAAGAAAAAGCCAGGCTTGGTGGTGTGCGCCTGTGGTCCCAGCTACTTGGGAGGCTGAGGTGGGAGAATCACTTGAGCTCAGGAGTTTGGGGCTGTGGTGAGCTAGGATTGCACTGCTCTACTGCAGCCTGGGTGACAGAGTGAGATCTTAGTTTTTTTTTTTTTTTTTTAAAGTTTCAAAAAATTAATGGAGATGGGTTTTGCTATATTGCGCAGGCTGCCTTGGCCTCAAGCCATCCTCCCATCTCAGCCTCCTGAGTAGCTAGGACTACAGGCTGGGCAGGGGGTGAATCTTTTATACTCTGGGGAATGCCTCTGTCTCTGTCTTTTTTTTTTTTTTGAGACAGAGTCTCGCTCTGTCACCCAGGCTGGAGTGCCTTGGCGTGATCTCAGCTCACTGCAACATTCACCTCCTGGATTCAAGCAATTCTCCTGCCACGCCTCCTGAGTAGCAGGGATTACAGGCACATGCCACCATGCCCGGCCACTTTTTGTATTTTTAGTAGAGATGGGGTTTCACCATGTTGGCCAGGCTGATCTTGAACTTCTGACCTCAGGTGATCCACCTGCCTCAGCCTCCCAAGGTGCTGGGATTACAGGTGTGAGCCACTGCACCCAGCCAGAATGTCTCTGTCTTGAAACAGGACAGGTCTCCTTAGCCCGGTCATTCTTGTCAATGCTCACACTTGCCAGTGTGCCAGAAACGAGTGGAGGGAGGCAGGAGGACAGGAGGCGAGGCTGCCCTTAAGGGGCTTTCTGTTAGCAGGTGCTGGGTGCAAATCAGGCCAGTTCTGAGTGGCAGATGGTTTGGGACTGTGGGAAGAAACAAGTGCTGTTTCGTGTTAGTAGTTTCTGGTCCTTCTCCAGCAAACATCCAGCTGGTCAGCAGGAATGCTGGCTTCTTGACCAGATAATGGCTGCCCCTGGTGTGTGCTACCTGCTGCAAGGTGGCAGGCTGGTGAGATGCGACAGCATAGAGAACACAGCCTCTAAGTGGGGCACAGCATGCTGGCACGTCCGATGTGGGGACATGAGTAGTTTTTGCAGCCTCCCCTGTGATTCTGAGGGTCTGCAGTGGTTGAGAATGATTATTTAGAGAAAAGGCATTCGGCAAGGCCTCTGCAGAGTCAATTGAAAGCACTACGTCGTGGGTGACTCTGAGGAGGCCCTCTGGCCGGCTGGCAAAGAATTCTCCAGCAAGAAAAACACTGGGAAAAAGAGAACTGTTTTTTTTAAAAATTAATTAATTAATTTTTTTTTTTTGAGATGGAATCTCACTCTGTTCCCTGGGCTGGAGTGCAGTGGTACGATCTCAGCTCACTGCAACCTCTACCTCCCGGGTTCAAGTGATTCTCCTGCCTCAGCCTCCCAGGTAGCTGGGATTACAGGTACCCACCACCATGCCCGGCTAATTTTTGTATTTTTAGTAGAGATGGGGTTTCATCATGTTGGTCAGGCTGGTCTTGAACTCCTGATCTCAGGTGATCCACCTGCCTCGGCCTCCTAAAATGCTGGGATTACATGTGTGAGCCACTGCATCTGGCTCTTTTTAAAAAAAAATTTTTTTTTTTTAAACAGCAAAATGCAGGGCAGTCCCTGCCTCTGAGAGGGCAAACCCAAAGCTGGGGCCTGCAGCTGGTTTGAAAGTGTCCCCTGGGCCAAGGTTAAGCACTGAGGCGCAGTGCAGCGGGGGTGGGGGCATTCCTCCCTATAGGTATGGGCAAAGGGAAAAGGTCACAGCCCGAGGAGGAAGAGCCAAAAGCAAGATGCCAGAAAAGTCAGGGTGGAGCTGCTGAGATGAGAAAGACGCTTGGGCACCGCATCCAGGTTTATGCTAGCTCCACTCCAAGTCCCTTTTCCGTTGCATTTTCCAGGGCCAGAGAGTGGCTGAGCTGATCCTGCATCATGCCCGGGCCAGCGAGTGCAGGGACGTGGAGGGGTTCAAAACCGAGATGGCCATGCTGGTGACCCAGGCCAGGAAGAACACCATCACCCTGGAGAAGGTGGGCAGGTCACTTGCGGAACAGGGGCTGGGGAGTCCATACCTGGCCTGGGGCAGAGCAGATCCTGGGTCTAAGGGAGACCTCTTTATGAGGGGTGTGAGTTTTAAAGCAGAAAAAGAACCACCCCACATCTTCCAGGCATGAGGAGCCCCAGTGAAGTCCGTTGTGCTCAAGGGGGCCTCCTTGTGCGGTGCCACTTAGGAGGCTGCAGCTCCTTCCTCATCCAGGGGTCGCTGTTCATTTGGGGACAGCCAAGCATACAGGGAGGGAGGACTGTGGTCTCCAAGCAGCCAAATGATGTGCCCAATGCGCATGTCCCTTATTTAAACCCAAGCCAGAGCCTGCTTTGTATTTTATACACAGTTCTAGCAAATGTGACTGTTTTATCCCCAAGTTCATGGCCACATTAGCAGGAATGGGTCAGACAAGGAGTGGCCACTGGCACGCTGGCCCTGCTGATAGTCTATCCAGGTGTGATTTTTTAAAAATTTTTTTGAGATGGAGTCTTGCTGTATCACCCAGGTTGGAGTGTAGTGATGCTGTCTCGGCTCACTGCAACTTCCACCTCCCGGATTCAAGCGATTCTCCTGCCTCAGCCTCCCGAGTAGCTGGGATTACAGGCACCCGCCACCACACCCGGCTAATTTTTATATTTCTAGTAGAAATGGGGTTTCACCATGTTGGCCAGGCTGGTCTCGAACTCCTGACCTCAAGTGATCCGCCCGCCTTGGCCTCCCAAAGTGCTAGGATTATAGGCAGGTGTGATTTTTGTGGTTGCTTCAGGGATGGGGTGGGTGGGGCTCAAAGGCTTGTCTTCCAAAGGCCTCTGTGACCGAGTCTTGAGGTGGAGTTGGGCTTGTGCTGGAGGAGTCCTTTCAGAGTTTGTCAGATGGTCCCTTTTGTGCTGACTGGTGTATGTGTGCCCTGGCGGGGGAGTGGGGTGGGATGCTGGGGCTGAGAGTGTGGGGGTGGTGGGAAATGAGCGGTTCTGGAAGGCTCGGTGGTCTGCATTAGCCTTTATTTTGTTTTTCCAGCTTCATGTGTCCAGCCTTCTCTCTAGTGTCTTTAAGTTGCTGATGACTCACAAGGTGAGGGCCATTCAGAGGGGAGGTCTCTGGGGAAGGTGGGACGGGGCAGGGAGGAATGGGAGGACACAGGGTGGTGGGAGGCGCTTCTATTATATGGTTCTTGTTTTTTGTTGTTGTTTTTCTTTTTTTTGAGACAGAGTCTCACTCTGTCGCCCAGGGTGGAGTGCAGTGGCGCGATCTCGGCTGACTGCAGCCTCTGCTTCCTGGCTTCCAGTGATTCTCTTGCCTCAGTCTCCTGAGTAGCTGGGATTACAGGCTCCCACCACCACGCCTGGCTAATTTTTGTATTTTTAGTAGAGACGGGATTTCACCATGTTGGCCAGGCTGATCTCGAACTCCTGACCTCAGGTGATCCACCCTTCTCGGCCTCCCAAAGTGCTGGGATTACAGGCGTGAGCCACTGTGCCCGGCCTATTATATATTTTGAAAGCATTTTTAGTAACAAGCCATTTGCAACAAGTGCTTCGTAGCTGTTAGTCTATCTGTCAAGTCAGTGCAGTCTAAGTATCTGTGACATTTAAATGTAGAAAAGTGTATTTAAAAATGTAGAAACAGCCTACCTCTGGCTTTTCATGTCTTTCCCTCCTTGGTTCACTTTCATGATGCTTGTGTTAATGTAAGTCATGCTTAGCTCTTTCCTGGTGGAATGAAGTCCTGGGGTCCAGAGGCCGCTCTAGAGGGTCATGCCTTGTGTCCTGGTGCTTTCAGAGGCCCTAGCGGGACTGCTGTGGCCCCTGCCTGGCTGCTGTAGTCCATTAGAGGGAGCTGGCCTCATGGTTCATCTTAGCCTGTGCCCCGGCTCTGTCGCCTTGTCATGGAGCCTAGTCTCCGGCACTCTTTAAACTAAGGCTGCTGGCCAGGGACAAGCAGTGTTGAAGGTGGAGAAGGGAGGACCTCGTTGGAAGATGGCCTTTTCCATTGCATTACTTAACTATATGACATCTATTAGTAACCAATTTATCCCCTCAGTCTTCCAAGAGGCAGGCACCAAAGCCGAGAGGCCGAGCAGCTCACCTGTGGCCATGTGGGCAAGCCCCCGCCTGCTGCTGGGTCCTCCCGCCTCCGTGGCTCACTCTGAGCATCTGCTCCCCACACAGTTTCCAGCACGGTGGGTGAGGGGCCTTGAGTGTTTGCTGCTGCTGCTGCTGTTCCCAGGATGGAAGAGGAGACAGAGGGCCTAGGGCAGCTACTGCACTCCAAGCACTTCACTAGGCACTTAAGTTTGAAAACATTTACAAATTTTTCATTGTGATGAAAAACACATAAAATTTAACCCCCCAACCCTCTCCAGATGCATAGTGTTAGCATTGTGCAACAGATCTCTAGGTCTTTCTCATTTGGCAGAGCTGAAACTCTACAGCCATTGACCAGCTCCCCATTCCCCTCTCCATCCGGCCCTGGGAACCACCATGCTGTTTTACGTTTCCATGATTTTGGCTACTCTTGATATTTCATATAAGTGGAATTATAAAGTATACTGTCCTTTTGTGATTGGCTTGTTTTACTCAATATAATGTCCCCAGGTTTCATCCATGTTGTAACATGTGACAGGATTTCCTTTTGAGACAGGGTCTCACTGTGTCACCGAGGCTGGAGTGCAGTGGTGCAAGCTTGGCTCATTGCAACCTCTGCTTCCTGGGTTCAAGCAATTCTCGTGCCTCAGCCTCCCAAGTAACTGGGATTACAGGCAAGTGCCACCATGCCCAGCTAATTTTTGTATTTTTAGTAAGAGATAGGGTTTCGTCATGTTGGCCAGGCTGGTCTCGAACTCCTGACCTCAAGTGATCCACCTGCCTTGGCCTCCCGAAGTGCTGCGATGACAGGCGTGAGCCACCGCGCTTGGCCTGTTATTCTGTTGATGCTGTTGATGTTCACGTGGGTTGCTTCCACTTCTTGGTTATAGTGAATAATGCTGCAGTGAACATGAATGTGTAAATATCTTTTCAAGATCCTACTTTCAAATTTTAGAAAAGTTTTAAAAACATTTAATGTAGCCAGTAAGGTCTATACATTGTGTTCTTGCTTTCCAGTTTTTAAACATATGCCCCAAAGTAGGTTTTCTGGATCATATGGTATGTTTTTAGTTTTTGAGGAACTTCCATAGGAGCTGTACCATTTTATATGCCCACCAACAGTACACAAGGGGTCGTTTCTCTCATCCTCACCAACACTTGTCATTTTCTGTTTTGTTTTTAGTGGCCATCCTAATGGGTGTGAGGTGATGTCTCATTGTGGTTTTGATTGCATTTCTCTACTGATTCATGATGTTGAACATCTTTTCATATGCCAATTGGCCATTTGTATAATATATCTTCCTTAGAAGAAATATCTATTCAGGTAGCACTTAATTTTTTTAAATAAAGTATTTGACAGTAACACAGAGATAAAGGAATCTAATCCACACTAAGAACCCCCCACCCAGCTTCAGAATGAAAGCATTCCCAGAGGTGTTAGAGCCCTGGGTTCCCACCCGGACCAGAGCCTGTGTGGCCAATCTGCCAGGCTGGAACTCCACAAGCTGCTCCTGGGAGCATGCTGCTGCTTCTGGATCCACCTGACCCCGACAACCTTCCAGCCCTTAACGGAGACAAATACTCTTTAATTTCTAACAAAGAATATTTCCCATGATTCAACCTTCCATTTCTTGACCTTCTGTCCACTTAAAAAGCAGATTCCTGTTCTTCTAGGTTTACATCTGGCTCTATTCCTCCTCACTCAGTGGCCTTGAGCAAGTCATTGAACCTCTCTGAGCCACAGCTTCTTTCTCTATAGAATGGGGATAACGATGATACTTTTGAAGAATAGTTGAAGAATCCATGTCAATTGCTATTACTACTAATCTGGCTCTGAAGGGACAGCTGTACCCTGTTTGAGCAGTCAATTGTGTGTTGTCTCTGATTTTTTTTATTTTTTTGAGATGGAGTTTCACTCTGTTGCCCAGGCTGGAGTGCAGTGGAGCCATCCTGGCTCACTGCAAGCTCTGCCTCCCGAGTTCAGGCCATTCTCCTGCCTCAGCCTCCCGAGTAGCTGAGACCACAGGCGCCTGCCACCATGCCCGGCTGATTTTTTGTATTTTTAGTAGAGGCAGGGTTTCACTGTGTCAGCCAGGATGGTCTCGATCTCCTGACCTCATGATCCGCCCGCCTCGGTCTCCCAAAGGGCTGGGATTACAGGAGTGAGCCACCACGCCCGGCCTGTGTGTTGTCTCTTAAAAAGGCTATTGTAGACCAGCTGACATGGCTCCTGCCTATAATCCCAGCACTTGGGGCAGCCAAGGTGGGAGGATTGCTTGGGGCCAGGAGTTCGAGATCAGCCTCGTCAACATTGCAAGACCCTCTGTTTACAAAAAAGAGTCCCAGTCTCAGGAGGCTGAGGCAGAAGGATCCCTGAAGTCCAGGAGCTCAAGGCTGCAGTGAGCTATGATCTTGCCATTGCACTCCAGCCTAGGTGACAGAGTGAGACCCTGTCTCTAAAATAAATAAATAAATACATACATACATAAAGGTTACTGTAGGTTTCGAAGAATTACCTGTATTTAAATGTATAGTTTCTGGGATGTGTGTGAAAGATTTATTTGGTCATTCATTCATACACACATGGACACAAACCTAGAAAAGTATATTCCGCACCCCTAGATTTTTCCTTAGTGTGTCCAGTAGATGGGAGGCTGGGCGAGTAGGTGAGATGGTTGGGGAGATGACGCGGTAGAGAAGAGAATGTCAGGTAGATGGTAAACATCCCGTGGGCAGGTCTGAGGGAGGCTGAGAGTGGACAGCAAGGTGATTATCCAGAACACACGTCCCTGTATCAGCATGTTCTGAGATGAACTGTTCTGTTTTTCTGTTCCAGGTAAAGCTTGAGAGCAACTTTGCCTCCATTGTGTTTGCCATCATGGTGTTGGAGGGGCTTGGCCGCTCACTGGACCCCAAACTGGACATCCTGGAGGCAGCGAGGCCCTTCCTCCTCACGGGCCCAGTGTGCCCCCCGTGATGGGGCAGTGGCCTCTGTGGGCCCTTGTCAAGAGCTGGAGGCCACTCCCAAGAGCCTCTCCTATGGCAGCTGGGACGTTTTAAAATTGGGACACCAATTTCAAATGTAACCCTCCAGTGGTGGAAGGCACACCATGGCTTCCTCTGCTTGGTTTGAGGGTCTGTTCAAAAGCTTTGGGCCAATTAGGGAGTAAAAGGAGGGAAGGGGCCTATCCATTCCATTGTGGAAGCTGGGCCAGGTGCCAGGGACACTCTCCTTCAGGGAAAATGTTATGTGGAGGAGGACGAATAAATTTATTTTGTTTTCCTGTTTTTCTCATTTCTTGACCCGCTATACTCCCTGGTCAGATGGGTACTGCTGGTAGTTCCCAGACTTTGATATTCAGGTTAGAAAATGCCATCAAGTCCTACTGATCTGTGGCATGTGCACACACACACACACACACACACACTCTTTATGTATAAATATCATGCAGGTGCTACCTGCCAGCATAATATACACTTAGGGCAAATTTCATTGTACTTCAAATTATCTTCTTGGTAATTTTTAATAGATTTTGCTAACTCCTTGGTAACTTTTATTACAAGGTAAAACAAAACTGATGAAAGTGGCTGACATACCGGGGACGTGAGCAGAACGGCTTGGCCACTTCCTTAACATGGCCCCGGGTTCACCCGCTAGTCCGGAACTACAGTTTCTCTGCCACAGTGTCTGCGCCTGTCCACTTGCAGGCATTAATTTTGGTGAATATGAAGAGAGTTAATATAACCAGTGTGTCCTCTTCTCCATGGCAGCGCCCAGGGACAGACCTGCAGTGACCACCACCTGCCCCTCTCTGCCAGGCCCAACCACGGGCTTTCTTCTCAGAGCTGAGCTGATGTGGCCGTCTGGCTGACTAGGAGGGGCCCGGGGTCAGCCTGGAGGGGGGGTATTTGTAAAGCTTAATTTCTCTTTTTTTTTTTTTTTAGGTAAAATCACAGTTTATCCCTGCACCTTCATAGATTATGTTGCTCGTCTTAGAGACCACCAGGCAGCGAATGGAGTCAAGCCCTTGCGCTCTCCGAGAGTCCTGCCCTGACTACAGGACTAGTTTCTCCCATTCTTTCCTTCTCCAGGATAAAGTTCCTCATTCCTGTCTTTTAGTGAGCAGTATGGTTTAGGTGGACAGAGATTCCTTTGGTGCAGTTTTTTTCAAGGAGGTGATGTTATTTTTTCCTTCCCAGGTCTTGAGGGGACATTCAAAGCAGGCAGAGAGGGGTTGGGATGGCTCCAGATGGCTGGGAGGGAGAACACCAGCTGGTCACGCAGCCCCTCGTGCCAGTGCGCATCAGGTACAGTGTGGAGGCGGGAAAGGGACAAAAAGACGGCAGTCTCTTCCCTGAGCCTATGCCAACCCAGCCTTAAAGCCAGTGGATCGAATCAAGCCATTTGTGGCATTATCTATTGCTGCGTACGAACTTAGCCTGGCACAATGCCTGTAATCCCAGCTACTCGGGAAGTTGAGGCAGGAGAATCGCTTGAGCCTGGGAGGCAGAGGTTGCAGTGAGCCGAGATGGTGTCACTGCACTCCAGCCTGGGTGACAGAGCAAGGCCTTGTCTCAAAAAGAAAAAAAAAAAAAAAAAAGAATTATACACCACTCAGTTTTAGGAGGGGCAGAACACGGGGAGAGCCCTACAGGATCAGAGGGGCAACCAACAAGCTGTTTCAGAAGGCATGGGGCAGCTCAGCAACCATAAGTTATGCGTGGGCTTTGCTCTCGGGAGAGAGGTTTCCTGCAGCCGAAGGACTCACAGCTAATCTGGGTCAGGAGCGGCTGCCGGCTCCCCCACTCCTGGAGATGAGCGACTCTGTGACGTCACGGGAGGCGCGGGCGGAGCGCCGGGGAAGCGAAGTAGGCAGGGGCGAGGCGGCTGGGGACCGCGGGGCGGACGGGAGCGAGTATGTCCGCTCTGACTCGGCTGGCGTCTTTCGCTCGCGTTGGAGGCCGCCTTTTCAGAAGCGGCTGCGCACGGACTGCTGGAGATGGTGGAGTCCGTCAGTGAGTGTGGGGCTGGGGATGGGGGCCTCGCCGGCCTGTAGCGGACAGCGCGGGTCCCTGGGACGCTCTCACCTTGACTGGGGCGCCTGAAGAGGCCGCGTCCCGAGGCATGCTGGGACCTGTAGTCCGCGTGTCTCCTGAAGCCGCGACTCGAGGAGAGGGACCCCGCTGGCCGGAGGGAGAGGGAGAGACTTCGCTGGGCAGATGGGACACCGTGTGCAGGGCCGTCATGGTAGTAGGGGCCGCCTGCCCTCGGGAGACGCACGCGTGAATGCGGAGCGGGCTGAGCCAGTCGGCGCCGGCGCGGGCGGTCCAGGCGGAGGAAGCAGCGTGCGCGGCGGGTGTGGACGCTCCTGGAGCGAGGCGGGGGGCGGCGGCGGTGAGGCCTAGGGAGGGCGCGGTCCAGGGTCCCGGTGCCTGGCTGCGGAATTTAGGGTAGAGTCTGTTCGGCAGCCTTTAATCGGAGACGTCACGTGGCCGCTTTTTAATGCTGAAAAATCACTCTGGCTGCAGGGAGTGGAGGCTGTCGCCCAGAGAGAGCGCCGTCGGGTGAGAGGAGCAGAAAGCCGGAAGCCAACGCTGGGGCAGCCGTGGCGTTTAGGAGAGTGACAGGCAGAGCCGCCCGCGAGGTGGCCCGAGACGCAGACCGGAGGGCGGAGGGCTGGGGGTGCGAGGTAGGGAGCGGGTGCGAGGTAGGGAGCAGCTGCCGAAGCCGAGTTAGTGGTGTGCAGAGATTCCGTAAGAGCAGGACTGGAAAAGAGTCATGGATGATTCCAGGTCCCTTAGATCATCAGCTACACTTTACCAAGAGGCAGTGTGGGGTCGTGATTCCAAGCGGGATTCTGGCCGCACAGTGGCTGGGTTCAAATCCCACCTCTGCCACACTCCAGCTGTGGGACCTTGGAAAAGTTTCTTATTCTCTTAATGCCTCAGTTTCCTCACCCATTTGGCGTCCATTTGCAAGGAACTAAATGAGTTACTGTTATCTAAAGCGTGTTTGTGTGTTTTAGGAGATGGGGTCTAACTCTGTCAGGCAGGCTGGAGTGCAGTGGCGCGATCCTAGCTCACTGCAGCCTCTAACTCCTGGGCTCAAGTGATTCTCCAGCCTCGGCCTCCCAAAGTGTTGGGAATACAGGCGAGCCACTGCGCTTGGTCTCACTAAAGTGTTTAAAACAATTGCTGGTGCCTGCTAAGGACCGTACAAGTATTCTTTAACTGTTGTTGTTATTAAGGAACTGAGGCCCAGGAAATGAAAGGAGTGACTTGCCTGAAGTCCCACATGGATGAAGAATCTGGAGCTGGGGCAGGTGTGGGGTGGGCAGAAGGCAAAGCCCTGTGTGACTTGGGCAAAGACAGTGATGGAGAGCCATGAGCGACAGCCCTTGGTCCTGCATGAGGAGATGGGGGAATGCCGATCTTCCCTGAGGTGCTGGCTTGTTCGTAACACACACTTGTTTCAGAGTGTGTGATAATTAAGTGCATAAATGTTTATGGAGCATCTTCTATATGGCTGCTCCTTTCTAGGTGCTGAGGATATAGCAGAATACGAGAGAGAATGAAGTGTACATTCTGGAGAGGAGAGACCAGTAGAAAAGAAAGACCTTTTTTGAGTACTGTTAAGGGTTATGAAGAGAATACAGCTGGGGATTAATATGGAGAATGCGTGGTGTGGGAGTAGAAGGGATATTGTATTTGGGGATGGCGTGGGAATGCCTGGGAGTGTGATTTGAAGCGGGACCTGAGGGATGAGAAGTCAGCCATGCAGAGACCTCAAGGGAAGAGCCCGGTGGACATAAGAGGGCAGAGGAGGCATCAGGTGGAGAGGCCAGAGCCCGCAGGGTTGGCAGGAGGCCAGGCTGGAGTGGAGCGTAGGGGAAGAGTGGGAGAGACCAGGTCACAGGGACAAGTGTGGGGGCCGGATTAGAGGGGGCTTTGGAGGACTCGGAATTTTATTCTAAGAATCACAGGGAGCCATTGGAGTTTTAAAGCAGGAAAGTAATGTGGTCTGATTTATTTTTTAAAAATGTAACTTTGTCCAGGCGCGGTGGCTCACACCTGTAATCCCAGCACTTTGAGAGGCTGAGGCGGGCGGATCACCTGAGGTCAGGAGTTCGAGACCAGCCTGGCCAACACGGTGAAACCCCATCTCTACTAAAAACACAAAAATTAGCTGGGCATGGTAGTGTGCGCCTGTAATCCCAGCTACTGGGGAGGCTGAGGCAGGAGAATTGCTTGAGCCCAGGAGGCAGAGGTTGCAGTGAGCCGAGATCGTGCCACTGCATTCCAGCCTGGGTGACAGAGTGAGACCCCGTCTCAAAAAAATAAAAATAAAAATGTAACTAATAGAGTTATGGTGCATTTTTGTTTTTAAACTTGACTCTCAAACATTTGAAGTTGGAACAGCCATTATTTCCTTGGATGTTGTTTCTTCCCCATTCTCTTTCCTTCTTACAGGACTTGCTGATAGTGTCTTACTTCCTTATGTTTTTTGATCTTGAGCTTGTTTTCCCTGGAATTTCTTTGAGATCGTGCTTCTCTTAGTCTCTTGAGGGTGCCACCCCAATTCAGGCTCACATTAAATTCTCGGCTTGGGGTTTTTGGTCCACACAGGTCCAACGCAGGTAATGTGAATTTGGGTGCAAATCTACCTGAGGACTGGCTTCTGATAACAAATTCTTGTTCCCTTGTCCATGGAAGGTTTATTTCTTGTTCACCCTTTTACCATATGGGGTTGCAGCTTTATTCAGTGACCTCGTCATTAGCCTTCCCACCTTGGGTGGGCCCCAGGCTGCGTCTCTTTCCCCACACCTCATGTAGCTATCCTGGTGGAGGTTCAAGGGCTCCCGGTGAAGGCAGCTTCAGTGATTGATTGCTTAGCTTCCAGGCCTTGTTTTTACTTGAATTTTGCTCTTGGTGGATTCCTTCCTTTTGTGCCTGGTCAGTGATGTTTGTAAAAATCTTAAAAATCTCATCTAGCAGCAGAGTTGTTAATTTGGAGGGTTGTTCAGGGTATCTAGTTTGCCACAATGCAGTTCACAACCTGGTTTGGAACATAACATTGTGAATTAGGTGTTGAGTCTTTGCATTCCTTAATCATGGCAATCCTTGTCATTGTTCCTGTGATATAATTGCAGACTTTCAAATCTTTGTTCCAAAAGGTTTCCATTTTGCAGTCCCTACTTCAGGTTATGATTAAAACAACATGTCACTCTAGCAATAACGAAGCGTGGGGAGCTGCTAAGATGGGTTTGAACTATAATGCTGGCATCGGCATTACTCAGATCTTTTTTGTTTTTTTGATACAGAATTTCGCTCTTGTTGCCCAGGCTGGAGTGCAATGGCACGATCTCAGCTCACCACATCCTCTGTCTCCCAGGTTCAAGTGATTCTCCTGCTTCAGCCTCCTGAGTAGCTGGGATTACATGCATGTACCACCATGCCCAGCTAATTTTGTATTTTTAGTAGAGACGAGGTTTTTCCACGTTGGTCAGGGTGGTCTCGAACTCCCGACCTCAGGTGATCCGCCTGCCTCGGCCTCCCAAAATGCTGGGATTACAGGCATAAGCCACCGTGTCCGGCCTTCAAATCTTGTTTTAATCAGTTTTACTGCTGGGCACTTATACCTAGATTGTATCAAAAAGCTATCAAAGAAGAAGGCTCTTGGCCGGGCACAGTGTGGCTCACGCCTATAATCCCAGCACTTTGGGAGGTCAGGGCAGGCGGATCACCTGAGGTCAGGAGTTCGAGACCAGCCTGGCCAACATAACGAATCCCTGTATCTACTAAAAATACAAAAATTAGCCGGGCATGGTGGCACATGCCTGTAATCCCAGCTACTCGGGAGGCTGAGGCAGGAGAATTGCTCGAACTGGGAGGCAGAGGTTGCAGTGAGCCAAGATTGTGTCACTGCACTCCAGCCTGGGTGACAGAGTGCGACTCCGTCTCAAAAAAAAAAAAAAGCTCTTGTTATACTATATTGAATGATCCTGCATGGTTTATTTACATAATGTAATATCTATATGCACAGCTAGATCCTGAATGAATAATATAATTGGTATATGAGGACATTACGGAAACAGTATGCTACGTCATTCAAGTTGTAAAGTGGCGATATTTGGTAGGACCTTTTAAACATGATACTTAAAAAAGTACATATATACACACATCTGCAAAAACTAAAAATCACCTTATTCATAATTAGTTATTAATACCTTAAATAGAGCATTCCAAATAAAAGTGTTAAATTTTGGATGACTATTTAGAAAAAAAAATGGAATTTATCATTTCAATATGGTAACATTGGTTTTATCATGCTGGTTGGAATTCTAGTTAAAAGTTATGTCTTTGATTAATAAAAGGAGAAAATTGTTAATGGTGTGTGTCTGTAGGCAACAGCTTAGGCTTTGCCATCACACAGCATCTCACTGGTAAATCATTAATAATTACAGGCCTTATCATAACATTATGAAAATTAAATGAATTAAAACTTATAAAATGCTTAGTGTGGTATCTGGCACATGGTAAACACTCAATAACTACCAGTCATCTTTTAGAGTGGGGGAGGATAAAAACAGTCTGCCAGCCTGGCAACATAGGGAAACCCTGTCTCTACAAAAAAAATATAAAAATTAGCCAGGTCTGGGGGTGTACACTTGTATGTAATCCCAGCTACTTGGGAGGGAGGCTGAGGCAGGAGGATTGCTTGAGCCCAGGAGGTGCTCAGTCAGCAGAAGGATCGCTTGAGCTAAGGTCACGCCACTGCACTCTAGCCTGGGCGACAGAGCCTATCTTTAAAAAAACAAACAAAACAGCCGGGCACGTGGCTCACGCCTGTAATCCCAGCACTTTGGGAGGCCAAGGTGGGTGGATCACCTAAGGTCAGGAGTTCGAGACCAGTCTGGCCAACACGGGGAAACCCCGTCTCTACTAAAAAAAAAACAAAAATTAGCTGGGCATGGTGGCGTACACCTGTAGTCCCAGCTACTTGGGAGGCTGAGGCAGGAGGATCGCTTGAACCCAGGAGGCGGAGGTTGCAGTGAGCCAAGATTGTTCCATTGCACTCCAGCCTGGGTGACAGAGTGAGACTCTCGCAAACAAACAAACAAAGAAAACAAACAGTCCTAGCTAACATGTATCAAGAACCACTGCCCTGTTACTGTTCACGAATCTGTGCATTATGAAGACAAGATATTTTAATGCACTTTTCCTACAGGTACGAATTTCTGTGCTACATAAAAGAGAATATGGTTTACAAGCTGATTCTTATCTAGATGAAATTGGTAAACATATTTTATATAGGAATTCTCTTAAAAATTTTTTATCCACTTCTGTTTATTAGCATATATATGGCTGATGAATAGGTTTTAGGAATAGCCCCAGTAGGTGCAAATAATTTAAATTAGATGCAACGTATAATATTTATACTCCAACTGAATAAATTGACTATAACTCTTATGGACTCTGTGCCACAACTTGTCAAGTGTCTGAATGAAAAGAAGAAAAAAGAAACACGTATTCAAACTTACTGTTTAAAGTTCTTTGTTCAGAGCCATTAGCATATTTAATAGGATTTGCGAGTCCTCTCTCCCATATGGTTGTCTTTTAATAAAGATTGTAATAGGCAGAGGACATAATTTGCCTCAAATAGATAGCTAAACAAAGCAAAATTAATTTATTTTTCTGAGTAAGTTAGTGACCTGCTAACAAGTTCACAGTCCCTTAACTAAAACCTTTGGGGCTAGCACCCCAGAATCAACACATTCAAATTTCTAGTGCAAAATAATGAATCTTCACTAATTGAAAACCAAAATTAGCCTCTTGTCAGTTTTGGTCAGTTTTTGCTGCTACACATGAAGCAAGCTTAGTAAAAAGTGAGTATTTCAAGGGATTGTGAACTTCTGTCTATATTTCAGTGGAGATGAGAAACATTAGCGTTGGTTCTAGGATGTAACTCAGAGGAGTTTTGGATGACTTAACGCTTTGAGAATGTAGCACGCTGTCTGCCATGTTGTTTTGTCTTGCAGTGCCGGTGGTGGTGTGCACATTGAGCCCCGGTATAGACAGTTCCCCCAGCTGACCAGATCCCAGGTGTTCCAGAGCGAGTTCTTCAGCGGACTCATGTGGTTCTGGATTCTCTGGCGCTTTTGGCATGACTCAGAAGAGGTGCTGGTAAGTGCAGGAGAAGAGCACTTGTCGTTTTTTGGGTGGGGGAGGGAGGATGTATTAATAGCTTGTTTATTTTTCTGTTGTAGACCATTTTTCTGTCTGGACATCGCCCTTTGCCACCACTTTTTCCATATGTATATACAAGAATCCTGTTATTTAATGAAACATGTTATCTTCTCACCTTTTTTTACACGAGGATGTATATTTAGGTGGTCCGTTTCTTATGGTTTCTGTTAGGTTGCCATCTTAGGGAGACTAAAAGCTCATTTTTTTTTTTTTTTTTTTTGAGACACAGTTTCACTCTGTCACCAGGCAGGAGTGCAGTGGCACAATCTCGGCTCGCTGCAACCTCTGCATCCCGGGTTCAAGTGACTCTGGTGCCTCAGTCCCTTGAGTAGCTGGGACTACAGGTGTGCACCCCCACGCCGGCTAATTTTTTTTGTTGTTAGTAGAGACGGGGTTTCACCATGTTGGTCAGGCTGCTCTCAAACTCCTGACCTCAAGTGATCCACCTGACTCAGCCTCCCAGAGTGCTGGGATCACAGGCGTGAGCCACCGCGCCTGGCCAGAAATGAATTCTTTTACCTTCTGAACTAGCGGTTCATTGGTAGGTTAGGTTTCACACTTAAATTCCTTTAAATGATGAATGTCTTCTGGTCTGTCCAGAGGCCCAGGGCAGCCAGGTTTGGGTGGGATGGATGTGAGTTAATTTGTCTTGAGAAGGGAAGTTAGTTTTAGTGATTTTCTATTTTATTTATTTATTTTTGAGATGGAGTCTCACTCTGTCACCCAGGCTGGAGTGCAGTGGTGCGATCTTGGCTCACTGCAAGCTCCGCCTCCTGGGTTCACGCCATTCTCTTGCCTCAGCCTCCCAAGTAGCTGGGACTGCAGGTGCCCGCCACCACTCCCGGCTAATTTTTTATATTTTTAGTAGAGACGGGGTTTCACCGTGTTAGCCAGGATGGTCTCGATCTCCTGACC
The DNA here is from genome assembly GCF_000001405.40 of Homo sapiens. Lineage (NCBI taxonomy): Eukaryota > Metazoa > Chordata > Mammalia > Primates > Hominidae > Homo > Homo sapiens. Next base: position 140,703,989 of record NC_000007.14, read on the forward strand.
TCATGATCCACCTGCCTTGGCCTCCCAAAGTGCTGGGATTACAGGCGTGAGCCACTGCGCCCGGCCAGTTTTAGTGATTTTCTAACATATCATTAGCCTCAACTGAGGTTTTACCACATTTGCAGACCGTTCTTTGGGAAATTACGTCTTTAAGACATTGAAATCTGTGCTTGTTTATCCAGGATACTTTGAGTTGTAGTAAATTTGGGTTTGTTTCCAGGATAGGAAAAAAATCTTAAGCAGTATGTAAGTTTTAGAAGCATCAGGTTGCTTCATATCCCATTTCTCTTAGAACTTCTCTGTGCCGTTGTCCTTCAGTAAGGAGCTGCCTGGGTGTCTGTGAACTGTCCACACATTTACTATTTGAGGTGCCCCTGCCTCACTGTAGGTCAGCTGTCCGGAGTATGTACAGTATGTATAGCTGTTAGGCCTGAGATGATGATGATGCAGCCAGATAAGCCCTTAGATCAGGATTGGAGATGAGGAAGTCCACCTGAGGCTTCTCCATTTCACAGCAGTAATGTTAGGAGAGTTGGAAACATATTTTGCCAGGACTTTGCCAGGATGTCAGGAACCTTTGAAACCTATTGCCTCCACTTCCCCCTACCCTCCCTCTATCACAGACACGTACCATTGGCTTAGGCTGGTACCTCCAAATGGGGAGGCTTTTAAAATTCAGACCAGAGCCCATATAATGAACAAACTAAAGAACAGGTGGGCCATCGAATAATTAAAGTAGAATTTGTTCCTGTGGTCAGGGGCTGAGCCATATTGTTTTTTTTTTTTTCTTTCCAAGATTTATTTAACAATTTAATTAGTTGCACAGAATGTAAATTCTTGACTTTTCTTTCTTTTAAATGGTTGTCACCAGGGTCACTTTCCGTATCCTGATCCTTCCCAGTGGACAGATGAAGAATTAGGTATCCCTCCTGATGATGAAGACTGAAGGTGTAGACTCAGCCTCACTCTGTACAAGTGGGTGTGCTCCAAATTTCTTTATGTCATATTTACCTTTTTTCATAAACATTAGTTTTTACTTTGTGCCTATGATGGACTTGAAAAAACTGCATATTCTAACAGCATGAAGTTGAGTTAACCATGTCCTGTATCTGCTTTTTTTTTTTTTTTTGAGACAGAGTCTTGCTCTGTCGCCCAGACTGGAGTGCAGTGGCGTGATCTGGGCTCACTGCAACCTCTGCCTTCCAGGTTCAAGTGATTCTCCTTCCTCAGCCTCCTGAGTAGCTGGGATTATAGGCACATGCTACCACACTTGGCTAATTTTTGTATTTTTAGTAGAGGCAGAGTTTTGCCACGTTGGCCAGGCTGGTCTCGAACTTCTGACCTCAAGTGATCTGCCCACCTCAGACTCCCAAAGTGCTAGGATTACAGGTGTGAGCCACCACGCCTGGCCATGTATCTGATTTCTGCCTTAAGTTTTCACATTTGCTTTGGTCTCTTCTTCCTTTTCATTGTATGTTTTATTTTATTTACATTTTTTATTTTGTAGAGACAGGGTGTCACTATGTTGCCCAGGCTGGTCTTGAACTCCTGGGCTCAAATGATTCTCCTGCCTCTGCCTCCCAAAGTGCTGGGATTACAGGCATGTGCCACCACACCTGGCCCATTGTATAATAAAAAAAAATTTTTTTCCTAAGTTAGGTTATAATTTTAGGGTTTCATTTATCCATCCACTGATCAAAGATATATTAAGACCAATTCTGTGCCAAGCACAGGCCTACAGTGGTGAACAGGACAGATGGAGCTTACAGTACGTAGCTGCAAAACTACAGTGTCCTGCTCTCAACATTTAAATAGATCCAGCATATGGGAGTATTACTATATAGAACTATATGAAAACTAACTCTTTAAACAGTAAAGGGTTATGGCTTTTTCATTTTCCAGGTCAGGAAGTCAAGAATTTTTCTTCTTTAAAAAGGGAGGTACTAAGAAGGTTCCCTTTCCTCATAAACCCCTAGGGGTTAATATGTTTTTATTTAACATGCTTTTATTTTATATTTTATTTTATTTTATTTTATTTTAGTTTGTTATGTTATGTTATGTTATGTTATGTTTTATGTTATGTTATGTTATGTTATGTTATGTTATGTTATGTTATGTTATTTGAGACAGGGTCTCATTCTGTCATCCAGACTGGAGTGCAGCGTGATCATGGCTCACTGTAACCCCAACCTCCTGAGCTCAAGTGATTCTCCCGCCTCAGCCTTCTCAGTAGCTGGGACTACTACTCTTGGCTAATTTTTGTATATTTTGTAGAGATGAGGTTTTGCCATGTTGCCCAGGCTGATCTCAAATTCTTGGACTCAAGTGATCCACCTCTTGGCTTCCCAAAGTGTTGGGATTACAGGTGTGAGCCAGTGTACCTGGCCAACAAATTTGTTTTAATGACTGGACTGTAAACCCTTGAGAGAGGAAGGGTGATTTTGCTTCTCTTGTCTACAAGGCTGTCACATGATCAGTGCTCAATAAATACTTGAATAATTGAATAAATGAATTATGGATTTGAATTAGTGAATATAAAAGTACTTAAAGCTTTCTACTTTTGTTTTCCTGCAGGAGCCAGGTGAGAATTTCAAGGATTATCGACTTCATATTGCACATTAAAGTTACAAATTAAAGTGGCTTGGTCAAGAATGAGAATGGAGTTGTGGATCTTTTTTTTGGGGGGGGGTGGGGTGGTGGAGAGGTGGTGGGAGGGGGGCGGGGGACAAATCTCACTCTGTCACCCAGGCTTGAGTTCCGTGGTGTGATCTCGGCTCACTGCAGCCTCCACCTCCTGGGTTCAAGCAATTCTCCTGTCTCAGCCTCCCAAGTAGCTGAGACTACAGGCGCCTGCCACCATGCCTGGCTAATTTTTGTATTTTTAGTAGAGATGGGGTTTCACCATATTGGTCAGGCTGTGTCAAACTCCTGACCTCAGGTGATTCACCCGCCTCGGCCTCCCAAAGTGCTGGGATTACAAGTGTGAGCCACCTCACCCGGCCTGGATCTTTCTGATAAAGGCAACTACCCTTTATGGATTATTATTTTTTCCAACTCCCGCGCTTAGTGGTTTAGTGCCCTTTCAGCCGATCCTCTTAGGTACCCCATTGACATAGACAGGCATTAGCTCCATTTATCAATGAAGACTGCAAGGTTCACAGAGATGAAGTTACTTGCTTAGCATCACAGGCTGGTAGGCAGCGAGATGAGGACTCCAGAGCTCACCCTTAGCTGCAGGGCTGTGCCGCCACCACCTCAGCTGGTGTCTTAGCTGTGTGTCGGCACTTCCTGTGAAAACTCTTGCCCTTTGTCCACTGCACTGGATTCTTGCCCTGAGTACACAGAGGTTAGAGGTCAGTGCAGTCGATTTATGAAGTAGCTCCTGTGGACTGGGCAGTTGTGTTGAGGGGCCGTTGTGCAACTCTTAAGGCATACTTCTTTTTTTTTTAGTTTTTATCTCAAGTTTTAATGAACAATTAGAAGACAAGTAGTTTGACCTTTATGACTAAGTTTCAATATATTCTTACAGTTTTTATATATTTAATATAGGTTTAGAAGCATTTTTTACATAAAAATATTCACAAATAACATTTCTAATTATCATTTAAGTAATAAATATTCTAAAACATATATTTAAACTAAATAGTGGAAATGCAACACAGTTATGAGTATTCTTATATAAAAGTTAAGCTCTAATAAATGGAACCAGAGAAAGTTGTATAGGAAAACAATATTTTCCCAACCGACATTAGTTTAGAAACTAATGTTGATTCTTAAGGTATTAAATGATTTCTGAGTCATATAATTGGCAAATTGTCTGTGGCATGGTGTGCCATAACCATTATCACTTGTTAATGTGTAAAAATATTTTAAATTGGCAAATAAAAAGCATTAAATGCTTTCTTGAATATTTCATTTTTTGCCACTTCAACCATAAAATTTATATAATAAAATATTTACAGAAAATGTTATTGTCAATTATATGAAATATTAGAAAATGACAAACAACATGTTAGACTTAGTGGTACAGAGTAGATTGCAATGTAATTCCTGATAACTCTAACCATGTCAATTGGACAGGTCCACAATAGTAGAAAAGGATTTTTAATTGAGCAGTATTAAAATATTTACTATCTTGGAGACTAGGATCATTTCTTTTTAATCAGGACTAATTCATTAGCAAAACTTTTAAAAAGTATTAATGTGGCAACTTTCCAAGTTACAGTTTTCATATATGTCTTATGAATGTTCCTGAGCCCTTTTCATATTTTATTTTCACAGTGTATTTCCTTGCTCATAATCTTCTCCCCAGGGATGGGAGCACCATTCTTGTAAGACAAATTCTGTGATTATTCCTCTTGAAAAATCTATTATTTTTAGTCCTGACACAGAGCAGGTACTCAAATGTTTGCTGAATGCATGAGCAAATCCAGCTTTATCTGCTCTTGTCTATAAAGGAAACCTTTTCAATATAGTAACTGGGGTTATTCATATTTTTTAAAGCTCTGATATGCTAATAATTCCACTCCAATGACACATATTACATTAAATTGCAAATATATTTCAAAATACTGTTAACCACAAAGCTTTATCAAATATCCTTCCTACTACTTTTTTTTTTTTTTAAATTTTATTATTATTATACTTTAAGTTCTAGGGTACATGTGCACAACGTGCAGGTTTGTTACATATGTATACATGTGCCATGTTGCTGTGCTGCACCCATTAACTCGTCATTTACATTAGGTATATCTCCTAATGCTATCCCTCCCCCCTTCCCCCACCCCACAACAGGCCCCAGTGTATGACGTTCCCCGTCCTGTGTCCATGTGTTCTCACTGTTCAATTCCCACCTATGAGTGAGAACATGTGGTGTTTGGTTTTTTGTCCTTGTGATAGTTTGCTGAGAATGATGGTTTCCAGTTTCATCCATGTCCCTACAAAGGACATGAACTCATCATTTTTTATGGCTGCATAGTATTCCATGCTGTATATGTGCCACATTTTCTTAATCCAGTCTGTTGTTGTTGGACATTTAGGTTGGTTCCAAGTCTTTGCTATTGTGAATAGTGCCGCTGTAAACATACGTATGCATGTGTCTTTATAGCAGCATGATTTATAATCCTTTGGGTATATACCCAGTAATGGGATGGCTGGGTCAAATGGTATTTCTAGTTCTAGATCCCTGAGGAATCGCCACACTGACTTCCACAATGGTTGAACTAGTTTACAGTCCCACCAACAGTGTAAAAGTGTTCCTATTTCTCCACATCCTCTCCAGCACCTGTTGTTTCCTGACTTTTTAATGATGGCCATTCTAACTGGTGTGAGATGGTATCTCATTGTGGTTTTGATTTGCATTTCTGTGATGGCCAGTGATGATGAGCATTTTTTCATGTGTTTTTTGGCTGCATAAATGTCTTCTTTTGAGAAGTGTTATGTTCATATCCTTTGCCCACTTTTTGATGGGGTTGTTTGTTTTTTTCTTGTAAATTTGTTTGAGTTCATTGTAGATTCTGGATATTAGCCCTTTGTCAGATGAGTAGGTTACAAAAATTTCCTCCCATTCTGTAGGTTGCCTGTTCACTCTGATGGTAGTTTCTTTTGCTGTGCAGAAGCTCTTTAGTTTAGTTAGATCCCATTTGTCAATTTTGGCTTTTGTTGCCATTGCTTTTGGTGTTTTAGACATGAAGTCCTTGCCCATGCCTATGTCCTGAATGGTATTGCCTAGGTTTTCTTCTAGGGTTTTTATGGTTTTAGGTCTAACATTTAAGTCTTTAATCCATCTTGAATTAATTTTTGTATAAGGTGTAAGGAAGGGATCCAGTTTCAGATTTCTACATATGGCTAGCCAGTTTTCCCAGCACTGTTTATTAAATAGGGAATCCTTTCCCCATTGCTTGTTTTTCTCAGGTTTGTCAAAGATCAGATAGTTGTAGATATGTGGCATTATTTCTGAGGGCTCTGTTCTGTTCCATTGGTATATATCTCTGTTTTGGTACCAGTACCATGCTGTTTTGGTTACTGTAGCCTTGTAGTATAGTTTGCAGTCAGGTAGTGTGATGCCTCCAGCTTTGTGCTTTTGGCTTAGGATTGACTTGGCAATGTGGGCTCTTTTTTGGTTCCATATGAACTTTAGTTTTTTCCAATTCTGTGAAGAAAGTCATTGGTAGCTTGATGGGGATGGCACTGAATCTGTAAATTACCTTGGGCAGTATGGCCATTTTCACGATATTGATTCTTCCTGCCCGTGAGCATGGAATGTTCTTCCATTTGTTTGTATCCTCTTTTATTTCATTGAGCAGTGGTTTGTAGTTCTCCTTGAAGAGGTCCTTCACATCCCTTGTAAGTTGGATTCCTAGGTATTTTATTCTCTTTGAAGCAATTGTGAATGGGAGTTCACTCATGATTTGGCTCTCTGTTTGTCTGTTATTGGTGTATAGGAATGCCTGTGATTTTTGTACATTGATTTTGTATCCTGAGACTTTGCTGAAGTTGCTTATGAGCTTAAAGAGATTTTGGGTTGAGACGATGGGGTTTTCTAGATATACAATCATGTCATCTGCAAACAGGGACCATTTGACTTCCTCTTTTCCTAATTGAATACCCTTTATTTCCTTCTCCTGCCTGATTGCCCTGGCCAGAACTTCCAACACTATGTTGAATAGGAGTGGTGAGAGAGGGCATCCCTGTCTTGTGCCAGTTTTCAAATGGAAAGCTTCCAGTTTTTGCCCATTCAGTATGATATTGGCTGTGGGTTTGTCATAGATAGCTCTTAATATTTTGAGATACGTCCCATCAATACCTAATTTATTGAGAGTTTTTAGCATGAAGGGTTGTTGAATTTTGTCAAAGGCCTTTTCTGCATCTATTGAGATAATCATGTGGTTTTTGTCTTTGGTTCTGTTTATATGCTGGATTACATTTATTGATTTGCGTATGTTGAACCAGCCTTGCATCCCAGGGATGAAGCCCACTTGATCATGGTGGATAAGCTTTTTGATGTGCTACTGGATTCGGTTTGCCAGTATTTTATTGAGGATTTTTGCATCGATGTTCATCAAGGATATTGGTCTAAAATTCTCTTTTTGGGTTGTGTCTCTGCCAGGCTTTGGTATCAGGATGATGCTGGCCTCATAAAATGAGTTAGGGAGGATTCCCTCTTTTTCTATTGATTGGAATAGTTTCAGAAGGAATGGTACCAGTTCCTCTTTGTACCTCTGGTAGAATTCGGCTGTGAATCCATATGGCCCTGGACTCTTTTTGGTTGGTAAGCTATTGATTATTGCCTCAATTTCAGAGCCTGTTACTGGTCTATTCAGAGATTCAACTTCTTCCTGGTTTAGTCTTGGGAGGATGTATGTGTCGAGGAATTTATCCATTTCTTCTAGATTTTCTAGTTTATTTGCATAGAGGTGTTTGTGGTATTCTCTGATGGTAGTTTGTATTTCTGTGGGATCGGTGGTGATATCCCCTTTATCATTTTTTATTGCGTCTATTTGATTCTTCTCTCTTTTCTTCTTTATTAGTCTTGCTAGCAGTCTCAATTTTGTTGATCTTTTCTAAAAACCAGCTCCTGGATTCATTAATTTTTTGAAGGGTTTTTGTGTCTCTATTTCCTTCAGTTCTGCTCTGATCTTAGTTATTTCTTGCCTTCTGCTAGCTTTTGAATGTGTTTGCTCTTGCTTTTCTAGTTCTTTTAATTGTGATGTTAGGGTGCCCATTTTAGATCTTTCCTGCTTTCTCTTGTGGGCATTTAGTGCCATAAATTTCCCTCTACACACTGCTTTGAATGTGTCCCAGAGATTCTGGTCTGTTGTGTCTTTGTTCTCATTGGTTTCAAAGAACATCTTTATTTCTGCCTTCATTTCATTATTTACCCAGTAGTCATTCAGGAGCAGGTTGTTCAGTTGCCATGTAGTTGAGTGGTTTTGAGTGAGTTTCTTAATCCTGAGTTCTAGTTTGATTGCACTGTGGTCTGAGAGACAGTTTGTTATAATTTCTGTTCTTTTACATTTGCTGAAGAGTGCTTTACTTCCAACTATGTGGTCAATATTGGAGTAAGTGTGGTGTGGTGCTGAAAAGAATGTATATTCTGTTGATTTGGGGTGGAGAGTTCTGTAGATGTCTATTAGGTCCGCTTGGTGCAGAGCTGAGTTCAATTCCTGGGTATCCTTGTTGACTTTCTGTCTCGTTGATCTGTCTAATGTTGACAGTGGGGTGTTAAAGTCTCCCATTATTATTGTGTGGGAGTCTAAGTCTCTTTGTAGGTCACTAAGGACTTGCTTTATGAATCTGGGTGCTCCTGTATTGGGTGCATATATATTTAGGATAGTTAGCTCTTCTTGTTGAATTGGTCCCTTTACCATTATGTAATGGCCTTCTTTGTCTCTTTTGATCTTTGTTGGTTTAAAGTCCATTTTATCAGAGACTAGGATTGCAACCCCTGCCTTTTTTTGTTTTCCATTTGCTTGGTAGATCTTCCTCCATCCCTTTATTTTGAGCCTATGTGTGTCTCTGCATGTGAGATGGGTTTCCTGAATACAGCACACTGATGGGTCTTGCCTCTTTATCCAGTTTGCCAGTCTGTGTCTTTTAATTGGAGCATTTAGCCCATTTACATTTAAAGTTAATATTGTTATGTGTGAATTTGATCCTGTCATTATGCTGTTAGCTGGTTATTTTACTCATTAGCTGATGCAGTTTCTTCCTAGCCTTGATGGTCTTTACAATTTGGCATGTTTTTGCAGTGGCTGGTACTGGTTGTCCCTTTCCATGTTTAGTGCTTCCTTCAGGAGCTCTTGTAGGGCAGGCCTGGTGGTGACAAAATCTCTCAGCATTTGCTTGTCTGTAAAGTATTTTATTTCTCCTTCACTTATGAAGCTTAGTTTGGCTGGATATGAAATTCTGGGTTGAAAATTGTTTTCTTTAAGAATGTTGAATATTGGCCCCCACTCTCTTCTGGCTTGTAGAGTTTCTGCTGAGAGATCCGCTGTTAGTCTGATTGGCTTCCCTTTGTAGGTAACCCGACCTTTCTCTCTGGCTGCCCTTAACATTTTTTCCTTCATTTCAACTTTGGTGAATCTGACAATTATGTGTCTTGGAGTTGCTCTTCTCGAGGAGTATCTTTGAGGTGTTCTCTGTATTTCCTGAATTTGAATGTTGGCCTGCCTTGCTAGATTGGGGAAGTTCTCCTGGATAATATCCTGCAGAGTGTTTTCCAACTTGGTTCCATTCTCCCTGTCACTTTCAGGTACACCAATCAGATGTAGATTTGGTCTTTTCACATAATCCCATATTTCTTGGAGGCTTAGTTCGTTTCTTTTTATTCTTTTTTCTCTAAACTTCTCTTCTTGCTTCATTTCATTCATTTCATCTTCCATCACTGATACCCTTTCTTCTAGTTGATCGAATCGGCTACTGAGGCTTCTGCATTCGTCACGTAGCTCTCGTGCCTTGGTTTTCAGCTCCATCAGGTCCTTTAAGGACTTCTCTGCATTGGTTATTCTAGTTATCCATTCATCTAATTTTTTTTCAAAGCTTTTAACTTCTTTGCCATTGATTTGAATTTCCTCCTGTAGCTCGGAGTAGTTTGATTGTCTGAAGCCTTCTCTCAACTTGTCAAAGTCATTCTCCGTCCAGCTTTCTTCCGTTGCTGGTGAGGAACTGCATTCCTTTGGAGGAGGAGAGGCGCTCTGATTTTTATAGTTTCCAGTTTTCCTGCTCTGTTTTTTCCCCATCTTTGTGGTTTTATCTACCTTTGGTCTTTGATGATGGTGACGTACATATGGGTTTTTGGTGTGGATGTCCTTTCTGTTTGTTAGTTTTCCTTCTAACAGACAGGACCATCAGCTGCAGGTCTGTTGGAGTTTGCTAGAGGTCCACTCCAGACCCTGTTTGCCTGGGTATCAGCAGCGGTGGCTGCAGAATAGTGTATATTGGTGAACCGCAAATGCTGCTGCCTGATCGTTCTTCTGAAAGTTTTGTCTCAGAGGAGTACCCGGCCGTGTGAGGTGTCAGTCCGCCCGTACTGGGGGGTGCCTCCCAGTTAGGCTACTCGGGTCAGGGACCCACTTGAGGAGGCAGTCTGCCCGTTCTCAGATCTCAAGCTACATGCTGGGAGAACCACTACTCTCTTCAAAGCTCAGTTGGAAATGCAGAAATCACCCATCTTCTGCATCGCTCACGCTGGGAGCTGCAGACGGGAGCTGTTCCTATTCGGCCATCTTGGCTCCTCCCCACAAGGCATACTGCTAACTAGTTTTTGGGGCCAGAGGAATGGGTGAAGCAGGAGTTTTTACTTTTTCTAAAATTTGTTGCAAAGCACTTTCCAACTCTCTGAGACTGGACAGAATTCTCCTCTACCCACAGATCTGTATCTATGTATCTATTTTGTAGAGATAGGGTCTGTCTTAGTCACCCAGGCTGGAGGGGAGTGATGCGATCCTAGCTCACTGCAGCCTCAAACTAACTTCTGGGCCCAAGTGATCTGCCTCAGCTTCCCCAGTAGCTGGGACTACAAGTGTGTGCCACCACACTTGGCTAATGTGTGTGTGTGTTGACAGAGAGTCTGTGTTGCCCAAGCTGGTCTTGAAGTCGAGGCCTCAAGTGATCTTCCTGCCTTGGCTTCCCAAAGTGCTGAGATTACAGGTGTGAGCCACCGTGCGTGGACTCCCTTTTTTTCTACTTAGGTTTTTGATCACTCAGGCGTTGAGAATCTGGTACTAAAGAAGATAAGGTTCTGTTCTCAGAGAACTTATTAGAAAGGGTAGACAGTCACTAACCAAGTGAGATTTACTAAGTGCTGTGGAGGAAATGGCACTGGGTGAGGTGCTAGAGATGGGCGAGAAAAGCAAATTGAACTTTTGACTGGTCAGGGAGGGCATTTGAGCTGAAAGCGGAACAAGTAGGAGGAGCCAGTTGTGCGAGGGTGAAGAGTGTTCTGGGAGTAAGGAACAGCAGGAATCAAGGTCTCGCATGGGACCACAGTCACTCCCGTGTTTAAGGAACAGAAAGTCCAGGGCATCTCCCACTGGTGAGGAGAGGGTGGGACTAGATCTCATAAGCAGACCAGGGCCACAGGTTTAGATTCTGGGTTGAATGCAGCGAGCAGCCTCTGGCAGGCTTTAAGCTGGGGTATGGTATGATAGGCTTTCCTAGTAACTGGGTTTCCAGTCCCACTTTGGTTCTCTTTGGATGTCACAGAGCAGGCACCATGGCAGGAAAAGCTGAAGCAAGTGGAACAGTTGCACCCTCCCCTGCTGACAGCTTCAGCAGTCCTGTCCCTCTTGCAAGGGGTGCTGGGGACACTTCTCCGGTTTTGTGTTTACTCACCTGTGTGTGAGCTGCCTGAGCTGATGAAGTGATGTTTAAGGTCTTTACTTTTAAAACCATCAGATCTCTTTGTACTTTTTAGGTTTCATTTTTCCTTGTCTTCCACTCACCCCCACCCCATCCCTCATGACCGCCCACTCCCCAATATCAATAAAAGTTTTTTTGGAAAGAATACAATCTACAACAGTGAACTCAGGATAATCTCATTAGCCCCATTCCTTAGAAATCAGTTGCTTGATTTAAAAGATAACTTTAAAAAGAGCATTCTTTTGTTTAAAGAATAAGGAGGCCATATTGGAATCCTCTTTTCCACATGTGGGCCATGGAGGGAATTGTTCCAAGCCTTCTCAAAGGAATGGACCTCCACCCGCTGTATAGCATATGGGAAAATACTTAACGTGGGAGGAGTCCCAAAAGGATTTTAAGTACAACATTTGATTGATGATGGCAATATATAGTTACAGGAAATAATAATGAAAACTTACTATGGGCCAGGCACTGTTGTTAGCACTTAATGTGTAAATTTATCAAATCTTCACATTATTATTTCCACTTTATAGGTGAAGAAGTTGAGCTATAGATGGGTTAGGTGCTTTGCCAAGCTCATACCTGAGATTCAGATCCTGCTGTCTTGTTCTAGGCGGAGTCAGATGATCTGAGTCAACACAGCTTGGTGTCAGCCTTTTTGATCACAGTTTAAGAATTTCATATTACCTAGCATATAAATATACTTGTGTACACATATATCAAACCAAAAGTTCACAAAACAGTATTTACCATGATGCACACTATTTTCATTTTATTCTACATACTAAAGAAGAATGGCCAGTTGAGACCTCCTAAACTGATTTTACAGCCTACTAAGTTGTCTCAATCTGACATTTGAAAAGCTGGTGTAATGCTTCCAGAACTCAGGCTGTTGGAGTCAGACTTGCTGGATCTGACTAGGAGCTCTACCATTTGCTTGCTATGAGTTTGGGCAAATAACTTTGATCTGTACCTTAATGTCCTAATTTGTAGAATGGATTAAAAAGGTTAAATGAGTTAGTTAGGTAAAGCTCTTAGAACTAGGCCTGGCCTGAATGAAATACTCTCTAAATTGAATCAGTTGTTATTTCTAGACCATTGGACCTAAGCTAAGTGTAGTGACCCTGGGATCCCAGTTTGATTTTTATAGAAAAACTTCCAGATAGACCAGATTGTAAACATATTCCAGCAGACGCAGTGCCACCCCTCCCGTCAAAAATATGCCAAAGCAAAAAAACACATTTACAGTATCTGTTCCTCTCTTCCTGATGAGCAGCTACAAGTACATTCAAAGTTAAGTTTTAGGGTATGGCCTCAAATGGCAACAGAGGTCCAGTGTTAAATTTTAGCACACACGTTTGTAACTTTGTTAGTTTCCTAGGGAACCTTAATGTAAATACCACAATTAGTTGTCTAATAAAGTTTGAGATGAGAGGTGTTGCAGAAGAACAGCTGTTATATGCATGTTATAGGAAGATACAGAAGTCATCTTGGTTCCAATTGCCCCTAGAACTATTTTATAGAAGAGGTTGACCCTGTCGCCTGCTGCAACCATTTCACCAGGAGCAATGGTGGGAAACACCAACGTGCAGTGTCAGGGAAATGGGAGCTCCCTGAGGTGGCGTGTGGACCTGCCTCAGCAGGTGCCTTTTGTTTACACTAGCAGTGTCTTCCCAGATTGGTGATGACAACAGTAGGGACAAGTGGAGCATGCCTAACACAACAACCATTTCTGGCTATGAACTCACTGTCATGGAGTCAATACCCATTTCTATCCAAATCTCGTTACAGCCATCGTGACAAAATTATATATCTGTAATATATACCTATGTAAAATGCATGTTACAGATCTTGGGTCCTGGCTACATAAGCCTAGCGAGTCATATCCTTTGGGGCTGCATATTCAGCAACTGATAGGAGAGGAGTTGGACCAGTTTTTTTTTTTCTCTGAAACAGGGTCTTGCTCTGCCGCCCAGGCTGCAGTGCAGTGGTGCAATCACAGCTCACTGCAGCCTTGACCTCCCAGGCTCAAGCAGTCTCCCCCGACCTCAGCTGGGATCACAGGTGCGTGACACCATGCCCAGCTAATTAAATTTTTTTTTTGGCCAGGCTGGTCTGGAACTCCTGGCTTCAAGTGATCCTCCCACTTTAGCCTCCCAAAGTGCTGGGATTTAGGCGTGAGCCATTGAGCCCAACTCAGTGTTAAGAACACTTTTTGCCCTAACATTTTGAGTCTAGGAGAACTATATAACTCAAAAGACAGTAGGTCCAAGTGTCACAGCCCCTGATAAAATTTCAGAAGAGCTAGTGTGGTAGAGTTCTTTATAATACAACTTTATAATAACCAAAGTGTCCATAGTTCTGGGCTAAATTTTAAGGAAAACCTCACATATATGGTATAGTATGTTCTTAAAGCCACATCTACTCTGTTGTAATCACACATGAAGGTTTAGAAAATGAATTTCTATGATGTTTATATTATAGAATTACCATTTTCAGAAGAGAAAAACTGCAGTTCATAGGAAATTAAGTCTTGACATTTATTTTTATTTTTAGCGTGGGTGTCTTGCTATATTGCCCTGGCTTGCCTCAAACTCCTGGGCTCAAGCAATCCTCCTGCCTTAGCCTTTTAAGTCTTGATAACATTTTATTGTTTGGGAGGAGGGGTGAAACCAGATTCCTCAGGCACAAGCCCTTTTTAGGCTTTTCTGTTCCTTCATATTATTCTCAGACATAAGGATAAACAGGTGAAGTGTTTTTTTTGAGACAGAGTCTCGCTCTGTTGCCCAGGCTAGAGTGCAATGGCGTGATCTCAGCTCACTGCAACCTCCGCCTCCCAGGTTCAAGCGATTCTCCTGCCTCAGCCTCCCGAGTAGCTGGGATTACAGGTGCTGGCCACCATGCCCAGCTTTTTTTTATTTCTTTCTGAGATGGAGTTTTGCTCTTGTTGCCCAGGCTGGAGTGCAATGGCACAATCTCGGTCGGCTCACTCCCGGGTTCAAGCGATTCTCCTGCCTCAGCCTCCTGAGTAGCTGGAATTACAGGCATGCGCCACCACAGCCGGATAATTTTGTATTTTTAGGAGAGAGGGGGTTTCTCCATGTTGGTCAGGCTGGTCTCGAACTCCTAACCTCAGGTGATCTGCCTGCCTTGGCCTCCCAAAGTGCTGGGATTACAGGCGTGAGCCACCACACCTGGCCTAATTTTTGTATTTTTTAGTAGAGACAGTTTCACCATGTTGGTCAGGCTAGTCTCCACTCCTGACCTCAGGTGATCCACCCGCCTCGGCCTCCCAAATTGCTGGGATTACAGGCGTGAGCCACTGCACCTGGCTGCAGATGAGTTTTAAAACGGTTTACTTCCTTTCTGGAAACTCTGCCCAGTAATTTGATATATTTTGTCTGAAGATACTCTAGGAGTTTTTCAGACTTCAGTGAATTTTATTTGGGGAAGGGTCATGAAATCAAATGCAGAAAATCAACTCACTGAGGTAACCAGCATAAAAAAAAATGAAGTAGAAAACATGAGTGCATAGTTTCAAGTAAATGTTAGCGTGCGTGTGCTGTGTTGCTATAGAAAATGTAAGCTGTCAAAAGTTTGAAAAAATACAATTCTAAGGTGAGTTTCTGCAGATAAACTTTAAACATGACTAAAGTAGAGCACATACTCCAACTGAACCACATGGAGGAAAGCAGTGGTTTGAAACTAAAGATACATCAGGTCACAACATCTCAAATATTTAAGGGTCATCACCAACACCTGACAAACGACTGTTGCCACTGCAAGTTGTATAGCACGTATAACCTACCATGCATGAAACTTGACAACTTACTTGAACTTCTACCCACTAAGCAGTAACCAACATTATGTATGAAACAAAATGTACATTTCTCAGTCTCTCCATTGTCTAGAAAAACTGTTAAAACTGCTGACTACTTTTGTTACTGAATGTAATCGTGTTAGAAAAATAGTCTTGATGAAGACTTCTCCATGCAGTCAATCTTTATTATAGCAGTATTCGCATATTCACATCAAGTACATAGAACTTTTTTTGCCTTTTATATAATACAGTTTTTAAATAACTTTACACAGAAATAAATTTCTTCAATCTGAATTTCAGCTATCTTTTTTTATTCTCCATGCTTTCTATCCAAACTGAACAATATTTTCTGTTATACAAATTTACATGAGAAAAACTCCAAAGTACAAATGAAGGGACCTGAGCAGGAAAGAGAACCAAAGTATCAGGAAGTGGGTATGGGGGAGAATTAAAAAAAATAATAAAAGATTCAAGCAAACATTGAGAATAGGGGAAAAGAGGGAGACATCATCCATTTGACTGAAAATAAATGTCTTTTTTATGAATTGAAAAATAAGCTTTAAAAATAGTTACTCCATTGTAATTTTTGCAAAGCAGGTATAGAGAGGTCTGTGGACAATTAAAAAGTCCCCATCTTTTCACTGGGCACGCCCCAGACTCCACGAGAACCTTTTCAATGCTTGAGTGGAACTGAAGTGTACTAAACCCGAACCTTTGGCAGTAACAGAAAAGAGGAATGTGTGTGTGAGTCGCCATAAGGTTTGGAGTGGTGAAACAGGAACCGTGAATTCACTGCAGTTCAAACAGGAAGCATCTCCCTTTCCTCTCCCTTACAGGAGTCATGTCCTCAAACCAAGGAATACATGAAAAGGGGGGATTTCCTTTTTCTTGGTCTAAACCAAAGAGCAATGACAACTACTGAATAAAATTCAGAGACACATGTTGATGAATGATCAAATTCAATCCCCTGATCAGTTGTATGATCCTATCTTAGGAAAGGCAGCAATTGCCATGTTGAGGAAAGGATCAGATGTACAACCAACAAATGAGATTACCACAAATACATATCACTGTGATACAGTCCTCAAAAATCAGGCGATATCATGAAGGCCAAACTGAGTCTATATATGTGGCATGGCCAAAGGAAACACGGAGGACCCATGGATGCATTTTAAAATGAAGGCAGGAGAAGGGGACAGCACAGAGACATACACCCCTGTATGTAAACTAACATAACATGAAGATAAATAAGACATAAAGGCTAGCCACTTACGTTGGTCATTAACATGAATAAAAAGGCATTATATGTTGATATAGCTGGTTTTAATCAGCTATGGAACATACACAAATGTATTAGGAAGGAATGATTCTTAAAAAAACCGTTCACAGCTTAGAATAAAAAGCATACTTATTGCACTCTTACATTTGATTTCAGGTAATTACAGTTTATTTCCCACCCTCACATTAATTTTTCCCTATCCTAGATTTACTGCCACCTCACCCCATTTTGGTCTCTGTTCTCTACATCTGTGCCTACTCTGTGAGCTTTGTTGTTTATGCTAGTTTGCAGTGACTTCCAACTCATACTCCACCAAAACACACGTGGGTTCAAAAACTTAACACAAAAATGCAACGCAGTAATTTTCAAAACAAAACCAGGACTAAGCAACTTCATCAAAACCCCCAATCCCACCCGTCAACAGACCCTTCCTTTGCGGCATCTCTTCACAAATTTTCTGCCAACTCTCCCGCATATGTGCTGTACATGAGAACCAGCGGTCACGGTGCTGGAGAATGAACTCGGCTGGCCGGGAGAAGCAGATGGTTTGTACAAACATTTTTTGATACTACCATGAATAAACATATTTTAGTTGTTTTCAGAGCACTTCTATCTACAGAATTCTTTAAAAAAAAATGCACCTCTAAAAAATGGATACACTGGCTTACATTGGCTGTGTCCTCATACACACTCGTCAAGTCACTATAATTATTCAAAATAGCTAAATAAATGTCAACATTTTAATAAAGCTGATTTAGTAATTAATAAAACTTAACAGTTGAAGTTGTGGATGTTAAATAAAAGTACTTTAGTCACTCATTGAGTTGCCGACTAATTGCCCCATGCATTTTTTTTTTTTAAAGCACTGTTACCTTAATTTAAGATTTTAGGAGTTGGGTTTCTGTCCTTTTCCACATTAAAAATACCTGATAGGAACTGTTAATTACCCTTTCCACAATTAACAAAAATTAGAATTGAATTTCAATTTAAATGTCTTTGCCCAAACAAAAGTGAAAATAGGTTATTTGAAAACAACAAAACAGAGCTTACTGTCTAGTGTACTAATAAAACAAACATCTTACCAGTATTTTTAATTTTACCAGAGCTAGCAACATGGACCACAGATATACTGGTGACTCCGCTCTCCTCTGGCCAAGCTACAAATCATCACCTGAGGCAGAGATGCTACTACCCTCTTCTGGGGCTCAACTACCGATGGGCATCAGTAATCCATCCCAGTATAACATTTCAAGGATGTGCTGGAGACAATACATGGACTTTCTCTTTCAATGGTGAGGAATGAAACAAGATACAAGAACCACAGCATGGAATATGTTTTCTTTTACATCCAATGGCCAGGTCATAAAGGATGCCTTGAGACCTCCACCCTGGCCCCCACAGCGCTTTGGGACAGGATGACTAACGCAGTCCAGCTTCATGTGCAATCAAGTCCCGGGAAGAAATTTACATTTCAAACTCTGAAAAATCAGTGTCTAGGTTGGCAGCAGTACTCTGGAAACTGATAAAACCAAATTCGGTCCTATATTTCAATTTCCCCTTCTAAGTTAATACATGATTGCTGCCCATCATACAGTACTTCAACCCTAAACTACAGCAATTTCTGTCAACATTTCTGTTGTATAAAAGTTCCATGCTTTGAAGAGCCTATGGGAGTAGAAAAAGTTTCTCTAGAAATGTCACTGAACTATATTTGCAACCTAGTTGCTCTATGTGATAAATATATCTGACTATACTAGGGATTATGTGCTTTAAAAAAATAATTTTGTTCACTGAAAATTTACCTGTGTGTTTTCTCATTGTTAAATGTGATTTTGGCTATAAACTCTTTAGTGCATTTACCTATGCAGTCTAAATTGCACTCTAAAAATTATTAACACAGCTGAGTTAAACCAGAGTGGCTGCTCTCTTCACAAATCACTGATTTCTGCTAAAATGTTAGCTTTTTTATTGCATCATGAAGGCACAGTAAGATCATTTGGCAAATTGTCAAGGTATTTTTCTAGAGCCTCACCTACACCATTTCAACTCATGACCTGTAAGCTATTTGCTGTTCATACTCACAGTAAACCTTCCATCTCTGGCTATGGTGTTTATAGCCTAATGGTTGGAATCTGCTCGTCTCAAGGTGCTGGTATTCCTAGCACTAACAATGCCAACTTGGACAAAGAAGAGAATCTTGCAAAAAGAGTAATCATTCTACCCTCTTAGCTGGGTGGTCTTTCTATGAATGCCTGTGCATGTGACAAAGCTGCAGCAAACTCATTATGAGGATGTACTGTCATGCCAAGCCTACTGAAAATTAAAATTACATCACTGTTAGTGAAGTGATACCACAGCTATTTAATTTCATGCAATTGACTCAAGGTTAAGATTCTGAAACGTACCCCTAAACCGGTTCTGGCACCACTTTCAACAACATTCAGATATTCCGAGCAACACATTTTTTTACAGTATTACTGCTTAAATGTATAATGCCCTTTAGGACAAAATGAGAGTGCTCAAATACAAGTACACAAAAAAGTTAAAATCTTAAATCATCGTCATGTTCTAGAGCTCCTGACTTTTCATATTTTAAAATAAATAACTATTCATTACCTCATTCTGAAGAGGTAGTTTTTTGTAGAGGTCACCTGAACCCTGCAATGTGGTTTCGAACTAAAGCTAGAGATGAGGTTTGCAAGCAGCTGGCGGGTGGATGTACAGTGGGGACAGGTGAGATCTGAGGAGGATGTGCAGCAGCTCGCACTCCGCCTGGTGAATACAAGGTAACATCCTGTGATGAAAGTGCTGTCACCGCACCAAACCAGAAGCTAGGAAATATTTACAAAGTTTCAGGTTGACAGTGCTGCAGTCTTGAATTATTTCTTTATATACTGCTCTTTCTTCTCCAACACCAACATAAATATAGCATATATCATTTGTATGGGATTTTATCTTCTAAAATGCCCCAGTATGCCCTACTAGATCTCAAATACAATCAGGGGTGAGATATTCGGGAACCAGAATTTGACAGCTAGACAGAATCTTCTTTTAAGGTGCACATTAACAACAAATGATCACACTGAATTTTCTATTCACAAATCCCTTTTATAAACTATTTTTTTGGTCAATATTATTTCAGTGGCAAAAGTCTAGGTCCTTGACTCTAACGATGAAAAAAGTCCATCAGGAATACTACACAGTTACAAACAATCCTCTGTAGTTGCTCTCAAATTTTTCAGAAGGCTTCACCTCTCCCTACCAAAAATAAAACACACTACAGAAGGCACTGCAGCCACTTTACAGACAAGACTGTTACACCCTTACAAGATGATCAGTGACGCAGCCACATACTGTCTATACAATTACTCATAAAGTGCTTTTCACAAATAAGGACTTCTTCCTCGTTTTTTTAGGAGCTCAGTAAGTCTAACTGTTGTCTAAGCATCAAAAAATAAAGCAGATAAAACACAAATAAAACCTATTTTCATGTCATTTGTAAACTAGAGAAAAAACCTATTTCATAGAAAAAGGAAGAAAAGAGAGGTTTAAATATTTTATTTTTTAAGGTATCTATAAAAATCTCAATATGCTAAGCCTGGCTCCTGGGCACAGCTTCATTTGAGATCAAGTCTGCTCCCCCGTTCAAATGAGATACCAGCCTATTCTAAAATGCAAGGGAAGAAAAAGTGTATCACCCTGAATATTGTTTAAGAAACTGAAATGCTAAGCTTCCTCCCTAATGGTACCGCCCCTGCCCCTGCCCCACGGAGGCAGTCCCGGACCCAGGCTGCACATGTTCTACCTCCTCAGCAGGACATGAAACACATCCTCTTGTTCAAGCCCAGGTCTCTCTACCTGCGGAAACTTGAAGCCAATCTTGGTAAAGGGAACACAGCCACATTTAAAAGCATCTAGAGATATATTTAAAAAGAAAAAACAGCCAATGCTTTTCAAGAGAGGCAGTATTATTGCACAGAAGATGTTCTTCAAATCAGCGTGAATTATTTCCACCTTTGCAATTTCTGAATTTTGTAAGACACTGCCCTGCTGATGTAAAACTTAAAAACAAATTTGCTTTTCAAACTGATTAATAACTTAAGGATCTTTTCCATTTTACTAGGACAACCTTTTACAAGACAATGAAAATTTCAATAGGCTTTCTTCTGAATACATGTATGTTAGCAAAAATCTAATGGTAGTGAGCTTTTAGTGGCTGCAATATAGACAGCAGGGCCTGGAGTTACAATCTGAAATTTTTAAATAACAATTTCTAATTCCTTGATTTATTCTGGGTCTTGTTTAATTTCTTTCAAGTCCTTGGCTATAGCTTGGTTGGTCTGATTTGATTTGTGTTCCTAAATTCTGAGTCTAGATTCCTGATAAGGGAGGTTTTCCATTAATTTGCCATTAATACATCCGCTTTCTTTGCTATGACTGTGATTGATATTACCCTTTAATAAAGGCCAAAGGAAGCTATAACTAGGTTATATTTTCCATTTGTGCAAAGATAAGATTTAGGTTCTTAATGAATGCCAGTTCTTTCTATAAAAACAACTGATGACAGCTTTCCCACACCCTCCCTCAGTCCTAATATCCCTAAAATTGCTCTATTCTCTGTCTGGGAATTCAGCTGCCAAATTGCCCAACCTTTTGAAGACCAGGCTTGGGAAAAAAGGAAGAAGGAGAATGAATGGAGACGCCACCATTTTTATTTTAGGTTGCATATTCTAGATAAAAGACTAGAAAGAAGATGTGGGATATAGTGTTAGGAATCAGTTGGAAGAAACAATGAGATTATTAGCAAAGATGTTAGTGTGGATCCAGCAAGTACCATTAATTGAAAAATTATAAATATTTGTCATTATGCTAAGACTCCTCATATTTAGGTAGAGAAAAGGATAATGATCTTTCTTAAAAGTTGTTTATATAACAAAAATACAATTTTCAGGATATATAATTCTGGTGGGAAGTATTGTTTTTTTCCAATTCAATTAAATCTGAAAATTATTTTCTTTTTAATAAAAATAGAAAAGAAGAAACTCAGAAATTAAAACCTGTACCTTATATTTAAATTATCTAAATTTCTCACATTCAAAACTGTTATTAAGCAGTTTTGTGGGGGTTTAGTTAGATACTGCCACGGCATTTTGTGCCCTGGACAAAGTAGCCGCATAAGTAGTTGGTGACTGGAAGAGCATAGGAGGAAGATATAAACTGTATTTCCTGAGAATTTGCTACATTGTGGAGGAAAAAAAAAAAACCCAAACACTTATCTTCATTGCTGGACCCAATGAGAAAGAAGGCAATGTGTGCCAGCACTATCTAGCCTGCTTGGTTAGACAGACCCCTCAGTGAGCAAGGAAACAAAAGGCCAGAGACCCCGGAGGTCAGGAAGAAGATGCAGCATGCCCTTTTCCTCCATACCAAGACACATCTACTCACCACTCAGCCTCCATTTAAATAAAATAGTTTCCTTTTGATAAAATCTGTCAAGGCCTGAACACGCACCACATAGAAAGGGCAAGCTGCATTTTTGTTCCATCCCTCAGAAACTAACTGGTGGTCACTAGGGGAAAGAGCTCCAAAACAAAATTCCAGAACAGGAAAGAGAACGATGCTTGGTGATTGAAACTGCCCCATCAGATGATCAGCCACAAATTGATCTGGTGGTTAGAAGGGCAAAGTTGACTGGCAGACTTTCCATAGCAAATCTCCCAAGCTGTAGCAGCAGTTTCTTTCCATCATGCCTGACCATCAAAAGGTCAGAATTCAGGGTCTCTCCTCTTTCTTCCTGGGACTGGGCAGACTTGTATGCTCGTGGTATTTTTGTTGAAGAAACACTGGCAGCAGAGAATTCTGGTTCCTAAAACATTCTTTCCTCTTTTGTTGGATGGGAAATTCCATTCTGTTCCACATCAGCTTATGCATTGGAAATTTTGTATCTTTAAAAAAAGATTTGAGGAACAGAACTGTGTTTTGATGTTAACAAATTGTACGAACACAAGACTTAAGAAATAAGAGCAGATGCTGCCATGATGGTGGCTACTTGAAGGCTGCAAATTCTCCTGTAGAGGGAGGACAAGAGCTAATTTTAAAAAAGTCATCTCAAATAACCTAGAGACACAGAAAAGCCTCATTTGAGCTTCACTGAAAAGTAACTAGTTATATATTTCAAGTCTAGCAACAGCATTGCTAATTTAAAAGCAAAAACGGCTGAAACCCATGGAAGAACACAACATATATAGTATACAGAATATGGTTCAGCTCTATCAATTAAATAGCAAGTCTGCAGAATTTTCCAGTTGGGTTTTATGTATCATGGTTCTGATCAAGCTGAAAACAGTTCCAATGAACAAAATTTCTCAGAAACTGAATGTAAAGTAGTAATGTCAATTTGTAGAATACTTCCACCTCTGAATTATCAACTCATTTTCACCTATCATATTATTATAATGCCACTATTAGGAAGAGAGAGGCAGTAGTTATCCTCATTTTGCTAAAGATACAATTAAGAGGTCAACTGATTTGTTCACACCACACGTTTGACAGAGAAAGAAAATCCAGACTGCCTATTTTCTAGTTAATTTCACCTTCAATCTAACAAAAAATTAAATATAGGCACATCACTGAACATAATTATCAGCATAAAGAATTCTTTAAACCACAAAGTACCTTTGTGATATCATGCTCCTTTAGCTTAATGAATTTGGGGGCTTCATGCCATTATTTTTTTCTTTTTTTTTTTTTTTGAGATGGAATTTTGCTTTTGTTGCCCAGGCTGGAGTGCAATGGTGCAATCTCGGTTCACTGCAACCTCTACCTCCTGGGTTCAAGTGATTCTCCTGCCTCAGCCTCCCAAGTAGCTGGGATTACAGGCATCCGCCACCAGGCCTGGCTAATTTTTGTATTTTTAGTAGAGATGGGGTTTCACCATGTTGGCCAGACTGGTCTCAAACTCCTGACCTCAGGTAATCTGCCTGCCTCGGCCTCCCAAAGTGCTGGGATTACAGGTGTGAGCCACTGCACCCGGCCGCCATTATTTTTCATCTACCATTTTGTCCATAGTTTCTACTTGTAACTAAAGGCCAATTCCTGTTATACACACCATAGTTAATTTCTGGGGATTAGTTAATAACTGACAATTAACAAAATTTAGTCAGCCATACCACTATTTTTCTTTTTTTTTTGAGACGGAGTCTTGCTCTGTTACCCAGGCTGGAGTGCAGTGGTGCGATCTCGGCTCACTGCAAGCCCTGCCTCCTGGGCTCATGCCATTCTCCTGCCTCATCCTCCCCAGCAGCTGGGACTACAGGCACATGAAGCCACGCCCGGCTAATTTTTTTGTATTTTTAGTAGAGACAGGGTTTCACTGTGTTAGTTAGGATGGTCTCTATCTCCTGACCTCATGATCCGCCCGCCTTGGCCTCCCAAAGTGCTGGGATTACACGCATGAGCCACCATGCCCGGCCAGCCATATCACTATTTTTCAATAGCAGCTTCTGATGAGGATCCAAGCAATCACTTATATGAATATACTGTTTAATCCAGGAATAACCTATCTAATTTCTGATTGCTATCAGATTCCAACTGGTTGCTAGATAACACTGGCACATCCCAACAACAGATTGCTAATGACTGGATGATTGAATCCTCAGCTTTGTAAGCTGATAGTATTAGTGACTGACTGAGTGCCTGATGCCTCACGGAACAGTTTGTACACATCTGCATCCAATTCTCATGATAACCCTATGAGGCAGATGCTATCATCTATATTATATAGATGAGGAAGCCAGGGTTTAGAGTGGTCAAGTAACTTGCCTGAGATCATATACAGAAAATTGCAGAGAAGGAATGCAAACCCAGGTGCTGACTCCAAGACCCAGCAGTCCCTAAACAACTTTCAACAATTAACACTTTGTTTTCCCAATCTGAATACAACTACTAATGAACTGCAGATAGTCTATTATCTCTTTCTATGCATGAATTCCTTTTAACAAGCAATTAACTAAGGTATTGTGAGTCCAAAGATCAAGAAAGGGTAAAAGAATTATTGCCTCATATTTAAAGTTAAGAGGATTGGGGAATCTAGCACTGATTTAAAAAAAAAAAAAGGCTAAATTAAATTACTAAGACCTTAGAGTAAAACATTTGGAGTATAATCATAGGAGGCTATTATGGTAACACACTCCAGAAATATACAAACATTCTTACTATTGTTGCTTACAGTTTGAGTACTTATAATTTTAAGGTTGCTATTTTTAGTGTTTTAATGTTTCTTTAAAATGACTTGCAACATTCTTATGAGTAATCATGTATCTAGCCAAATCAAATCTCATTAAAGGAAGTCAATGTAAAAATAAGATTTATAGAAAAGAAATCTTTATGAAAATGCCTAGAATTAATCTATTAAATAAAAAAATCAGAAAATGCTAATATCTAAGCCAAATGTTAATATACTACATTAAAAAATACTTAAAAAAATCTTCAGCTAAGGTTGGGCACAGTGGTTCACGCCTATAATCCCAGCACTTCAGGAGGCCGAGGCAGGAGGACTGCTTGAGCCCAGGAGTTTGAGACCAGGTAGGGCAACATAGTGAGACGCTGTCTCTCCAAAAAAAAAAAAAAAAAAAAATCAGTTGGATGTGGTGGCACATGCATGTAGTCCTAGCTACCTAGAGGAGGCTGAAGTGGGAGGATCACTTGAGACCAGCAGGTTGAGGCTGCAGTGAGCCAGGATTGTACCACTGCACTCCAGCCTGAGTAACGAAACCCTGTCTCGAAAACAAAACAAAATACACACACACACGCACACAACTTCAGATGTTTCCTGTTCATTATAATGATTAGAAATTTCATTTTGTTGAAGTGTCATACTCCACAAACTTAAATATTAGTCTTAAAAATAAAAACCAGGCCGGCGAGGTGGCTCATGCCTGTAATCCCAGCACTTTGGGAGGCGGAGGAGGGTGGATCATCTGAGGCCAGGAGTTCAAGACCAGCCTGGCCAACATGGCGAAACTCTCTCTCTACTAAAAATACAAAAATTAGGGCCAGGTGCAGTGGCTCAAGCCTGTAATCCCAGCACTTTGGGAGGCTGAGGTGAGCAGATCACCTGAGCTCAGCAGTTCGAGACCAGCCTGGCCAACATGGTGAAACTGTTTCTACTGGGAAAAAAAAAAAATTACGTGTGGTGCCACATACCTGTAATTCCAGCTACTCAGGAGGCTGAGGCAGGAGAATCACTTGAACCCGGGAGGCAGAGGCTGCAGTTAGCTGAGCTCACACCACTGCACTCCAGCCTGGGCAACAGAATGAGACTCTGTCTCAAAAACAAAAAAATTACCAGGGTGTGGTGGTACTGCACCACTGCATTCCAGACTGAATGACAGAGCAAGACTCTGTCTCCAAAAAAATTTAAAACCAAACAACCGCACAAAGAACAAATTTTTACCAACAAACTCCAAATCAAATACAAAGCAAACACTATCACTCTATCAAAAGTCTAGTGCTTCTAACAGAATGCAGTCCTTTTTATAGTCATACTTGGTGTTGAGGGGAAAAAAATAAAAGAATCCATAGTTCAGGAATCAATAAAATAAGACTCTTAAAATGTCCCTAAAACATGGAGAATTTAAGGAAAACATGGGAGTAACAGGTGATGAATCTGCTTTCACAAAAAGTATCTTTTCTTAATGATTCCTTCTTGCCCATCTGGAAATCTCTACTATTCTACTTCCTACCCGTCTTCTATTTGAAGAGCCAACTCTGCTTGTGTGAAGTTATTTGAAGTGAAATACCTAGATACTCTATGTCTTAAAAAAAATCTTGGTATATTAATTAATAAAAAAAAATCAATTTGAGGCCAAATTGAAATATTTTCTTTCCCCTTCTTTCAGGTTGAGGATAATTTAAGCTGCATCTTCTGTTTCTTTTTTTGAAAGAGTCTTGCTCTACTACCCAGGCTGGAGTGCAGTGGTGCAGTCTTGGCTCACTGCAACCTCTGCCTCCCGGGTTCAAGCAATTCTTGTGCCTCAGCCTCCCAAGTAGCTGGACTACAGGTGCACACCACCATGCCCAGCTAATTTTTGTATTTTTAGTAGAGACAGGGTTTTGCCATGTTGGCCAGGCTGGTCTCGAACTGGCCTCAAGTAATCCACCCGCCTCAGCCTCCCAAAGTGCTGGGATTACAGGTGTGAGCCACCACAACCGGCCATGCATTTTCAAGTTAACTTTATTTAGGAATAGAGCAGAGAACAACTGGGAAGACTGAAAAAAAAAAAAAAGACCCTGTGATTTTAGACACCTCAAATATCATGGTTTATGTGAAAGCTAAAGACTTTATTAACTAGTTTAAAAATATTACTCTTACCCTTTACTCCAGAATGGAGTATATTTTAATGGGCATTATACATAGAATTTGATAAATTCCTTAAAGTATGTTATGAAAAGTAACAGTTTACTTCTTATCCAAATCAATCACTACTTGACATTTAAGGAGAAAGTCAACTGCAGCCAGAATAAGTCCCCTCCTGACATTCTTCGTCATGACTTTCAAGCAGTTTCTTTTTTTCTTTTCTTTTTTTGAGACAGGGTTTTGCTTTGTTGCCCAGGCTGGAGTGCAGTGGCATGATGAAGGCTCACAGCAGCCTCCGCCCCCAGGTTCAAGGGATCCTCCCACGTCAGCCTCCCGAGTGGCTGGGGCTACAGTTGTGCACCACTATGCTTGGCTAATTTTTAAATTTTTCTGTAGAGACACCGTTTCGCCATGTTGTCCAGGCTGGTCTCAAACTCCTGGGCTCACGCGATCTGCCCACCTTGGCCTCCAAAAGTGCTGGGATTACAGCGTGAGCCACTACGCCTGGCCCAGGCAGTTTCAAAAGGATGAGAAACATTCTGGCATAGACACATCGAGTCTTTTAAATTCTTTGAGAAAACAGTCACAGGAAAGATGAAATATTTAGTAAAGTAAAAAGTTTTACAGAAATGCTCAACAATTTTCAATCAAATAAGACTATAACTGATAAAATGTTTCTGTCATGAAGTACCATTTCATAATATTTTTTAAAAAGGCACATAATTTTCTTAAACTAAGAGTGACTCACTTGAGAGAAAGGCCATTTAAGCTGGTATATTAAATAGCCAATGTTTTAGAGAGGACAATTTTAACTATTGGTTTAACTATTAGAGTTTAGTATCTAAATGGCTGGTATATGCCATCCGAGGGGCAGGAAGAAAATAAATAAATAAAAAAGATTAAATGGCTAGTGTAATACCTGAAAATAAATAAACTGGAAGCATCTGATTACATCCTGTGATCCTGAAACTATTTAAAATCAAGAAGACAAATCTTTTTCCTCATCATTGATTAGTAAAACTTTTAAAATGCAAAACAAATTTATAAAAAGGTTTCCTTACTGAAGAAGGAAATCAACTTTTAAGGCCGGGCGCGGTGGCTCACGCCTGTAATCCCAGCACTTTGGGAGGCCGAGGCGGGCGGATCACGAGGTCAGGAGATCGAGACCATCCCGGCTAAAACGGTGAAACCCCGTCTCTACTAAAAATACAAAAAATTAGCCGGGCGTAGTGGCGGGCGCCTGTAGTCCCAGCTACTTGGGAGGCTGAGGCAGGAGAATGGCGTGAACCCGGGAGGCGGAGCTTGCAGTGAGCCGAGATCCCGCCACTGCACTCCAGCCTGGGCGACAGAGCGAGACTCTGTCTCAAAAAAAAAAAAAAAAAAAAAAAAAAAAAAAAAAAAAAAAAGGAAATCAACTTTAATTTCAAAAAAAAAAAAGAGGGCTCAGGTTTTAGGAAAAAAGCAGTCACAAAAGAACAAATGTTCTTTTGTTTCAATTACTTAGTCAAAGAGATTAACTCTACATATGGTTAGAAAAAATAATGTTTTTATTTGGAGAATATATTTAAAACTCAGTATAAAACAAAACCCAAGAACAAATACAATTAAACCTGAAAGGGAAACATTTAATTCTACTGCTTCCTATTTCTCCAGATCCATGTTAGCTAAACATGTCACCTGTCACATTTTTAATGTCCTTTCACTAACATTTCCGGTGGACCTAATTTAAAAGAGAGAGTAGAATTACTCTGTGACACTTTGGAGGCATGTTTTACTGGCTACAGAATGGAACAATGAGTTTCTGAGTGGCTCTACAGAGCTTAGCCACACCCATCGCAAAGGAGACTAGTAAAGAAAGAAAGGAAAGGTGTCAGATGCAGATGATGGGAGCCTAGGCAGGATGGCATTGAGAAGAAAAAGAGAGTGAACAATGAAAGGAAGATAACTGTGAGGCAGGTATGCTGGGAAATTATAGAAGGAGCTCTATCAATAAAGAGACCCCTGACCTTGTGCCTCAAAATGGCCAAACATTTGGAGCATTCCACAAAGTCAATTTTGTAAAAACTTTGTTAGTTACATGCTTGCTAGTCTTCTATTTGTGAATGAATAAAACCCTATCTAACAATTACTAATAATCATATATTTAATGCCACTGGAGGATTTAAAAATCATATACTTAGATATTTTCCAATAGTTGTACTTCTTTATTCCTTAGTATCATTTTTAAAAATACGTGAAATGTTCCTTTTCATTTTCTTAACTAAAGTCATGAATCAATTCTGATTCATAATGGCATTACTTATCTTAAGCTACCCAAATGAGGGGTTAAAGATTTGCCGTAATTATTATTGAGTGATTTTCCTGGATGACATCTAAGTATTCAAATAAAGAAAATGTTTCAAAAATTTATTTGTGGGTACTTAAAAACTAAATTATCATTAATTTAAAGTCTTCTCAATTTCCTTCTTTATTGACTTCAAGGAGGCATTTATGCAGATATGTGTTTACTGGAAGAACCTTGATCTATTGGCTACATTTAAAAATCATGACAAAACCAAATTGAGTAAGTGAAGATATAGTTAAGAGGCTGACAGTGAAGCAGAGATGGCCAAATCTTTGATAGGACCACGTGCTGTTGCTTTCTACTTTTGATTCCCTCTGAATCACAGTAAGAATACACTGACCACCACATTACAGTCATTTTCTACACAACAAAGTGTAAGTACTAAAGAACCCTAACAAATACTTCATACCATTGAATGAAAAAAGGAGAAGAGCATTCATTCATCATAAGTAGAATCTTGCTGGGCAAAGAATATAAGGAGGACAGAACATGAGACACAATGATAAGGTGATTGCTAAAATATGCATCATGAGAGGTAAGAATAATCTAATAACAACTTTAAAAAATCTATTACCTGGTGTTTGGCAACCAGAGGTATCTCAAAGAAAAACACACCTAAAAGTTCTCACAGAATTCTGTGAAGATTTTTTGCAGGGGAGAGATTGGGTGTGAAGGGAGCAATGCGTTTGCAACAAAATTTGACTTCTACATGAGCGAGACATCCTTAATGTATTTTAAAAAAAGCTATTTAAAAGAAACTCCAATTTATAACATTTTCCCGCTAAAAATCCGAAGTTAAGACATTTTACTCATGTCAAACGTGCCACTCCTCAGCAATATTTTTGGTCACCTGCACTCAAAATTTATAAAAAGAAACTTAGTTTATTGCTTCAAGGAAATAAAAGACATCCACATTTTCCAAATTGTTATAAAAAGAAATAGTTATAGAAAAATTATTAAGAATAATAATAGAATTATTAAATTCTACTGACTTCCTAAATTAGATCTGTTCAGTTTGCCTTATCTAACCCAGGCTAACCGACTGCCAACTTCTCACCTGCAAACACAGGCATAGGTAGGGTCTTCTTCTGGAGTCCCTAGTGGACATGTGATAGCTGGCAACAAAAGTTGCATGAGAAACTGAAGTTTACTACTTAAAATAACCAAGTGAATGATACAAACCCGGAACAGAAAGTAAAGCCTCTAGAAGAGGCTCTGCCAATTTTTAGCAATGTCTATGTATTTTAACCCTTGGATGTTAAAAATCCAATGTTAAGTATAAATTTTAGTTTGGGGAAAAATTATATCTAGTCTTTAACCACACAAGTGTTCTTTGGTTCACCTTAAAAAAAAAGAGAGTATTTTATTCAATTTAACATATAAGCAAACATATGTTCATTTATTTTCCTTTTGTTGCTACTCTCCTGAACTCTCTCACTCATTTGTTTCAGTGGACAGGAAACGCACCATATCCCCCTGCCTGGATGGGTGTTTTTGGAGAAGCACAAGCATATAGACTAAAATCCTCTGTTTGGAAACCAGCCCGATTCAAGGAGGGTTCTGATGCACTGCGGTGAATTTTTGGCAATGAGCGGGCCAGCAGCTCAATAGAGGCGAGAATCTACAAAAAAAAAAAGAAAAAAAAAAGAAAAAAAAAGAAAAAAGAAAAAAAAAGAAAGAAAGAAAAAGAAAAAACAGAAAGAAGAATGAAAATCTGGGTGGTATAAATCTTTAAGAGTCCCATCACACTTTACAAGAAAGCACCTGAAATCTTACATTGTTTTCAGCATTGTCATAAATGCTTGGGAAAATATTTGTAAATAATTGGTATTTTTTCTTAAGAAGAAACTCTCTCTGTAAATTAAATGGGGAGAGTAATTCTTAGTCAGCTTTTATTTATATTTTAGATCATTTGTTAGTCTTGAAACAGTAAATAATAGAAATTTAAAACCAATTTTATACCTTTTTGTTATAGACCACAAGTCTCTTTTGGGAAGAAGATGGAGTATAAATAAGTAAAGCACTTTATGACTATCTCTAAACAGAATTATCACAGCTACTTGCCCTTTAAAGAAACCTAGCCATGGGAAATGTTTTACATACACCTAATTGAAAGCAGAACCTCACAGACCCAGAGTGCTAGTAGCACATGAGAAGTGACAGGGGACAACCCAAGAGCAAAGATAGGAGAACTCGACAAATAGACCCCAATATATAAAATGCAGAAATTCACAATTTTAAGGCACAAAGAAACAGGTTATAATCCTTGAAGGCATACAGCATGATAATGCATGTTCATAATCATGAAACATGTTTAAAGGGCTTGGCATAATGCCTGGCCTATAATAAGCACTCAATAAAACCTTAGCAGCTATTATTATTACTTTTGTTATTGTCCTGAGATACCAATTTTTTTTTTTTTTTGAAACGGAGTCTCGCTGTTGTCAACCAGGCTGGAGTGCAGTGGCACAATCTCAGCTCACTGCAACCTCCCCCTCCTGGGTTCAAGCGATTCTCCTGCCTCAGCCTCCTGAGTAGCTGGGATTACAGGAGCGCACCACCATGCCCAGCTAAATTTTTGTATTTTTAGCAGAGACAGGGTTTCACCACGTTGGCCAGGCTGGTCTCAAACTCCTGACCTCAGGTGATCTGCCTGCCTCGGCCTCCCAAAGGGCTGGGATTACAGACATGAGCCACCATGCCTGGCTGAAAATTGTTTTTAAAAGTTAAATTTTTTTTAAAAAGTAATCTTTATGATGATTAGTATAAGACAAAGAAGTAAGCAGTTGCAAAAAATTGTAAATTCCAAGTATAACATGCAAATAAAAATTAAAATACTATAGAAATGTATAAAGAGTATAAGGCTCTCAAATCCTGCTCTCCAGGGATAACCACTGTTAGAGTCTATACTTTCTTCTGTACCTTTTTTTTTTTTTTTTGAGATGGAGTCTCACTCTATTGTCCAGGCTGGAGTGCAGTGGCGCGATCTCAGCTCACTGCAACCTCCGCCTCCCAGGTTCAAGCGATTCTCCTGCCTCAGCCTCCCGAGTAGCTGGGATCACAGGCGTGTGCCACCACGCCCGGATAATTTTGTATTTTTAGTAGAGACGGGTATCACCATTTTGCCCAGGCTGGTCTCGAACTCCTAACCTCAACTGATCCACCCACCTTGGCCTCCCAAAGTGCTGGGATTACAGGTGTGAGTCACTGCGCCTGGCCTCTTCAGTACCTTTTTTTATGTATAAAAATACATACATGAAAACAAGGCCCACCTGAACACCACTTTTTTTTTTTGGAGATGGAATTTCACTCTTGTTGCCCAGGCTGGAGTGCAATGGTGCGATCTCGGCTCACCGCAACCTCCGCCTCCTGGGTTCAAATGATTTTCCTGCCTCAGCCTCCCGAGTAGCTGGGATTACAGGCATGTGCCACCACGCCTGGCTAATTTTGTATTCTTAGTAGAGTCAGAGTTTCTCCATGTTGGTCAGGCTGGTTTCGAACTCCCAACCTCAGGTGATCCGCCTGCCTCGGCCTCCCAAAGTGCTGGGATTACAGGCGTGAGCCACCGTGCCTGGCCTCTGTTTAACCTTTTAAAGTGGTTATCAGGCTGGGCACTGGGGCTCACGCCTGTAATCCCAGCACTTTGGGAGGCTGAGGCGAGAGGATCGCTTGAGGCCAGGAGTTCAAGACCAGCCAGGGCAACATAGTGAGAATCTATCTCTACAACCACCACCACCACCACCACAAGAAATTAGCTGGGTGTGGTGATAGGCACCTGCAATCCCAGCTACTTAGGAGGCTGAGGTGAGAGGATCGCTTGAGCCCAGGAGTTTGAGGCTGCAGTGGGCTATGATCATATTACTGCACTCCAGCCTGGGCAACAGAACAGGCCCAGCCTATAAAAAAAAAAAATGAGGTATCATACTACATTTTGTTTTCTGTCTTGTTTTCTTTTTCTCTCACCAATATCCATGTCATCAATACAAAACTAACTTAATCTTAATGTCTTTTTCTTATTATAGTAAACATTCTTATATATATCTGAATACTTATGAAATAGGTTACATAGCACAGATTTTTAGAAGTATTTTGAATTTATGGATTCTACCAAGGTCTTCCAAAATGCTGCCTTCCACCAAACCTTTAAAATTTTACATAGAATGCTCCTCCTCACTTCCCAACATTGTTCCCAGTGCTGGATATTACCAACCTGAGAGGCGAAATTAAAATATATTTCACTGTTGTGTCTTTGCATTTTACTGACTGCCATGGAAATATTTACACCTTTTCCTAAGTTCATTCACCATTTGTATTTATTATGTGAATCACCTGTTCATATTCCCTTTGCCCATTTTCTATTGTTTGTTACTTATTGATTTGGAGGAGTCCTTTGTATATTATAAACATTTACTTTTTGTTATATATGCTACAATTATTCTTTTTATCTTTCAATGTTATTTTTCTATATAGAAGTTTAAAAATTTTTAATGTACTCACATCTGCTAATTTTTTCCTTCTGAATTTTGTCTATTAAGAAAGCCTTTCCTACCTCAAAACTATAAAAATGATTTCATATTTTATAAAACATATAGATCTTCAGCCATCTAAAATTTATGTGGCATATAACAGTATGGTGTGAAAAGATATCCTGTAACAAAAATTTCAAAATAACACTTTAAAGGGATAGCCTCCAATAATCTGGAAAGTTCACATATGCACTTCAGTTTTTGAAACCATGTAATTAATGAAATGTTATATTTAGAAGTATGGAGCTAAGCATTTTGCCCCTTTTAATATCATTTAAAAAGTGGGCCTAAGGATGTACTTTGCATTATTAATGTCAATAAACATTCTAAGTAAGAACCCGAGCACCATGACGTGAAAAGAGAACATGGGACAGGGTCATGCTGAAGCTGCTCAGCAGCACTTGTCTCTCACCAGGACAGTCTCAACCCAGAGGTTTCCTGACTTAGAGAAACAAATAAAAAAATAAAAAGAAAAAATAAAAACTCTTCCTCAAAGGAACAGTAACTTTGAAACCTGATAAATGAAACTTATATCTACCCAGCCAACCACTTAGCTTTCCCTTTCTTTTCTTAGGCAACACCCTGACAGACTTGTTAAAACCATCAATTTTATCTTCTTTCATTCTTTAGAGAAGAATAACATTTTTTAGATTTAAAAATAAAGGATGAGTGAATCTAATTCCTGTAACATTGACTTCTGTCTGAGTTACTCAGCTAGGACTGGGCATTCAAAGGCCTAAGAGTTCATACATGAACACTCCAGTAATTATGGTAGCAGGGTTACTATGGGAAATAGCACTTCCCACTTGAAACTGTACTGATTCATCAAGGCATATTTATCCAGTGCTATCAGGAGCTCCCTAAGTATCAGAAAACATTGCATTTATATTATAATATCTACTACAGCTAAACTCTGTAAGCTAGTTGAGGTATTTAGATATTTTTGTTTTGTTTTGTTTTAAACAGAGTCTCATTCTGTTGCCCTGGCTGGAATGCAGTGGTGTCATCTCAGCTCATTACAATCTCCACCTCCTGGGTTCAAGCGATTCTCATGTCTCAGCCTCCTGAGTGGCTGGGATTACAGGCTCCTGCCACTATGCCCAGCTAATTTTTGTATTTTTAGTAGAGACGGTTTTCACCATGTTGGCCAGGCTGGTCTCGAACTCCTGACCTCAACTGATCTGCCTGCCTTGGCCTCCCAAAGTGTTGAGATTTGTAAGCCACGACACCTGGCCTTAGTTACAGTTCTTTTTGAAATTTGTTAACTTAAGGCTTTATCCTTCCAATATGGAAAAAAAAAAAAAAAAGCAGTGAGTTATCAAGAATTAGGTAAAGGCAGGCTGAGCTGACAAATGCCTTACTGCCTTTTCCTTTTTCTGCATCAGGCAGAAATGCCCCTCAAAAAGACCCAGTATTAAAGGAAAGCTTGAATCTGTTTACCACCAAGAAGAAATAAAGCAGTGGTTCACAAAATGTGGTCCGTGGACCACCAGGGGATCCACGAGGTCAAAACTATTTTTGTAATAACAATAAGATATCATTTGCCTTTTTTACTGTCATTATTTTACAAGCGTTAAGTAGAGTTTTTAGGGGTGACATGATGTGAGATATTGCAATGTGAGTGCAAAAGCGGAGAATCCAGCTGTCTTCTTTTTGCAAAGGGATTTGCAAAAAAAGTAAAACAATACAACTCCTCACTAATTTTTTTCTCTTAGATAATAGAACTGTTTTTTTCTAAATATTATTTAACATATTGGTTTACTATGTTTAATTCATTAATATTTTAAAAAATAGTTTTAATTTCTAATAAGGAATTAAAACTTATATAAACAAAAGCTCTTTGTGGGGGGGGGGGTCTTCGATAATTTTTAAATGTGTAAAAGAGTTCAAAGACTGAGAAGTCTGAGAACTGATGGACAAATGCAAAGTCTTTCTGAATATTTTGTATTAGGACCCAAAATTTCTAGGTGTGCCACTGCTCAACCCTCATGAAGCCATCTTAATGTGTTTTCTTGTCTGGAGTCTGCACATAGAATCCAAACTCATGAAATACACACTGTGTGCCCAAAAAAGTGCTCAGAAATCTGTCTATGAATGTTAGTCTGTTCTTTTGGATAGCATGAAGCTTTTACTTACTTGGGGAAAGAGTGGTCTCTCATCTCTTTTCTTTTTGAGGCACTCTGCCATTAATCTCTTCATGGCTTTTGGACAGTTACTCCGTACCTTACTGAGATCTGGAGACAGGTATCCTCGTCCCACCATAAAAATTATCTGGAGAGAGAAAAAAAAGGGAAATAATTCAACCTTGTAGATAAGTTGAAAAATATACTTCACACTCATTGAAAACACAATAAGCTGTACATTTACAGCTTACGATGTATGTATTACACCTCAATAAAAAGTTTTAAAAAACCAATGCCACATCATAGATGGTGGGAAACCCACAAAAGGAGTGCAAGCTCAAATCTTCATGATCCTTGGACTGTGGCAAAGGTTCTCTAATTGCTCCCCTGCTTTTGGTCTCTCTTTATCCAGTCCATTTTCCCACTCACAGGGTAACCATCTAAAACAGATCTGACAGTGCCTCTTCTTTACTTTAAAAAAAAAAAAAATTTATTCAGCACTTCTTGTTGTTGGACGTTGTGTTAAGTCCTCTATATATGTGTAGGGAAAACCAAAAAGGTTAACATTTTAGCAGTCGTTTTGGCATCTGCATCTTAAGCCCTTTTATTGTGGAAACGCTAATGGGCCACTTGGTTATACAAACCAGAGCCTCCGCCAGAGGAGAGAAGGGGAAGCCATTAGGAGCTAAAATCTGTTTAACGAAATAAAAAGGCTTGTCTTCCCTGGATTCAGAGATTTATAATTTTTTCTAATTTCTTAATTTCCTAATATTTTGCCTCTTTTGAGGGCAGGCAGGGATAGATGTTAGGAGTCTTGGGACTCAGGGAGGACAGCCTGAGAGAAGGGCTTTTGGTCTTAGAGGGAATAGGTGCAACAGGGGGAGAGTAGAGGCTAAAGTGGAGAAAGCCCATAAAAGATCCCTGCTACAGGGCAGAGCTGATGAATTTTAGAAACCGCCAAGCTTGATACATTGTGTTATTTCCTGTTTGGTGCTGTAATGACCCTTGTTTAACTGCCAGGCATTAGTAAAGCTTTGATTGCAATGTGGCCTCTATGTAGTAGAGGTTAAAGGATGAACCTTGGAAAGAGTTACTGAATTGAGGGGATTACAGTTTTCTTTCACAATGCCCCCTACTGAAGCTACACCATCATAACATCATCATTTTAATGGAAGACAGCAGTCTTAGAATTTTGGGAGCAACCTGGAATAATATGTTGGAGCAACAAGTGACAAGCAACAGCCAGGAGAATGTAAAGCACTTCAAACAGGGGTCTTCAAAGTTGAGAGAAAGGATCTGGAGTTCCTATAGTCATATATTATGGACAGCAATTCAGGTATTCTTACTTGGCTATCAGTGGAAAAGGTGGCCCTGAAAGGCCAAAAAACGTTGGGACACTTGGATTCTAGATATCATCTAATACTCAAAAAAGAATTCTACAAGGTTGGTGTTGACTCTGTTTTACAGATAAGGAATCCAATGCTCAAATAAATTAAGTAACTTGCCCGAGATAATACAGTTAAGTAAGTAACAGGATTTGTAGAGAAGACTATCCCAATACAAAGCTACTTTTAACTTTTTTATTGCCGCTGCTCCTACTCTGCTTATAATGCCCTCCCTCACCCTTCTCTAGCTACCTGAAACCCAGATGATCAGGCCTAACTGAAAGGTAACCATGCTTATCATACCTTTCTTTACACACCTAGAAGTAATAATGGTCCTTCTTCCCACCACTAGCTGTGATGATCATTTACTGCCTTGTATGGTTATTAATCTTTTTGTGATATGTATCTTATCTAAGTTCTCCAATGAGACTATGGGTGCTCAGGCAGAGAGATTGTGACTCATACATACATATTTTAAAAAAATTCTTAAAGAAGCCAGGCGTGGTGACTCACGCCTGTAATCCCAGCACTTTGGGAGGCTGAGGAGGGTGGATCATGAGGTCTAGGAGTTCAAGACCAGCCTGGCCAAGATGATGAAACCCCGTCTCTACTAAAAATATAAAAATTAGCTGGGTGTGGCGGTATGTGCCTGTAGTCCCAGCTACGTGGGAGGCTGAGGCAAGGAATTGATTGAACCCAGGAGGCAGAGGTTGCAGTGAGCCAAGATCATGCCACACTATACTCCAGACTGGCCAACAGAGCGAGACTGTCTCAAAAAAAAAAAAATTCTTAAAAAATATCTATAACACCACTACCTCCAGTATTTAACATAACCTTGTGGACACAAGAGGTTTTCAATGTTTAAGTTAACTGTTCATTAAGGTGAGTGATAACTTTTTGCTAGTTGATCAGCCATGTCATAGGTCTATAGTCTTTAAATTAGAGTCAAGTATCCCTGGGGTTACAGGAAGACTTTGCCAGAGGTGTATAGACATGGTGGGGTTTTTTTTGTTTTTGTTTTTTAATTTGAGACAGTCTTGCTCTGTTGCCCAGGCTAGAGTGTAGTGGTGTGATCTCGGCTCACTGCAACCTCCCCTTCCTGGGTTCAAGAGATTCTACTGCCTCAGCCTCCCAAGTAGCTGGGATTACAGGTGCACACCACCATGCCTGGCTAATGTTTCCATTTTTTTAGTAGAGATGGGGTTTCACCATGTTGGCCAGGCTGGTCTCGAACTCCAGACCTCAAGTGATCCACCCGCCTCAGCCTCCCAAAGTGCTGGGGTTACAGGTGTGAACCACCACGCCCAGCCAACATGGTGGTTTTAAGGGAATTAATTTCTACAACTATCAACTTACTGGTATCCCCTTTGAAAAAACTGATTTGCCAGAGAACCACTCAAGTGGAAGTGTAACACTTATCTTGCTTTCCCATTTTCCCTGTTATAACTGCCCTTCTACCACTTTACAAAAGGCACACCTTTAGGACTTCATGTCTAAAACACCAAAAGCAATGGCAACAAAAGCCAAAATTGACAAATGGGATCTAACTAAACTAAAGAGCTTCTGCATAGCAAAAGAAACTACCATCAGAGTGAACAGGCAACCTACAAAATGGGAGAAAATTTTTGCAACCTACTCATCTGACAAAGGGCTAATATCCAGAATCTACAATGAACTCAAACAAATTTACAAGAAAAAAACAAACAACCCCATCAAAAAGTGGGCAAAGGACATGAACAGACACTTCTCAAAAGAAGACATTTATGCAGCCAAAAAACACATGAAAAAATGCTCACCATCACTGGCCATCAGAGAAATGCAAATCAAAACCATAACGACATATCATCTCACACCAGTTAGAATCACAATCATTAAAAAGTCAGGAAACAACAGGTGCTGGAGAGGATGTGGAGAAATAGGAACACTTTTACACTGTTGGTGGGACTGTAAACTAGTTCAACCTTTGTGGAAGTCAGTGTGGCGATTCCTCAGGGATCTAGAACTAGAAATACCATTTGACCCAGCCATCCCATTACTGGGTATATACCCAAAGGACTATAAATCATGCTGCTATAAAGACACATGCACACGTATGTTTATAGCGGCACTATTCACAATAGCAAAGACTTGGAACCAACCCAAATGTCCATCAATGATAGACTGGATTAAGAAAATGTGGCACATATACACCATGGAATACTATGCAGCCATAAAAAATGATGAGTTCATGTCCTTTGTAGGGACATGGATGAAACTGGAAATCATCATTCTTGGTAAACTATCTCAAGAACAAAAAACCAAACACCGCATATTCTCACTCATAGGTGGGAATTGAACAATGAGAACACGTGGACACAGGAAGGGGAACATCACACTCTGGGGACTGTTGTGGGGTGGGTGGAGTGGGGAGGGATAGCATTAGGAGATATACCTAATGCTAAATGATGAGTTAATGGGTGCAGCACACCAGCATGGCACATGTATACATATGTAACTAACCTGCACATTGTGTACATGTACCCTAAAACTTTAATTAAAAAAAAAAAGGCACACCTTTTACCCATATGTAACCTAACTATAGTATACATTGTCCCAGGGTGTAAAAACCTCTGGGGCAACAAAGAGACATTTCTAAATACTGGTGTCAAACTGGGCTCCAACGAATGGGTAACGAGTCTGTTGGTTTCCAATTCTTTACTTTCAAAAATATTAATTGAAATGTCAGCTGAGCTTTTAAAACATTTTTAATGACAAGTTACTATGTAAATTTTGGTACATTATAGGAATGAGCTCAGATGATTGAGTGATATATAGTATGTGGTAAAGAATTAACCTTGCCCAAAGAGAGAGCTAGCCTTTGCTCTTGGCTCCTGGGAGGTAATCACTAAGTCCTTGAAATGTCCTGCCTGATCAGAGTGTCTGTTTATCTGGGGGCCATGGGCCATGCCAGACAGACTGTGCTAACAATGTGATTTATAGAGGGCTCTGGGTCATGTGGCATCAGCTTGACCTCTGCAGGAGCTGGAAACTAAGGTCAGCCCCGCAGGTGGTTAATCATATGACTGAACCCCAATAAAAACTCTAGACTCCAAGGCTCAGGTGAGCTTCCCTGGTTGGCAATAATCCATGTGTGTTGTCACACATTGCTACTGGAAGCTCTGTCCACAACTCCATTGGGAGAGGGTGACAGGAAGCTCCAACAAGAACGCTTCTGAATTCTGTCCTATGAGTCTCTTCCCTTGTTAATTTTGATCTGTATTCTTTCATTGTAATAAACTGTAACTGTGAATGTAACAGTTGTCAGTGAGTCTTGAGCAGCTTTCAGTGAGTTTTCAGCAAGTCCTTTTAACAAACCTGAAGCTGGTCTTGGGGACTACTAAACTCTGCATGTGATTATAACAAAACTCCTGCCTTTGTCATCTTCTTATAATTTAGATAAAATTTCTCAGTATTTACCTCTTTAAAAATGAAATATGGAAAGAATCAATACTAAGTCTTAGTATCTAGTGTCCTAACAAAAAAGTTGTATTTATCCACAGATACATACATTAATTGAAGGGAAAAGAAAAGCCCCATGTCATTCATTAAGATACATATTTCCAATATAATTTTACATTCTATGTTTCCATATATCAAAACTTATATGCTACTTTCATCAGTTATATATTACTTGCAACAAAAACATAATTCAGAATTAAAAAATTAATAATCAGAGCTTGAAGTCACAATTTTGTAAAATTCTAAATTTAAATTTATATACATACTTTTATTGCAGAGATGTAACTTAGGTAATCAATAAAAGGCTTTAAAACATACAAATATGTTACATTAGGATGAAGTTCTGTGACAGAAACAATACAAATAGTTTGAAGAGAAAAAAGGAACCATGTAAAACTTCCAGAAATTAATGAAGAGCTTCAGTATTTTTTAATAGGCATAAAATCGGTATGGTTTTTAGATTTTGATGTATATATTTCAAAAAGAGGGATATATATGTATCTAATATAGTAGTCTTATTTTAAAATGTTAATAGAATATACTGGAAATTACATTCTTTGCAATTATTTAAACTTAAGATAAAAACTTTTAGATGCCAACTTAAAAAATATACAAGGAGATACATAGTTTTTCAAGAGTCTTTCAGGAGGAATGTGAGAAAAAAAATCAAAGACAACTCTCATGTTTTTATACATCCC
Organism: Homo sapiens; assembly: GCF_000001405.40. Taxonomy (NCBI): domain Eukaryota; kingdom Metazoa; phylum Chordata; class Mammalia; order Primates; family Hominidae; genus Homo; species Homo sapiens. The sequence goes on from NC_000007.14 coordinate 140,745,380, forward strand.
ACAGAATTTAGTTAGTGCAGAGCAGAAAGCAGGAAACTTTCAGTATCTGCTGGGGTGGGGTGCAGAGGCTGACTGATGAAGAAACAGAAAGAAGAAAAAAGGGAAGTTTTTCCTGGATGTTATTCATGGACAGAAGATTCATGTGGCACATACACAACGAAACCAATACCCCAGCTTCAAATTCTGGGACTGATTTTTCATACTTTCAATACACACTCAGTACTCCTGGTGTCTCGACCCTGTCAATTCACTCCATGGTATTACTGGAGCTCATGTCTGCTCATTTTCAGTATCACCCCCAGCACGGCCTCAACAGAACTGCACATGCCATTGAGAGCAGAGCCTGGGTTTTGTTTTATTCATTTTGAATCCTTCTATATTCCATAGTGCTTTGCATATAGTTGGTATTGAAAACATTTTCTATTAAAATAATTTGCCTACTGATAAGAGACTAGTACTTACTTCCTGTTTCTTCAGATCTTGTGCTTAGAACCTAGCAACCACGCTGTGAGAAAGACCAATGAAGAGGTCCTTGAAGACCTGCGAAGAGGTCCACAAGGAAAAGCTCATGTGGAGAATAACTGAGCTTCTAGCTTCTAGCTAGCACCAACTTGCCAGGTACATGAATGAGCCACTTCTGAGTAGATCCTTTTAACACCCCGTAAATCTACTCTAGTCAATACGGTGTGAAACAGGTAAGAATCTTCCTCACAGAGAAAAGCCCAACCTACAGATTCATATTTTAAGCTACTACATTCTGGGTGGTTTGTTATGCAGCAATTATAACTGGAATAATACACTTGAAATAACAGATATATGCTATCTATTCTTCAAAGAAGACACGGCACTTCTACTCCAAGGAACGAAAGCCATAAAGGTATAGTCAATATACTTAAGTGAGCACATTATTAATCCCAATTTACAAGAGAAAATGCACTGAAGGAGGGAAGAACAGGGTGATTAGAGAGAAAAATGTTAGAATGATAAAGAGAGTGGGGGGATGACAAAGTGATTTCCCAGACTTTAGTGCTAGGGTGAATAAAGGTAAAAAGGCACACTACTTTGCAAAGAGCTAAGAGAACTATTTTAGAAAAGAATCTGATTTTTGAAGCTGGAAGAAATTCTTAGCCGAATTCCCTTATTTTGCAGGTAATTGAAAAAAGAAAAAAGGCCAGGTGCAGTGGTTCACGCCTGTAATCCCAGCACTTTGGCAGGCTGAGGCGGGCAGATCATCAGGTTAGGAGTTTGAGCCCAGCCTGACCAACATGGTGAAACCCCTGTCTCTACCAAAAATACAAAAAAATTAGCTGGGTGTAGTGCTGCGTGCCTGTAATCCCAGCTACTCGGGAGGCTGAGGCAGAAGAATCGCTAACATGGGAGGCAGAGGTTGCAGTGAGCTGAGATCAGGCCACTGCATTCCAGCCTGGGCGACACAGCAAGACTCCGTCTTGGAAAAAAAAAAAAAGAAAAAAGAAAAAAAAAAGATACCCAGAGAGGTAGGTAGACCTAGTCTACCTACCTGAGTCCAAGGCCTGCCATTACATCACACTGCTTTACCAGCTGTGCTCTGAATTTACAGGCAAAATCTGCCACCTCAGACTATGGGTATGAGAGTCTAGGGGAATGGTATTCACATTGCATAGTAAAGAATATTCCTGGATTCTTAAACAGAAGTCTAATCTGAGAGCTATGGAGATCCAAGTATTATAGATAGCAAAAGAAAAATCAAAGGATGAATGGAGCAATACCTGGGGCAGCTTCACTGAGGATGGCCAGAGTTAACCCTTCAAAATGTGGAGTTTCATAGAAAGTACTATTTGACGTAAGTAGACTAGGGGGTAATGAAGCAGAATGGGGGTAGTTGTAAGAGGACATCATTCTTTTACCTCCTTCTTCTCCATTAAATACTTAACTTGGTTTCAGACTAGCAAATTCCAGAAGGTTCTAACTATACTATTAGAAAGAATTAACTAGTAAAGGCCTTACCCTTCTGTTGGTCACACATTCCTCTCATGGAGAGTAAGCCCTTGCCACATCATTTATTATACTCCCATGGAGGACAAAGCACCTAAAATGCCAAGAAGTGGATGAGAGAAGAACTCTGGGATGCTTTTATCTGTATTTTGGAGATAATACTTGTTTCTATATTATAATTTTATTATTGTACTAAGATAAACGTATTCACTGACAAATGAATTTCATCCAGATCTTAGGTTCATAAATTTTTATTAATTTGTAGTCTATATGATAAATCAACTGAAACTAAACTAAAAATCCATAATTCCTCCAGAAAAATATTATATACAGGAAAAGTGAACATGGTACAGGCTGTTATGCTGTATGATTGAATAAATAAGACTGTAAAAGACAGAGGACATGAAGCTTGTAAATTAGAGACCATTTTGCTACCCCAACTGCCATTGTCAAATCAATCATTTCAGTGATCTAGATCTATCACAAGTACAGTAAGTACAATGTTTCAATTATGTTCTTTAGCTGAAATTTCAGTCCATCCTGAATCTAAGTTTCCTGCAGGCTTAAAACATCAGATCCAAAGTCATGTTGTTACACACTCAAAGCTAAGACTCAACATTCTAAAGCTATGAAGTAGTTAGAAAGGCCAACACCAACTAAAATTTAGTTTTATAATGAACTGGGTAGAAATGTAGCCATTTTTAAAAACCATCAAACACAGTCAAGACCACTGTTGTGTAAGGGGCATATGGTGATTCAGTAAGTACACACACAAAGTACATGGTAACTTAAGAGATTATTTCTCCGATATCACAATAGGTGAAGTGAGAAAGCTACTCAGAGCTAGCACCAAAAAGATAGAGCTGAGCTCTTGACAAAACAGACAAATCACTTAAATGAAGCAGTAACATTTATATACAAAAACTACCATTTCATTAGGTTGGGAAGTTATGAAATACCTAAAAAGCCTGCACTGTTTTTAAAAAAAATCTTTAGATTGGTGATTCTCAACTTTGGTCTGTATTAGAATCACCTGGGAAACAGAAAAAAATGCAGGTGATTGGACCCTCCCCATTTAATTACAATCTGCTCCAGTTTCTCCATTTTTAAGCAAAATTTCCAGGTGATTCTGAGGCAAATCACAGCATAAAGTCGAAATATTCTTTAATCAGAGTTTATGTGGTCAACTAGTGTTTTCTAATATATTAACAGTGTAACTGTTGTAATCTCTCTACACACACAATCACAAATCTTTTAAAATGTAGTTATCCAAGGTAATTTTAGTAAAGATAATTCACTTTTCTTGGCCAATTTTAAAAGTCTAAGCGAGCCTACTGAGGCAGAGATAGAAAAGGCTAAGAGCTCCATGAGGCTATGTTAGTACCTTTTGGAAGGTAAGGGACAGGGAATAGTTGCTTAGGAAGGAAAAGAAGTAAAAAATTACCCTCCTACTAGCATTCTCATTATAGAAAAATCAAAGCATGATTTCTTCCATTTACCTAGTTTTAAAAATTAAAGATTTCAAGAAACCTTAGTAATTTTAAAAGAATTTAATATAAAGATCTCATAGCTGAGTACCTGTTCTGACAGCACAATCTGTGATACAGTGAAAAGTATAATGCCCAGATGCTATAGTAGCAGAGCTCATTCTTCTAATTGTGCGATGGTCAAGAAATATCCATTCTTGTAACTGTAGTTTCTAGTCAGAAAATCAGGAATTTTATTCCATTGTAACATTCATGACTGATATTCTGAGGAAAGGACTTAACGTGTTGCTATTACTGCCAAAAGTATACAAACGATTTCTAAAACTGGTAACAAAAAATCAAGAAATCTATCCTTCACGCTTACCCAGGAGTTAACACTTATTTTCTACAACTGGAGCCTTGTATATAGACGGTAAAATAAACACCAAGACGTGGTAAATATTTACCTGGTCCCTGTTGTTGATGTTTGAATAAGGTAACTGTCCAGTCATCAATTCATACAGAACAATTCCAAATGCATATACATCTGACTGAAAGCTGTATGGATTTTTATCTTGCATTCTGATGACTTCTGGTGCCTGTTAGAACATACAAAGAAAAATATTCTTCACTTCAATTGAATAAAGACTGAAAAACAACCTACTATAATTCCTAGAGCAATGCTTTTACCATTAAAACACCTGTCTAATATGTAATCAATTCTCTTAATAGTCAAAGAAATAAAACTGATTAAGCTGAAGAAAAAAACCTCTACATACTCAGAAAGAGACAGTATTAGCAGAGATTTTGTATTGTATTACTAAGATTTTATAATTTAGTAATTATTTAGGCAATCTTTCTGCAGAAAATACCATCATTGCCAGATGAATTCTTCCCATGACTTACCCTATTAGAATCAGTTCCCACTTCCCATTCCTGATTCAGCAAAGAAATACTAGACTTGTGGTTATAAGATGCTTAGGAGCAGCACAACTACTGTAGTAACTGTCTTACAATTTAAGTTTTCCCATTGGTACAAACAACTTTTCTCATCTGAGGACACCTTAGAAAATAATGGTAGAATTTCAGGACTGATAAACTCAAATCCCCTTTCAAACTATGGAATAAGCATATGGTATAAACATGCCATGGATGCTTTATTAACAAAAGCAAGACAGCAGGTAGATTTAGTAAAAGATGGTATAAAGAATCTTCTGGCTGCTGCTTCTTGGGCAATGAAACAATCATATTTGCTACATTTTTACACATTTCAGTCATTGTATTGCACAATTAGGTTTCTTATTTACATGAAATACAATAAACAGTTGGTTAATTATTAGCTTAAAAGAGTTATTCTTTCACCTTGCGTCTTCTGTATTGTTTCATTTGGAAGGAATCGAAATGGCAGTATATTAATGAAAAGTTTGTGACAATGTCAATTTGACAGCAAAAGTGGTACTAACTCTGCAAAAATGACTGAAAGACCTGGGACAAGATTCCTGGTTATTGCTCTGGGTAAGGCAGGCATCTCACAAGGAGAGGCAATAATGGCACTGAGCAACAGCTGTAAATGAGAATGACCCGCGGAGCCTTAAACCCCTCAACGTCCAGACTACACTCCAGTCCAATCACACAACGTAACAGAGTCTGGGGGTGGGACCCAAACATTAATTAGTCTTTAAAGCTCCACAGATGATTCTAGTGTCCAACCAAAGTTGAGAACCACTGATGGAAGATCTGTGGGATGTCCTGAAGAGCGTGAGAGGATGGAAGTGAAGGAGAAGGTTGTATCTACTTCGCTTTGTCATACATTTTGTTCATAGTTGCTTTTAGTAATACAGTACAAAATAAACCACATATAACTGTGATGTAATAAGCAAGCCAGAATACTGAGAGGCTGGTATGGCAAAGGTATAATGTTCAAAGCCTGACCAATTTTTGTGAGAGATGGAGTAGAAATCAGATGAACTTTTTTTTTTTAATTTAGTTTTATCTCACACTGTTGTTGGTAGACAGTTTGATGAAAAGTTGCATGTCACCTATTTTAAGAAATGCATGACGAATCTTCAATTTAGTGATTTAATTTGTAAAAACTCTCACAAAGGTTTCTTTCTCTCCTAAGATACAAATAAAACAAAGTTGAGAAGAACATTGTATATAATTCAAAGGACCACACAGCCTTAGTTATGACCAAACTCTTCTCTCCTATGATACGGATGTTCCATATTTGTTTCTGAGGGCAGTATCAACCCAGGATTGGTTTAACAATAAAGGGTACTGTTGGCTATTATTCTCTCGTCTTAAAACTCAGCATGAAAGAATAAAGGAGAAACCCATTTACACAGGTATCAACAAAAAATTAATTGTAAGAAAATATAAAACTTTATGTATAATAATCTACAAACTGTATAAACTAAGGTTTTTGAAAAAGTAAGGACAAAACTGGAGACTTGATTGAGCCTAACTCTCCCACATAGTCAAAAATTAACATACTTTAAAAGCACGTGACAATTGTTTATAATTTTAGGTTTTGCAATTTCAGCACTTAAAATCTGTTTTCCCTCATCTTTTTAGGATACACTGCCATCTTTTTCACAAGGTGTGTATGCCTTAATAAAGGTGCCTGACATCAGATTATAGTTATTAATTTTTCTATCACTTATAATTATTAATTAAAAGTTAAACATATGTTAAATAATGGAAAAAATCTAGCTAACTCCAGTCACCGAATCTTAGAAAAAAGGGGCATTGGAAATCTACTAGTCCAACTCAACATTTCAGATGTAGACTTAGAGGAGGTTAAGAAACTTGCAGGTTAATGGCCAAATAGGGTACCAGAATACAGATCTTCTAAGTCCAATGTCCCCTCTTCCACCTTGCCACCTGCCCTAATTCCACTTACTGTCATAAGAAATCACAGCTCAATTTAACTCTAGGTTTATTTTGACAAACTTGGGAGTCCTATCTTGGACTTCCCTTTCTGGAGACTGCTACATAAAGTTTGTGGCTTTGAAAGCCCTTACAACTTTTCTGTTTCCAGCAGGGTGCCCGAAAGTCTTAGTGCAGATTAAGTTATTTAAAGCTTAGAATTGCACTAAGACTTTTGGAAAGGCTGTATTCAGCTTAGAGCTGTGTTTTTCAAACTTTTTGGTCTCAGGACTCTTTTTCACTCTTAAAAATTATTGAGGATGATAAAGAACTTTTGTTTAGGTAGATTATATCTGTGGATGTTTACCATTAAAATTTAATGGAGAAATTAAACTAGTAATTCATTTAACTACTAAAATAATAACAAGTAGATGTTAACACAGATCATTCATTTTTAATGAAAAATAACTATTATCAAAAAAAAGTTTAGTAAGAAGAATAGTACTACAATTATCCTCCTTTTATGGTTTAGAGATGGGGTCTCACTATGTTGAGCAGGCCAGTCAACTCCTGGGATCAAGTGATCCTCCTGCCCTAGCCTCCCAGGTAGCTGGAACTATGGACTCCAGCCACCATGAGTGGCCTGTGATTCTCCTCAATGTCTGGCTTAACAGCAGCCAGCTGGATTCTCATATTTGCTTTTGCACTCAGTCTGTTGCAATGTGTTGTTTTGGTTGAAGGATATAAAGAAAATCTTGTCTCACAAAGGGAAGATCTTGTGGACCCTCTAAAACGGTGTGAGGGACCCTTTTAAGAATGCTGTTTTAGGGAATGATTCATATGACTGAGCTTTCCACAGCTTGCTGCAATGCACACAAGTTTTTGTTCCCTTCTTTTAGAACTTCTCTTTCTTCTTTTCCACAAAGCAAAAAACAAGAAGAAAGAAAGAGCTATGCAAGACAGCACAAGGCTGTTAATCTACCTCTCATTTTTTTTTGTCTTTCCTCTTCCAGCTGCCCCATAATTATGAGATACTTTCTAGTCTAAAGGAAGTAACTTTCCAATTTAGGCTTAAATAAGATTGCGAAACAGCTTCTCTGTTAAAAGGAGTAGTTCTCTTAGCAAAACCATAATAATGGCTGTGGATCACACCTGCCTTAAATTGCATACCTGTTTTTTTTTTCAACAGGGTACACAGAACATTTTGAACACAAAATACTTTAAACAATTTAGAATAAAATATGAAACACTGTTTATAAGACATATATTTTTGTTTGAAATACACTGAAACTGGTTTCAAAATATTCGTTTTAAGGGTTCATATTTATTTAAGAATAAAATATGAAACACTGTTTATAAGACATATATTTTTGTTTGAAATACACTGAAACTGGTTTCAAAATATTCGTTTTAAGGGTAAAGAAAAAAGTTAAAAAATCTATTTACATAAAAAATAAGAACACTGATTTTTGTGAATACTGGGAACTATGAAAATACTATAGTTGAGACCTTCAATGACTTTCTAGTAACTCAGCAGCATCTCAGGGCCAAAAATTTAATCAGTGGAAAAATAGCCTCAATTCTTACCATCCACAAAATGGATCCAGACAACTGTTCAAACTGATGGGACCCACTCCATCGAGATTTCACTGTAGCTAGACCAAAATCACCTATTTTTACTGTGAGGTCTTCATGAAGAAATATATCTGAGGTGTAGTAAGTAAAGGAAAACAGTAGATCTCATTTTCCTATCAGAGCAAGCATTATGAAGAGTTTAGGTAAGAGATCTAATTTCTATAATTCTGTAATATAATATTCTTTAAAACATAGTACTTCATCTTTCCTCTTAGAGTCAATAAGTATGTCTAAAACAATGATTAGTTCTATTTAGCCTATATAACCTGCTTTTAAGATTTTTGGGGCTTGAAATGTGTTAGGATGAGGTGAGATGCTTTCCTAAGTTTATAGGAGAACCTAAAACTTTCCCATTAGATTTTAGCAATGTAGGCCCAGATATTCTCTTGGCACTCCTGGGCGAGCAGTAAAGGCTCTTCATTGGAATGAAGATGCTGCAGATAGTATCTTAGTCTGCACTTAGGGAAGAGAAATATTATGTTTTTCTCACCTCATTGTTATATAATTTAGAGTCTTCAGTTATATCTCAACTACCACTGAGCAAGGTCAGAGGTCTGAAAGGGACTAATAGATAGCTACAAAACTATCAGTTTTATAGTGCTGATAAAATGTAAGCAAGCAATCAAAAACTCCTACTATTGTAAAGACTTCTGATAGATTTTCTTGTAATGTTCAGTTGTCGAGAAACCAAAAGCAGGCTGTGGTATCCTGCTCTCCTATACATGCATGCACAATCCTTTATTAATTCTCTTTACAGTATATCGAACTTAGCATGAAAACTGTTTTTACATAATGTGAAGACAAAATGCAGAAGAAAAAGTCAGGATGTTTTCAAACTTCGCAGACAAATTTCAGGAAGGATACTATTACTCTTGAGGTCTCTGTGGATGATTGACTTGGCGTGTAAGTAACTGAAAAACAAAACATCATTTTAACCTGAGTAGGGCTAAAGGACTCTGGCCTCGAAATCTACAGAACATACTTGGGGGTGTAAAGACTTATTTAGAATCATGATACAACTGAAAATAGTACATTGTAATAAACCCTTCACAGAATATTAAAATAGACTGTAAATGAATTTAAGATTATAGGAACATATCACTATAATGGTACAGTCAAAATCTTGTTTTCTATTAAAAGACTTTGCTTTATCTTTTACTAGTTACCAATACAAACCTTTCACTCCAGTCAAGCCTATTTATCCATGTCCCTTAAATATACCTTGATATTTAATCCCACCACTGTGTTCAATGCTCCCCTCCTACACCCAACCCTCCAAGTTAGCTTTCGTTCTATTTTCCACCTATTCATATCCATCCTTTAAAACTGAATACAAATTCTAACTCCTGAGTGAAGCTTTCCCATGACTAACCGAACTGAAAGTGCTCTTTCACTGCTCAACTTATGTAGTAATTATCATAATAATGGCTTGATTCATGTGTTTTTTCAACGTGCCTATGTTCACTTCTATTTGGAATGTAAACTACTAGAACATGCAGTTTGGTAATTAAAACTATTTTTAAAGGTAGTTGTCATATATTCTTAAAATATTTTCTTAAAACTAGTGAGGAGAAAACTTTCTCTAAAATGGCCATAGTAGGTCTATTTTAAAGTCAACGATAACTTTAAAATCATCTATGTTACCCCTAAAAACTGCTTTAGCTACATTCATTGAAGTAAAAGGCAGCATTGTTGTTGTTGTTTTTGGGGAGACAAAGTCTTACTCTATCACCCAGGCTGGAGTGTAGTGGCACGACCTTGGCTCACTGCAACCTCCACCTCCTGGGCTCAAGAGATCCTCCTGTCTCAAAAGGGCTGTGTCTTGTTTATTTCTTTGTATACCCAGTGCCGAGAACAGTGCTTGGTATGTGTGGTAAGTATTCAATACATGTCTACTGAATCAACTACAATAAGATGCATATAATGTGCTAGTCAAGGTTATTTTTCTTAATTGAATACCGGAGAGAATAGCTATATGACACTTCTGAAATCTGACAATGATCATTAGACAGTTTTACCTTAAAATGAGAATTTAAAATCCAAATGGTATAATCAAAATCATGCAATAAACACTGTTAAAAGTGGAAGATTTGCAAATAACCAAGATTATTCATGCTGTCTCATCTTCATTTAAACGTCCTCATTCTTCCCAATATCAAAAATTTTAAAGTATTTTCTAGATAAAATTTTCATTTCAAATTACTATTTATCTAAAGTAATCCCTTCTCCAATTACTATTCATATCACAGTTTATGTTCTTCATAGCATTTACTACAATTGAAAATTATCTTGTCATGACTTTAGGCTCAGTGTTCTACATCATATTGTCACTCTTTCACTGAAAGAAAATGTTATTTCGGTTATAGGTCTCACTGCTTACAAAGTTCTGCAGTGACATACAAAGTTAAAAACTGGTGGAAATAAATGGGCCCCAATCAAAGCTTTAAGATGGTGAGATCTTGTCTCCATTAGAAAGAAAGGGGGATAAATGATGATGGTGTTGGTTGGTGGAGCTAGGTCCTGCACTCAGAGAGACCTGGGATCTAGTATACAGCCAAGGTGTTGGTCTTTGAAAGGAGGTTCTTTTTCCTGCAAGACTTAAAAACAAAAACAAATGGGCTTCAACCATATCAAAATACAGAGGCATGCTGAAGATAAAAGAGGGGAAGATAAAGGTGTTCTCCATGGGATGGTGTTAATCCTTTCAACAAATTTGATGCAGAGGAATATAGCAAGAATAGAGTAGACAGAAATGTAACTGGGGAGAGTGGGGAGAGAAATTTTCTGACCAGGAAAGCACTAGATAATTAACAAGATATAAATGTAATTGGGGAACCAGTGATATACCCAGCATAGAAGTTATATAGCATAAATTTGTTATAGGCCGAGTTGCATAAAAATACAACCTGAAACAACACTTTATACCTGTGTAATCCTTTATTACTTACAAACTGCTTTGTTAATTTTTATCTCATTGAATAATTCTCTTTCTGTAATCCTTCTGTAACAAAAGCAGCAAAGAGTAGAAGTCCAGGTCTGTAGAATGAAAGGCTGGAAGGAAAAGGGGGTCTAATCCCCCAGCTAGAGAAATGGGATGAGACACAACCGAATCCCTACATAAGATAATGTTTCACAGTAATCACTACCCTAAATAATTCTATATAGGGGGACACTAAAACGTAATTTCCTAAGCACCACCCAGTTACAATGGAAAATGCCAAAAAAAAAACCCAAACAAAAATAACAGAAAACAAATAACTCACATAACTGTTTGGGAGTAGGGAAGGGAACAAGAATATATCAACTTTACTTTGCCATATATGACACAGAAGTCAATCCATTAATTAGGATAATTAGATTGGACCTCCCTCTTTCCTTGGTAAGATGTTAAGGAGAGCATTACAGTTTTACAGAAGTACTAGGAAAGAACAAATATGCTATCAACCAAAGGAACAACACATTCTCTTGATAGGTTTCTCTTAACAGTCTCATTCCTTGAAGAAAAAGTGTCCACCTATAGAACCATTTAATCTTAGAGCTACAAAATCATCTGGTAAAATTTCTTCTCACACTACTTCAAGCTCTTATCCAAGATTCAGCTTTTCCACATTCTTACAGAGCATAATGTGGTGCCCCAAATTAAAAGCAATACTTCAGATCGGATCTAACCAACACAAACTATGGTGAGATCCTCATCTTCATCTCCCACATGGTGGGCATACAACATTAAATCAGACATTATTGTGATTGTTATGGCAGCCAAAGTCATGCTACTGAGTCCAATTAAAATTATATTTAATTACATGCTTCCTGCTGCTGGGTCAAAATTTATGACAATAAATAGAATTTTTAAAAAAGGGCACAAAAAGGATTATATTCAATTACAATCCTAGAATAATTATTCTTGAATTGCTCCTATAAAACATTTTCCCCATCTTATACTTGTATATTTCTCTTTTTTTGGACTTGACTAGGATTTTTTTTTTGAGACAGAGTCTCACTCTGTCACCAGCCTGGAGTGCGGTGGTGCGATATCGGCTCACTGCAACCTCCACCTCCTAGGTTCAAGTGATTCTCCTGCCTCAGCCTCCTGAGTAGCTGGGACTACAGGCGCGCGCCACCATGCCCAGCTAATTTTTGTGTTTTTAGTAGAGATGGGGTTTCACCATGTTGGCTAGGATGGGCTCAGTCTCTTGACCTCGTGATCTGCCTGCCTCAGCCTTCCAAAGTGCTGGGATTACAGGCGTGAGCCACCACGCCCAGCCTTAGGATTTTAAATTTTGTAGACATGGTCTATAATTTCAGATTAAAACTTTAGCTTTCACTAAAAAAGTCGGTTTTTTCTTGCCTGCTTCATTTTTCTTTAATAAAACATAGGTTATTTTTATTTTCTTGTTTCAAGAGTCTTACGTGAGAGCTGAAAAAAGGAGATTTTTAAAGATCGGCATGCTAATAATTCCTCACATAAGTTACTTCTAAATACGTAATTATATTCAAGAGAGGACTGAGGATAGGAATCTCATTATAGTTTGCTGTCTTCAGGTATGATCATTCATCCAGTATGAACCCAGTTAAATCCTGTCATTCATGTTACATCACTTGATCTTATCCTTAAGAAAACAATGAGAGATTATCATTAAAATGCCTATTGATAATATTGCTATGCCATTTGGCTAATTTATCAACTTAGCTTATTTGTAAAAGCCACTAGCATCTCTCACTTAAGTCTGCTGCCATTTTCAAGTATTTTAAACTCTTGGTAAAACACAGAACTGACCTACTTAGACATTTGCATGTCAGCCCTCTTTCACCTAATACTGCACAATTTTACAAAGGTTCATCAGACTTTAGGCAGCAAGATGAGTCTCTCCTTGGGTGACCACCTGGACTGGTAGGTATGATAGTGGTGACAGTGCCAAATTACAGCCTTCCTTATACTTTGATGCCCTCTGCTCCCTTATTACAACCCTGGAAAGTAAGATTAACGAGAATGGCATTCTGTTACTTCTCTGTAGTCAGTAATCATTTATCACTTTAAAAATAATTAAAATATCGAATAGGTAAAGTTCACATATTTTAAAGTTATGCTCCATAGTGGCCTAAATTCTATTTTTGCCTTGATTTTTTAGTTTCCTTCACTTTTTTTTTTGGAGACAGGGTGTTGCTCTCTTGCCCAGGCTGGAGTACAGTGGCATGATCACAGCTCACTGCAGCCTCAACCTCCTGGGCTCAAGAGATCCACCCAACTCAGCATCTTGTGTAGCTGGGACTACAGGTGGGCGCCACCATGCCTGGATAATTAAAAAACTGCTTTGTATAGATGGGTCTCACTATGTTGCCCAGGCTGGTCTTGAACTCCTGGGCTCAAGCCATCCTCCCACCTCGGCCTCCCGAAGTGCTAGAATTATAGGTGTAAGCCATCAGGTATTTTTCACTTTTAAAAACTGAAATTTACTGAGGTACAGTTTACACACAAGATGCACCCATTTTACATGGACAGTTTTAAAAGTTTCAACACACACATACACTTGTGTAATGACCAGTCACAATCAATATAAAGAATATCCGTCACCCCAGAAAGTTTCTTCATACATTTTTGCGATTAGTAACACCCCCTTTAGGCTTGGGAAACCATTGATAATGACTTCTGTCACTACAGATTAATTTTGCCTTTTCTCAAATTTCATATAAACAGAATCACCTGGCTTCTTTTGCGCAGCAAAACAATTGTGAGATTCACGCACTGGCTGCATGCAGTGTTACGGGGTATGGGTATATCACAACTTATCTATTTACTTATTGGACACTGTGTTGTTCCTAGTTTGTGGCAAATATGAAGAAGATGCTGTATTCATATACAAGTCTTTGTTGTTGACTGATGGTTTCATTTATTTTGGGTAATTAGGTAGGATTAGAATTGCACAAATGGTAAATTTAACTTTAAAAGAAACTGCCAACCTGATCCCTAAAATGGCTGTATCATTTAAAATCTTTACCAGCAATGTATGAGAGTTCCAGTTGTTCTTTATCCTTGATAATACTTTGTATTGCTGGTTCTGATTATAGGTTATTTATTTATTTAAGATGGAGTTTTGCCCTTGTCACCCAGGCTGGAGTGCAATGGCACGATTTTGGCTCACTGCAACCTCTGCCTCCCGGGTTCAAGTGATTCTCCCGCCTCAGCCTCCCAAGTAGCTGGGATTACAGGCAAGTACCACCACGTCCAGCTAATTTTGTATTTTTAGTAGAGATGGGGTTTCACCATTTTGGTCAAGCTGGTCTTGAACTCCCGACCTCAAGTGATCCATCTGCCTTGGCCTCCCAAACTGCTGGGATTAGAGGCGTGAGCCACCACACCCGGCCCTGATTACAGGTATTTTAAATGACTTGTCCAACCACGAAACACCAAAGAAGGAGAGGAGGAACCAGCTGAGGAGTAGACAGTGAGTAGAAGGGTAATCAGGAGAATATGCCTGAAAGCAGTGTTTCTCACACTTTAATATGGACACGAATCATTTGGGGATCTTGTTAAAATGCAGTCTTTGATTCAGGTCTGGGGTGGTATCTAAAACTTAGCATTTCTAAAAGGCTCCCAGGTGGTACAGATGCTACTCAGACCACATTCTGAGCAGCAAGAAACTAAGAACACAATTAAACAAGGGATTAAGAACCTGTTTCATGAAGAAGTGTGTGATCAACTGTATCAGATGTTTCTGACAGGTCAAATAAACTGTGGACTGAGAATTTTACTGCTGGATCTAGCAACATGGAGGCCACCAGTAACTATCATATTAAGACGCTGTTTCCTGGCTAGGCACAGTGGATCATGCCTGTAATTCCAGCACTTTGGGATGCCGAGATGGGCAGACCACTTGAGGTCAGGAGTTCCAGACCAGCCTGGCCAACATAGTGAAACCCTGTCTCTACTAAACATACAAAAATTAGCTGGGTGTGGTGGTGTGCACCTGTAATCCCAGCTACTTGGGAGACTAAGGCAGGAGAATCACTTGAACCCTGGAGACAGAGGTTGTAGTGAGCTGAGATCATGCCATTGTACTCCAGCCTGAGGGACAGAGTGAGACTCTTCCTTGAGAGAGAGAAAAAAAAAAAAAAAAAAGATGTTTTCTGGAGCAGCAGGGGCAAAAGCCTGGTTTGAGTGGGGTCCAAGATAAAAAGGAAGGAGAGCAACTGGACAGTGAATACCAACAAGTCTTTTGAGAAGTTTTACTGTCGAAGGAAGAAGAGGAATGAGGTAATAACTGAAGAGAGAAGCAGGATTAAGGGAGGGACCCCAAAAGTTTTTTTTAATGAAAATAATAAAAAATTTAGACGAATGTATAACTAGAATAACCAGTGTAGAGAAGTGCTTAAAGGAGCTGATGGGGCTGAAAGCCAAGGCTCGAGAACTATGTGAAGAATGCAGAAGCCTCAGGAGCCGATGCGATCAACTGGAAGAAAGGGTATCAGTGATGGAAGATGAAATGAATGAAATGAAGCGAGAAGGGAAGTTTAGAGAAAAAAGAATAAAAAGAAACGAACAAAGCCTCCAAGAAATATGGGACTATGTGAAAAGACCAAATCTACGTCTGATTAGTGTACCTGAAAGTGACGGGGAGAATGGAACCAAGTTGGAAAACACTCTGCAGGATATTATCCAGGAGAACTTCCCCAATCTAGCAAGGCAGGCCAATGTTCAGATTCACGAAATACAGAGAACGCCACAAAGATACTCCTTGAGAAGAGCAACTCCAAGACACATAACTGTCAGATTCACCAAAGTTGAAAGAAGGAAAAAATGTTAAGGGCAGCCAGACAGAAAGGTCGGGTTACCCACAAAGGGAAGCCCATCAGACTAACAGCGGATCTCTCAGCAGAAACTCTACAAGCCAGAAGAGAGTGGGGGCCAATATTCAACATTCTTAAAGAAAACAATTTTCAACCCAGAATTTCATATCCAGCCAAACTAAGCTTCATAAGTGAAGGAGAAATAAAATACTTTACAGACAAGCAAATGCTGAGAGATTTTGCCACCCCCAGGCCTGCCCTAAAAGAACTCCTGAAGGAAGCACTAAACATGGAAAGGAACAAGTGGTACCAGCCACTGCAAAATCATGCCAAAATGTAAAGACCATCGAGACTAGGAAGAAACTGCATCAACTAACGAGCAAAATAACCAGCTAATATCATAATGACAGGATCAAATTCACACATAACAATATTAACTTTAAACGTAAATGGACTGAATGCTCCAATTAAAAGACACAGACTGGCAAACTGGATAAAGAGTCAAGACCCATCAGTGTGCTGCATACAGGAAACCCATCTCACATGCAGAGACACACATAGGCTCAAAATAAAAGGATGGAGGAAGATCTACCAAGCAAGTGGAAAACAAAAAAAGGCAGGGGTTGCAATCCTAGTCTCTGATAAAACAGACTTTAAACCAACAAAGATCAAAAGAGACCAAGAAGGCCATTACATAATGGTAAAGGGACCAATTCAACAAGAAGAGCTAACTATCCTAAATATATATGCACCCAATACAGGAGCACCCAGATTCATAAAGCAAGTCCTTAGTGACCTACAAAGAGACTTAGACTCCCACACAATAATAATGGGAGACTTTAACATCCCACTGTCAACATTAGACAGATCAACGCGACAGAAAGTTAATAAGGACACCCAGGAATTGAACTCAGCTCTGCACCAAGGGGACCTAATAGACATCTACAGAACTCTCCACCCCAAATCAACAGAATATACATTTTTTTCAGCACCACACCACACCTATTCCAAAACTGACCACATACTTGGAAGTAAAGCTCTCCTCAGCAAATGTAAAAGAACAGAAATTATAACAAACTGTGTCTCAGACCACAGTGCAATCTAACTAGAACTCAGGATTAAGAAACTCACTCAAAACCACTCAACTACATGGAAACTGAACAAGCTGCTCCTGAATGACTACTGGGTACATAACGAAATGAAGGCAGAAATAAAGATGTTCTTTGAAACCAATGAGAACAAAGACACAACATACCAGAATCTCTGGGACACATTCAAAGCAGTGTGTAGAGGGACACTTATAGCACTAAATGCCCACAAGAGAAAGCAGGAAAGATCCAAAATTGCCACCCTAACATCACAATTAAAAGAACTAGAAAAGCAAGAGCAAACACATTCAAAAGCTAGCAGAAGGCAAGAATTAACTGAAATCAGAGCAGAACTGAAGGAAATAGAGACAAAAAAACCCTTCAAAAAATTAATGAATCCAGGAGCTGTTTTTTTTTTTTTTTTTTTTTTAATTGATCATTCTTGGGTGTTTCTCGCAGAGGGGTATTTGGCAGGGTCATAGGACAATAGTGGAGGGAAGGTCAGCAGATAAACAAGTGAACAAAGGTCTCTGGTTTTCCTAGGCAGAGGACCCTGCGGCCTTCCGCAGTGTTTGTGTTCCTGGGTACTTGAGATTAGGGAGTGGTGATGACTCTTAAGGAGCATGCTGCCTTCAAGCATCTGTTTAACAAAGCACATCTTGCACCGCCCTTAATCCATTTAACCCTGAGTGGACACAGCACATGTTTCAGAGGGCACAGGGTTGGGGGTAAGGTCACAGATCAACAGGATCACAAGGCAGAAGAATTTTTCTTAGTACAGAACAAAATGAAAAGTCTCCCATGTCTACCTCTTTCTACACAGACACGGCAACCATCCGATTTCTCAATCTTTTCCCCGCTTTTCCCCTCCTTCTATTCCACAAAACCGCCATTGTCATCATGGCCCGTTCTCAATGAGCTGTTGGGTACACCTCCCAGACGGGGTGGTGGCCGGGCAGAGGGGCTCCTCACTTCCCAGTAGGGGCGGCCGGGGAGAGGCGCCCCTCACCTCCCGGACGAGGCGGCTGGCCGGGCGGGGGGCTGACCCCCCAACCTCCCTCCCGGACGGGGTGGCTGGCCGGGCGGGGGGCTGACCCCCCCCACCTCCCTCCTGGACAGGGCGGCTGGCCGGGCAGGGGGCTGACCCCCCCACCTCCCTCCCGGACGGGGCAGCTGGCTGGGCAGAGGGGCTCCTCACTTCCCAGTAGGGGCGGCCGGGCAGAGGCGCCCCTCACCTCCCGGACGAGGCAGCTGGCTGGGCGGGGGGCTGACCCCCCCACCTCCTTCCCGGACGGGGCGGCTGGCCCAGGAGCTGGTTTTTTGAAAGGATCAACAAAATTGATAGACCACTAGCAAGACTAATAAAGAAGAAAAGAGAGAAGAATCAAATAGATGCAATAAAAAAATGATAAAGGGGATATCACCACCAATCCCACAGAAATACAAACTACCATCAGAGAATACTACAAACACCTCTATGCAAATAAACTAGAAAATCTAGAAGAAATGGATAAATTCCTCGACACATACACTCTCCCAAGACTAAACCAGGAAGAAGTTGAATCTCTGAATAGACCAATAACAGGATCTCAAATTGTGGCAGTAATCAATAGCTTACCAACCAAAAAGAGTCCAGGACCAGACGGATTCAAAGCTGAATTCTACCAGAGATACAAGGAGGAACTGGTACCATTCCTTCTGAAACTATTCCAATCAATAGAAAAAGAGGGAATCCTCCCTAACTCATTTTATGAGGCCAGAATCATCCTGATACCAAAGCCAGGCAGAGACACAACCAAAAAAGAGAATTTTAGACCGATATCCTTGATGAACATTGATGCAAAAATCCTCAATAAAGTACTGGCAAACCGAATCCAGCAGCACATCAAAAAGCTTATTCACCATGATCAAGTGGGCTTCATCCCTGGGATGCAAGGCTGGTTCAACATACGCAAATCAATAAATGTAATCCAGCATATAAACAGAACCAAAGACAAAAACCACATGATTATCTCAATAGATGCAGAAAAGGCCTTTGACAAAATTCAACAACCCTTCATGCTAAAAACTCTCAATAAATTAGGTATTGATGGGACGTATCTCAAAATATTAAGAGCTATCTATGACAAACCCACAGCCAATATCATACTGAATGGGCAAAAACTGGAAGCATTCCCTTTGAAAACTGGCACAAGACAGGGATGCCCTCTCTCACCACTCCTATTCAACATAGTGTTGGAAGTTCTGGCCAGGGCAATCAGGCAGGAGAAGGAAATAAAGGGTATTCAATTAGGAAAAGAGGAAGTCAAATTGTCCCTGTTTGCAGACGACATGATTGTATATCTAGAAAACCCCACTGTCTCAGCCCAAAATCTCCTTAAGCTGATAAGCAACTTCAGCAAAGTCTTGGGATACAAAATCAATGTACAAAAACCACAAGCATTCTTATACACCAATAACAGACAAACAGAGAGCCAAATCATGAGTGAACTTCCATTCACAATTGCTTCAAAGAGAATAAAATACTTAGGAACCCAACTTACAAGGGATGTGAAGGACCTCTTCAAGGAGAACTACAAACCACTGCTCAATGAAATAAAAGAGGATACAAACAAATGGAAGAACATTCCATGCTCATGGGTAGAAGAATCAGTTATCATGAAAATGGCCATATTGCCCAAGGTAATTTACAGATTCAATGCCATCCCCATCAAGCTACCAATGACTTTCTTCACAGAACTGGAAAAAACTACTTTAAAGTTCATATGGAACCAAAAAAGAGCCCGCATCACCAAGGCAATCCTAAGCCAAAAGCACAAAGCTGGAGGCATCACACTACCTGACTGCAAACTATACTACAAGGCTACAGTAACCAAAACAGCATGGTACTGGTACCAAAACAGAGATATAGATCAATGGAACAGAACAGAGCCCTCAGAAATAACGCCACATATCTACAACTATCTGATCTTTGACAAACCTGAGAAAAACAAGCAATGGGGAAAGGATTCCCTACTTAATAAACGGTGCTGGGAAAACTGGCTAGCCATATGTAGAAAGCTGAAACTGGATCCCTTCCTTACACCTTATACAAAAATTAATTCAAGATGGATTAAAGACTTAAACGTTAGACCTAAAACCATAAAAACCCTAGAAGAAAACCTAGGCATTACCATTCAGGACATAGGCATGGGCAAGGACTTCATGTCTAAAACACCAAAAGCAATGGCAACAAAAGCCAAAATGGACAAATGGGATCTAACTAAACTAAAGAGCTTCTGCACAGCAAAAGAAACTACCATCAGAGTGAACAGGCAACCTACAAAATGGGAGAAAATTTTCGCAACCTACTCATCTGACAAAGGGCTAATATCCAGAATCTACAAAGAACTCAAACAAATTTACAAGAAAAAAACAAACAACCCTATCAAAAAGTGGGCAAAGGACATGAACAGACACTTCTCAAAAGAAGACATTTATGCAGCCAAAAGACACATGAAAAAATGCTCATCATCACTGGCCATCAGAGAAATGCAAATCAAAACCATAATGAGATACCATCTCACACCAATTAGAATGGCAATCATTAAAAAGTCAGGAAACAACAGGTGCTGGAGAGGATATGGAGAAATAGGAACACTTTTACACTGTTGGTGGGACTGTAAACTAGTTCAACCTTTGTGGAAGTCAGTGTGGCGATTCCTCAGGGATCTAGAACTAGAAATACCATTTGACCCAGCCATCCCATTACTGGGTATACACCCAAAGGATTATAAATCATGCTGCTATAAAGACACATGCACACGTATGTTTATTGCGGCACTATTCACAATAGCAAAGACTTGG
This sequence comes from Homo sapiens, assembly GCF_000001405.40. Classification (NCBI taxonomy): domain Eukaryota; kingdom Metazoa; phylum Chordata; class Mammalia; order Primates; family Hominidae; genus Homo; species Homo sapiens. Next base: position 140,766,042 of record NC_000007.14, read on the forward strand.
AACCAACCCAAATGTCCAACAATGATAGACTGGATTAAGAAAATGTGGCACATATACACCATGCAGCCATAAAAAATGATGAGTTCATGTCCTTTGTAGGGACATGGATGAAATTGGAAATCATCATTCTCAGTAAACTATCGCAAGGACAAAAAACCAAACACCGCATGTTCTCACTCATAGATGGGAATTGAACAATGAGAACACATGGACACAGGAAGGGGAACATCACACTCTGGGGACTATTGTGGGGTGGGGCAGGGGGGAGGGATAGCATTAGAAGATATACCTAATGCTAAATGACGAGTTAATGGGTGCAGCACACAAGCATGGCACATGTATACATATGTTACTAACCTGCACATTGTGCACATGTACCCTAAAACTGAAAGTATAATAATAAAAAAAACAAAACAACAACAAAAAAGAAAATAAACATACAGAAAAATGGAAAGAATACCCACACACCTTCCACATAGATTCCACAAATGTCAACATTCTGCCAAATGTGCATAAGAAAGATGTTTCATTATTACTGTTACTTCTTAATTTTTTTTTTGAGACAGGGTTTCACTCTGTCGCCCTGGCTGGAGTGCAGTGGTGCAATCTCCACTCACTGCAACCTCAGCCTCCCGAGTAGCTGGGACCACAGACATACACCACCACATCTGGATAATTTTTGTATTTTTTGTAGAGACGGGTTTTGCCATGTTGCCTAGGGTGGTCTCAAACTCCTGGGCTCAAGTGATCCACCAGCCTCAGCCTCCTAAAGTGCTTGGATTACAAGTGTGAGCCACCACACCTGCCCTACTTTTAAATTTTACTTTAGTTTTCTGAGACAAGGACTCACTCTGTTACCCAAGCTGGTCTCCAACTCCTGAGCTCAAGTGATCTTCCCACGTTAGCTTCCCAAAGGGCTGGGATTACAGGTGTGAACCACTGCACTCAGTGAAAGATGTTTTATTTATTTACTTATTTTTGAGACAGAGTCTTGCTCTGTCACCCAGGCTGGAATGCAGTGGCGCGATCTTGACTCTCTGCAGCCTCATCTTCCCAGGCTCTAGAGATCCACTTGTCTCAGCTTCCCAAGTAGCTGGGACCACAGGCACAGACCACCACGCCTGGCTAATTTTTGTATTTTTTGGTAGAGATGGGTTCCACTATGTTGCTCAGTCTGATCTTGAACTCCTGAGCTCAAGCAATCCACCCGCCTCAGCTTCCCGAAGTGTTGGGATTACAGGCATGAACCACCGTGCCCAGCCAAAAGATGTTTTAAAATAGGAGAAAATTCAGTAGGAAAGGAAAAACTGATGATAAACAAGATGGGAGATTTACTCAAAAGATGTCTCTGGGTAGGGGTAAGGGGATGGAATCTAGTGTACAAATGGAGGGATTGGCTTTTACTAGTGATAAGGCAGAAGAACCTGGTATGAATGCAGGCAGGTGGGTAGATGTCATAATGGTTACTTCCAACTGTCTTAAAGAGATGGCAAGCAATGTCATCGCTGATTTCTTGAAGAAGAGGTTTTAGAGGCTTAAGGATATGAGGTTTTGAGGCGGTATGACAGTGTCTAAAAGAGGACAGTGAATGAACTAGGAAACTGAAAGTGTAACTGCCCTATAACATTAAGGGTCTACTTGAAGTTTTCGAAGGGACTGAATAAGTTGGGGAAGCAACATGCTTTAATGGTTAAAGGAATACACCCTGGAGCTGAAGTACCTGGGGCAAGTTACTTGCCCCTTCCATAACCAGGTTTCTTCATCCATAAAACAAGGATATAATAAAAGCTGCAACCTCACAGGGTTGTTGAGGAGTAAATGAGGTAATGTATATAAAGTACACAGAATGTCTGACACATAGTAAGTGCATATCATTGCTAAATACATTACAGTATATTTTAAGAAACCCCACAGAACATAGTTGGCATAAAGAAAAAGGGGAGACAGTGAGTTAACAGTATGTAGCAGAGCTGGTATCAGATATTTATTGACCAGTAGAGATATTTAAGAGTAAAAAGGAAAACCCAGTATGATTTAAAACAACAGCAAGAAACCATTGTGTATAGTATTAAAACACATCATTCTGAAAGGATACACAATACACATCAAAATATTAATGACAGTTATCTCTTGATGGTGGATTACTGGTGCTTTTTATTTATGTTTACATTTTCTGAATTTCCTATAATGATTACATATTTCCTCGTAACATGATTTTGAAATTTTAAAAAAACTGCAGTAGCAAAGGATAATGTCACTCATATTCTTACCATAATCAGACCCATTAAAACTTTTATACATTTGCCTCCTGCTACAGTTTGAATATGGCTTGTCCCCACAAAACTCATGTGGAGGCTTGGCCCCAGTGTAATGGTGTTGAGAGTTGGTGGGACCTTTAAGAGGCATTTGGGTCTGGGTCATGAGGAATGCCCTCATGAAAGCAGGAGTCACTGACTTCTTTTTTTCTTTGAGTCAGGGTCTCACTTTGTCACCCAGGCTGGAGTGCAGTGGACTCAATCATGCCTCACTGTAGCCTCAAACTTCTGGGCTCAAGTGATCCTCCTGCCTCAGCCTCCAGAGTATCTGGGGCTACAGGAGTGTGCTACCATGCTTGGCTAATTAAAAAAAATTTTTTTGTAGAGATGAGGTCTTACTATGTTGTCCAGGCTGGTCTCAAACTCCTGGGCTCAAGCAATCCTCCCTCCTCAGCCTGCCAATATGCTAGTAGTACAGGCATGAGCCACCACACCTGGCCAGGAGTGACTTCTACAGTTACTGTGAAAGGGGGTTGCTATAGAGTGAGGCTGTCCCTTGTGTTCTGCCCCTTTTGTGTGTGCCCACTCCCTCTTCTGCTTCTCCACCATGTTACCATGCAGTAGGAAAGCCCTCACCAGAAGCCCAGCAGATGTTAGCACCAATGCCCTTGGACTTCCCAGCCTCTAGAACTATGAGAAATAAGTTTCTTTTTGCAGAAAACAACAAATTACCCAGCCTCAGGTATTCTGTTATAGTAAAGAAAATGGACTAAAACACCTCCAGTCTTTTTTTTTTTTGAGACAGAATCTCGCTCTGTCACCTAGGCTGGAGTGCAGTGGTGCCATCTTGGCTCACTGCAACCTCCGTCTCCTGGGTTCAAGCGATTCTGTTGCCTCAGCCTCCCAAGTAATTGGGATTACAGGCACCGGCCACCATGCCCAGCTGATTTTTTGTATTTTTAGTAGATATGGTGTTTCACCATGTTGGCCAGGCTAGTCTCGAACTCCTGTCCTCAAGTGATCCACCTGCCTTGGCCTTCCAAGGTGCTGGAATTACAGGCATGAGCCACCGTGCTTGGCCACCTCCAGTCTTTTTTCAAAGTTTGTACTTGATTCCTGGAGATAATCACTATGTTACTTGATCTTTGCTTTCTAATCCTTATTTCAGTACTTTTACATATATACATACACACCACTTTTTAAAGCCCAAATGTAAAAAATGTTCTGCTTAAAAATTTTTAAGTGGTCTCATGCTGCAGCTTGCTTTTCTCACTTAACATTAATATTTTAAAGCTTTATGTTGATACATATATAATCCACTTTTAACTACTATATACGATTCTACTGTATGTAAGTGCCAATATGTTATTTATCAAGTCTTCTCCTGATGAACATGTTTCCAATTTTTCAATAAGTTTTTCTTTTTTTAAAAAAATGTCCTTAATGTTTTAAGTTTTACATAGAGTCAGGGTCGCACAGTGTCATCCAGGCTGGTCTCAAACTCCCGGCCTCAAGTGATCCTATTACCCTAGTCTTCCAAAGTGCTGGGATTAGAGGCATGAGCCACTGCATCCAGACCAATTTTTCACTATTATATTGTTTCCTATAATACATCTCTTTCTGTATACACGACTTGGAACAAAAGCTAATGTTTCTTGGGGTTAGAATAAGCATTTTCCTATTTTAACAGCTACTTCCAGAATGCTGTTAAGGTGGCTGGTTGCATCAGAAATGACCCAGGAAGCAATTCCTCTAATCCTATGAACATTTGATCTTATCAGAACTCAGGCATTTTGCCAATTCCAGTGGGTGGAAAGTGGTACCTTTTTGTTTTACCTTGCATTTTCTGATTATTATTATTATCAGCACCCTATTATTATTTTTACCGACCAGAAAATTATGTTCACTATAATTAAATATTCTTCGGCCACTTAGAATTATTATCAATCACTAATACATGTTCACCATTTTTTCAGCTTTAATTAGTCCTTCTATCTTCAACTGGGTTCACTTATGAGTAAAAGAGGCATGCTCATCATTGTTTAAAACAAAGTAAATTGTAAGGATTTATCTCCAAATTATTTTTAATCATCTTATTTTGAGAATATAATGCTTCTGTAAATATATCGATAGGCTGTAACTTTTTCTATGTGCCTCTGTGATTTAATTTTTTGATAAAGTTAAATTCAAAATCATACCATAAATATTATACTGAAATTATAAGGCCTGCCAAAAAAAAAAAAAAAAAAAGGCACAATGTACTGACCATTCCTGGAATTTCTTTAGTAACAGTATTCTTAAGATATCTGGGTCCTTGGGATGAATCAATGACTGGCAGGTGAAAAGATGATAAAACAGGCCAGGTGCAGTGACTCACGCCTGTAATCCCAGCACTTTGGGAGGCCGAGGCGGGCAGATCACTTGAGGTCAGGAGTTCAAGACCAGCCTGGCCATCATGGTGAAAACCCGTTTACTAAAAATACAAAATTAGCCAGGTGTGGTGGTGGGTGCCTGTAATCCCAGTTACTCAGGAGGCTGAGGCAGGAGAATCGCTTGAACCTGAGAGGCGGAGGTTTCAGTGAGCCAAGGTCGTGCCACTGTACTCCAGCCTGGGTGACAGTGAGATTCCATCTCAAAAAAAAAAAAAAAAAACCAAAAAAGAAGATGATAAAACATACTTTACCAACCCTGATTCCTCAGAGTGAGTTTATAATTATCTACCATTAGAACAGCTCTGCTCCTTTTCAAGTAAACCTAGGAATCAGAAATAGTTTTTCACTGAGGTACAAATGGAAGATATAACCACACAGGAAAAATGTTACCTATCCATTTTTTGCTTATATTCTGTAATCCAATAAAGGTGACACATTTGAAAGTCCTAATGATTCAACTTTTCTAATTATTCTTATTTATTTTTGAGACAGGGTCTTGCTCTGTCATCCAGGGCGGAGTGTAGTGGCACGATCATGGCTCACTGCAGCCTCGACTTCCTGGGCTCAAGTGATCCTCCCACCTCAGCCTCCCAAGTAGGTGAGAACACAGGTGCACACCATCACATCCAGCTAATTTTTGTATTTTTTGTAGAGACGGGGTTTTGCCGTTGCCCAGGCTGGTCTTGAACTCCTTGGCTCGGGCAATACTCCTGCCTTGGCCTCACAAAGTGCTGGGATTACAGGTGTGAGCCACCGTGTCCAGACTAACTTTTCTAATTATTAAAGGTTTTATCTTATGAGTTAACTGCAACCTTAGCACTTTATAAAATGAATCCGTTTGTTCCTATTCTGCTTATATCCAGAGACTTTAGAATGAATTTTGGTGAGCAGTCAGAAAAGATCACTTTCAACATAGGGCAGGCTATTCTGAAATAAAGGCTTTGCAAAAGTACATATTAAGAGGCTATTTAAATACCCTATAGCCTTATTGTCTAGCTATAGACTATATCTGGCTTGGTCAGTCCTTTGTGAGATGATGCTGGTCAGGGAAGAGGATATAGACATGAAGAGTTGAAAGGAGGCACAGTAAGATGGTGGCTGTGATGGTCACAGAGAATTATCATTTGTGCTCAGGGTAGAGCCAGGGGACAGAAGGAAAGAGAGCTGGAGGGAGCTAAGAAGCAATATTAATTATCCAAGCAGGCTTCTAACTGGGAATAGCTTCTGGAGATAATTCCAAAACAAAGCCCTCAAGATGAAACTATGGTTGGCATTCAAGATGAACAGTATTGGAAATAGGGAGGAAAAATTAGGTATGTAAGGAATTCCATCTGTGCCATTTGATCCATGGGAATAGATAGGGGGAAATTAAAACAGAGAACCAAACATGAGGCTGAAATGAGTGACCAGAAGTCAAAAGATATGTTAAAATCTGTTACAAAATCAGCAGCAACAGTTAGGATTTGAAGAACCAGTTCATGACCCCTAGGACCATCCTGTTTGTTCTAACATCTGTCAGCCTGATTAAAACAGATTGTTTAACTACAACAACAACAACAACAACAACAACAACAACAACAACAACAAAGTTCAATCAAATGTACTGAAAATAGGCCGGGCCTGGTGGCTTACATCTGTAGTCCCAGCACTGTGGGAGGCGGAGGCAGTGGCTCGCTTGAGCCCAGGAGTTTGAGACCAGCCTGGGTGACATGGCGAAACTCTGTCTCTACAAAAAATACAAAAACATGAGCCAGGTGTGATGGTGCGCCCTTGTAGTCCCAGCTACTAGGGAGACTGAGGTGGGAGGATCACTTGAGGCAGAGGTTGCAGCGAGCTGAGAGAGTGTCGCTGCGCTCCAGCCTGTCCAGCCTGGGTGACAGAGGAGTGAGACTCTGTCTCAAAATTTAAAAAAAGTAGTGAAAATAGTGTGCTTTAGTCATTGACACTAGAGAAGAAAACAGGAATATCCACTTCAAGACTCACTGATGCAATCTGGTTATGTGTTCCAATTAATTATACATATTTTATGTAACTTGGTTTGTAAAAAATTTATCTAAGTGTCCCTTCCGAATTATGTTGCATAATATAGGAATTTAATATTAAACCATATAGTGTTTAACATAATAGTTTTAAAACTTTTTTTGCTGAACACCCCTTAAAAGAATTCTGAGAAACTACGTTAACTCCTTTTAAATTAACATTTAAAAGTTACATTTAAATAATTGCAAAGGACATAATTTCCAGTGTACTGTAAATATCAACATTTTAGCATTTTGTTGCTGCTGTTACATGAATGTTCCTTAGAAAACCTCTGTTCCTGTTTAGTGGACATAAAGTTATCTTTTCTCCCTCTGAGAAAACTGATAGGTTTTTTGGAGGTGGGGTGAGGCAGGGGAGAGATAATCTTGCATTGTATGTGTTTCTCCCAATGCCTATTTTTCTCTATGTGTTTTACAGTCTCTCTTATTTGCATAAGACTTCCCCACCAATATCTAGTTATCCAGCGATACTCTTACTTAGACTAAGTGAGGGACTTACAAGCTGCCTGGAGGCTTTAAGCATACAGATGGGCTTGCTATTTTTGAACTATACAGTAATCTAGGTGGAATCCCTGATGTCACTTTCTTTGGGTCTTTCCTCTTGAGCTGGTAAAATTCACCCAAGACTCTTCGAATCTTCTGCATTTCGGAAGAGTAGGGTTTGGCTGCTAGCATGTCAGGAATCAAATAAAAAGAGAGGGCTGGGGAAATCTCCCTTCATCATTTAGTAAGCACACAGTCATCAAATCCCCATGTTTTGGGAAAGATATACATGTCCTAGACATAGATTAGGGTCTCCCAGTCCAGAGATATTTATTTTCCCCTCTCTAGAGAAGAAACTTCCAGTCTACTGCTAGGATAGGGATGGAGCAGTTACCTGGTGAGTAAGAGAACAGATTTAGAGAAATAACAGCTTTTCAAACAGGCCTTTCATTTTAACCCTTTCATCCCCTGAGATAGCTGATATTGCCAATTCCTGAGAATTGAGGATTCTACGGTATAAACCAGGTTGGCTTTCATTTCCCCACTGCTGACTGATCATTTAGCCTTTTGGGGTCTAAGTCTATGATCACTTTTCCACCTGCTCTCCAGCTTTCAAAATGTTGCTGATATTGTCTCATTCCTCTCTGTTATCCCCATCCTTATGTGTCCATGCTTTAAAAAAAATTCCTTTATTACAGTTTTAGTGGAGTTCCAGGAAGGAGCAAAAATCTGTCACCTTAATCTGAAACTCATAGCCCTGTTAATAAGAGGAGTTTCAACCTGCCAAATCCTTCAGAAACTGAAGATGTGTCGGTACATTTAACCAGTTGTATGTTATGATCTTACAAGACAAAACAAAAAGAGAAAAGAAACTATATCCTCCTTGGTTAATTTTAAACTGGTACTAAAAAGTATACTCTGCTGGAGGGCTTAAAACTTGGAATTAATACTTTTTCAGTTACTAAAATCTAGGATAAACTGAATGGAATGATCTATGTTCATACTATCGTACACTCATTGCATCATGTTAAATGGTAAGATCTATTTAAAAACACAACCAAAGTGTTTCAGAGTAGATGACTAAAGTTTACACTGATAATCCCAAACTGTAAAGTGATATTTTGAAAATATATCACCTCTTCACTGACTGTTCTTCAGACTGCAGCACTATTCCAATTTGATAATGTTCTTCTTTACTGTTACTTCTTGTCTTAATCCACCCACCTCGGCCTCCTAAAGTGTTGGGTTTACAGGCATGAGCCACTACACCCAGCCTGTTTGTTTTGGGACAGGGTCTCGCTCTGTTACCCAGGCTGGATGCAGTGGCACAATCACGACTCCTTGCATCCTCACACTCCTGGGCTCAAGTGATCCTCCCAACTCAGCCTAGTGAGTAGCTAGGACTACAGGCAAGTGCCACCACACCTTGCTAAATTTTTTATTTTTTACAGAGACGAGGGTCTCCCTATGTTTCCTGGCTGGTCTTGAACTCTTAGGCTCAAGCAATCCTCCCACCTTGGCCTTCCAAAGTGCTGGGATTACAGGTGTGAGCCAACATGCCCAGCCACATTTCTCAGCTGTGATGTGAGAAGGATTTGGCATCTCTTTCTTCTGAAAGGTAAATCTATCAATAATATGCAGTTGTGTGTAATCATTTTCATTTAACAGTTATGTACTGAGTATGCCAGGTCCCATTCTAGGCATTAGGCATAAAATAATGAAAAAAAGCCCCTGCTCTCATACAGCCTGCATTCTAGTGGGGATAAAAGACAAGAAACAAGTCAGATGGAGCTATGCGTTATAAAGAAAATCAAGCCTATGGGTATAGAGAGTGACAGAGTGACGTGGGGACATGTTAGTTATATAAGGTGAGCAAGGATTTCTATTAAAAGGGGACATATGAACCGAGACACAAGGATATTTGTGGCATGTGTATCCTAAAGAGAATATAACAAACATAAAGGTCCTAAAGAAGGAACACGCTTGGCCTGCTGAAGAAATTGCAAAGAGACCAGTGGTGTGGGAAGAGAATAAGCCTTTGTTTCTCACTGAATGTTCACAATCTTTGCCATGGTTTACTCTTCACAAGATTTTAATTCTTTTTTTTTTTTTTTGAGACGGAATTTTGCTCTTGTTGCCCAGGCTGGAGTGCAATGGTGTGATCTTGGCCCACTGCAACCTCTGCCTCCCGGGTTCAAGTGATTCTTCTGCCTTAGCCTCCCAAGTAGCTGGGATTACAGGCTTGTGCCTGGCTCATTTTGTATTTTTAGTAGAGACGGGGTTTCTCCATGTTGGTCAGGCTAGTCTTGAACTCCCGACCTCAGGTGATCCGCCTGCCTCGGCCTCCCATAGTTCTGGGATTACAAGTGTGAGCCACTGTGCCTGGCCAAGATTTTAATTCTTTAAAAGCCTTTAGATTCGAACAGATTCAGAGATTCTAACTTATCTGAAACGTTGAGATTGTTTCAAGTCTAGGGGTAAGTGGGGGTGTTACTGAATAAGGTAATAATTTGCTGTAATAAGTATTTTGGCCGAATATAGGCTTGTAAACAATCTAAATTATAGATATATTGCCTAGTTTTGAGAAAGAGAAGGTGGTATAGTTGGAAGATCTAAGAGCCAGATCTGGTTTAGAGTCTTGGCTCTATACTTACTTGCTAGGAGCAATACTCAGTTAGAGTTGTAGGTGTTAGTACATATATACCCTTTTACTCTTTTATTCTAATTTTGTAATGTAAAAGTAGCATAGTGGTTATGGGGAAAGAATACTGGATTGGGAGTCAGAAATCCTGAGTTAAACACCTTTGGTGCCACTTATTAAATGTGTGCCCTTAGACAAGGAACTTAAAAGCCTCAATTTCCTTATCTGTAAAAAGAAAAAAGATCTCCTTCATAACATTATAAAGATTAAATGACATAATAATCTATGTAAGTGAAAGCAATTTGTAAAAAACAAAATTCAGATCATATCTATTTTTAAACTTCTCACAGAGCTTTCAAATTCATATTTTACTGAGTTTATAATTTTCACCTAAGTGCTTTCAAAATTTGTTTAATTTTACCTTTTAATTTACCTATTCATTTGCACTTAAGAGTTGCAAAATTTAAAATTTATCCTTCAAAGTCAGTTCCCCATATTAGCTTATGGTAAACTTTATAAAATAACTCCTTAAATTGCATAGCAAAATTCAACAGATAGGAACTCACTCTGAAATCCTCAAAAAGGGTCAGAATGCAGATTTTTCACTTTAACTTTATTAACTGACCATTTTGCAACCAAAAATACGGGCACTCAGAGAAACTGATTTGAAAAAGTAACTAACAACCATTCTGTTTACTTGCACAACTGCTAACAACTTTTTAGCAGGTTTTTGCTGTTTCTATCTTCTGAACCTCTCTTGCTTAGCTCAATCACTGAGTGCTAAGCCTAAGTTTGCAGTCATGTATTTATTATCAAATACTTGATATATGTTCTGAAGGCTGCACTAGACAGAGACATTTATTTTTTAGTATCATATTATTTACCAGCCATTAGTTAGCATCCTTATGTTCCTGGACAGTAATTTAAAATGCAATCCAAAAGAATAGCAGCCAAAACCTTTAAAACATCCTCAATGGTCTTCAAAAATAATTTACAAGACATTTAACGAATGGAACTTACTCCATGCCCTGTGCAGTCTGTCGTGCAATATCTATAAGTTTGATCATCTCAAATTTGGTCTCAATGATATGGAGATGGTGATACAAGCTGGAGCCCTCACACCACTGGGTAACAATAGCCAGTTGTGGCTTTGTGGAATAGCCCATGAAGAGTAGGATATTCACATGTCGTGTTTTCCTGTACAAAGAAATGTGACAGTAAACATTAAATGTCGACAAACTTTAGCAATTCTTACAAAAGAGAACCAAAGTAGTCTGTCGGTAAAATGTTGTCAGAAAAAGCTTTTTTTTTTTTAAAAAAGGCAACAAAAGGATACATTTAGAAGAGACTGGCAATTGCCAAGTCTAACCTCCTACTTTATGCAGAGATATCTTTTTAAATATATCTGACAGGCAACTAGAGGTTGCTTAAATACCTTCAACTATGGGAAGTTCATCACTCAGTTGTAGCTGACTCTCATATCTTTATTTAAGTGGTTCTGGTATTATAAAGTTTCCAAGTGTTGAGACAAAATCATTTTCTTACAACTTTCACCTCTGGCTTGCTTCCCTGGTCTGCTCTCTGGAATAACTTTTTTTTCCGCACTCTGGAATAACTGTGCACTCTCTTGAACATAACAGCCTTCTGTGAACTAAATATCCTCAGTTCTGTTGATTATTTTCCCCCGTTACACCTCTAGAATCTTCCCTATTTAGGTGGTCCTCACTAGGCATATCCTAGTTTGTCAATGTTTCTAAAATTCCAGAGCCCAGGACTAAATACCACCTCTAAATGTATTCTGATAAGCTTAAAACTGGAGAGTATTCTTTTCATAAGTAGAACTATTACTTTATATTATCAGAATACTATACTTCCATTAATTCAGTCTAGGACTAAGTATTCTATCAGCCATACCATATAACATTGCATACTACTTAAAAGAATGTGGTTAAAGACAAAAATATACTCAGACATACTCTGTTTCTACAAATTTATTCATTTTGAGTAAATCTGTAAAGCTAATAGTTGCTACCACTGGGAACCAGGAGCTAATAAAAATAACTTCTTTCTCTGGAAAAGAGTAATTCACACAAGCTCACCTGAGTACTCCTACTTCATTTTTGAAGGCTTGTAACTGCTGAGGTGTAGGTGCTGTCACATTCAACATTTTCACTGCCACATCACCTAAAAGGCAATTGTTACTCCAAGTGTCATTTCAATTTTTAAAATTTAAAAGTATAAAACATTCTTGGGTGTTTTCACTAATTATCATAGCCCTAACTCCATACCATTATTAAATCACAAATAAATTATACTTTAGCTATCTAAACTCCATTTGTTTTCTAAGGCTAAAAATTCAACTAACAATGATATTCCTGTACTAGTATTTCAAAATATCAATCCAAAAAATAGCCAACCTTGTTTGTTCCATGGAAATTTGGTAAAATCAATTAAGTACCCATGGTATTTTCCAAATTATTTGACAATATTAAATTATACTTACTAGGCTTAATATTTATTTACTAACTGAAACTGCAAGTAATGTTGAAACTACAATTACCAGGCCCTATGGAATTTTGCTTAAAAGTAGGAAACTATAAAACTTTTTTATCAGAGTAGTTAACATTTTTTTCAAATTTATGGATTACTTATGATACTTTCAATTAGGAAAATGACTAAAACTGTCACTAAAATTTAAAAAAAACTTCATGTGAGTTAATGGGTGCAGCACACCAGCATGGCACATGTATATATATGTAACTAACCTGCACACTTTGCACATGTACCCTAAAACTTAAAAGTATAATAATAATAAAAAAAGAAAATGATATTTTATTAAAATCATCAAAAAAAAAAAACTTTATGTGAAACAGCTGTAACGTCAACACTGCCAGTAGGTGTTTAAATTGGTACAACTACTTTGTAACATTGTTGGCAGCATTACTAAAACTGGACATATGCATACCCTGTGGTCTCACAATTCTGTCCTAGGTATATATACCCATCAATGGTTACATGTTCACCAAAAGACATACACTAAAAATGTTTACAGCACCAGCATCAATCAAAGCCCCAAACTGGAAACGATCCAATTGCAACAGATGAAAGAAGAAATCATGTTATAGTCACACAATGAAATACTGTAAAGAGAATGAATGACCTCCAACTTCACACAACAATATAGATGAATCTTATAAACAATGTTGAGTGAAAAGGGCCGACACAAAAGAGTACACACTATGCACTTCCTGTTGTAATCACAGTGGTGGTTACCCTTGGGAGAGAGGTGATTGGCTAGAAGAGGACATGGGAGGGTGTTTCTAGAGTGCTAGTAATGTTCTGTTTATTTAATTTTTTTAGAGACAGAGTCTTGCTCTGTCACCTAGGCTGGATGGAGTGCAGTGGTGTGATCATGGCTCACTGCAGCCTTGAACTCCTGGGCTCAAGCCATTCTCCCACCTCAGCCTCCTCAATAGCTGGGAGTACAGGCACATGCCACCATGCCTGGCTAATTTATGTGCACTTTTATACACAGGCTGAGTATCCCTTATCCAAAATGCCTGGGACCAGAAGTGTCTCAAATTTCAAATTTTTTCTGATTTTGGAATATTTTGATTATACTTACCAGTTTAACATCCCTAATCCAAACATATGAAATCCTCCAATAAGCATTTCCTTTGAGCATCATGTCAGCACTCAGAAAGTTTTGGATTTTGGAGCATTTCGGGTTTGGGATTTTGGATTAAAGATACCCAACCTGGCCAGGTGTGCTGCCTCACACCTGTAATCCCAGCACTTTGGAAGGCCAAGGTGGGTGGCTCACCTGAGGTCAGGAGTTTGAGAACAGCCTGGCCAACATGGCAAAACTCGTCTCTACTCAAAATACAAAAATTAGCCAGGGGTGGTGGTACGCGCCTATAATCCTAGCTACTCAGGAGGCTGAGGTAGGAGAACTGCTTGAATCTGGGAGGCAGAGGTTGTAGTGAGTTGAGATTGTGCCACTGCACTCCAGCCTGGGCGACAGAGCGAGACCTTGTCTCAAAACAAAACAAAACAAACAAAAATAAATAAATAAAGATACTCAACCTGTATGTATATTTTAATAAGTTAAATCAACATTGATTTTCCTCAATTATCAAAGTAATACAGTGCTTATTCTACTGTTTGTATCATAAAATACTGTACAGCACTTAAGAAAAGTTTAAAGACATTTTGAAGGTATAAAAAAATTCCCTTAATTATGTCACTCAAAAGTGACATTATATGTTATTAGGCTTTTACATGAATTTAGTGTGAATATTTATGAACACCTGTGAAAAGATAGATTAAGGAGATAAAAACTAAAACACAGTCTTTTTTTTTTTTTTTTTTAAGACAGTCTCGCTGTTATCCAGGTTGGAGTGCAATGGCGGGATCTCGGCTCACTGCAACCTCCACCTCCTAGGTTCAAGCAATTCTCCTGCCTCAGCCTCCTGAGTAGCTGAGATTACAGGCGCCCACCACCAAGCCTGGCTAATTTTTTGTATTTTTAGTAGAGATGAGGTTTCACTATGTTGGCCAAGCTGGTCTCGAACTCCTGACCTTGGGTGATCCACCTGCCTCGGCCTCCCAAAGTGCTGGGATTACAGGCGTGAGCCACTGTGCCTGGCCTAAAATACTGTCATATAAAAAATTATGTTATATATTTCTATGAGCTCCATAATATGGTATCTTACACATACTGCTTTGAAAAATTTCATATACCAAAGACACCTTTCTACATCAATAAATGTACCTCTACCATGCCATTTTAACTCCTATATAATCACATATGATGGTATAAATTTATCCAATTCTCTATTAGTTGGATACATGTTCACTTTCACTTTTCATTGATATTAAACCTTTGATGAAAATACATCCACTACTCTTAATATAATCCAATTTAAAAAGATTTTGTCCAACTAAGAGGCAAATAATGATGTCTATTTTTTGAATTTGCAATTCTTTGATAACTAGTAAGGCTGAACATTTTGTATATGTTTACTGGCCACTTATATTTCTTTGTTAATTTTTTTTTTTTGAGACGGAGTCTCACTGTCACCAGGGTGGAGTGCAGTGGCGTAATCTCAGCTCACTGCAACCTCCGCCTCCTGGGTTCCAGTGATTCTCCTGCCTCAGCCTCCCAAGTAGCTGGGACTACAGGCACGTGCTTCCACACCCAGCTAATTTTTGTATTTTTAGTAGAGATGGGGTTTCACCATGTTGGCCAGTATGGTCTTGATCTCCTGACCTCGTGATCAGCCAGCCTCAGCTTCCCAAAGTGCTGGGATTACAGGCATAAGCCACTGCGCCCAGCCATTAAGTACATTTTTAATATGTTTACTTGTGACTTATAATACAAATAAAATTATCAGCTGAAAGACTCTAAAAGAAAATAAAATCCTTTTGAGGACTAGTTAACCTGGAGGAATTCCCCTTTAAAAATTATTACTGTAATAAAATGGTAGGAGTCCCGACTGCTGTGAACAGTTTTTATTTCCCATAATTTTTGTTAGAAACTTTTGGAGGAGTCCTGAAACTAATCAAAATAGTTTATTGATGCGAACAGTGAATATTTCCTTTGATGATATTTTTTACAAAATAAAAGTTGTTAAACATATCCTATTATGACTTGTCACAATGTCACCACATTACATACTTACCATGCCACTTTCCCTTGTAGACTGTTCCAAATGATCCAGATCCAATTCTTTGTCCCACTGTAATCTGCCCATCAGGAATCTCCCAATCATCACTCGAGTCCCGTCTACCAAGTGTTTTCTTGATAAAAACAGTAAAAAAGTCAAGTCAAGCCAAACAGAAAAAGAAAACCTTATGTTTCACCCTAAGTACATTACCTTATGCCTGAGAGGGATACAGGAAGAGATCCCCTTAAGAAAAATTCTCTGGAAGAATAGTAGTTAAAAGTATGACTCTTAAAATACAAAACTTAAATTTAAGACTGAAGTCAATATTAGGATGGAAAAAATTTATTTTTATTTTTTATTTTATTATACTTTAAGTTCTAGGGTACATGTGCACAACTTGCAGGTTTGTTACTTATGTATACATGTGCCATGTTGGTGTGCTGCACCCATTAACTTGTCATTTACATTAGGTATTTCTCTTAATGCTGTCCCTCTCCCCTCCCCCTACCCCATGACAGGTCCCAGTGTGTGATGTTCCCTGCCCTGTGTCCAAGTGTTCTCACTGTTCAATTCCCACCTATGAGTGAGAACATGTGGTGTTTGGTTTTCTGTCCTTGTGATACTTTGCTCAGAAGGATGGTTAGGATGGAAACAATTTATTAAAAAATATAAATTATTTATGGGGTATGAGCAGGAATGTATATTACTGAAATAAGTAAAATGTTTTTATCATCTGGAAGACTTTAAGGAGCAAGATAAGTGCTGCTATATTTGTGAATAGTTTTGGCTCTAAATCACAAAAAATTTTAAGTTAACCTGTGGTAACTACTGACAATTCATCTAGGTAGTCTTTTTCAATCAGTGCTAAATTTCTTCATGTATCTTATCTAATTCGGTCTTTCCAAAAAAAAAAAAAAAATCAACATATAAAATTACTTTGGTAGGGTAAAAGATCCTCTTATTCAACAATTAGTAGCAATACTACGGCTAAACAGTATTCGTTTTTTATTTTTAAATTTTACTTTAAGTTCTGGGATACATGTGCAGAATGTGCAGGTTTGTTACATACGTATACATGTGCCATGGTGGATTCATTTTGCAGAAGAAAGTTGATTTTTTAAATAGGGAAGAATGTCCTTCAGTAGATATCTGAAATATCTGAATTCTGGACCAGCCTTTTCGTGCCTTCTAATATTAGCTTTCTCTCTTTTTCCTTACTTTAGAACAGAATACTGTTACTCTTCCAAAACTGCCTTTTACTAAATTATATTATAGATGACAGCAAAAAGCAGTGCCGTAGAAATATGCTTTAAGCAAAAAACTATCAGTTCTTAAATTTATTTAATTATGGGAATTCTGTGTCACATATGGACATAATATATCTAAAGGATAATATTACATTTGGCTGTGACTTCTAAGAAGAAAGAATTCAGAGAAAAAAAGATATCATATACTCTTACCATTCGATTCCTGTCTTCTGAGGATGAAGATGACTTCCTTTCTCGCTGAGGTCCTGGAGATTTCTGTAAGGCTTTCACGTTAGTTAGTGAGCCAGGTAATGAGGCAGGGGGGGTAGCAGACAAACCTGTGGTTGATCCTAAATTAGTGAAAAGAAAAATGTATACATTAAGGAGGAGCAAGTATGTTAATTTATCAGGGGTAGAAGGTTGGGGGATATTTAGACTTAATTTTAAAATGTAGTGCATGTTTAAATATAGACCTTTTGGAAAGGATGGGCCAAAAAGGGGCCTCATTTGGTGATTACAACTATAATTTCTTTTAGTTTTCTGGCCAATTTAATGACCTTTAAGATATCTGATGATAGACATAGACACATACTTTATTTACTGGTGCAAAATCTAGGAGAAAAACAATCTCTCTAAAACAAGACAGAAATACTAAAAATACTCCCAAGTTTCTGTTTCTTTGATGAAAAAAATCAAAAAGCAAAATAAATGTAAAAGCCTATATAACAAATACATTTTTAATTAATTATTTAATATTACCTCAACAGCCAATCAATATTAAAAAAAAGGAAATCCCCAGATGGAAACATTTTCTAATAATGGCCATAATGTTGAAAATATCTGACTTATTCATATTAATCACTAAACTCAAATATAATCCTAAACTACATGCTCTACTATTTAAGAGATATTGGTCAGTATCATTGGTTCCTGGAGGCTTACATTATTAAACAAAGATTATTTGTTACCTACAAAACAAAGTTAATGTAAATAAAGCCGGGCATATTTCTCAAGACTTTCTGAAAAATCTCTGCCTTTGTAAGTGAGAGCTTTGTTAAGTAAGCGCTATGGCCTCTCAGCCAAGTTACTATAAATACAAATATTCTATAGGTCAAGTGAGCCTGAGGAGTATACTCTTTGGAAGTGATCTCTGTTGGCAGGGTTGCATACCTTTCTCATGGCAAACATCCTGAGTTAAGGTACAGTAGCACCTGGTTCAGAAGAGTTCAGGGCAGTGAATCTTACTGGGGCCTGAATACAGCTGAGTAGAACTCAGATGTCCAGGCAATAGTTCTATATACAGAACAACAAAATGACCTCAAGAAAATAGATTCTTTTTAAAAAATGACTGCTACTCTTAAGGAAAAAAAGAGCCACTATCTTTCAGATAACAAGGATACCAATAACCACATTTAAATGTTTAATCTGTAGAAAATGTTTACCATTATTACATCATATTATATCACCATGTAGAATTTTCATTATCTCATATGCAATTTTCTAAAATAAAATGGTATCCACAATGTCTATTAAGTAGAGCACAATCCATTTTCTACCTTCCATTGATAATTTTCAACATTATAAAGCCTCGACTGCTTGACCAGGCTTCACGGTTATGATCTACTAAGTAGTTTTATTGTATCACTTAATTTAGTTGTATTACTCACTACTGTATGACTTCCATCCCATTCTATGGATTTTCTGAGAAACAGCAGGGCTGAGAGAGCAAAAATCTAAAGCACCATTACTACATTCAGAATATATAACAGATACTAACTAGCAAGAGTCAGTAAATATAAATCTTTAAAAATATTTAGAGAAAGACATCTGTCCCAATTTTTACTTTTTTTTTTTTGAGATGGAGTCTTGCTCTGTCACCCAGGCTGGAGTACAATGGTGTGATCTCGGCTCACTGCAACCTCCGCCTCCTGGGTTCAAGCGATTCTCCAGCCTCAGCCTCCCAAGTAGCTGGGATTACAGGCATCCGCCATCATGCCTAGCTAATTTTTTTTGTATTTTTGTAGAGACGGGGTTTCACCACATTGACCAGGCTGGTCTCAAACTCCTGACCTCAGGTGATCCATCCACCTCGGCCTCCCAAAGTGCTGGGATTACAGGCGTGAGCCACCGCGCCTGGCCCGACTTAAGTTTTTACAAATCAGTTTAACTACTAAATAAAACATGGCAAGATGAAATGGGAGAATGAAATTATACTGTAAACTTTCTTCTATTAGGACATAATTAAAAGGATAAATTCTCAAATTTCTGAAGTACACTGAAATATCTAAAATATGTTATAAATCTTTTTTTTGTCTTTTTTAACAGCTCCCTACCTTTGACAAAAATATACACATCCCATATTGGGGGAAAGAAAAACCCAAAAAACACTGCTAGTATTACAGAATCTGAAAAAAGGCCAAAAGCCTAATAAAATCTCATAATAGAAGTTTCCATTGACACTTTAATTTTCTTAAAAACCACAAAATTAACAAATATTAAGTCATCAAGAATAATCACTTAAATGCATTAAAATCAAAGGAATCCAGTAAGCTCTTCCCCACCCACCTTATTTATTCCCACCCACTAAGTTTAAGAAATTATCAAGACCAAGAAGTAATAAAATAACGAAAAAACAAGATGGAAATCTCAGGTCAGGATTTTCTTGCTTTTAAAAATTTATGACAGACAGCATACAGAAAGCTTGTGGCAGTGAGTACGTGTGAGACGTACATTCAAAGCATTCCAGCCAGGCCAAACAGAAATTTAGTACTGAAAACTTTCACACTTACAAACACACGCTGTGAGGGTGAGGCACAAACAGCATCTGTAGTTTTATATTTAGTTTGCTTTGGGTGAAAACAAGAAAGAAGAGCCCAACTACCTCTGAACACTGGGCCAGGCTCAAAATCAAACACTATTTCACTGGGGACAGAATGTAGGAGGGGACTGGGAGTCCGGGATTGGTATTTCCGAAGACAGCGCATCAGCTGGTTCAAAGGGGCTGTTAGAAGAGAAAGAGAGGGGCAGGCAAACACAGGAAGACAGACACACAGAAGAAATGAAAGAAGTCATGGGGAATAAACAAGATGAATTGAAGCCTGTTTCATAAAATAATTCTGGACCAAAAATCTGCTTATTTTCATAAAATCCCAATGATTTTTTAAAAAGTGACTCATGAAAAGGACAAGAAATGCCACTTGCTTTTAGGTACTAAGCAGGCTGTGTTTATGACTAAGTTAATTTTGTGATGCTAACATGATGGCAACATTTAAATGCTGGATGTATTAGGCAAAATTATCAAAAGCCACAGCTATTAAGACATACGAAAGTCAAACTGGCAGCAACATTAATTGGCAGGTTCATGAAATAACAAACAGGAAAAAAAAAGCTTGTGTAACTATGTGCTAACATCAATACCAAGTCCAGAGTATAGAATGCAGGCTTATTATTATTTTGGTTGCTTCATGGGTATACAGAAACATAACAAAAGAAGGTTTATAACAATGTTTACTCAATGTAAAATATTGTTGAGTCTGGGCTTAGATATTTTGAAGATAAAGAAGGTCACAGTGAAGAGGTCAACTCTAAGCATGATAAGCAGTTATTACAGGTCTTCCTTACTAGGCAGAAGACAACAGGGAAGGTAAGTGTAAAGGACCTCCTGGAAGAACACTTCAAGACAGTCTCAAATATCACCTCTTATAAAACATTATATAGGGTAATGCTTACAAAAAGTATTTTCTTAAGCAATGTTGTCTTATGTGCTAGAGTGAATACTAGATGAAAATTCAGTTGGAAATCTCAATTCAGTTTCTCATTTGTGTATTTACTGACCTAAGAAGAGGACAAATGGGCTTTGCCATTATGGGTCTGTTCTATAAAATGTACATTTAAAACACTTCCAGAAAGTTGAAGGAAGTGGTTGATAATGTCTGACAAACCCCCTCTTCAGAATGATTTAGCAAAGTTAAGTTTTATCTGATTCTAAGGTCAATCTTTAAGTATCAGTGGAGCCCCACAAAGGAAATTTATCAACAATAGCTTTCAAGATGGTTAGAAATTAATAAAGCGGGTATAAAAATTAAGGATCTTTCCTTGGTAAGATATTTTAAAACTGTAGTCTACGGCCATACCATCCTGAACGTGTCCGATCTTGTCTGATCCTGGAAGAAATTTTAAAACTGTAGATAATACATTTTAAGACTTCCTTTTGGCCGGGCGCGGTGGCTCACGCCTGTAATCCCAGCACTTTGGGAGGCCGAGGCGGGCGGATCACGAGGTCAGGAGATCGAGACCATCCTGGCTAACACGGTGAAACCCCGTCTCTACTAAAAATACAAAAAATTAGCCGGGCGTGGTAGCAGGCGCCTGTAGTCCCAGCTACTCGGGAGGCTGAGGCAGGAGAATGGCGTGAACCCGGGAGGCGGAGCTTGCAGTGAGCCGAGATCGCGCCACTGCACTCCAACCTGGGCGACAGAGCGAGACTCCGTCTCAAAAAAAAAAAAAAAAAAAAAAAAGACTTCCTTTTATGTCCAGTCATCTTTTCTACTCATGTTATAAACTAGTTAACATTTTATTAGAGGTAAATGACAAACACTACAGAAAAACAAAAAAATTTTGGGTTTCTCTACACATTTTTCTCTGTGTCTGTTACTTGAAAGAGGCAAGTATAAAGGAAATAAGCAGCAAAGCAATTGCAGTTTCCTTGAGTTTTTAAAAAAACCTGAAATCACTACTTACCTCCATCACCACGAAATCCTTGGTCTCTAATCAAGTCCTACAAATAAATAGTAATGTATATTTATTCCAAGCAAGCATATAATCAGAGAGTAGCGATAACACTGAATTTTCCACTAACGTTAAAAGAATTATTTTATTAATTAAAACAATACATCTTATAACTATTACACAAAACAATTTGGAATTATCTAGTGAACATAATACAATCTAAATTTTGAAGCACTTGCCAATGTAAACCTATAATGAAACAATTATTAGTCCTAATCAAATGTTGATGTCCATTTCAGGCCATTCAAAACCAATGGCTTCCATTATCCTCAACAATCTAATGCAGGAGCAGAAAACCAAATACTGTGTTTTCTCACTTATAAGTGGGAGCTGAATGATAAGAACAAGTGGACACATGGGGGAAACAACACATACTGGGGCCTGTTGGAGGGTGGATGGTAAAAGGAGGAAGAGCAACAGAAAGAATAACTAATGGATGCTGTGCTTCATACCGAGGTAATGGGATAATCTGTGTGGCAAACCGCTGTGGCACATGTTGACCTACGTAACAACCCTGCACATCCTGCACATGTACCCCTGAACTTTGGAAATAAATAAATTTTTAAAAAATGGCTTCATCAATCCTTAAAAAAAATTATACTGGTGCACATTAAGAGAGATAAAAATGTTCATATCCTTTGATTCTGTAATTCTACTTCTGGGAACTTTTCTTAAGGAAATAATTCAGAAGAAAAAGTGATATGCACAAAGATGTTTAGTGCAACATTATCCATCATACTAAAAAGTTATAAATAATTATTTCTCTATTATAGGCATTTTGACATATTTTGGTTAAGAAAATTATGGTGTATCAATTTAATGAAGTATTATGCAGCTACCAAAATAATTATGAAGCTTGAATCATGAAACATGTTTATAGTATAATTTAAAAATATAAAATTAAAAGTACACTGGTTACAATCATAAAAATATGGATGGATAAGGGCACACTAGAAGAGGAAAGAAACAAAGTGGCTCATAGAAAGGTTTTGTTAAAATTTGTCCTTTTTTTTGAGACTCAGTTGCTCTGTCGCCCAGGCTGGAGTGCAGTGGCGTGATCTTGGCTTATTGCAACCTCTGCCTCTTGGGTTCAAGTGATCCTCCTGCCTCAGCCTCCTGAATACCTGGGACTACAAGCACGCACCACCATGCCTGGCTAATTTTTGTATTTTTAGTAGAGACGGGGTTTCACCATGTTGGCCAGGCTGGTCTTGAACTCCTGACCTCAGGTGATCCGTCCACCTCAGCCTCCCAAAGTGCTGGGATTACATGCATAAGCCGCCGCAACCGGCCACTAAAATTTGTCTTTATTATTAAAATATAGCTCTTTATGCGCCGGGTGCGGTGGCTCAAGCCTGTAATACCAGCACTTTGGGAGGCTGAGGCTGGTGGATCACGAGGTTAGGAGTTTGAGACCAGCCTGGTCAACATGGTGAAACACCATCTCTACTAAAAATACAAAAATTAGACAGGCATGGTGGCACGCGACTGTAATCCTAGATACTCAGGAGGCTGAGGCAGGAGAATTGCTTGAACCTGTGAGGCGGAGGTTGCAGTGAGCTGAGATTGCACCACTGCACTCCAGCCTGGGTGACAGAGTGAGACTCCATCACAGAAAAAAAACAAAAAAAAAACTATATATATATTTAGCTCTTTATAACAACGATGGTAGTGGGGACAGTCGCTACTGGTAATGCAATTTGGGCCTTGATGGGTAGAACTTGCATTAGTCTGTTTATTTAGTTTAACTTAAATATGAGGGATTGAATGGCCCCAAATATCTCTGAATAGTCTCTGCAAATAGACAACTTTTTGTTTACAGGCTAAAACAAAGTAAATTCTTTAAAGATGTATTTCTATCATGTTTAATGTATCATATAAAGTCTTCAACATTTTCTACAGAAAAATCAAATACGTACCTGAAAAGAAGGTGACAGGAGTTATATGGCTACTAACAAATATAAAAATCCTAGTGATGTCATTAACTTTCCATTCTTGAGAGCTTACAATCTCATGGGAAGTAAGATGCACACATTGGAAGTAAGTGAAAATCAAATAATTTAAGAATAATTGCATAAGAATATAATAAAAGAGATGCCAAAGTTTGCTGCTCAATTGATTGCCAACTAAGTGATACAGGTGATAAGATTTTGAGATGAAGTCTTGCTCTTGTCACCCAGGCTGGAGTGCAATGGCACGATCTTAGCTCACTGCAACCTTCGCCTCCTGGGTTCCAGCGATTCTCCTGCCTCGGCCTCCCGAGTAGCTAGGATTACAGGCGCCTGCCACCATGCCCGGCTAATTTTTTATTTTTGGTAGAGATGGGGTTTCATCATGTTGGCCAGGCTGGTCTTGAACTCCTGACCTCAGGCGATCCGCCTGCCTTGGCCTCCCAAAGTGCTGGGATTACAGGTGTGAGCCACTGCACCCAGCCGATAAGATTTTTAGTGCTGTGTATGATAACTATAGGACTTGGTCACTGATAAAGCAGTCAAGGAATTACTCTGAGTTGGGGTTTCAGAGATAGGCATGTAGAAAAGCAAAGAGTCTTTCAGGTGGAAGGAACTACAAGACAAAGGCCATATCCCTTTCTTTTCTGTTGCATCAGCTCTGAAACTCTCCACAACTATGGATTAACCAAATTTTGCTTTCTCCACTCTTACAAGTTACTGCTAGTAACAACATAAACTTAGATTTTTAAATTCCGAATGTGTTCTTAAAGCTCCTTGACAATCTTTTCTACTCATTCTAGGTTACAAAGGTTCTTCTAGCATTTGAAAACTGGATATTTCAACTTTTTTCCCACTCTTTTGTAGTTCCTTCTCTTACTTACATCCCTTCCCTTCATCATAATAGAGAAAACAAAAGCCATCAAACAACTTTTCTGCTCTAATATCTATAACTATTTGCATATTAATATTAGCTATAATTTCTGAATTCTTATTATGTACCAGGCATAATAAGCAATTCAAACCACTATGGAAGGCAAACACTACTAGCCCCAGGATTAAATAATTTGCCCAACATCACACAGTCTGTAAAGAGTTACAGAGCTGGCTATGTCCATCTTTAATTCTTCACAGTCTCTGAGAGACATAATTTCCAAGCTCAAGGAATTTTACTACATCAATCATTTCCTCTCTTGTTATCTTCAATTTCTCTTCACTGCCTTCTTCCTCTCCAGTTACAAATATACTAATGTCTCTTACATTAAAAACAATTGTCCCTTGGCTGGGTGCAGTGGCTCACGCCTGTAATCCCAACACTCTGGGAGGCGGAGGTGGGCGGATCACTTGAGGTCAGGAGTTCAGGACCAGCTTGGCCAACATGGCAAAACCCTACTAAAAATACAAAAATTAGCTGGGCATGATGGCGGGAGCCTGTAATCGCAGCTACTCGAGAGGCTGAGGCAGGAGAATTGCTTGAACCCGGGAGGTGGAGGCTGCAGTGAGCAGCGATCACACCACTGCACTCCAGCCTGGGTGACAGAGCAAGACTCCATCTCAAAAAACAAAACAAAACAAAAACAAAACCCGAAAAACCAAAAAAAATTGTCCCTCAACCCTGAATCAAGCTATCCTCTTTTGTCATTCCTTCACAGCCAAGCTTCTCAAAATTAACACTTAATCCTACTTCCTCACCTGCTGCCTTCTCCTCTTACTGGCCCTCTAAAACAGCTCTCAATGAAGTAAAGATGACATTTCAATTGCCAAAATTGATAGTCCTTTCAGTCTTTATCTCATTTGAATCGTAATGGCAACTGACACCAACTACTTTGGTATTCTTGAAACCCCTTTTCTTCCTTTGGCTTCTGCAACACTTGTTCTTAGTTATCTGGGGCTAGACTTAGGAAGAGCCAGCCCATAAAGGAGACAGAGAGTCTCTGCCTGCACCTCCAATGTTAATGTTTATCAGGGTTACATTTTCTCCCCTTTTCAATTTACATATGCTCTTTGAGCAATTTACATCCATGGCTTTAACTGACATAAATATGCTAATTACTCCTAAATCTGTATCTCTACTCAAGGTCCTTATATCCAACTGCTACTGGATTTCTAAACCTGAAAGTCCCACAGGCATCTTAAAGTCAATATATGCCCCCAAAAAGCTAAAATTGCTGCTTCTGCAAACCTTGTTTTCCTTTGGTATTTAACAAACTGTGCTATTTACCAGAAACTCGGTCTATAAGCTAAGTATCTATAAGCCAGAAACCTGGCATTATCCTCTACTTCTCATATTTTTCACTCCTCTCCTCTACTACAAAACAGTATAGTGGTTAAGTGTAAGAGAGAAAGGCCAGGTTTGAACCCACTTCAGTAATTTATCAGCAGTGTAATCTGGGTATGTTTCTTAACCTCTGTAAATCTAATTTTCTTAACAGTAAAATAAAGATAATCATAGTACATAACCTATGAGTTTTTATGAGGATGAAATAAGAAAGTCTACGTAAAGCACTTAGCATAGTACCTGTATGTAATAAGTATTCATAAATAGTAGTCATTTTCAACATGATTCCTAAGACTCTTACCACTAATTCACTAATTCATAGTCTCCCTCCCCAAAACACACTCTTTCTCAGCACCAATGCTATTACTTGAGTTTAAATATCATTTCTTGTCTGAAATACTGTAAAAACCACATTATTGACAGTCCTGCCTCTATGTGTTTCCCATTTCATCTATCCTCCACTCTACCATCAAAGATTTTTCTAAAATATAGAGCTGATGACTTCCTCTCCCAATCAAAATTCTTCAGATTCCCTAGCACTGCTTTAGATTTCAGAGTAATACACAAAGCCTTTCACTGTAGATATTACCTGCCTAGTTTCACCTTCCACCATTCCCCAAGCCTTCTCCTGGACCCTAAACTTCAATATCAACTATTAATTACATTCCATGTAAAGGCACTTCTATGCCTTTCATTTCCTTAACAAATGACTTTCCTAACCCCCTTATGTAGTGTACTCCTACTTATTCACCATAATCTGGCTTAAAGGTTGTCCCTTCTCTGCTCAATGTTCCTAGATCCAACCAGATGGAGTTTATTACCCCCTTCTCTAAACTACCATTATATATTTTGTAATTATCTATTTAAATGTTTGATTCACCTATTAGACTGTGACTTCCTTGAGGGCAAAGGCCATGTGCTAATTCATAAATAATTCCCAATTGCCTAACACAATGCATAGCCCACAGTTATTAGTAAATCTTTTTAATGGAATCATAAGTGCTTGAACATGAATAAAAATGCTAAAGAGTTTGCACTTTACCTTGTAATCAACAGTAAGTCACTAAAAGTTTTGGAACAAGAGAACAGATGATGCTAGAAGTGTAAAAAAATTCTGACAGTTGCAGAAGGAATGGAAATAGATAGAGAGAAATCAATGGCAGAAAATCTATTTAGGAGATTAATGTAGTATATAATTCAAGTGAAAAAATATGGGCCCAAATGGCAGCGGTAATAAGTAAAAACCAGTTTGAGATGCACATGAAAAGGTGATACCCTGTGACTGGTTACGAGAGAGGATGAAAAGGCAAGATACAAAGATGACACTCTAAATGAAGCCCAACATACCAGGGAACAGTGGTAACAATCAGAGAAAAAGGGAATAGTCTAAAAGGATGATAGTTTTCAAAGTAAAGATGAAGGTTGCAATTTTGGACAGACTGAGAACAACCCTAACCTGGACATATGGTTTGATTTCTTATATCACATTCTCCTTTTCCCCTTTCTTCCTTTGTTTTTAGGTCTTGCTAGATAGAGGTGAACCTTGCTAGTTAAGGAAAACTAGTACTAGAAAAAAGTCACTTAAAATGAACCCAATAAAAATAGAGAAAATTTCTTAGTAAAAAGTGGGAAGAAAGTCTGATTTGCAAATTTACCTAAAATTACAAAATTAAAATTTATAAGTTTTTCTTTTATATTAATATTTAATAAAATTTATAGTTTCAATTATATGCTAATTTTAAAATAAACACAGAAAAAATCAAGTTTTTGTTGGTCATAATGCCAAGCTTATGATAGCACAAATTGAAATTCTTTTCTTTTGAGACAGGGTCTCACTCTGTTGCTCAGGCTGGAGTGCAGTGGTGCAAACATAGCTCACTGCAGCCTTGACCTCCTGGGCTCAAGCAATCCTCCCACCTCACCCTCCAGAGTAGCTGGGACTACAGGCATGCCTCACCATGCATGGCTAATTTGTTTTACTTTTGGTAGAGATGGGGTCTCACTATGTTGCCTAGGCTGGTCTCTAACTTCTGGGTCAAGCGTTCCACCCATCTTGGCCTCCCAAAGTGTTGGGATTACAGGCATGAGCCACTATGCCTGGCCTGAAATTCTTAATTTCATATCCACCTCTTATAGCACAATCATAATCATTTTTATAAAAGTTTTAAAGAACTTAATTCTGTCAAGGGCTTCTATCAGTCCTTTGATATTTAAACCATTTTCATTTGAAGATGACTTTTATAGAGATGGTATCATAAGGGAAAAAAATCAGAGTGACTGTATAACCTGGAGTCAGTGAAATATTTAATGTCATCAGAGAGAAACCAGAAGCTTTTCTGATTTGTGATTCACAAGAAGCTTATCACTTAAAATAACTGTGATAAATGAAAAATGGCACTTATTTCTGATCTAAGTTATAATTATAGCAGAAAAATAAAGATACATACTTGGTTTTTTTTTAGTTCTAGCAATGCTGGATACTTACATCAATATTGACAGGTTCTATTGTGTTTATATGCACATTGGGAGCTGATGAGGATCGGTCTCGTTGCCCAAATTGATTTCGATGATCTTCATCTGCTGGTCGGAAGGGCTGTGGAATTGGAATGGATTTTGAAGGAGACGGACTGGTGAGAATTTGGGGCCTGGAAAAATGAAGTCATTGGAAGATAAGATTCAGAGTAACGATATAAAGGTAATAATATTTAAAAAGGAAGATAAAAGGATTTTCTTGTTTTTATATTCTCAAAATCATTAAAGCATTAAAAACCTAGCAGTAATGACTTTTAAAAGTATTAATTTAAAAATCCAATACTGCCAAAGCTGCTTTGCTCAAGTAGGCCCTCCAGGAACTATCAATGATAAGACCACTGATTCTTACCTGGAAAACACTAGGGAAATTTACTTATGGCTAGAAATTACCTGTGGCCATCAACTGAAGAAGTTCAACCTTTGAAGTTATATAAAAATGCTCTGAGAATGACTGAATATAATTTGCCATTTTTTTCTAACATTGTCTTGACATCTGAATTTACTAAAATGAAAATTTTACATATTAAGAAATTATAAATATTTTGAGAATACAAATGCATATTTCAGGACCTGAATGATGTACTTGTTCCTTTACAGGAGTTG
Source organism: Homo sapiens (assembly GCF_000001405.40). Classification (NCBI taxonomy): domain Eukaryota; kingdom Metazoa; phylum Chordata; class Mammalia; order Primates; family Hominidae; genus Homo; species Homo sapiens. The sequence goes on from NC_000007.14 coordinate 140,794,958, forward strand.
AATGAAAATCCAGAACAATATTGAAAAATCCTTTTCAAATTCAGAAGATGATCCTCAGAGTGCCAATATCTCTCATATTCTGGATTTTTTATCATGCCCATTATTGATAACAGAGACACAAGAGAATCATATATTAACCACTAAAGCAAATATTTTTGAAAACTGCTATTTGGAAAACCACCAAAATGTTACATTTGTATGCTATTTGGAAAATCACCAAAATATGTTACATACCTATTTCGGTATGGTAGCTAAATAACATAGTCTATGATATCTCACCCTAAAATGAACCTGGCACTCACAGAGAACACTAAAGTTTTGAGACTAGATTGTAAACACTTGGAAGGATGTAGCCCCTCAGAAAGGGTATCCTAGGAGTGGGGAAATGAGTGTCACTTGATAGATGAGGTAAGCTGTCTCACTTAACTCCATCAGGACCAATGAATGGCTAAGTGCCAATAAGCTCTCTTCACATATTGGTTATCATTCCACCCTATTTTATGCAAACTAATTATTAGTGGTTACTAAGACACAGCTAGAAAGACAATGTTGAGGGAATAAAAAGACACTTTTGTGAGACGTGAGGAATGGGAAAAAAATATAGTAGGAAAGGAATGAATAAAGGTTTGAAGAGCCAAGGAAGCCTAACAGTGAAAGTCAGTCTCTGAATAAAACATGTCAGAATCTGAACCACACCAGTTCACAATTTTACTTCTTTGAAGCATATTATTAAAGATAAGGAAAGAAGTTTTGACTTCATGTGTTTATATTAATGAAATGAATCCACTTAGAATTGATATGCAAATAATAAAATATTATGTACTAAAAAAAAATTGGTATCGGCTCAATGAGAATTATAGGTAAGAAACAAGCCTTTAGGAAAATTAGCATGTTCCATCTAGGTCCTTTTTATTTTTTCTGATTATTGAGAAACTTTTGGTTTCTGACAGAGCTGTCTTTATTTTTGCTTTAGGTAGCCAAATATATGTCTATAGCTAGAAAATTTTAGGAGCAGGAAAAAGAATGCAAAAATGACATTAGTCAATAAAGTTTTAGAAAGGGCACTGACTGACTGACAACCATTTACAGGCTGATTTAAAGTCTCAAGGCAGGCCAGGTGCAGTGGCTCATGCCTGTAATCCCAGCACTTTTGGAGGCCAAAGCAGGTGGATCACCTGAGGTCAGGAGTTCAAGACCAGCCTGGCCAACATAGTAAAACCCTGTCTCTACTAAAAATACAAAAATTAGCTGGGTGTGGTGTTAAGGGCCTGTAATCCCAGCTACTCAGGGGGCTGAGGCAGGAGAATCACTTGAACCAGGGAGGCAGAGACTGCAGTGAGCCAAGATCACGTCTCTGCACTCGCCTGGGTGACAAAGTGAGACTCCATCTTAAAAAAAAAAAAAAAAGGCTTAAAATTGGAAAAAGTATGAATAACTAGAATTGCATAAGATAGTCTACTGTAATAATTGATCTGGGATAGGCAGAGATGGCAGTAAGTCACTTCTGAAACTCACCAAGTTAGGAATATGACAGAAACATGTAGTAGATAACAAATCAGAGTTAAGTATGCAAAAGACATTGGTCCAGAAGAAAAACAAAAACCAGATTTAATCTAAGACACTTCACTATCATATCTAAAGAATGTATATATTAGAAAATGATGATATCTGCGTATTATACAAAATCAGAGAAACTCAATTTGGTAGTTGGTATCTAATAGTTGTGTCTTGGTCCACCAAGTCAACTTCTCTAGCTTTCAGGGCAAGTACAAGGGAACACTTGAAGTGATCATAATCTGATGTCATTGAATATCTCAGCCATGTCCTAATTCTATGCTTAACGAAAACAGTCTTCTGATTATAATTTGATTTCCCATAAATCTCTTACAAAAGAAGAGTGAGTGGTGGCGCACACAACACAAGAAGTCTAATTTACATAACAGGTATATTTTTCACTGAAAAATATTACCTGGTATCCTGATTCAATTTTTTTTCTGATTTCAGTTAATACAAACCAGTATAACTCCCAATCTCATCATTTCTGGGAATCGATAAAATTACATTACCATACTGGGAAATTTTTCCACTAACCAAGGTAACTTATACCCTATGAAGTATCTTGGCAGTCGGCAAACTGGCTTTCTCCCAATGATACCTGTACCTATCTTGCAGTAAACCTCTTTAAAGCAGTACCAAATTAAAGACAAAAGGAATTTTAATTATAATACCCTTCAGCAAATTACCAGTTAGTTTAGATCTCATTCTTAATCTAGAATATTTAAAAGTTTTGAAAACTTTGGTCTGGTGATACGTACATTTTAAATGTTGACCTCTCACAAATTTATACATTCTACAGCATTTTTAAAAAGTAGAAAAGGAGGTATCTCTCACTTTGTATTCAAAACTGGGCAATGTATTGCTTCTCCAATATTTCTTGATTACATCCATTATTACACTTGTTTCATGACCATTATTATTGTTATCAGGACTAGTAACAAACTGCAAAAGAGTTTTGATACTGAACAAGATTGGCTTCTATCTTTACAGAGACAACCATATGGAGTTATGTCATAAAAACATCAGGAAAATGACTTACAGACAAGTTTGAACATCTTATCATTTGCTCAAGATCAGAATATATTTCAGTTCAGTTACCAATAAAATATTCATGGCACAGGCAAATGGTTTCTTAATTTTAAGATAGCATTCCTTCACTGGAAGGCAAATGTCCTGGATCATTACCATTATAAACCTTCAGAGAGGCCAAGCTAATTTCATTAGGGTGTTTTATAACTGCTCACAGAACTGGGACCTGCCATTAGAAAGGCATCATGGTCTACAGAATCTGTCAGGAGAAAATATTATAACCAAAAGATTAATTAAAAACCAACCAAATAATAACATTTTGATTTGACCATCTAAAAAAAACACAGCTGCACACAAGTAGTGATAGAGCCAACGGGAATAAAATGACTCCACTAGAAGAGATAACTGCTACAACCTGACAAGAGAACACAACGGCTGCATTTTCCAGTGTTCCAAATAGGTAAGTATACTCACTGCTTAAGACAAAATTCTTTTGCAAAATTTTCTAACCCATGAGATCACCAGAAAGGTTGGCTTTGTAAAAATTACAAAGTTGTACTGAAAATGTCAACTGATTTTGAAAAGATTTCTCTAGGTAGAAATCTGAAGAAATGGCATTACACTGTGAAGAGTGGGAGGAAGTAGGGTTAAAACTGACAATAAATATTTCTAATCTTAACATCTCAGGAATATTCTAGGACAGAATGCTGTATGGGGACTTTTTTTTTCTTTTTTTTGAGACGGAGTCTTGCTCTGTCACCCAGGCTGGAATGCAGTGACGTGATCTCGGCCCGCTACAAGCTCCACCTCCTGGGTTCACGCCATCCTCCTGACTCCTGAGTAGCTGGGACTACAGGCACCCGCCACCACGCCCGGCTAATTTTGTTTTTGTATTTTTAGTAGAGACGGGGTTTCACTGTGTTAGCCAGGATGGTCATGATCTCCCGACCTCGTGATCCGCCTGCCTCGGCCTCCCAAAGTGCTGGGATTACAGGAGTGAGCCACCGCGCCCGGCCTTTTTTTTTTTTTTTTTTTTTAAAGCATGTGCTTCCAGACGCAGCCTAAATAACGCTGCCCCAAATTCAATGTGAAAGAGTACACAGACCTGTGTCAGAAATGTTCCAAAGCTAATTAGGTGCAGTGTCTCACGCCTGTAATTCTAGCAGTTTGGGAGGCTGAGGCAGGAAGATCACCTGAGGCCAGGAGTTCGAGAAATGTTCCAAAGTAAACTGATACCCACTTAACTCATCTTTATTGTGTCTTCCTTTTTATTTCCTACTATGAAGCTTAAATGACGCCTTTGCATTATTTTTATTTTTTTGAGACAGAATCTCACCTGTCACCCAGGCTGGAGTGCAATGGTGCGATCTCAGCTCACTGCAACCTCCACCTCCCAGGTTCAAGTGATTCTCCTGCCTCAGCCTCCTGAGTAGCTGGGATTACAGGTGTGTGCCATCATGCCCAGCTAATTTTTTTTTTTTTGTATCTTTAGTAGAGACAGGGTTTCACCATGTTGGCCAGGCTGGTCTCGAACTCCTGACCTCGTGATCTGCCCGCCTCAGCCTCCCAAAGTGCTGGGATTACATGCGTGAACCACCGCACCCGGCTGCCTTTGCATTATTTTTAAAGTCACTTCTCAGCTTTATCCTCAACTGATTAATAATACTGTTCATTTTTTTCTTTTACGCTTTATGAATATCTATCCCTTTTCCATACTTCTAGCACTTGAACTTGTCTTCACTGCCTCTCTCAGTTTTCACTACCAACAACATCCTAGGTTGGCCTTCTTCACCCTAAATTTTCTGTCAATCCATCTGTATTTCACTGCTAATTGATTTTTTCTTTAAAGCCATTTTCATCAAGTTAGTAATCTGCTTAAAGACCTTTAAGTCTAAATTCTGGCCTCAATTCCAAGACTCTCCATAATCTGGTTTTACACATGGTAGTTCTTAAGTTAGATAAACCTTTCTTCACTAGCTTCTAAACCTAACATCTTCATTCCCTTTATATCTGTTTATTCCCTTTATATCTGTTGTTTCTCCATTCCCCTTTCACCATGCTTCTATTCCCTAGGCCCGTTCAGATTGTAGTAATTCTTTAAAGTCTAGTTCAAATACCACCTTCTTCATTAAGTTTTCCTGAGCACTCTCTTTTTCCTCACTATTCTTCCTTCTGTAAACATGAATACATTTATGTCCTCATCACATACTTCAATATACTCCATCATAAATTGTAGATTATAATTATATACTATTTTTACATTGTTTGCCATTGTCTCACATATCAATGCTTCTTCATAAGTGGAAGTCATATACTTCTATACCTAATAAAAGATGAACTCAAGGTGTAGACTCAAAATGATCTGTTGCATGATTTTTTCAGGACTGGTTCTGAAATAGTCTATGTCAGCTTTAATCCCACTTATTTGTACCAAATGCAAGTAAATATCTGACTGGTGTGATAAAATAAGTTATTTGGGGAAAAGATCCTTAATTTAAGCATTTAAATGTTGGAAATGTTTCTAATTAACCAGGAGATCCAAAAGAAAGCAGTTCAAGAAGCATGTCACTGAAGAGCAGAAGTCAAATCATACCCAATATTGATTTTTTCAGGACTGATTCTGAAATAGTCTATGTCAGCTTTAATCCCATTTATTTGTATCAAATGCATGTAAATATCTGAGTGGTATGATAAGTTATTTGGGGAAAAAGTCCTTAATTTAACAATTTAAACATTGGAAAGGTTTCTAATTAACCAGGAGATCCAAAAGAAAGCGGTTCAAGTAGCATGTCGCCCAAGAGCAGAAGTCAAACCATACCCAATAGAGTCCGAGGCGGGTGCGGAAGGGGATGATCCAGATGTTAGGGCAGTCTCTGCTAAGGACGCCTCTTCCTGTGGTATTGGGTGGTGTTCAAAGAACTTGGAGACAAACAGCAAACTGTGAGGCAAAACAAAACAAACCTAACTTGTGCAAAACCCAGAAGCTTCATATACCAAAATACATAGTTAACCAAAAAAACTGAGATCAAATTCCATTCTCAGAAACAACTGTTAAAATTCAATTAGTTGTATTTTTGTCTAAAGGCTTATTTTAAAAAAAATTGTATTGCACTTTCAAAGGCATGCTTATAACTTAAAACTAATCATTCAGTTCAGCAAATTTCTACATACTACAAGATGAAAATCATGCTTTATGGTTAAAGAATGAGAATAAAAAGTATCTACTGTAAATTAGGTGACATTATAATTTACTTAAAGTACAGAGTTAAGTTTTATTTGCTCAGGTGATCAAGAAAAGTAAGACTTTAACAGCAGCAGCACCAATGACACAAAAAGAGATAATAGACTCAGTCTAATCTATTAGAAAAACTGGCATACAGCAAAGAGAAATTTTAGAAAGAGATATATACTGGATACAAAAATTTTACATCTTACTCAAATAAATTGGGGGAAGGGAGCTGAATGGGGATGAAGGAGAGAGAGGAAGAATATAAACGTAATTTACAAAATAGCTAACAGAATCAGACTACCTGATCTGTGGTACAAAATCATAATGCTTAATTTAATTGAAACAACTCTCCCTCTCCTCCTAGAAACTATCCAAAAATGGTTTCTATGGGTTAGGGGTCTTGATTAATTAAACGATAATATAAAATATAAATTAACTGTATAGCTGAACCAGCATTACAATTTGGGAGAGAAATACTGTCCATTCCACATATTATTCTCTAACTACACTTAAAAAAAATTCTCTATAACAATCGTATGGAAGAAAAACCCTCACAGACTTTTAGACATCGTAGCTTCACATTAAGAAAATTTAAGTGTAAAATGGTAGGTAGAAAAGAGATATTTTTGGATTACTTACTCAAGTTGGTCATAATTAACACACATCAGTGGAACTTCTGTACTACAACGCTGGTGAAATTTATAACCACATGTTTGACAGCGGAAACCCTGGAAAAGCAGCTTTCGACAAAAGTCACAAAATGCTAAGGTGAAAAACGTTTTTCGTACCTGCAAAGTAAAAAATCACAGAGATTTCAAAAACTCACAAGAAAACTTTCTAGAAACTGACGTATCTACTCTCTTGTTTAAAATAACAAAGTTGTAATATATTTATATCATGAAACTCACATACTAAAGTACTATTATAAAATGAAAACCGGGGGTTCAAGATAATAGATGGACTACACATATTTATTTCCCACCCCACTATCTAACTTAAAAACCCAGAAGTTAAAAAATGAGAAATGAGTAAAAGGCTGGCAACTGATTTCAAGCTTGACAACATAAAAGTAAAAGTAGACATGAAAAGGAGGAGGAAACAGAGGTGAAAGGAAGAAGCCTATACTTTAATTATCATACAAAGAAGGGAGGTTAAGAAATGCCGACTGGTGTTGACGGAACAAGAAAGGCATATATTAAAGTTACAAAGGCACCCAATAGAAGAACCAAAAAACTACTAATAAAAATATTGGGGGAGAGGAGGGAGAGGAAGAACTATAAATGAGCTAATTCCTTATACAATCAGTAATCAGTATATGATATCTAAAGTTAATAAAGCAAGAAATTGTGGCTAAAAGATAATTGCAGTCATGTGTCACATAATGACACTTCAGTTAATCATGGACTTCATACCACAGTGGTCCCATAAGATTATAAAGGAGTTGAATAATTCCTATTGCCTAGTGATACCTTGAAGATCCTGACCTTGTGTAGACCTAGGCTAATGTGTATGTTTGTGTCTTTTTTTTTTTTTTTTTTTTTTTGAGACAGAGTCTGGCTCTGTCGCCCAGGCTGGAGTGCTGTGGCACGATCTCGGCTCACTGCAACCTCCACCTCCTGGTTCAAGTGATTCTCCTGCTTCAGCCTCCCGAGCAGCTGGGACCACAGGCACATGCCACTAGGCCTGGCTAATTTTCCTATTTTTTATTAGAGGAAGGGTTTCACCATGTTGACCAGGCTGGTCTTGAACTCCTGACCTCAGGTGATGCGTCTGCCTAGGCCTCCTCAAGTGCTGGGATTACAAACATGAGCCACCGTGTGCAGCTTGTGTCTTCATTTTTAACAGAAAAGTTTAAAAAGTAAAAAAGAAAAATTAAAAATTTTTAAAATAGAAGTTTATAGAATAAGCACATAAAATATTTTTGTATAGCTATATAATGTTTTTAAACTTTTGAAACTGTTATTTCAAGAGTCAAAAAGTTAAAAAAAATTAAACCTTAGTTTAATGTAAATTTTTTACTTTATAAACTTTTTAAAAAGAAAAATTTTAAAACTGTACTGTAGCCTAAGTGTACAATGTTTATCATAAAAGTCTACAGTAACAAATAGTAATGTCCTACGCCTTCACATTCACTCACCACTCACTCACCAGAGCAATTTCCAGTCCTAAAAGCTCTGTTCATATTAGGTATCCTACACAGGTAGACCATTTTTGATCTTTTATACTGTATTTTTACTGTACCTTTTCTACGTTTAGATACACAAACTTGCCACTGTGTTAAGGTTACCTACAGCATTCAGTTCAGTAACATTCCGTGCAGGTTATTAGCTTAGAAGCAATAGGCTCTACCATATAGCCTAGTTGTATAGTTAGGCTATACCATGTAGGCTTGTGTAAGCACATAACAAAATCACCATTGATGCATTTCTCAGAACATATCCCAGTCATCAGGCAATGTGTAACTGTATTTAGTAAGATGAAAATAATCACCAAAAGAGCTTAAAACAGAAACCATTAAAAATTAACAGTGAATTCCTCCAGAGTGGAATTGGGGGTGGGAGGGAGAGAGACTATAAATACAATCTACATAATAGCTAAAACAAAAACAAAAACAAAATAGCTGACAGAATCAGAACCCCTGATCTATGGTCCAAAAACATAATGGTTAACTTTGGATAAAAATGTAAAAACAATTATTTATAAAACTAGTAAGTAATCATATGAAAATTGAAACAGCTCTTCCTAATCTTACTAAAAAAAATAAGAAACAGAAAAATCACCTAAAAGACAATAAGATCTATTTTTTCTAACAAATGATCAATTTCTTAGAGGATTAGAATGTTTGGGCCACATAAACTTATTTGTGAACACTTCTCTAGGTGAAACTTAGAAGGCAACATGTTAAGAATTCCATGTCAAAGGCAAATGATGTAGAACATGAGTCACGTAACAGAACTGCACTAGGAAGAATCTATCCCACTAAAGCCAGAAATTGCTTAAAATATATTTATTTAGTGTATATAATAATAAGAAAATATAAGAATAAATATCAAAATGTGAGTGGCTACTTCAGAGTGGCGAGAGCATGGGTGACTTCTATTTCATTATTTGTTCTTTGCTCTGTATTCTTGAGATGGAGTCTCGCTCTGTCGCCCAGGTTGGAGTACAGTGGCAGGATCTCGGCCCACTGCAACCTCTGCCTCCTGGTTTCAAGTGATTCTCCTGCCTCAGCCTCCCAAGTAGCTGGGGACTACAGGCATGCACCACCATGCCTAGCTAACGTTTGTATTTTTTGGTGGAGATGGAGTTTCACCATGTTGGCCAGGCTGGTCTCAAACTCCTGACCTCAAGTGATCCGCCTGCCTCGTCTTCCCAGAGTGTTACAGACATGAGCCACCACACTCGGCCTCTATATTCTTAATTCATTTCAGTTTTTCAGAGATTTTTTTTTTGAGACAGAGTCTCACTGTCACCCAGGCCGGAGTGCAGTGGCACGATCTCGGCTCACTACAACCTCCACCTCCTGGATTCAAGCGATTTTCCTGCCTCAGCCTCCCGAGCAGCTAGGACTATAGGCGCACACCATCACACCTGGCTAATTTTTGTATTTTTAGTAGAGACAGGTTTTTTTTTTGGGGGGGGTGGTTAATACTTTTAATTACATGATTGTAATTATACAATTTCCACTCTTCAATATTTTGTATAAAACCAGTTACAACTCACAAGATTTTCAAATGAGACAGGATTTTACCAGGCTGGCCAGGCTGGTCTTGAACTCCTGACCTCGTGAGCTGCCCACCTTAGCCTCCCAAAGTGCTGGGATTACAGGCGTGAGCCACTGTGCCCAGTTTTTCAGAGTTTTAATCACAAATAATGATATTTTACATTATGACTCCATATATAACTGTATTCATACAACACTACTTACCCTGACTATATACAACATGAATTAGAACTTCCTAATCTATTCTGCTACATGTAAATTTTTTTATGATACATTAAATAGATTTCAACATCAAAAGTCTACTTTTCTTTTTCTTTTCTTTTTTTTTTGATAGGGTCTTGCTCTGTTGCCCAGGCTGGAGTATGGTGGCACAATCATGACTCACTGCAAAGTCTGCCTCCCAGGCTCAAGTTATCCTCCCACCTCAGGCTGAATAGCCAAGGCTATTGGTGCACACCACCATGCCCACCTACTTTTTGTATTTTTTTGGAGAGATGAGGTTTTGTCATGTTACCCAGGCTGGTCTTGAACTCTTGGGCTCAAGTGATCTGCCTGCCTCGGCCTCTCAAGGGATTAGAGGCATGAGCCACTGTGCCCAGCCAAAAGTCCATTTTCAATACACATTTATTTACACATTCTGTTCCATTAAGAATAGAAAGTTATTGAAAATATTTCAAGAAAATTACATCCTGATATATAATACATTCTGGCTTTTTGAGGACATTTAGTTTTAAAAGTGACTCTTATTTTCTTCACCTTTTTTCCTATGTATCACTTTCTAGGGGATATAAAACAGGTAAATGTCTATTTCTAATTGTGTTCTTTTTCCATTTGTCTCTGGATATACAAGAAATTTTAAAATCTTTAAAATTTTTTATGTGGCCATTATTCACCAAACCAAGTAGGTAGGTGACCAAAACAGCTGAAGGAAAGAAAACATGTGGATATGCATTTGATCATAAATTTTAAGCAATATATGCCTGTATCTGTAAGTATACCTTTGTCAATAAAGATGAGCACAGGAAGATATATCTTTCTTTTGGGTCACAGCTTACACTTAATCTAGTATCTGAGTATACATAAATATGTATGGCAAATTAGTGAGAGGCACAGTCAAGGTAATTTGCATGCATTAATTTGTAAGGTGTGGGGCTGTGTGAAGGAAGACACTGAGTGTCTGCAGAAAAAGGAGAAGGTTTGGATATAAAAGTTTCAAATCTTGTTTTCCCACTTCCCAGTTCCCAAGGACTCTTGGGATATAGAGAAATACTGAAGGGATTGCTTTTATAATATGAAACCATGAGGCATAAGCAGCCCTCCTTGAATAGCCAAGCAAAACCCAAGACAGCCAAGAACACTTTTCCTTTCTAAGCAGAACATAGGTTTTTGATCTTGCCTCTATATGGCACTCAGAGCAATCATTCTAACACACAAATCTAATCACATTTCTCCCCAAGCTTACAACTATTACATTTCTAATTATTTTACAGAAAAATCCAAATCTTTAATATGGCTAACAAGGATTTTCATGAGCTGGACTCTGCTTATTCTACCCACAACTCTTATTCTACCCACAATACTGTTAACAACCTACTCTTCAACCTTGTATCATCCATTCTGAACTTCTTTCAAAACTTTGAAAGGTAACATGCTTTCTTGCTCTTCCCTCTGTTTAGGGTACTCTTTACTTGATACTTACTTCCTCATCCATCAGGCCTAAGCTTAGATATTTCTGTCTCTGAGAAACCTTCCTAACTCCTCAAAAGCCAGGTTAGGAATCTCTGTGCATCTATAGAACTTTATACATATATAGTAATTATGAATGTTTATGAAAATTTATTAAATCTTCTCTCTACTCTATGGCAGTGACACTGTCTTATTCATTTGTCATATCCCTAGGTAAGATATGGTATTGGCAAATGGAAAGTTCTCAATAAAAATTTACTGGCAGGTATCCAACTGAGTGGTGACAATTTCCATACTCTGGAATCAATCTGCAGTTTGCTTTCACAATCCTTCTGTGGCAAGGACCTTCCTGAGGCATCATTTTAATACTATTTTCTCACACTTAGCAACTTAGGTCTTTCTTTTATCTCCTCATATTCAATTTCTAGCTAAGAAGAATTATTAAGAAACAGAGTAGTAATCACTATGAAATGTATGCTCAACTGTATTTGTATTCTTAAGAACTTAAATAAAAATGTTAAGATTTATCCACTTAAAATTCAACATGTTAAAAAATTATTTGCTGCACAGTAAAATTTGATTGACATTAGGTGTATCTTACACTTCTCCCAAAAAATGCCTTACAGAAACACAAACATGATTTCATTATTCACTACTAATGGAGGCTTGAAAGCATAAACCCCAAAGGAAATAATCTAATCAATCATCTGCTTTAAGAGCCCAGCTGGATTAATCACCAAGACACATGGGAAAACACTTGACGCCTAAAGGGTAGCAGTAATTATCCACCTAGAAAAAACTCTGGCCAAAATTCCATACATAGAGAAAAGTAAGAAATGTATTCCTGATTCAGAGACAACTTTTGGCTTCTGCCTGCCATTTTAGGGGATAAGTTCTCAAGTTCTATGTAGATCCTCATCTCTAAGGTGGAAAGGTCCCACATTCCGGGCCTTATGCTGGTGACCCTTAGGCTTATGCTAGGTTCTAGCAAATGCAAAAACCAGACAAAGAAAAAAGCCTCATGGAGAGTTTAATATCCAGCCATTCTATTTCCATTAACCTATCCTTCAGAAACACAAGGGTGTGTACAAGTGTGTCAAGATATATGCAGAAAGACCTTGTTTAGCCCTGTATGTAACAGATTTTTTATAATACAAAAACTTAAATGTCTATCAATAGAGAAATGGTTAAATATAATGAATTCCTATTCTTACGAATTATTACATAGTCATACTAAAATAAAGCCAGGTATACTGACATGAAAAGATGTCCGTGACATCCTGTTGAATTAAAAAAAAATAAGGCAAAGAATATCACATAGCATGGCTCTACTTTGATTTAAGAAAGGGAAAAGAAAAGAAAGTAATGAAGGAAAGAGAGAAAAAAAGAAAGGAAAAAACTTTAGGCTTACAGGTACAAGCACACGTTTGTGTACACAGAAAAAAGTTTGGAAGACAGAACAATAATCTGTTAATCTAAACAAATGTTGGCCTCTAGGAGGGTATTTTCACTTTTTTTACTTGACATACTTCTGCACTATTCAAAATTATCTTTTAACAATGCATACATTTTACTTTTTTAAATTAAAAAGAAAGTATAAAGATTAAAATTAAACTCTTGTTTAAATACAAGTTTTTAAAGAAAACAACTGATTTCAACTCAGGTAAAATGTCAGTTCCAAAATTACTCATCCATATTTCACATTCCCTAAATAAAAATTCATTCATTAAAATCTAAACATTTTTGACATTTCAAAAAAAAATGTAAAGATACATACAAAGTTGTGTGTTGTAAGTGGAACATTCTCCAACACTTCCACATGCAATTCTTCTCCAGTAAGCCAGGAAATATCAGTGTCCCAACCAATTGGTTTCTTCTCTCTGAAAAATGTAGACACAAGCCTTTCTTGGTTATTACACCTAAAAATATTCATATACCTCATGCTGAAGATATGAAAATTGGTTATCGAGGGGCTAGTAACAGTGAGGGAGGTTTGGCTCCCTAATATTCCATCGTTAGAAATTTAAATGGCAATAAATTAATTTTAAGTTTACCCCAAATAAATGTATCACTCTTGGACAAACAGCAGGGTAAAGAGATGTACTCTTTTCTTCAAGTCAGCTCCAGAAAAGACCTACAACAGCAGAAAATGGATTGTTCCTGGGGTCCAAAAAAAAAAAAAAAAAAAAAAAAAATCACAGGTACGGACTTATCTATCCATTCAAGGAAAAAGAGTACTCAAGGGACAGGGACAACATGCCCCCAAAATAATTTTTTTTTTTTTAAAGAGGATTCAAAATGTGAGGGTCTTGGAACAATGTTAGACACTTTCTGAAAGAAAAGTAGGTCAATATAAAATGTTAATTTTGATATACCTTTTGTGAAACTATGAGTTTGTATTAAAAATGGGAGGGGGGTAAGAGTCTATTATCCAAATAAATCACACTCTGAATGGTTCAAAAATTGTAAGAATCTCAAATTCCAAATAAAATCATTTGATCAAAGTAACAAACCCTACAGTCATATACAATTATTTAACTCCTCATATGGCCTACAGTATTTCTTCAGGCTAACTTAGTATTATTTTAATACTTTTTCCTAAAGTACACTTTCAATTCCCTAGGTTTTGGTAAAGATCCTAAGAAAACTTCAAAGTTTAATGTGTGATTTTCTTTTTAAACAAAATTTCACGTCACATACAAACCATACCCATCCTGAATTCTGTAAACAGCACAGCACTCTGGGATTAGACCTCTCATCATCAGTGCTTTCTTTAGACTGTCTCGGACTGTAACTCCACACCTTGCAGGTACCTATGGTATCATAAATATATTGATAAGAGGTAAAGGGAGCAAATTACATTTTTTCATATCATTAAAAAAATTTAGTAATTCATCTTTAAAAAGTCAAATGGGTTACTAGGTCAGATACAACACCATTTCTACAGCTAACTTAATACTAAAGGGAAATTATAACCCAAATATTTGTTATTATTCACCAACTTAAATCAAAGCAAAGTTAATTTTCTATTTTATTAAAATTATGAAATACTTTAAACATATAAAAAGAAGAAGTAACAGTATCTGCTACAATATACCCACCAACGCAGTATATCCATCACTGAGCAATAATAGATGTCAATATTAAAAGCAAAATCAATTTTGATCCAATACTGTTCAAAGCTGAAAACTGTATAACCCTTCAATCACACTGACTGTCCTTAAGAGACCTCTTACTGGCCCTAAACATAGCGGGAAGAAAAAAACCTGTCTTAACATGTATACTTGATATTTGTTGTTTGGTGCCCCTGTTTCCTCTGGGAATATTCCCTTCTCTAGAAATCCACATGGTACTAGAAAAGCTATCAAGGGTCACTACTTTTATGTCACTACAGATGACAGAAGCTGGCTAATCAGTTTCCCATACCCCCGGCAAGAGCAACTGGTCCAGGGCTATATATATGACCCAAACAGTACCTGAGTTCTTCCCTAAATTGACACATGGACACTGACAGAGAAAAGTCCTTGTTTCTACTGTAGTTCTGTAGATTTGCAGAAGATACAAATCTGGAGCCCTCAATGGCCATATTCTCCACCACACTGAGAAAATCTGTTATAGAATGAAGCTAACATACGAAGCAGCAAAGATGACATGGGAAGAGAGAGACAGAGAAGGAGGGAAAGGGAAAGGGAAAAAAAAAGTAATCTCTCTGTATATTTAAAGTTATCTATCTTTAGCCTTTTCCTTGCCTCATCCCCCACAGGCAAATCTGAGTTACTTGGAACTGAAGGTGTAGACTACAGTGAGGCAGTGTGAATACAGAGGACACAGTTTTTATTGGGAGGTGTAAGAAGAAGGGGAAATGTTAGTTTGTAACAATAAGTTCCATTCATTTAAATTGAGGTGCTTAGCAAACCAAAAGTTTCCAAAGAAATTGGGAATATTTATGCTAGAGGGGAAAAAAAGGGGGTAAAGGTAAATATAAGACAGCTGAATTCAAATAATATATTGAAGGGGGAAAGAGTCCAGAAAGCCTAATTAGGATCTATGACCAGAAATAACAGGACGCAGAGGGTAGTGCAATATAACCATTAAAACTATCCAGGTTGGGTGCAGTGGCTAACACCTGTAATCCCAACACTTTGGGAGGCCAAGGTGGGTGGATCATTTGAGGTCAGGAGTTCGAGACCAGCTTAGCCAACATGGTGAAACCCCATCTCTACTAAAAAACACAAAAAGTAGCCGGGCAGAGCGGCGGGCGCCTATAATCCCAGCTACTCAGGTGGCTGAGGCACGATAATCACTTGAACCCAGAAGGCAGAGGTTGCGGCAAGCCAAAATCGTACCACTGCATTCCAGCCTGGGTGACAGAGCGAGATACTGTCACAAACAAACAAAGAAAAACCCTGAACTTTTACCTACCCAGCAAGGTAAAAGTTTGTCATGAGAGACTGGGCTCATCACTGGAAGTATTAAAGAGACTGGATGGTACAGTTGATCCTCATTACTTGTGGAGTCCATACTTGAAATCTCTCTACTTGCTAAAATTTATTTGTAACTCTAAAGTCAATACTCTTAGTGCTTTCATAGACATGCGCAGAGCAATGAGATATTTGAGTCGCCTAATGCATGCACCTCTCCAACTGAGGTTGAACAGTGAAGCTTTCTCTTGCCTTCTTGTTTCAATTTTCATACTATAAACAAGTATCCTGGGCAGAGCCTATTTGGTGCCACTTTTTTCTCACTTTTGTGCTTCTTGTTGATGATTCTTCTGTTTAAAATAATCCCTAAGCATAGTGCTCACGTGCTGTTTAGGGCTGGTAAGCATAAGAAGGCTATAATGTCCCTGGCAGAGTAAGTACATGTGTTAGGCCAGCTTCCTTCAGGCATGAGTTATAGTAATGTCAGCCGTGAGTTCAATGTTAATGAATCAACAATATGTCTTTAAACAGAAACACACACAAAACAAGGTTACGTATCGACTGACTGATGAAAATGTGACTAGAGGCTGGTAGGAACCTAACTGTATTTTAAATGTGAAGGATCTGGGGTCTGATCAAGGAAAAAGATATGACCACGAGGTGGCAGTAGCATGCATAGCTTTATTGGGTGACATTGACAGATCTGCAGGCAGAGGATGTCCTTAAAGCATACTGTCCAGAGGCTAAGGCAGAGTGGCCACTACCCAAACAGGACTGGCCAGAAGCTGAGGTGGAGTGGCTATCACCCAGAAGAGGAGGGCTAGGGGACTCTCAGGGGAGAGGGGAGTAGGAGAGGGAGCTTATATGTCTAGCTGACAATGTTAGACAACCCAGCAGGGAGTCTATGTATCAAAGAGCTCCAAAGGGCAACAGCAGCTTGGAATCTTTATAGCCTTGGGATTTGATCTTATTTATACCTAATAGATGTTGAGTACAAAGCAGTTTTGTGGGGACTGCAAAGTAGGCAGGCTCTCAGTGGCTAAAAATCTGCTTATCAGGATTATATTTAAAACAATTAGATGTACAAAAAATTTAGTTTGGTGCAAGCACACTTTTAAGCCAATAGGTCTCAACCTGTTGTAATGGAAGAAACAACCTAGAGGCCAATATACAGAGGGGTTTTTTGGCTCATTTAAATAATAATAATCCTTGTACTTCCCCTAGGAGCAAGGTTCAGTGTTCACTAATTGTTTGTAGTGAATTTATAGACCATAACTACTACGAACAATGAGAACTGGTTGTAACCTTTCAGAAATAATAAACTTAAGTGAAAGCTCACTTTTCCCTGTGCCATTCGTCTTCCGCCTATACTAATGCCAAAATTTCCTGACTGGTGACCGATCTTTAGTTTTAAACCACATCCAATGTATCCTATCCTATGTTACCATAGAAATCTTTCTAAAGAAGGCATTCTTTTTTTCTTTTTTATCTTTGTTTTTAATTTTTTACTTTTAAGAAGGTATTCTTAACTTTTGGGCATGCATGTGCATGCACACCTGTGTGTGTGTGTGTGTGTGTGTGTGTGTGTGTGAGGGTGGGAGGGGGAGAGAGAGAAAGACTTCTGAGAATCTAATGAAAGCCTCAAATGTGCTCTCTGAAACAAAATTTCATAGGGTTTGTGGAATCTGAAGCCCACGCTGAGTTCACTGAACTCAGCATTTAACCCATTCTAATATATAATCTTAAATTTCACTAGTTTGCTTAAAATTTTCCCATTATTTGTAAGATAAAATTCCAATTCCATAATGTGTCATAAAAGGCCACCAATGACTTGGAGCTATCTATCCTTCAGCCTCTTTGGTAATTTCCCTTAGGCACTCCAGTAATGCACTTCAAATATGGCTATGCTCCCTCATGCTTCTCTACATATGCTGATCCTAAGTTGCATATATATTTCATCAACAGGCAAAAATTTGGTTTTCTGCTCTATTACCAAGGCAAGCCATCTATCAGTCCTTCTTAATTCCACTTTTGTAGGCTGAATTTTTATACTATTTGTTCTTTCATGATAGTACCTGTACAACAGATGAAGAAATCAATGGAACAAAACAGAAAGACCAAAATAGACCCTAACACATAAAGAAAGTGCGAATAAGATAAAGGCAACATCTGAAATGGGGTAAAGATGAACTTTTAAATAACTGATGCTGGGACAACTGGAACTAATCTAGAAAAAAAGGTTCATCCATACTTCATATTGTATACCAGAATAAACTACAAATGGATCAAATATTTAAATGCTGGAAGGAAGAAAGGGAAGGAGAGTGAAACAAACCATAAAAGAACTAGAAGAAAGCATGGCACCTTCAAATCTTCAAATGAAAAAGGCTTTTATAACTCTGATGCAAAATCTACAAGTCATAAAGGAAAAAAATATTATATTCACCTACATAAAGCTAAAAAAAAACTTTTGGATGGCAAAACAAACACATTAAAAGTGAAGTAAAAAGACAGTACAAATGGTGAAAAATATATTTGCAACTCATTTAGCAGATGTGTTAGCTTCCTGATACACAAAGAGCTCCTGAAAAATTGAGATGAAGACCAATAACCCAAGAGAAAAAGGGAAAAATATATGAGAGACAGGTCCCAGAAACAGAAGTAGAAATGGCCTTCACACATATGAAAACATGTTCAGTCTCACTCAGAGGAAAGCAAACCCAAACTAGTGAAGTTATTTTTCATTTATCAGATTGGCAAAAATCCAAAAAAAAATTGATAACATATTCTACTGGTATGAAGCTATAAACAGACATCTCATAATTAAGCAAGATCCATGAAGCGAAATTTGTATCTATCAAAGTCACAAATGCAAATTTCTCTTTGACCTAGTCAAGCATACTTCTGGGAATCTATCTCACAGATATGCCTGCAATACATAAGAATAATGTATGTGCAACATTATTCACTACAGTACTGACTGTATATCAAAAGTCTAGAAAGAACCTGAATGACCATACACACATCACTGGTTAAATACACTATAGTACATCTATACAATGGAACTGTAGTTGTATATATATAAAAAATTATGTATGAAACAAAATTTCCAGAATGGCCTACATAAACGTTAAAAACAAAATACAGAATGATATATACAGTATTATGTATCTTATGTATGAAGAGTGGGGAAATAAATGTATTTGTACTTATGTCTATATTTTAAAAACCATGAAAATCCATACATGCGTGTACACACATGCACATGCATGCGGACGCATACATACACACACACACACACACACACACACCCTCCTTAAAAAAGAGTTACCTAAAAGGTGCAGAGAAAATTGGATGTATATTTAGGCCAGGGTGAAAACAAGATTTCTTTATGCAAATACCATATGAAAGTATAACCTGTGTAAAGGGAGGGAGGTTGTCTCCTACTTTAAGGCTAGGAAAACTAAAAAGAGGTATTTTTGTAATAAACTAGGTTTATGCCTTTCCTCCAAATTCCAAAATTAAATATCTTTGATTAGCTTGTCAGAGCAATAATTTTTCTCTTAAAAAAATAAAAAAGCATCCTATCTTAAAAAGGAGCCAGAGTCAATGGAACCATGTGAATATTTGCCAAGGAAACTTTAGACCAAAACAAAATGTATGAGTCCAAACTTTCACACGTCAATTTTTAAAGTGAACTGAAATTATCTTTTGTTAATGAGCTCACAATGATTCATATACTACTCTACTTTTATGTATGTTTAAAATTTTCCATAGTTGGCCAGACATGGTGGCTCATGCCTGTAATCCCAGCATTTTGGGAGGCCAAGGCAGGCAGATCACCTGAGGTCTGGAGTTCAAGACCAGCCTGGCCAACATGGTGAAACCCCATCTCTATTAAAAACACAAAAATTAGCCAGGCATGGTGGCAGGCTCCTGTCATCCTGGCTACTAGGGAGGCTGAGGCAGGAGAATCACTTGAACTTAGGAGGCGGAGGTTGTAGTGAGCCAAGACTGTGCCACTGCACTCCAGCCTGGGTGACAGAGTGAGACTCCATCTCAAAAAATATATATATATAAAATTCATATAATTTATACTTTATATATAATGTATATAATTTATATATAACATAATTTATATACAATATATAACATATATATTATATATAACATATATATTATATATAACATATATATATTATATATAACATATATAATTTATATATATTATATATATAAAAGTTTCCATAGTAAAAAGTTTTTTAAAAAAACAGTTGTTCTAAAATTTAGGTGGTCATCAAAATTGTTATATGTTTAATTCTTTGAGATAGTACATTAATTTGGTAGTTTGTTTTACAGTGCAGACGATTATATGCCTTAAGTAAGCTTCATGATACAGTAACATCTTAAATAAACTGGCACAGAATATACATGCCAATATACAGATTTTGAATACAAATTTAAATTACATAGCTTTCTGATTTTATAATTTAACTTAATGCCAAGTTCTTTTTTGGGACTATTACATCAATTACATTTTTTTTTTTTTTTTGAGACAGAGTCTCGCTCTGTCGCCCAGGCTGCAGTGCAGTGGCGTGATCTCAGCTCACTGCAAGCTCCACCTCCCGGGCTCACGCCATTCTCCTGCCTCAGCCTCCTGAGTAGCTGGGACTACAGGTGTCTGCCACCACGCCTGGCTAATTTTGTTTTTTTTTGTATTTTTAGTAGAGACGGGGTTTCTCCTTGTTAGCCAAGATGGTCTCGATCTCCTGACCTCATGATTCGCCCGCCTCAGCCTCCCAAAGTGCTAGGATTACAGGTGTGAGCCATTTTTTTTTTTTTTTTTTTTTGAGACAGGGTCTTGCTCTGCCACCCAGGCTTGTGCAATGGTGCGACCTAGAATCACTGCAAACTCCACTTCACAGGTTCAAGGGATTCTCATGCCTCAGCTTCCAGAGCAGCTGGGATTACAGGCATGTGCCAGCAAGCCCGGCTAATTTTTTTGTATTGTTAGTAAAGACGGGGTTTTAGTATGTTCCTCAGGCTGGTCTCGAACTCCTTACCTCAAGTGACCCGCCTGCCTCAGCCTCCCAAAGTGCTGGGATTACAGGTGTGAGCCACTGCAACTGGCCTAATTACAATATTGTTTTAAAGAAAAAAAAATTGTTATGATCTGCTTATAACATGCTTTCATTAAAGTAGAAAAAGGAGGATGTCTATACCACAAAAACTTCAGAAGGTAAAAGCAATTTTAGAATTAAGCGTGCCTCCTGGTCAGGTTGAATTTAACTGGCCAAGAACCAGAAACCACAGGATTTATAAAGGTGACATTTTTTACTGCTAAATTGCTGTCCCAATCAAATCAAAATAAAAATGAAAGTTAATCAATTACTTTATTAGTATTCTAAGGGGAAAAAACTTACCAAGCAACAGAGAAGCACTTTCACTGTTGGCAAAGAATACAGTTTATTAGGCGCCAAGAATGTCTTGGATTCCATAGCTGTTTTATTGAAATTTAAACACAGTAATTTACGTACCAACCTGAGCTAATACTGCTTCCTATAGTATTCTACCTCATCAAGTTGCTATGAAGATTAAATGAGTAAGTGAAAGTGTTTTTACAAACTGTACCAATATGTAAAAGGTATTATTATTATTCCTGTCTACACAGAAACTGAATGGATCACCCTCTTTGATCACTTGTAGATCTTAGTTTCTGCTTTGCTGTTGCTAAAAATAAAAGGAGAGGGAAGGTCTAGCATTTACTCTAGTGATGTCCCTTTACTTTCGACCTATTCCATTGAAACTATTTATTTGTACTGGTGAATGTTAAAGCTTCTGGTATTCGTTTTATTGCTAAAATAAGAACATACCTTTTCCTTAATCTTTCCATTCCATAAACATTTCCTGCTTGATTATAGCATAACTAGGGCATGATTTTGAAGCATCAGTCAGTATTGCCCTATCTTTTCCCTTTGCCATTCCTGTACCTTGGATACCATCAGGATTAATGCCAATCAACAGATATTTGTTTACAAACCCCAGGGTATGTAAACCCAAAGACTCATTCTTTCAAAAATACTTACAGTACATTTACTCAGTATTAGACACTACTCTACTCACTGAGTAAACCAAAATAGATATGCTCTTCTCACAGAACTAAAAACAACTCAAAGATGTTAAAATTAATTTAGTAGTTTTAGGTACCGTTTCAGACTTTTCATCAGACAACAGACCCACAGCTAGAATCATAATTAATGAAAAAAACCTGAAAGTATTCTTCTAAGACCTGGAACAAGACAAGGATGCCCACTTTCACCACTGTTATTCGACACACTATTGGAAGTCCTAGCTAGAGCAATTGGATAAGAGAAAAAAAAAAGGGTATCCAAATTGGAAAGAATAAGTCAAATTATCCTTGTTTGTGGATAATATGATCTTATATTTGGAAAAACCTAAAGACTCCACCAAAAAAACAATTATAACTGACAAATTCAGTAAAGTTGCAGGATACAAAATTAACATACAAAAGTCAGCAGCATTTCTACATGCCAACAGCAAACAATCCGAAACAAAAATCAAGAAAGTAACTCCATTTACAATAGCTACAAATAAAATACCTAGGAATAAACTTAAAAACAAAGAAGTGAAAGATTTCTACAATGAAAACTATAAAACACTGATGCAAGAAACTGGAGAGAACACATGAAAAAATGGAAAGACCGGCCATGTTCATGGACTGGAAGAATCAATATTGCTAAAGTGTCCATACTACCCAAAGTAATCTACAGATTCAATGTAATCCCTATGAAAACACCAAAGACATTCTTCACAGAAATAGAAAAATAATCCTAAAATTTATATGGAACTACCAAAGGCCCAGAATAGCCAAAGCAAAAAGAACAAAACTGGAAGAATCACATTACCTCACTTCAAATTATACTACAAAGCTATAGTAACCAAAACAGCATGGTACTGGCATAAAAACAGACATATAGACCAATGGAACAGAATAGAGAACAATGAAATAATTCCATACATCTACAGTGAACTCATTTTTGACAAAGGTGCCAAGAACATACACTGGGGAAAGGACAGTCTCTTCAAATGATACTCCCTGTCCCAGGAATTCCACTTTCAGGTTTGTGACACCTTGTTATATGTGTACAAGGAGACAAGCACAAGAATGTTCTTATTACAGCACTGTTTGTCATAACAAAAAAATCCAAATATAACCTAAATGCTCATCAATGGAGAAAAAGATAAACTGTGGTATATTAAGAAGCTAGAATACTTGATAATAGCATTGAATGAAATAGATCTGTATGTGTTAACATATAAATACATACACCTTGAAATCATAATTTTGAATAAAAAGGACAAGATGCTGACCATTACATACATATAGTATCGTATCACCTTACAAATTAAAAAAAAAACAAAAACATTGGCTTATGGCTACACATATATATAATAAAATACAAAAATATGATTGAAGGTACCTCACATTTATCATAGTGACTGTCTTTTTGGGGACAAGATGGGACGATGGGTGTCCAGCAGAGGAATGGGACTGGTAGTGGAACCTAAATTTGTACTTCTATGTATAATATGAAGCAAATATAACAAAAAATTAGTATTTGTTCATTGTAGGTGACTAAACAGCTGTTTAATATATTGTCCTTTATATTTTTCCATACAAGTATTTTAATTTTTTTTTTTTTTTTGAGATGGAGTCTTGCTCTGTTGCCCAGCCTGGAGTGCAGTGGCACGATATTGGCTCACTGCAACCTCTGCCTCCCAGGTTCAAGCAATTCTCCCGCCTCAGCCTCCCGAGTAGCTGGGATTACAGGTGTGCGCCACAATGCCTGGCTAATTTTTATACTTTTAATAGAAACAGGATTTCATCATGTTGGCCAGGCTGGTCTCGAACTCCTGACCTCAGGTGATCCGCCCGCCTTGGCCTCCCAAAGTGCTAGGATTACAGGCATGAGCCAACACGCCAGCACCGGCCAAGTGTTTTAAATTTTCTAAATAAAAAGTTAAAAAACCTTATGAACAATATTTTCTAAATGCTAAACCAAAGTCACCAATTTTGAAATACCTAAAACAGGCAATTATCTTTACAATACTATATACAACTTATTAAGTATGGTTTTCATTTAGTGATGTAAAAGACCACATCCAGGGTCTATCACATTTCTTGATATTACAATCCTTTGACTTAGTCTACCTTATTTTGAAGATAGCTTATCTAGTCTACCTTATACTGAAGACAGCTTACCTATCTTACGTAGTCTACCTTACACTGAAGATAGCTTACCTAGGAATAAACTTAAAAACAAAGAAGATACTGAAGAGAGCTTACCTATCTTCAGTATTTCCCTTTTGTGTCTCTAGAGCATTCAGTTTTATTCTTGTTATCTCCACTTCTTTCTCTTGTTGTGTCATAGATCCTTGGAGAACTTGTACATTTTCCCATCTCTAGAGGAAATAATCTTGGCTACTTTCTCTTTTCTGTCCGATTTCTATTATTAGAGCATTGTTCAAAAACCTTTGTAATTCTTCTCGTCTCAGGTCATTGGTATTTATCTATGAATTGCATGTAAAACTATCTATATAAAAGCAAATCCTTTCTCCACAAAGATATATAAAAGCCAACAATCACACAAAAAGATGCTTCACATTACTAGTCATAAGGGAAATGCAAATAAAACCCAAAATGAGATACCATTTCATACCCATTAGGATGGCTATAATAAAAAAGACAAATAATAAACAAGTTTGGCAGTGATGTGAAAAAAACAGAACCCTCATGCTCAAGGGAAAGTAAAATGGTGTAGCCATTTTGAAAAACATTCTGCCAGTCTCTTAAAAGGTTACTAGAGGCACAAATGAAATCATATGTCCACACAAAACCTTGAATACGAATGTTCACAGCAGCATTGCTCATAACAGCTAAAAAGTAGAAACGACACAGATGTCCATCAGCTGATAAATGTGTAAACAAAATGTGGTATATACAGCCAATGGAATATTACTGAGCCATAAGAAGGCATGAAGGACTGACACAGGGTACAATGTGGATGGACTTTGAAAACATTATGCTAAGTAAAAGAAGTCAGTCACAAACACATATTGTATGATTTCATTTATATGAAATGCCAGAGAATAGGCAAATCTATAGAGATAGGGAGCAAATGGGTGGTTACATAGGGATGGGAGGAATGGGAAGTGACTGCTAACGGGTACAGTGTTTATTTTTGGGATGAAAAAATATTTTTAAATGAATTATCACGGCCACAGAACTTTGTGAATATACAAAAATCATTTTATACTTTAAATGGGTAAATTGTATGGCTTTTGAATTATATCTCAATAAACCATCAAATAAAATTTTTTTAAAGAAATTTTCTTTTGACTTATAAGCCTAAACAGGCTTAGAACACAAGCCATCTTTTGGGGTAATCAGGTGAGTCTAATATTTTTTGGTTAATTTTTTGTCATATAATACAAACAACTGTCATACAGACAAACAATACACACAGGATTCAAGTCAAATATACTTTAAATTTTATTAGATTGGTAATACTTTTAAAAATCTGTTAACATTCCATGTTGGCCAGGATCTTGTGGGAAAAGGAAGTTTCATACACTTGTTGAGAATCAAAATCTTTTCTGATATTAAGTTATCGCAAAGTTTTCAGTGTGTATATTCTATGACCCAATAATTATTTCAAGGTATTTATCTTCCCCAATAAAAGTATTCCCACAGTGTTTCAGGATATATGTACTTAAATATATACTGCAACATTACCTAATTATCCATCAAGAAAGAAATAGCTAAATGAGATACAACTACTCTAAACAATACATGAATAAATATATAATCACCCTGAACAATCATAAAAAACAGACACCTTGGCATTATGTGAAATAAGGGTATCAAGTATAAAAGTAAAAGGTCAGTCCCTTTTTCTTGTCCCAGGGAATATCCCCATCCCTCCAATAACCCCAATTAACAGATTTTTACAATTATTCAAATATATCTCAGGGCCAGGTGCAGTGGTTCATGCCTATAATCCCAGCACTATGGGAGGCCACAGAGGGAGGATTGCTTGAGCCCAAGAGTTTGAGACCAGCCTGGGCAACATAGCAAGGCCCTACCTCTACAAAAAAATTTAAAAATTAGGCATGGCACACGCCTGTGGTCTCAGCTACTTGGAGGGTGAGATGGGAGGATCACCTGAGCCTGAGAAGTCAAGGCTGCAGTTAGCTGTGATTATACCACTGCACTCCATTCTGGGCAAGACTCACTCTCAAAAAATAAAATTAAAAATAAAAATCTCAAGGAACATATATGCTTATTCTTTTTAGTTATTGCACATACTCCAGGATCTAGAAAGTCTTTTTTTAAGACAGGGACTCACTCAGTTGCTCAGGCTGGAGTGCAGCAGCACAATCATACCTTACTGAAGCCTCAAAATCCTGGATTATCCCGCCTCAGTCTCCCAAGTAGCTGGGGCTACAAACTCATGCTAGCACACCTGGCTAATTTTTTGTAGAGACAGGGTCTGGTTACATTGCCCAGGCTGGTCTTGAACTCCTGGGCTCAAGCAATCCTTCTGCCTTGGCCTCCCAAAGTGTTGGGATTACAGGCGCAAGCCACTACACCCAGCGTCTGAATTACATTTTTTTTTTTTTTTTTTTTTTTGAGACAGAGTCTCGCTCTGTCACCCAGGCTGGAGTGCAGTGGTGGGATCTCAGCTCATTGCAACCTGTGCCTCCCAGGGTCAAGCAATTCTCCTGCCTCAGCTCCAAGTAACTGGGATTACAGGTGTGCACCACCATGGCTGGCTAATTTTTTTTTTTGTATTTTTAGTAGAGATGAGGTTTCACCATGTTGGCCAGGCTGGTCTCGAACTCCTGACCTCAAGTGATCCTCCCGCCTCAACCTCCCAAAGTGCTGGCAAAAAACAACAGATGCTGGCAAAGCTGCAGAGAAAAGGGAAGGCTTGTACACTGTTGGTGGGAATGTAAATTGGTTAGGCACTGTGGAAAGCAGTTTGGAAATTTCTCAAAGAACTTAAAATAGAACTACCATTCGACCCAGCAGTCTCATTGCTCGGTATATATACATCCAAAAGAAAATGAATCATTCTACGAAAAAACCACATATTTAACACAGCACTATTCACAATAGCAAAGGCATATGCACCATGGAATACTATGCAGCCACAAAAATGAATGAAATCATGTCCTTTGCAGCAACCTGGATGCAGCTGGAAGCCATTATCCTAAGCAAATTAACACAGGAAGAGAAAACCAAATATCAAATGTTCTCATTTCTAAGTAGGAGCTAAACTTTGGGTACTCATGGACATAAAGACAGCAATAACAGAAACCGGAGGCTACTAGAGCGGGGAGGGCAAAGGTTGAAAAACTATTGGCTACTATGCTCAGTACTTGGATGATGGGATCATTTGTACATCAAACCTCAGCATCATGCAATATACCCAGATAACAAAGCTGTGCATGTACCTCCTGAATCTAAAATAAAAGTTGAAAAAAAAATTTTAATAATAATTCTTTCTCCCAAAGTCTATTTCATATAATATTTCCACAGTACTATCAGCTTTCTTAAAGGCTATTAAAAAACAAACAAACAGATTTATCTAGGTACAACTGACATACAATAAACTGCAATGATTTAGAGTACACAATTTGATACATTTTGAGATTACGTATATACCCATGCAACCATCATCACATTCAAGATAATGAACATACCCATCACTTTCTGAAAGGTTCCTTGTGCTCCTATGTAAATCTTCCATCCTGCCATAGTCCTGTGCCCAGGCAAATACAAATCTGTTGTCACTATAGAAGAGTTTGCATTTTCTAGAATTTTATGTAAACTGAATTTTAAAACGTGTAATCATTTTTTGTCTGACTTCTTTCACTCAGCATAATTACTTTGAGATTCATCTATGTTGTGTGCATTAGCAGTTCATTCCTTTCTACTGAGTAGTATTCCCTTTTATAGATACACCACAATCCAACCATTCACCTGTTTATGGACATTTGGGTTATTTCCAGTTTGGGGCTATGACAAAGCAACTAAGAACATTCGTATACAAATCTTTCTACGAACATATGCTCCCTTTTCTCTTGGGTAAATACCGAGGAGTAGAAGGGCTGTGTGATATGCTAAGTGTACATCTGACTTTTTGTGGGGGTGGACAGGGTCTTGCTCTTTCACCCAGGCTGGAGTGCAATGGTGCACATAGCACAATGTAGCTTTTAACTCCTGGGCACAAGTGATCCTCCTGCTTCAGCCTCTCAGGTAGCTAGGACTACAGATGTACACCACCACTCCTGGCTAATTAAAAATTTTTTTTGTAGACATGGGGTCTCACTATGTTGCCCTGGCTGGTATGGAACTCCTGGTCTCAAGTGATTCTCTCGCCTTGACTTCCCAAAGCACTGAGATTACAGGTGTGAGCCACCGTGTCCAGCCTAACGTTTTACATAACTACCATACTATTATTTCACAAAATTATGGTAAAATATATCTAACATAAAGCTTAACATTTCAACCATTTTTAAGTGTACAATTCAGTAGTGTTAAGTACATTCACAATGTTGTGCAACCAATCTCCTGAACTCTTTTCATCCTGCAAAACTAAAACTCTATAACCATTAAACAACTCCCCAGCACCCCTTCCCCCAGCCCCTGGCAAGCACCATTCTACTCTGTGTCTCTGTGAGTCTGAACACTCTAGGTACTTCAATAAGTGGAATCATACAGTATTTGTCGTTTTATGACTGGCTCATTTCACTTAACATAATGTCCTTGAGATTTACTCATGTTGTAGTATGTGTTAGAATGTCCTAAGGCTGAATAATATTCCAATGTATATACATACCATATTTTGTTCATCCACTCCTCTATCAACAGAAATCTGGGTTGCTTCTGCCTTTGGCTACTATAGTGAATAATGCTGCTATGAACATGAGTGTACAAATATCTCTTTGAGATCCTGCTTTCAATTATTTTGGGTATATACACAGAAGGAGAATTGATGGATTATATGGTAATTCTATTTTTAGTTTTTTGAGGAACCTCTATACTGTTTTCCATAGCAGTTGCTCCATTTTACATTTCCACCAACAGTGCAACAGGGGTCCAATTTCTCCACACCCTTGCCAACTCTTGTTATCTTCTTTTTTGTCTGATAGCCGACATCCTAATGGGTGTGAGGTGGTATCTCCTTGTGGTTTTGATTTGCATGTTCCTAATAATTAGCAATGTTGGGCATCTTTTCATATGCTCGTGGCCATCTGGATATCTTCATTAAAGAAATGTCTGTTCAAGTCCTCTGCCCATTTTTTAACAAGGTTGTATGCTATTACAGGAGTTCTTTATATTCTGGATATTAACCCCTTATCAGATACAAGATTTGCAAATATTTTTCCCATTCCAGGTTGGCTTTTCACTCTGTTGATTATATCCTTTGATGATCAGAAGTTTTAAATTCTGATAATAGTACAATTTTTCCATTTTTTCTTGTGTTCCCTGGGCTTTTGGCATCACGGCCAAGAAATCATTGACAAATCCAAAGTTATGATGCTTTTCTCCTATGTTTTCTTGTAGTAAAAGTTTTATGGCTTTAACTGTTATGTTCAAGTCTTTGATCCATTTTGGGTTATTCTTTGTACATGGTATAAGGGAAGGGTACCACTTCATTCTTTTGCATGTGGATATTCAGTTGCCAGCATCATTTGCTGAACAGATTCTCTTTACTTCATGGAGTGGTCCTGGTACCCTTGTCAAAGATCATTTGACCATAAATGTGAAGATTTAGTTCAGGACTCTCATCTGTCTGCATGCCAGTACCACTTAGTTTTGATTACTCTAACTTTGTAGTAAGTTTTGAGATCAGGAAGCATGATGCCCCCAACTCTGTACTTTTTTTGACTGCTTTGGCTATACGGGATTCCTTGAGATACGGTATGAATTTTAGGACGGACTTTCTATTTCTGAGGAAAAAAAAAAAAAGCCCGTTGGGATTTTGAAAAGGTTTCATTAAATAAACTGCCAAATTTTATTCCAAAGTGGTTGTACCAATTAAACACTCCTATCAGCAGTGTACGGAAATTCTAGTTCTTTCACATCCCCACTAATACTTGGTATGGTCACTCTAATTTCAGCCATTCTAGGAGGCATGTAAGGGTATCGCGTGCCTATTTAATTTGCATTTTCCTAATGACTAATGTTGAGCGTCTTCTCATGCGTTTATTACCATCCATATATCTTTGATGAAACTGTTCAAATCCTTTGTCCGTTTTTAATTGGGTTGTTTTTTCTTTTTTTTTTTTTTTGAGATGGAGTCTCACTCTGTTGCCCAGGCTGGAGTGCAGTGGCGCAATCTCGGCTCACTGCAACCTCTGCCTCCCGAGCTCAAGCAATTTTCTGCCTCAGCCTCCCGAGCAGCTGGGGTTACAGGCGCCTGCCACCACGCCCAGCTAATTTTTGCATTTTTAGTAAAGATGGGGTTTCACCATCTTGGCCAGGCTGGTCTTGAACTCCCGACCTCATGATCCACCTGCCTCAGCCTCCCAAAGTGCTGGGATTACAGGCATGAGCCTCCGCACCCAGCCATTTGTTTTCTTACTATTGAGCTTTCAGAGTTCTTTATATATTCTACATGTCCTTGATCAGATACATGGCTTACAAAGATTATCAATCTGTGGTTTCTCTTTTTATTCTCTTAATACTGTCTTTTGAAGAGCAGAAGTTTTACATTTTGATTAACCCAATAAACTAATACGTTCATTATAGACTGTGCTTCTGGTGTCATATTTAAGAAATCTTTGCCAAACCCCAGGTCACAAAAATTTTCTGTAGTGTTTTCTTCTGCAAATTTTAGGTTTAATTTTTACTTTTCATTCCTTCTGTGTTCAATTTCCTTTATACAGTAAACCTTCTTGGACAATTCCTTCAAGTAGAACCTATGAAAAGTGAACTCCTTCTCTGGAAAGGACTTTATGGTGCATTTGCCCAAGTCAACCTAATCAAATTTATAGCTTAACTTAGCTGAGAGATTTACAGGTACCTCTCAGTACTCTGAGTATATTATTCTATTGTTTTCTGATTTCTACAACTGCCATAACAAATTTTCCTAGTCTAATTTTAATTATTTTCTATATAATTTTTTCCCTGAGTGCTTTTAAAACAATATTCTTTGGTTTTATTATGTCTATCCTGGATTCAAATTGTTTGTCCAACTCAGAGATTGTGCTTCCCAAATCGTTAGATTTATGTCATTTGTAAATGTTAGCCCTAATTTATTTGAATTTTTCTCTACTCATTTATTTCTATTCTTACCTTTTGGAACTCTTTGAGGCATATAATGCTCATTCCATTTTTCATACTGCTTAACCTCTCTTTTATATTTTCTATAACTCTCTTTCTTCACTTTCCAGAGTTCACTAATTCATTCTTTGGCTGGGTTTAATCTAGCTTTACCTTATTCACTGAGTTTTTTAAATAAATATTTGAATTTCTATGTGACATTTAAACATTTCCTATGTAATTTGCTGTAACTAACTTGACATACTGAAATTTTACTTAAAGTGTTATCTTGCTACATCCTCAAATGAGTATCAGTATGTTCACTCTTTTTTCCTAGAGATAACTGTTTCTTTTGAACTTTCTACATTTCTTTTTTTCTATGTTTTCAATTTTTCCAACTCTATTACAAAAAATTTCAGACAGAAAATCTGAACAAATGGTACAATTAACATCGAAATTTTCTTAGATTCTAAGATTATCTTTTCGTATTTGCTTTTCTCTTTCTCTGCATGTTGATTTCCATCACACCATTTGAAGTTAAGTTTCCAAGTAACTGACAGAGATAGAAATGAAATAGTGGTTATTTTTAGTGAATTGGGAGGGGCACAGGAGAACCCTCTAAAGCATCAGGAAATGTCCTACATCTTAATCTACATGGTAGTTACACATGTAAAAACTCTGAGCGATATACTTCAGATTTGTACCCTCTACTGTGTATAAGTTCCATCTCAAAAAAGCGTGGGTTTGCGGGGGAAGTTGCAGTCATCCTAACACTTTACTCCTAAATACTTATACATGTAATTCCTAAGAACAAGGACATTCTCCTATATAATTACGTTACCATCCTCACATTTAAGAACGTTAATTCCATAACAATATGTAGTATTCAATCAATGTTAAAAATTTCCCAAGTCCCAAGAATGATTCTTCCCCCCTCAGGATTACACACTGCATTTGGTTGTTATGTGCACTTGGTCTTGTACAGTGTGGAATAATCCCCAACCTTTTTATTGTCCAAGACATTAACTTATCAAGGAGTCTAGGGCTATTGTCTTACAGGAAGTCAACATTCTGAATTGTCTAATTGTTTCCTCATGGTGCTTACCTTTTTCCTCTATCCCCTGTGTTTCTTATAAAATAGAAGGTCCCAATCCAAGCAAGAATACTTCATAGATGATGAGGTTTAAATCAAGACTACCTAAAAGTTCTACTTGGTTCTTTCTTAGGAGTCTAACCCTGCTGTTTTAAGTCTGCTAACTCACTGATTGTAGACTGTTTCCTTGCATGTCTTACAACTTGAGATCTTGAGATAGTCAGTAAAGCATTATTTCTGTGAATTCTATGAGACCTAGACGGGCTGAGGGAGGGTTTCCAT
The DNA here is from genome assembly GCF_000001405.40 of Homo sapiens. NCBI lineage: Eukaryota > Metazoa > Chordata > Mammalia > Primates > Hominidae > Homo > Homo sapiens. The sequence continues at coordinate 140,827,337 of NC_000007.14, forward strand.
TGCTTCTGTGCAGTGCCTGAGTGCTATTACCACTCCAAGACCAGTCGTTATGTCCACTTCATGGCTTGAGGGTTCCTGGACAATGCAGGCAGTATAAATTTGAATCCCACACAATGATGAGAATAGGTCCATAGTTAAAAAATCACAGGGGAAACTTTATTTAGAGTACTGTCAAAGACAGTCAAGTTTATTGTTATCTTTATGTATTCTGGTAATAGATTTCAGCCTTTCACTGAAGGTAATGTCCTTCAAAGGGTCAGCTTTATGTGAGAATCTGGGTTCCAACTACCTTTGTGACACAGGCTGAAGGCCCAGTGTTGTATTCCCACACATTGATATTCACATCCTTTGTTCCAGAGTGACAAACTGGCCCACCTGAGGCCACGACCGCAGAGGTCAGCAAACTTCTTCCATAAAGAACCAGAGGTTCTGTAGATTACACTGTGATGTACAACTGCTCAACACCACTGCTAAAGCATGAAACCAGCCACAGACAACATATAAACAGATTAGCATTGTTGTGTTCCAATAACATTTTACTGATGGACACTGAAATTTTATTTATTTATTTTTTTTTGAGATGGAGTTTTGCTCTTGTTGCCCCGGCTGGAGTGCAACGGCGCAATCTCGGCTCACCGCAACCTCCACCTCCCAGGTTCAAGCGATTCTCCTGCCTCAGCCTCCCAAATAGCTGGGTTACAGGCATGCGGCACCACACCCGGCCAATTTTGTATTTATAGTAGAGATGTGGGTTTCACCATGTTGGCCAGGCTGGTCTAGAACTCCTGACCTCAGGTGATCCACTCCCCTCAGCCTCCCATGCTGAGATTACAGGCATGAGCTACCGTACCTGGCCAAAATTTGTATTTCGTGTGATTTTCATAGATTATGAAATACTATTATTCCTTTAACTTTTTTCAAGCATTTAAAAATGTAAAATCCATTCTTAGTTCGCAGGCCATACAAAAATAGATGGTGGGTTAGATTTGTTGAGGGTTATAGTTCAGCGATACCTTAACATATCAGCTCCTATGCTTTTCTGGTTTTTTCAACTCCGTCTTTGTTTTCACCCTCTATAGGTTTTTCTATTGAGCTCAGCTATACATTTAAATAAACATATTTTATTCAGCATTTCTAGTTGAGAGAGATATTTCTAGACCTACTAGAATATTGCAATGTGATATACATAAAGAATAAGTAAGTAATATCAGAGTTTCCAACAGCTTTCCTTTTCTCAATTATAATACCTCTCAGAAAAACCTTCAAGTACAAGTCTTTTCACAGGCTGCATTGTACTACATGGTGTGGCTGTACCATGATTTATACAACCATTTCTCTACTGATGACATTCTATATTTTTTTCTTATTACGATGATTTAACAAATATCCTTGTATAAATATTGGTGCTTTTATGTGCTAAATTCCCAATAGATGGAGTACTGGCTTGGAAGATACAGTTCTTGTAAATTTTGACAGATATTATCAAAGTGCTTTCCAATAAGCTGTGATACTTCACATTTCTATCCTTAACTAAGGGAGCAGTTTTCTCACTACACCCCTGCCAATAATAATTTATATTTTGCCAGACAGATGAAATGATCTCATAGTTTTAATTTGTACACTCACAACTGACTGACTGCATCTGAACAGTGTTCACATGCTTTACTGTTCATTTGGATTTCATCTTATACGAACTGCCTATTTATATCTTTTCCCTATTTTTCTGCTGGGTTTTGTCTTTTTCTTGCCAATTTTGAAGTGTTCTTTGTATATTCAGAAGACTATTTACTTCTTGGTATCTGGGCACCAATGCTGTTTCCAAATTTATACAGACTATTGACTCTGTTAAGGTTTTTTTTTTGTGGGGGGGGGCATACATAATTTCAAAATTGTATTTAATCCATCTGTCTCCTACAGCTTTTGAGCTAATTAAGTTTTGATTAAGATAGTGACCTCAACTCCTAGATTTTACATGCAGCCTACTAGATTTTTCTTGAAAGATTTACATTTTTTTTTTTTTTTGGTATTTAATCTCTTGATTCTGATAGAATTTACTTTTGTAAGCAGTCTAAGATGTGGGCCCAATTTTATTTTCTTCTACATATGCCAGCACCAAAAATTAAATAATTCACCTTCTTCTTACTGATTGAACCATTTTTTTCATATTACATTTTCTGAAATTCTGGGATCTATTTCTAGATACCTATTATATTCCACTGAAATAATTTTCAGTCCCTAGATACCCAAAGTGTCTTACTTTTAATATTAGCTTGGCTATTAACTTCCATCAGATCTTTAATGGCCCTGATCCACTGCCTTCTAGCCCTCAGTTTGCCAATGAGAAAACGATCCAGTTTTCATTCTCCCGCAGATTACCAGTTTATCTTTCTGAAAAGGTTCTCTTTCAACTTTCGAATTATACAGCAAGTATCCAGGTCAATCTCTGTTTTTGTTTTCCTGTTGACAGTCAGTTGCCCCTATCTATCTGAAGGCTGGTTTTTGTTTAACACAGGAAAATTTTCCTGTATTATGTCTGTGAATACATCTTCCCTCTATTTTTGTTTGCTTCTTTATTAAACAGAAGTTGGAACTTTTGCTCTCTCCATGTCTCTTATCTTTTTTCTCATATTTGCCCACTTTATCTCATATCTTAAAAGGTATGTCTTTAGCTTTACTTTCCAAAATACTTATTAACTCTAGCTATCCTAATGTTTGGCCTTTCTGTTTAACAAAAGTCAACAATCATACTTTCAATTTGCACAAACTCTGTGGTCCTCTGAATGACTCAATTTTTATATCAAACTGATTTGGCTTCAAGAATGAAGTACATCCTGAGCTATAATATTTTTACATCTTCTAGTTGCTTTCTTTTCTTGAGTTTTCTCTGTTGCTGTTGGTGTTCTAGTCATATTTATAAATAAAAATTAGGTTGATTTGGTGTGGACTTACTCCTGTACAGTTGTATAGGTCCAACAAATGGCAAGTGGTTTATTATGTTGACAAACTCTGATATTGTGGTTTATAATAATATATATTTTGGTCTTCAACCCTTTGGCCTCCAACCCCAGTTCTAGGCACAGAGCTCCTAAAACTCTTGTAATTTCCTGAGTGATCAGGGTGCCAGGTGCATCTTTTGTTCTCATATTTGTCTTTGACCTTGGTTCCTGACACAGAGCTCTGATTCCCTTGGAATTTCCTAGGTGGTAGGAGCATCTTTTGTTCCAACAAGGTGAGTTTTGGTGGGTTCCTGAATGGAAGGTGGTCAAAAGAAAGACCAAGCCATAATGTGAACTTTCAGCCCCATCCACCAACCTCTGAGAAGTGGGGAGGTCGTGGAGATTGACCTAGTAAATATCACACCTATATGATGAAGCTTCCATAAAAATCACTGAAATGCAATGTTCCTAGAGCTTCCAGGGTGCTGAACATTTGGAGGTAGTGGAAGGTGATGCTCCTAAAGAGAGCACAGAAGCTCTGCATCCCTTCCCACATACCTTTCCCTATGCATTTCTTCCATCTGGCTGTTCGTCTTTTACCTCTTGTAACATCCTTTATAGCAAACCAGTAAATGTTAAGTGTTTCTTGAAGTTCTGTGAGCTATTCTAGCAAATGATCAAAGATTAGAAGATGTGGGAATCCTTGATTTATAGCCAGCTGGTCAGAAGTGTAAGTCACAACCTGGAACTTGGGACTAGCATCTCAAGAGGGGGACAGTCTTGTGGGACTGAGCTCTTAACCTGTGGGGTCTATGCTATACCTGGGTAGATAGTGTCAGAATTGAGTTAAATTGAAGGCAACTTAACAACAATTGCAGACAATTGGGTGGAGAACCCAGTTGATTATCTACAGAGAACTGGAGATTGCTTGGTGGGGAAAAACACCCCCACACATCTAGTCACAAAAATTTGTTGTGTTGACAGTATAGTAGGGGAAAGCAGTTTGTTTTCCAAACAGATTACTAATGGGTACAGACGTGAGAAGAAGTCTGGTATATTCCAGATGGAAGCAGAGTATTATTTTACTCCTCGGTAGATTAACGTTTACTTTTTACCCCACTGGATTTCTCTGAGGTTCAGGGACATCTGATGTTCAGTTCCACCATTTAAACACACACAGCAGTCACATAGAACTCTCCAGGCAGAAATTTTGTTTAGAAAACGACTTTTAGAGCTTTTTCATGGAATAAATGCTACAAATTATTTGTTCCATATATACAGAAGAGGAACTAACAGGATCCCCTTGTTGTACAACTCCAGGAGGCAACATTCACATCTCTATGGACATGTGCAATGTAAGGCTATACTGGGGACTCAGGACTCAGCAACCCATTATCAGATGTCTAAAAATATCAGGCCATGACCTTTAAAAAATTTTTTTTGAATTCAGAATTTCAATGTTTTTAGTTGAGGTTTGTTTTGGTTCTCCACAGGACTCACAACTAACACACACCTTCAAAATATTCATATTTATATCACCAGCTCGATTTATGAAGACACATGACTTTGTCTTCCTGCCAGAGCAAGACCTTCGACTAATTACTCTGACGACTACCCAAGAGGCAAATCCACTTCTTTGTAATCTGCTGACTATGCTATCTGCTTCATCAGGATTTTGCTAAGAATGGCTCCCTTCATGTAAGAATCTAGCTCCTAGTATTTTGTTTGGTTTTCTATTTTGGCTTATTTACGTAACCATTCATATATTTTCCATCTTCCAGGAATTCTTAAAAATTTCTAGTTCTCTGACAGAATCCTATCCTGTTTTATTATTCTTTTTACATATCTTTACTATCATTTCAATGAAATTTCTGGAAAGGAACAAAGATATAAAGGCAAGTGTTTAGCGTGCTATCTTGGACTACAAATCTAAGTCCACTTTAAAAAACATAATCTCATTCTTGGTACTTGATTTCATTTGCTGCTAGTAGGTTCTACTGCCCTTTGTTCCTGAGTGTTCAGGACAAACAGAAACATGTATTTTGATAGAGGAACTGTCATTCACTACCACAAACAATTTTACTTAGAATGTGAATTATCCTGGCTGAGAAGATGTATGTAAAGTCCTTAGCACAGAACTTGGAACACAGCATGGCAAATGCTCAAATAGTAACTGTTAATGTTAATAAGAATTGAGAGAAGAAAAGGAGAGGAAAAGAGGTAGTTAAGAAAAGGGTTAACAGATTCAGATAAAAGAGAGAATGGCAAAATAACGTTCTTGAAAGAGTTTAATACCACAAACCCATTTACTGATGATTCATAAGGCCTTTTAAGTTCACGATATACAGTTTTTCTGAGTATTGAATACGAATTGTTAAACTGGGAGTATGACGGACAAGAACAAGTTACTTATTTAATCTAAGCCTAGCCAGGATAATTAAGGTAAGCCTAGTCAATTGCCTAATAGTTATTCATTTATCATTTTACATCTTTGAAGAGTCTCAGTTGTTTTTATTTCTTTTTAAAAGGGAAATTATAAGCTTTAGTGATACCTGTAAATTTCTCTTGGCCTCTCTCATAAATATGAGGAGGCTAGTTAAACCTTTTTTTTTTTTTTTTGAGATGGAGTCTCGCTCTGTTGCCCAGGCTGGAGTGCAGTGGCGCGATCTCGGCTCACTGCAAGCTCCGCCTCCCGGGTTCACAGCACTATCCTGCCTCAGCCTCCAAATTAGCTGGGACTACAGGCACCCACCACCACGCCCCGCTAATCTTTTTGTATTTTTAGTAGAGCCAAGGTTTCACCGTGTGTTAGCCAGGACTGTCTCGATCTCCTGACCTCCTGACCTCGTGATCTGCCCGCCTCAGCCTTCCAAAGTGCTGGGATTACAGGCACGAGCCACTGTGCCCGGCCGGAGGCTAGTTAAACTTAATCATTAGGTTGAGAAATTTGAAAGGCTCCAACAACCCCAATTTTACATTTGTATACAGAAACTCACAAAATTACTAAGTTGAGTGGAACCTGGAAGGAACAATACCGTGATGAAGAGAAGGGAAACGCCTGGGACTGAAGAACACATTTCCTACTTTCTGCTCATGAATACAGACAATAAAGAATTAATTTAAGATCTACTGGGGATGGGATGTTTGCCAGTTTTGTTAGGCTGCTTCGAAGATTATCTATTTACAGATAATTCATATGTTGATATTCCCCTTTTAAGTGGGGCATCCCTGGAAAGATATGCTTAGTAATTCCCCATCTTAATGTGGGAAAAATAATTTTAATTTTATTCTACCCAACAGAATAAAGAGAAAGGGTAGAACTGGATTTGTTTTACAAATTGATTTGTAATTCTGTACAATGAAAAATTAGAGTCTATTTTTTACAACCAACTTTTGTCTGTACATGGAAAAAGGGCAGAAAAAGTATGACTTTTTATTTTATTACTTTTTATTCCCTGACAATAAATGATGCCTTTAGAAAGCCATATTTCCTAAGATAAAAACTTACAGGCTGGTAACTCGTAACTCCATTAGTTTTCTAAACTCATATGCAGGAATTCTTAACTTCTGAAAGTAAAATGCCTCTATAATAACATTTTTTTTTCAAGTCAGAAAGGAATTTTTGGAACATTAAACAATGACCAATTGCACTTTTGATTTCTGTTGTCAGAGAAAAAAAATGAAAAATTTTGACTTCAGTTGTATTTGGAATTTTTATTGTCAAAAGTAACCACAGACATTTAAAAAGTAGTGATGTATACAGATGGGTTACTTATTAAGTCTACTAACAATATTCGTTGCACTTAAGGATTATAGACCACCCACAATAATTCCACAGATTTCTCTTTAAATGCTTCAAATGTTACTTACAGGGTACGCTGTTCCAATGGTTAATACTAATATTCAACAACCAAAAATGAAGTAGATGAGGGGAAACATATCAATCACACTGAACGTTCAACATCTGATAATATAACTCAGAAAGGAGATTTCTCAAGGGTGAAGAATGAGTCTTACCTGACACACATTAGATAATGAACAAGCTCAAGTCTTAAAATCCTGATTTATTTTAAACTAGTGCTTAGACATGACTGTGGTTCAAGTTTGGCAGACAGGTTTAAATGTCAAATCCAACACTAGAGACAATACCATTTATTTCAGTTAAGGAATATAGACTTTGCCACCAAATAATTACATATTTTTCATTCCTGTATGACATGGATGCCTCTATTTGCATGACCTCTGAGTATGAAGTAATAATATATTAATTTTCAACAACTGATCTGTCTGAAAAATACAAAGAAACAGCAAAATGGTGATATTAAAACTGACTCACCACTGTCCTCTGTTTGTTGGGCAGGAAGACTCTAACGATAGGTTTTTGTGGTGACTTGGGGTTGCTCCGTGCCACATCTGTGGGATTTTGAAAAACTGAAAGAGATGAAGGTAGCACTGAAAGGCTAGAAGAGGAAGAAGATGTAACGGTATCCATTGATGCAGAGCTAGAAACAGAAAAATCAGTTCCGTTCCCCAGAGATTCCAATAACTGTTGTTCTCTTTGTTGGAGTGCATCTAGCTTGCTGGTGTATTCTTCATAGGCCTATAAAATAAAGCAGACTTATATTCAATCCGGACTTTGTCCTGACATTAACAAAAGAGAATATAAAATTTTAGCCTTTGATTATAATCTTTTCACCAGTTGATAGGGTTTTAAGTTTCAAATTACAAAATAAGTGCCAGAAATACTATAAATGAATACTTTCACCTTTAAATTGATAAATTCTTTGTTATTAGACACTACACTATATTACACCTGATAAATTTGACCTATACATATGTGATATCTAGATGGTCCATGAATAATAAAAAAGCACAGTATTTCCAATTTTCTGGTCCACTTATATTTACCTTCCAAATCATGTCTAACGTAAGATAAAACACTGTATCAAGGAAAAGTGTTCCTCCCATTAAAAGAATTATTTTGTCCCGGAAAAGTTGTAGGCATATGAATTCCATTCGTTCTCTCTCTCTCTCAACAGAAAAAGAAGTTGAAAAGGACATGAGGTATTAAGGATTTGTCCAAAAAAACCCCAAAATTTAGGACACAGTACCAGATCTCACTGTTAGTACCAAAACCTCCTTAATAGGGTTTAGAAGATGTGTAACTGCCACATTCTTTCTGGAATAGTTATCAGTTAAAATACTTTACTCTTCTCAGTATGGCTGTTTGATGACTTCTTTCCCCACCTAATGCTGCTTAGAGATTGGAACTAGTATGCAAAGCTGTAAGCCTTGTGAAAAAAGAAAAAAAAAAAACAGAATTGTATTTGAAAATGTGGCTTATACCCTACAGCCAAGAAATTATGGGGCTACTATCCATCAGAGTATCTTCCTAGAAGTTTCATTTGATGAAGGCTATAAAGTCAAGCAACCATACAAGATATCAAATTTTAAAAGAACAGAATGACATTGAACGAATTGGAATATACAAGTCCATAGTTCTTTTTGGCATTGGTAATCCCCTCACTCACACCATGCTCTACTATTTCTACCTACCATCTCAAATAGATGCAATACTACAAACATTTATGAAAGAGAGAAGCAAATATTTTAAAATGGCCTTTCCCGTCTCTCAAGGAGTTTACTGTTGGGCAGTGGAGTAGGATGGGTGTATTTTTATTTGTGTAACTGATGTACATGAGAAATAAACAATATTCTTGACACAAAGTAATAATGAGGAAGGAGGACAGCCTTGAAAGGTTGGCATTTAGATGGATGAAGAAAGTAGGGAGGAAGGAATCCTCTATATGGGAAAAATTCTGTAACAAAGAGTTTGTTTTTTCTGTAACAAAGGCGAGAAAGTTTAAGACACATGAAAAACTATAGATAGGTATAGCTCAATGTCATACAATACCTGGGACATAGCAAAAGATCAATATATGTTTGTGAAATTTAAATGAAGCTTTAGCAGCATCCCTGTTTTCTTAAAAAGGAAAGAAAGAAATTTAAATGAAAAATAGGTAAAGAAACAATAAGGCTGAAAAGGTGAAAGGGAATAGATTGTAGAGAGTATATACGCCATGCTATCAAGTCTGAATGTAAGGGAGGAAGGGAGAATTATAAAATGTAGAGGAGAATGAAAGAGAAATTTCATTTCAATAAGGGCCACAGGACCCTGCTATGCTGCATCTTACCACATACTTTCGAACAAATAAGGGGGGCGGGGAATAGTAACAAGAGCTACTGAGGAAGAGATTTAAACTTCATCAAAAGGTCTTCTTTGTTTACAGCCTGCTAGTTGCCCTACCCAGACCCTGTTTCATAGTAGATGAGGGCATTATAAACAGATAGATTCCAAATTTTCTGAGCTACAATTTGGTTTAGCTTTCAGTACCAAGGCCTAATTACTTAAGCATACTTCTCTCAATAAAATTTATTTATTGAGCCTTCAATCACTCAGTAAATATATACTGATACATGTGCTTGGCACTGTTAGGGCTCAGACTACAACCACACATAAGACAAACACAATTCCTACTCTTTGAAGATCACATAAATGCAGTCTGGAACACAAAGGTTCCTCCTGCATGGATAAAATATTCTTATTTACTGTCACCTGAGCAAGTACAGTTACTAGACAAAATAAACCTTAGGAAAAGTAATGAAAAGAACAATTTTCCAAACATATTTCCTTACCAAAATGTTAGCTTTAATTTTTGAAAGTATACTGATCCCTCCATGACAGATTATAAACTATCACTTCACCACATCTATCAATAGCTTTTCCTTTTGTTAAGTACAAAACATCTACTTATTCCATCTGTCCCTATCCTCAAAGCTGCAATCTACCAAGGCCCCTGGCTCATTTTACCTACTGCCCTTGCTGCATTCAATATGAACTTCAATTACTCTTTTAACACTGCCATAGATTTCTCTAAACCTCTCACCTCTAAAAGCATTTATTTCCATTCTACCTTTAAGACCCGGAGAAGCATCACAGTCTTTACAAAAGCAATAAAAATGATGAAATGATCTCGATTTAGAACCTCACGCACCCCTGGGGCACACATACTTATCCCAACTTCTTAAATGTCTATCTCATTACATTAATCTGTTCAAGGTCAACATTAATCTCTCAAACAGTTGCTAAGATTTGGCCATTGTTGTCTTCCTTCACATACTTTGCGGCTCACAACTACAACAATGCCATTGGTGATATCTTAAGATTTTCAGGCTAATTCTTGTTATTTTATCAACTAGCTTGCCAGATACAAATTTTGGGTAAGTCTGACCATTCAATTGTTCTATTTTTTCCTGTCAGGTTACCACACACTGTTGGAGAAAATAATAAAACTGGTCTAATTAGTTCTATGATCAATTTATGGAACTTAGATTTGCCTGGTCCTTCACACTACTGCCTGAAAATCATGCTTGTTTTTAACATCATATTACAGTCAAAACAGTTATTCCAATCTTCCTAATTCTTCTCTGGATCTTAACTTCATCCTTCAACTTTTAATTCACTCTGAAAATAACATTACCTTCAAATCCACTCTGAAGATCAAAGTCATCAAATGAAAAGTTTACTCTACTTCTTTATCTACAAAATTCTCCACATCTTTCCCCATTCTTCTTCTACTCTCACTTCAGTGCTAATATTGGGTGTTTAGGGCCTTAGTCTACCATTCCCTCAGTTTTCTCTCATATCATCTACTTTTCCCTTTTCCTCTGTTTTCTCACTCTACTAATATGAGCAAGCCACTCCAACATATGTGCAAACCTCAACCACAACCACCACCACCATTTCTTTTGGTTATTCAAGATGCTGCAGATACCAGATACCACTTCTTCAGGAGACAGTTGTTCAAAAACCCTATTCCTTCTCATCAAAACTCTAAATATTTTTCAAAAAGTCTAATTCTAAGCTCTCTTTGTCAAAATCCAGAAGAGGTATCCTTTCTCTTTATCTCCTTTAGAATATTTTATCATACTCTTCTTTATATGGCAAATTTTTCTCAACTTCAAAATAATTTTGTGAGGATTAAATGAGATAACACAAGTAAAACAAATTATTGTAGAGACTACCACATAGCAAAAATCCAATAAATATTTGTATTAGTAATAATTGATAACCTGGGAGGCGGAGGTTGCAGTGAGTTGAGATCACGCCACTGCACTCCAGCCTGGCAACGAGAGCAAGACTCCATCTCAAAAAAGAAAAAAGAATCTAAGAAGACTTAATATCATTAAAATGACAACGCTTCCCAAGTTGATCTACAGATTCAATGCAATCCTTCTCAAAATCTCAATTTTTTTTTGTAGAAACTGACAAGCTGATCTTAAAATTCATATGGAAATACAACGGACTTGAAATTATCAAAACAATCTTATAAAAGAAAAAAGAAGTTGGAGGACTTATACTTCCTGATTCCAAAACTTAACTATAAAACTATAGTAATCAAGACAGCGCAATAATTTTGGAATAAGAACACACATATAGAACAGAATAGAACAAGGTACAACTAGTAAATCCATAAAGGCAAAAAGTAGATCAGTGGTTGTCAGGGGCTGGAGGGAATGACTTCCAATGCATGAAGGGTTTCTTTGTGGGAATGATAAAAATATTTTAGAATCAGATAGTGGTGACAGTTGTCCATTGTGTAAATACACTAAGAACCACTGAATTACACACTTTAAAAAAGTGAATAATATAGTATGTGAATTATTTCTCAATAGAACAAGAAATAAAACCTTACATTTACAGTCAATTGATTTTTTTTTTTTACAAAGCCAGCAAGACAATTCAATGCAGAAAGAATGGTCTCTTCAACAACTGGCGCTGGTACAACTGAATATCCACACACAGAAGAATGAAGTTGGGCTACTACCTCACAACATATCCAAAAACTAACTCGAAATAGGCCAGGCATGTTGGCTCACGCCTGCAATCCCAGCTCTTTGGGAGGTCAACGCTGGAGGATCACTCGAGGCCAGGAGTTCAAGACCTGACTGGGCAACATAGACTCCATCTTTACAAAAATTAAAAACAAAACAAAATGGGTCACATATCTATTATATAATTGAGCACCCTCATTTTTCTAAGAAAAAGTTTAATTATTTTTTTCTTTCCTCCTCCTCCCCACTTCCTACTTAGCTCTTTAGAAATGCAATTATATGCCAGGGGTGGTGGCTCACACCAGTAATCCCAGTACTTTGGGAGGCCAAGGCAGGCAGATCACTTGAGCCCAGGAGTTTGAGGCTAGCCTGGGAAACATGGTGAAACCCCATCTCTAAAAAAAATATGAAACTTGGCTGGGCATGGTGGCATGCACATATAGTCCCAGCAACCCAGGAGGCTGAAGCGGGAGGATCGCCTGAGCCCAGGAGGTAGAGGCTGCAATGAGCCGAGATCATGCCACTACACTCCAACCTGAGTGACAGAATGAGATTCTGTTTCAAAAAGAAAAAGATAAAAGAATAAAAGAAATGCAATTATGGCCTTTTATCTCCTTTTCACCAGACATTCCCTACAAGGCAAGTTGATCTAATTATGTGCTTAGACAATCCTGAGTGGAACTCTCACCCGTCAGGAAGTTGCCTCAAGAGGTAATAGTTGATCTACAACCAAAAGTAAGACTGCTAGAGTTTTCAGCCACCTCTGAGGTATTTTTGCCCATGAAGCCACCAACTTGACTGCCTGAGAAAGAAGGCACCGAAGGGAATATGCAGATCTTCCACCCGCTCATTTCTGCCCCCGTGTAGGCACCTTCTTTAAAAGCACCCACTTTCTGCTCCAACAGGGAAGCAGTACCCTTAAGGCAGGAAGCCTGTACGTCTTCTTCCTTTAAGCTAACTTTGGAATAAAAAAGTCACTTTATACTAGACTTTGCTCTTACTAATTGGACTCTGCAGGCAGCAAGCAACTAAACCTGTTTTGGCTATATAACTAATACTATAAAACTCTTAGGAAAAAAACACAGGAGTAAATCATCCTGACCTTTGATTAGGCAATGGTCTCTCATGTATGATACACCAAAAGCACAGCAACCACAGAAAATAGATAAATTGGAATTCCATCCACATTTAAACTTTAAAATAGATAAATTGGAATTCCATCCACATTTAAACTTTTGTACTTCAAAAGACAAAATTGAAAGAGTGGGAAAAAATACCACAGAATGGGAGAAAATATTTGCAAGTCATGGATCTACTATCTAGAATATATAAAGAACTCCTGGCCAGGTGCGGTGGCTCATACCTGTAATCCCAGCACTTTGGGAGGCCAAGGCGGGAGGATTGCTTGAGTCCAGGTGTTCGAGACCAGCCTGGGCAACATGGCAAATCCCCATCTCTACAAAAAATACAAAAATTATCCAGGCACAGTGACGCATGCCTGTAGTCCCAGCTGCCCGGGAGGCTGAGGTGGGAGGATGGCTTGAGCCTAGGAGGTAGAGGTTGCAGTCAGTCGAGATGGTGCCCCTGCATTCCAGCCTGGGTGACTCTGCCATCTTGGCTCACTGCAACTTCCGCCTCCCAGGCTCAAGCGATCCTCCCATCTCAGCCTCCCGGGCAGGTGGGACTACAGGCATGCACCACCACGCCTGGATAATTTTTGTATTTTTTGTAGAGACGGGGTTTCGCCATGTTGCCTAGGCTGATCTCGAACTCCTGGACTCAAGTGATCCATCCACCTCAGCCTCCCAAAGTGCTGGGATTACAGGTGTGAGCCACCATGCCTGGCCTAAAGAACTCTTACAACTCAGTAATAAAAGGACAAACCCAGTTTTTTTAAGTGGGCAAAGGATTTGAATAGACATTTCTCCAAAGAAGATATACAAATGGCTAACAAGAACATGAAAAGATGTTCTATATTATTAGTCATTAGGAAACTGCAAATCAAAACCAAATGAAATACCAATTCACACCTACTAAGATGGCTTTAATTAAAAAAACAAATAGATAATAACAAGGGTTGATGAGGATGGAGAGAAACTGTAACCCTCATACATTGCTGTTAGGAATACAAAATAGTGCAGCAACTTTGAAAAACTGTCTGGCAGTTAGTTCCTCAAAGTGTAAAACAGAGTTACCACAAGACCCAGCAATTCTATTCCTAGGCATACAGCCAGGAAAAATGAAAATATATCTACACAAAAACTTGCACGTGAATGTTCATGGTGGCATTATTCATAATGGCAAAAACATATAAGTAGCCCAAATGTTCATCAGTTGATGAATGGATAAACAAAACATGATATATGTGTATGATGAAATATTCAGCCATAACAAGAAATGAAGTACTGATACATACTACTACATAAACAAACTTTGGAAACATTACATTAAGTAAAAGCAGCCAGTCACAAAAGGCCACATAATATAATTCTATTTATATGAAATATTTCAACCAGCAAATCCATAAAGGCAAAAAGTAGATCAGTGGTTGTCAGGGGCTGCAGGGAATGACTACTAATGCATAAAGGGTTTCTTTTGGGGAGTGATAAAAATGTTTTGGAATAAGATAGTGGTGAATATAGTAAAAACCACTGAATTACACAGTTTTAAAAAGTTAATCGTATAGTATGTGAATTATTTCTCAATTAAAACAGAAGGGAAAAAAATCTAAGGATCTATTTAATTTCAATGTAATGAGAAAAAGCAGCGAAATAAAAATTTTATTTTTTATCATTTAGTTAATTAAATTTAGTCTAATTATTCTTACTCTCACAAGATACAATGAAATCTTACAAACTGCCCATAAATGATATATAATGGACTGTTCTGCATTCCACAGGAAGCATCCAGCTTCCAGTATTAATTTCATTGAAGGGTTTGACACAATGCCTCTGTATTATTCTAGGTTCTATATAGACTAAAAATCAGAAAGGCTGCCAAGTGTAAGAATGATACGGTGATTAAACGCATGGGCTGTAAATTCAGAATGTCTGGGATTCAAACCTTGGCTACCAATTACAAGTTGTGTAACCTTGGCCATATTATTAAATCCCTCTGTGCCTGAATTGCTTCATTTATAAAATGAAAATGAGAATAGTTAAGTGTAACTCAAAGGGTAGGCTGAAGATTAAATGAACTAATATATGATTAGTACCTGATACATAGTAAATACTCAGTAAATGTCAGGAGCTGTTACTGTCTTCATCAGTCTACAGGGGACTGTAGGATTCAACCATAAATTCTGAAGTAGTTAGGACTCAGCTGTAGGGTGATTACAGAGACAGTATCCCTTCATCTCTGGGCTCCAATAAATCAAGTACAGAAAGAAGAATCTACTACTAGAAAAGCATCTAGCATTATATCTTACACATAGAAGGCATTCCAATAATTTGTTGGATAAATGAATATGGAAACACTGAGAGGAAATGAAGAAACTCTGGGGAACAACTTTTCAGAGTAAATTTATCTTTTCTTCCTTTGGATGATGGTAGAAAAAAGGGAACCAAAGATCAACTGAGAAGACAAATTTGAAATTCTTTAGAGTACTGTATCTCATATTTCACTGTAGTTATCATCAAGGGAATCAATAGAATGTTAACTGTTATCTGCCAGTAGGAGAACATCTAGAACTGAAAAGATGGCTTTTAAATAAATTAGTACGTGGGAAAAAGAAAATCAAGAGGATTTCTGATGGTGGTGTAACCAATTTCTCTGTTTTGCTACAATGAAGAGAAGAAGCAAGAATAAGTAGTTGAAGATTTATCTTCCTATAGAAACTTAAAAGGGGTTTCTGTTGAAATGTTATAGAATAAAATAATCATAGCACAACTTCTACTTGACAGCATACAAACTAATCTGAAGAAAAACTGAACACTGGAAATTTTTGACTTATTAGACTCTTACTTCAGGAAATGTAAGCATAGTCACTAGTATAGGGGTGATATGTGACCTCATTCTAGTCAATGAGATATAAAAGGAAGAGTTATAGAGGATTTTTGAGAAAGATTTTCTTCCTAGCAAGAGCTTAGTATACAAGAGAACTTCTCTGTTCTCTGCTTTCTGCTTTGAGGAGTTGTATGAGGGAAAGATCTTAAAAATCTGCTGTGGTCTTGACAGAAAAGCTAAAGGGACTATAGCGATTCAACCAAGTATCTGACAACTGACCTGTGTAGAACTAGTCTTACAATAATTTACCTCTACGCTTCTTGCTATGTGAAAGGAAATGAAAATCCCTATTTGTTCCAGAAACTTATTCTTGAAGGGTTCTGTTTCTTGCAGTTAAACGCATTTATAATTTTTATGGATTGGGATTTATTCCTTAATTTTTCTCATGTTTCCTCTAAAATTTCCCATCTCTCTGCTTTTACTCTGCTTTCTAGAACATTTATCTTCCAATATTTATTTTTCAACATTTATTTATATATATACAACACATACATATATACACATGTACATACCTATATGTCTGTATATACATATATTTTTAAAAATTTCTGGGCTGGGCACAGTGGCTCATGCCTATAATCCCAGCACTTTGGGAGGCTGAGGCGGGCGGATCACGAGGTCAGGAGATCGAGACCATCTTGGCTAACACGGTGAAACCCAGTCTCTACTAAAAATACAAAAACAAAATTAGATGGGCGTGGTGGCGGGCGCCTGTAGTCCCAGCTACTCGGGAGGCTGAGGCAGGAGAATGGCGTGAACCCGGGAGGTGGAGCTTGAAGTGAGCCGAGATCGCACCACTGCACTCCCGCCTGGGTGACAGAGCAAGACTCCATCTCAAAAAAAGAAAAATAATAATAAAAATTAAAAAATTCTAGTTATTAATCGGAATTAGTTTAGCCTGTGCAGTCTAACCCTAGCCAACAGGGGAATGACACAGCAGCAAGAGCCACATGCATATGGGATAAGAACCCCTTCCCCTCCCTTGTCCAAGTGTGCGCTCACCATTGCTCCATCTGTAAGGGCGCACCCTTCTATAGACGTAACTTGCCTTGCTGAGAATTAAAAAGAAAATTAAAAAAAAATAAAAATAAAAATAAATTTCTGGCTATTGTATTTTTAATTTCCAAGAGGTCTTTCTTGTTCTCTGTTACTTTTGCTTCTTTAGTATTGCTACAAAGCAAGACAGGACTAATAGATCTTATCTCTGATGCTAATTATAGTTATTTTTAAGTTTTATTCTGTTTTCTGCACTGTTTCTGAGTTTCTGTTGACCATTTCTGCTGCTGTCTTTCCTGTTGACAGCTTTCTTTAAATATCTGGTTATTCTTAACTGTCCACTCATATTTCAGAGTTAAGAATTCTTAAGATATCAGTATTAACCAAAGCAATCTACAGATTCAATCCAATCCCTATCAAAATCCTGATGACCTACTTGTAGAAAGAGAAACATCCTTTATAAAATTCACATGGAGGCTGAGCACAGTGGCTTGCACCTGTAATCCCACCACTTTGGGAAGCCAAGGCAGGTGGATCACTTGAGGTCAGGAGTTCGAGATTGGCCTGGTCAACATGGTGAAACTCCGTCTCCACTAAAAATACAAAAGGTAGGCATGGTGGCAGGTGCCTGTAATCCCAGCTACTCAGGAGGCTGAGGCACGAGAATCACTTGAACCTGGGAGGTGGGCTGCAGTGAGCCAAGATCACACCACTGCACTCCAGCCTGGGTGACAAAGTGAGACTCCATCTCAAAAAAAAAAAAGGAATCTCAAGGGATCCTGAATAGCCAAAACAATTTTGAAAAAGAACAAAGTTGGAGAACTCACATTTCCTGATTTCAAAACTTACTACACAAAGCTAGTGTAATCAAAACAGTATGATGACAGCATAAAGACAGACATATAGACCAATGGAATAGAAAGCCCAGAAATAAACTCTTGCATATATAGTCAAATGGTTTTCGACAAGGGTGCCAAGGCCATTCAGTCTTTTCCACAAATGATGCTGAGAAAACTGGGTATCCATATGCAAAAGAACGAAGTTGGACCCTTACCTTACATCATATAAAAATTAACTCAAAATGGATCAAAGACCCAAATGCAAGAGCATTTGGGAGAAGAATGTCATGGCATTGGATTTGGTGATGATTTCTTGGATATGATATCAAAGGCAAGAGCAACAAAAAGAAAAATAGATAATTTGGACTAAAAAACTATAAGCAGAGTAAAAAGGGAACCCACACAATGGGAAAAATATTTGCAAATTAAATATCCAATAAGAACTGATATCTAGACTATATAAAGAACTACGCTCAATAACAAGAACAAAACAAACAATCCAATTAAAAAATGGACCAAGAACTTAAATCAGACATTTCTCAAAAAAGATATACAAATGGCCAATAAGCACATAATAAAAGGCTCAACATTGTTAGTCATCAGGAAAATGCAAATCAGCACCATAATAAGGTATCACTTCACGCACATGAGGCTATGTTTTTTTTGTTTTGCCTTGTTTTGTTTTGTTTGAGACGGAGTCTTATTCTGTCCCCCAGGTTGGAGTGCAGTGGCATGATCTCGGCTCACTGCAACCTCTTCTCCTGGATTCAAGCGATTCTCCTGCCTCAGCCTCCTGAATTGCTGGGATTACAGGTGCGCACCACTACACACACCTGAAATTTTTGTATTTTTTAGTAGAGACAGGATTTCATCATGTTAGTCAGGCTGGTCTCAAACTCCTGACCTCGTGATCCGCCCACCTTAGCCTCCCAAAGTGCTGGCATTACAGGTGTGAGCCACCGCGCTCAGCCTAGGCTATGGTTTTTTTAATCAACCGAAAATAATAAGTGTTGGTAAGGATGTAAAAAATTAGAACCCCATGCGATGCCAGTAGGAATATAAAACAGGGCAGGTGCTACAGAAAAAGGTGTGGCAACTCCAGAAAAAATAATCATAAAATCACCATGTGATCCTGCAATTCTACTCCTGGTATATACCCCAAAGAAGTAAAAGGAACTCAGATACTCGTACACCCATGTTCACAGCATTATTGATAATAGCCAAAACGTAGAAGCAACCCAAGTGTCCACTGATGGATGAATGGATAATCAAAATATGGTAAATACATACAATGAATGGATTATTATTCAGCCTTAAAAAGGAAAAAAATTTTGATATATGCATTATCCTTGTTGCAACATGGATAAACCTCAAAGACATTAAGCTAAATGAAATAAGCCAGTCACAAAAGGACAAATATTATATGATTCCATTAACATGAAGTTCCTAGAGTAGTCCAATTCATAGATCATAGAGATAGAAAGTAGAATGGTGGTTGCTACGAACTAGAGAAAGAAGGAAATAGAGATTTAGTGTTTAAAGGCTAGAGAGTTTCAGTTTTGGATGATAAAATTTCTAGAAATGGATGGTGGTGAAGGATACACAAAAACATGAATGGACTTAATGCCACAGAACCATATACTTAAAAATGGTTAAAATGGTAAATTTTGTTAGGCATATTTTACCCCAATAAAAAAAAAAAGTGTAAAGGAATCTTAAATGGCAGATGAGAAACCTGCAGAACGGTGGGTCTCAGTGAGTAATCAGTAGATCTAGCTCTTCACTGATGGGCCTTTAAATATCAGTATGTACAGGTCTTTTCTCTTGGGCTGGTTAGAGTCCATTCATAGTATATAAAATGGTGATGGCCAGGCACGGTGGCTCACGCCTATAATCCTAGCACTTAGGGAGGCCGAGGCAGGTGGATGACTTCAGGTCAGGAGTTTGAGACAAGCCTGGCCAACATGGTGAAACCTGTCTCCACTAAAAATACAAAAATTAGTCGGGAGTCATAACGCACACCTGTAATCCCAGCTACTTGAGAGGCTGACGCAGGAGAATCACTTGAACCCAGGAGAGGAGGCTGCAGTGAGCTGAGATCGTGCTACTGCATGCCAGACTGGGCAACAGAGCGAGACTCCATCTCAACAAAAAATAAAAAAATAAAATGGTGATAAGTGCAATGTTCTAAAACTCATTTATATGTTCATTGTCTATATATCCATCCCCTCATTAAAATATAAGCTTAAAAAGGCGGAGATTGTTGGCCATTTTTTAAAAAATTGCTATTCCCGGCCAGGCACGGTGGCTCACGCCTGTAATCCCAGCACTGTGAGAGGCCAAGGGGGGCAGATCACCTGAGGTCAGGAGTTTGAGACCAGACTGGCCAACATGCTGAAACCCTGTCTCTACTAAAAACACAAAAATTAGCTGGGTATGGTGGTGCATGCCTGTAATC
This sequence comes from Homo sapiens, assembly GCF_000001405.40. Taxonomy (NCBI): domain Eukaryota; kingdom Metazoa; phylum Chordata; class Mammalia; order Primates; family Hominidae; genus Homo; species Homo sapiens. Next base: position 140,847,466 of record NC_000007.14, read on the forward strand.
CCAGCTACTTGGGAGGCTGAGGTAGGAAAATTGCTTGAACCTGGGAGGTGGAGGTTGCAGTGAGCCAAGATCGTGCCACTGCACTCCAGCCCGGGAGACAGCAAGATTCCATCTCAGGAGGAAAAAAAAAAAGACAGACAATTGCTATTCCCCAAGGCCTAGAGCAGTACAAGATAAATCAACTATTTATAGAATTCTTAATATTTGAATCAGGAACTATGTTATTTCATAATTATAAACTCAATTAATCCTTAACTTACCCAAGATGTGATATTATTTCCACTTTACTAATGAGGTGGGGTATAAGAAGGCTGGATATCTTGAGTACAGAAACTAAGCCAGAGTTGGGATTCAAACATGGAGTCTGTATGACTCCATGGCTCATCGTAATTATTATATTATACTGCTGCCTTCAGTGTGTGTGTATGTACATGTGTATATGCATACCTTTGCATACTACATACACATAATACACACACATTGTATACCACAAGTCCCCAAGATAAGAATCTGTTTTACCACAAGCTAATAATATAACCTGTGAGTTATGGTCTGATGTATGCTGTCCTACTCAGATTTAATTTTAATAAGTAGTTCAATTTTGTGTGTCTAATTCTAAAAGAACCAACCAAAAAGACTGTATCTAATAAAAGGTCCATAAATTATGTTACTAAGAATGGCTGAAGGGAATAGAAATATTTAGCCCAAATAAGAAAAGCTGTCTGGGGGGTGAGGGTGGGGAAAGAGCGAGACAATGTCATGATAAAGGTAGAATAAGATAGAGATCAAGAACACAGATTTCTGACTTAGATATCTGCCTTCTTTCCTAACTAGCAGTGTCACCTTAGTTAAGTTACTTAACCTCTCTGTTTTTTCACTTGTAAAATGGGAATAACAAAAATATCCAGTACCTAGTATCTTGCTCAAAGTAACTATAAGAAATGAGTTAAGCAATAAAATACATTTAACACAGTACTGGGCACAGAATAAGAAGCTCTAAGGTTTGTTGTTAGTGATCAGTCTTCAAATAGTAAAAAGCCTGAAGAGTTATGTGAGGAGGGGGCAGTGAATCACTGCTATAGTGGGGACATAGCTATTGATGCAAATGAATTACATCTCAGCATGGGTTCAAAGTCTCCAAGACATAGAAATGGTTGGAAGAAAAACTGCTGGTTATATTGTCTAATTCTGATTAATAAAAAATTGCCATTCTCATTAGCAGTACTTGCTTCCTTATGACACCTTTGATCAGCCTCCTAATAATATATGTATAGAAGATAGCACAGGCTATTAGGAAGTACACTAACTAGTAATGAGAAATAAGAATTCTAGTCCTAGCTTTGATATTAACTAGGAGTGTGATCTGGGATGAGCCACATGAAGAAGAGGAGAAAGAAAACAGCATATTAGCTGTTATTTCCAAACTTCCAAGTTTACTTCAGAAATATAAACTTAACTTTCTCATAAAATCCTTAAGACTTAACTGGCCCTTCAAAAAGTAATTAAATTACTAAGTTACAAATTTAGTTCAGAAGTCTTTCAATCTGTGCTTAAAAATCTCTGGTATTTGGAGCCAAATGGCAACCTGATCATTTCTAATTTAGAGTTCTCCATCTCCTTGCCTCACTAGTGATGACAGCTGAGCCAGCTTTTATAAAGAAAGGGTGTGTAGGGTAGTAGTGAGCAGTGTGGGCTGTAGAGCCTTACCACCTAGATTCTGTAACACCTTGTTGGCTGTGGAGTCTGACTGACTACTTAAGAAAACTAATGCTAAGAAAGCTCATCTGTGATTATAACAGCACCTACTAACTCATAGGATTAATGAATATAAATTTACAATTATGCTCAAGGCTTGACACAAACCTCAAGGCATTATTAAACAGTAAAGCTAAACAATGTTGAGCTATTTAAAAATTACAAATTTTACCTATAAGGAAGCAGAAACCAATTTTGGGGAAACTCATTCTGGAAAAAATATTTTAAAAAATTACCCCATTTTCCAATATGGTAACTGGTTTGCTGAGCTCCAAAACTGTGTGCTTTCTCTTTAAAAAAAAAAAAAAAAAATTGGCTAGGCACAGTGGCTCACACCTGTAATCCTAGCACTTTGGGAGGCCAAGTGGGTGGATCACAAAGTCAGTTCGAGACCAGCCTGGCCAATATGGTGAAACCCCATCTCTACTAAAAATAGAAAAAATTAGGTGGACGTGGTAATGTGCGCCTGTAGTCCCAGCTGCTCAGGAGGCTGAGGCAGGACAATCGTCTGAAGCTGGGAGGCGGAGGTTGTAGTGAGCTGAGATTGTGTCACTGCACTCCAGCCTGGGCGACAGAGCGAGACTCCGTCTCAAAAAAAAATAAATAAATAAAATAAAAATAAAAATAAAAATTTAATTCAGAGTAATACCTTGAAATTTATATCACTTCCCCCTTAGTTCTGATGTTTTCTAAATTATAAAATACATGTTTATTTTAACAAGTGACACAAAACAAGATTAAGAAGTATAATACAGGCAAAGCTAATTCTCTCTTCCCAAATCTATTCCTAATCCCACCTCCTAAAATAATCAAGATTATCAGTACAAATGTTTTTATAAGTTCATTTTTTTTCTTTTCAAAATTACTAGATATGATACTCAAAAGCTTACCTCCAGATATATTGATGGTGGATTATGCTCCCCACCAAATTTGTCCAATAGGGCCTCTATATGTTCCTGTGTCAACTTAATCATTTGTTTGATATTCCACACCTAAAAAATATTTCAAAAGAATTTAAATAAAAATCACTTAGTATATGAATTAGAAATATTTTAACATAGACAACTACATCACAGTAACTGCCAGTGTTCCTCAAATTTTGAGCTTAGAGATCATTTAGTACAGTGGTTTTTCTCTTTTATTATGAAACATCTTTAAATTTTTTTCTACACTAGTAATACAACGTATTCTCAACTATAAAAGATTCAAAGAATACATGAATATTCAGAATAAACCATGAAATCTCTCTTCATCTTCCTCACATTCCCAGGCCCCCTTTCAAAAAGGTTAAGTTCTGTTTATGGTTTGGTGAGCAGCCTTCCATGTCTCCCTTTTACTCATGGAAAAAACATTAAGACATACATATATGAAATGTACACATATAATTAAATACTATATATAAAATACTTTTAACACTTGCTTTTTTCATGGAGTAATGTCTCAGAAGTCTCTCCACGTCAATATGCATATATTTTACTCCCTAATGGTTATATAGCATTCATTTCATAGCATTGCACTGCTTATTTCAACAGTCTCTAAACTTCAGTGGTATCCAGGGGTTAGGTGGGCATAGACAATTTTAAGAGAATTTCCAGATCCTCAAGTTTTATCTGTATGCTCCCTGATTGATCTGCTTAAGAACTGGTTCTCCTTGTCTACTTCCTCTTTTAAAATAATTATTTTCCACTTTATAAAAGAAAGGCAAAGTTCTTTTCCACCTCAAATACTACTAAGATGCACCATTCTGAGACGTATAAATTCCAAAGTACCTAACAAATAGACAATTAAATAGGGAAATTCCTTGAGAGAAAAGGGGGAAAAATTAAGAGCAGGACCATATTTTATCAATGAAACAAATTTGTGGCAAGGCTCCAAGCCTTACCCATCACCAGCCAGCCAGACTAGAATCCAGAAGTTTAGTGGTTATTAAAAGGCATATATTAGTATATCTGTTTTAAGATAAATAAGTAATCAGGTTTTTTTTCTTAATAAAAAAGAAAAACAGTCCAATTTGTCTGGTTTGATAGTGAGAACTGGCTATTAGGTTATACGGAAGATTCTGTTTCTAAGTTGAATGATCTAAATCTGCAGCTTTAAGGCTTGTCCAAAAAATGTATTTAACATAAATATAACACACAGTAGAAATTATGGCCTTTTAAACTATTCAAAGTTATAATGAAAAAATGTCAGATATCAATTTTTAAATGTACTGGGAAATAAATGAAAAAAAAGAGTTCCAAATCTCTTGATTTAATAATTTCCTTACTAAAGGACATTTAGATTATTCCATTTCCTCAACATCAAACAATACTCCAACAAATAGTTCTGAACTGCTTTTCAGAGTAAAAGTGCAAGTTTTATTTTTTGGTATCTAGGTATAGGATTCCAGGATTGAAGGATATACCTATTTTAAAATTTAATAAATATGCCAAATGGTCTTCCAAAAGAAGAAATGTATCAAGTCAAGTCCCTATCTGCAGGGTATAAGTCCACTCTTCCCCACAATCTCACCAACACCCAGCACAATCACACTTCTAAACTTTTGCCAGTCTGAAAGGGAAAAGGCAATCATGTTTTAATTTGTATTTCTTACAAAGTTGAGCACTTTTTATGCTTACTGGCCATTTGAGATTTTGGAAAATTCCCTATACTGCACTCCCTTTTATTCTATTGAGTTGTTTGTTTTTTCCATATTCATTTATAGATAGTCTTTATTCTGGATATTAATCTTTATTCTTCTACAAATGTTAAGGTCTTTCAATTGTTTTTCATGACTCTTGTCATATAAAGTCTTGCTACTCAAAGTGTGGGTCCACAGACCAGAAGCAGCAGCATCTTCTGAAAGACTGTGAGAACAGCAGAAGCTGGCCTAGCATAGTGGCTCACATCTGTAATCCCAACACTCTGGGAGGCCGAGGCAGGTGGATTGCTTGAGCCCAGGAGTTCACAACCAGCCTGGGCAACATAGCAAAACCCCATCTCCATAAAAAATACAAAAATTAGCCGGGCATGGTGGTGCATGCCTGTAGTCCCAGGTACTCAGAAGGCTGATGTGGGAGGATTACCTGAGCCCAGGAGGTTGAGGCTGCGGTGAGCCATGAGTGCACCACTACACTCCGGCCTGGGCAACATAGTGAGACTCAGTTTCTACCGCCACCCCACAACCTGCCAAAAAAAAAAAAAAACCAAAAACCAAACAAACAAACAAAACACACAGCAGAAGCTCAAGCTCCATCTCAGATCTACTGAACTTTAACAAAATGATTCATATGCATATTAAAGTCTGAGAAGCAGTGATAGAGGTTCCAAATTGTTTTTCCAGTCAGGTATTTCAATGTTTTCTTTCATGATGCCTTTGCTAATTTTTCATATCTCCAAAAAGTGTCAGATGGCTTCTTTTGTCAAGCTACACTTACTCCCTAGGTGATCTCATCCAATCTTGTATCTTTATATGCCAACTATGAACTGATGAAGCCCAAAATTTAAAATCCAACTCTACCTTTTCCTCTCAACACCAGATTCCTAACTGCCTGCTGAATATGTCTACTAGTATACCTAATAGGCATTTCAAACTTAACATGTTCAAAGACTAACTTCTGATCTCCCCCATCACCCCCACAAAACTTGTTTTTCCTAGTCTCTTTACCTCAGGAAATAAGCTCCCTTCTTTGAGTAAACCAAAAACTTCAGCATCATCCTTGACTCTTTTCTCACATCTGACAATCCATTTCAATCCATCTCCAAATCAAAATATATGTAGATATTAGTCACCTTCTCTAACTTTACCACCCTGGTCTAAGCCACCTTCATTTCTCTGTTAGTTTATTAACAAGAGTTTCTGAAATGGCCTCTCCTATTTCATGCCTAGAATGGCACAGTAGCTATTCTTCAAAAACTGTAACTGCAGGCCATGCATGGTGGCTCACGCCTGTAATCTCAGCACTTTGGGAGGCTGAGACGGGAGGATCGCAACATAGTAGGACCCTGTATCTACAAAAAAAAAAGAAAAAAAAAAAATAGCCAGACGTGGTGGTGTGTGCCTGTGGTCCCAGAGGCTGAGGTGGGAGGATTGCTTGAGCCTGGGAAGTTGAGGCTGCAATGAGCTGTGATCGCGCCACCCCAACCTAGGCAACAGAGTGAACCCCATCTCAAAAACAAAACTATAACTGCAGATCACATGTCATTCTCTTGCTCAAAACCCTCCACTGGCTTCCCCACTAAAAATCACCAAAGCCATGACCTGGCCCTCTGCTATTTGTCTAGCTTCATTTCTTATTGTTCTCCCGTCACTCATCCCATTCCAATCACATTTGGCCTAACTGAACGTGCCAAGTATACTCCCAGTGCAGGACTTGTGAATTTACTATTCCTTCTGCCTGGAATGCTCTTCCCCTAAGATTTCTATAAAGTTTGCTGTCTTACCAAGTTCATTCATCTCTTTATCCCAATGTCACCTTATCAATGAAGCATTCTCTTACCTTCTCATTTAGAAAGGCTCTATCCCTCCCATTCCTTAAAGGCACAGAATCAGCTTCTATGCCCTTTGTTAATTTTATTTGTTCCGTAGCATATGTGACCACCTTACTATATATATTTTACGTGTTCATTTTGTTATTGGTGTGTGTCTTCCCACTCCCCAACAGAATGAAGTCCAGGAGGGCATAGGTTTTTGTCTTATTTTTTCTGATTTATCCCCAGAGCCTAGAACAGTGCCTAGCATACAATAAGCAAACATATATTTGTTTAAAAAAAAATGAATACTTTATTTATTTTTAAAACAGGGTCTCCGTCTCCCAGGCTGGAGTGCAGTGGCACAATCTTGGTTTACTGCAGCTTCAGCCTCCCTGGCATCAATCCTCCCACCCCAGACTCCCAAGTAGTTGGGACTACAGGCACGCAGCAGCACACCTGGCTAATTTTTGTATTTTTAGTAGAGATGGGGTTTTGCCACATTGTCCAGGATGGATCTTTCCTTAGAGCATCCCTCTATGATGTGTTCACTGATCAACTCGGCAAAACTGTTTTCTAAGTCATAATTTGATAACATAAAGTTGATTATGTTTTCCATGTCTATTAGCTACTTTAAGATCAGAAACATTTTCTTTTTTTGTCCCCTCATGATTTATTTTGGTGTCTTAGTCATAATAGGTATGCAATTAAAGCTGAAGATTTAAGCTGGTTTCAGAATAGGGTAGGAAAGAAAACAGGTCATCCTAGTTCAGTGATTCTTTCTTAGGTCCAGTAAATTCAGGACAATATTACCCACACTCCCTTTTTTTTTTCAATGTTCCATAAAAACTCATATGCAGTTAGCATAAAGAACTATTTCTCTCAAAGGATGGGAGAGAGAAAGTGGGGGAAAATAATCAGAGATGAGAAATGAAGAGAATGAGCTGATTAGAATAAAATTTTCTTGCTGGGGTATAAAAAACGGTTAAGATTGGGCTGGGAGTGGTGGCTCACACCTGTAATCCCAGCACTTTGGGAGGATGAGGCGGGTGGATCACTTGAGGTCAGGAGTTCGAGACCAGCTGGCCAACACGGTGAAACCCCGTCTCTACTAAAAATACAAAAATTAGCCGGGCGTGGTGGCGTGTGCCTGTAATCCCAGCTACCCAGGAGGCTGAGGCAGGAGAATCACTGGAACCCAGGAGGCGGAGGTTGCAGTGAGCCGAGACTGCGCCACTGCACTCCAGCCTGGGTGACAAGAGCAAGACTTCGTCTCAAAAAAAAAGTAAAAGAAAATGATAATATTGGCTAGGTATAGTGGGGCCAGACCATAAGTGTCTGGAAGTCAGGTTTTTTATCTCCCCAAAGAAGAGTAATTTTATATCCGAAGAATAAAAAAAAGTCACAATGACCCTTGTTGGAATTTTAAAGAATGTGTTTGGGAGAGAAAGTCTTTCAGAATCTCCAGAAGAGTCAGAGAAAGAACTTTGATGACTCTTATAAAATAGAGATATATTAAAAAGTAGAATAAGATACTGAAAAGCTAACGGTAGGTACATAGTTAAAACATCTTCTTGGAAAAAAAAGAAAAACCTGTTACCACAATCCTAAAAGGGAGATGAAAAAATTAAAAACAAAACTAAAAACTTCAAGAAAGTTACTAAAAGATCTCCTCTCCTGTTTTAATCTCTTCAGTAGACCACAGCTATTACAGCCAAGCAAGCTTAGTAAATAACTGATCATTTTTAGTGACTTTACAAATGGCAAAACTCCTTCTCCAAAAAAAAGACTGAGAATTTTTTTTAAAAAATCCTAGAAGATGCCCATGTTAAAATATAAATGCAGACAAACTGCTATGGAAGGACATGAAGGGGAGCTATGGCACAAAAAAAAAACTACAGCCATTGGCTCCCCTCATCCCTTAAAGAAAATGTAATTAAAATATCAATTAGTAACAGGTGATTTTATATATATATTCATATATATACTTATATATCTTCTAAATTACTTTAAGAAGCTAGCAAAACCTAGATGTCAAAACTCAACAAAGATAACATAAAAAAAAATAGGCCACGTACAATGGCTCATTCCTGTAATCCCAGCACTTTGGGAGGCTGAGGCAGGTGGATAACCTGAGGCCAGGAGTTTGAGACCAGCCTGGCCAACAAGGCAAAACCCTTTCTCTACTAAAAGTACAAAAATTAGCTAGGTGTGGGTGCGTGCCTGTAGTCCCAGCTACTTGGGAGGCTGAGGCAGGAGAATCTCTTGAACTTGGGAGATGGAGGGTGCAGTGAGCTGAGATCACGCCACTATACTCCAGCTTGGGCAACAGAGCAAGACTATCTCTAAACAAACAAACAAACAAAACATAAAATAATCCAAACTGTGAAGAAAGGCATCAAACTCTTAAATTAATATATATGATATATAAACATATATAATAGTATATATAAATATATATATTAAAAGCAAGAATAATCATTAATTAGGAATCCAGTAACATAATACTTAATAGGTCAAAGGGGAAAACTACAGGACTAGCCTAAGAGATTCCAAGAAACAAATAATTGTTACGAAAGGTGGGGTTGGGGGAGGAACAGAGGGAGGGAAGGGAGAGACAGAAGTGGTCTTAAAATTTCAAGAAAATGGTTGAAAGAATCACAGTACTGAAAGCAAGGAGGCCAGGACCATCAACCACTTAGTTGGAAAAATTCAGAACATTCCTGAAAAACAGAAAACGAATATAATCAGTTTGACAAAGAAATCAAAGCTAATAAATTGCAGACCAAAACACAAAAGTAAATTTCTACTGAGATAACTCTGGAAGAACAGCAAGCCTAAAGACAACACATATAAAGAAGAAGCATGAGGAAACTATAAAGACATGAGTTTTGAATCATACAGTCATCAAATTAAAACCTCAGGTAACGTAAAACAGATTACTGCTGAAGAGAGAATTAAAGGACTAGAAGGTGATTCTGAGAAAATTAGCCAAAAGGCAGAGATAAATGAATGGAAAATATGAAAGACACGAAGCACAAAATGAGTTAATCTGGGAGGTAAACAGGGAATGGGGAGATATTTGAACAGAAGCTGGCCATAAATTTTCCAAAACAGGTGAAAATAAAAAAGTTCAGTTCTTAAAGTCAACCAGAAAGTAAAGACAAGTCAGACTGATGGCATACTTCTCAACATCAGTAAAAGAAGCAAGAAGATAATGAACTGACGTTAAGGTGCAAGAAGAAAATAACTGACAACCTAGAAAAAGGAAACTGAATCAAGAAGTAATATCAAAGAAAGAGTGGCATGAGAGGGCTGAATAGTGGCCCCCCACCAAGATAACTAAACATATACCAAGACCCAGAAGAACCTGTAAATGTTATCCTATGTGGCAAAAGGAACTTTGCAGATGTGATTAAGTATTGTGAAACAGGGAGATTATTCTGGATATCTGGGTAAGCCCTAAATGTAATCGACAAGCATACTTATAAGAGGGAAATAAAAGGGAATTTTACTATAGATGATTAGGTGATATAAAAACTCAGCAGAGAAAGATCTGAAGATGCTACACTGCTGACCTTGAAGATGGAGGAGGTGGCCATGAGCCAAGAAATACAAGCAGTGCAGCTCTAGGAGCTGGAAAAGGCAAGAAATCAGATTTTTCCTTATTGTCTCTAGAGAGAGCAAAGTCTTGCTGATACCTTGATTTTTGCCCAGTAAAACAAACTCATTCTGGATTTCCGACCTCCAGAAATGTAAGAGAGTACACCACATTTGTGGTGTTGTAAGTGACCAAGTTTGTTGTTATTTATTATTGCAGCCATAGAAAATGAACACAGATGGAGAATCTAGAGACTAATATACATGAAAGTAAACCTAAATAAGCATTTAGGTTTTACTAATGAGTTTATTAATAAGCATATTAGGTCTTAACAAAATAAGCATTATTAGATTACACAAAGTAACAACAACACAATGACTACATTAATGGGGGAAAGGGCCAGCATTACAGCATTTCAAACCTATCTATTATTATTCAAGAAGAGAGATCTAGGAACATCTTGTGCCAGATATCAGAACAACATCAGAGGCCAGCTTGAAGGGACTCCTACTGACCAAATTTGGAGATTTTCAGCAAAAAGAATAAGTACTGTAATTGACTATAACAGATGGTATGCAAAAACAAACAAATAAACAAAAAACCTTCAAAATTCCATAAAAATTAAAAGGGTGGGAGAGCAGTTGCTCACACTGTAGGGGATTATTACACCCTTAGAAAACTGAACTTTAAATGAAAAAAATTATGCATGTATCCCGCCTTTTTAGGAAAAATTAGTTATTCCCACTTGATATGGGGAAATGCTTCTTTACAAAAGAATGCCAGCTAATATAAAATAATTGGTTCAGGAAAGGATCAAATGATGCTAAAAATCATTAGGAGAAAAGCTGATGGAGAACAGGATACTTACATAGTGCCAAAGTATTTCGCCACAGATTAAAGATGAAGGGGAAAACATACCTTCAAGTGGCTTAGAATCATTAATAGTGGAACAACCCAACATATGCCTCTTGATGTGATACAACATGAGACATCACCCATGAAGTATACATGCAAAACATTTAAACTGAATCTAATCAAGCCTTCATACTTAACTTCTGGTTTAGAAGAAACACAGGGAATAGAGAAATACGCTAAGACTGCTACACTGAAATAATCAAATATAGATTGTGGAACATTCTCTAAGACATTTTTCTTCTCTTTGAAAGTCAAAGCCTTGGCAATTGGACTAATCCAAAATGTGGGACATTCTAAGACAACTGTCCTGGATTCTTTAATAAATCATTTCATGGGAGAACAAAACAGTAGGTGGTCAGTTTAAGACTAAAAGATAACTACTACTAAAAGTCAACAAATAATTCAGTGCATGCAGAGTGGATCTTAGTTTAGGGATGGAAGATAGCTGCAAGAGACATTCTTGGGACAACCATGGAAATCTGAACACATATCAGATGTAAGATGATAGAATTTTAACCTTCCTACATATGATATTTTGGTTAAATGAAATAATTTCCTTTTTCTTAGGAGATATACACACAGTAAAATGTTAACAATCATTGAATCTTGGTAGTATAGGTAGTGTTTATATAAGTGTTTATATAAATATATATTTATATAAAGAGGCATAAGAATTAGAATTATAGAGACAAAAAACTTATTTGTAGGAAACATGCTATCTACAGAAAAACCCAAGAGAATCTACAAACCATCAGGGCTAATACCTATTAACTATAAAAACTAACAGAAGAGTTTAGCAAGGTTTGTTGGATATAAAATCAAGGACATAAAATTACATGGTGTTCTAACACATTAGCCAGAGCCAATTAAAAAAAGATGCTTCTCATGATAGTAACATTATAAAGAATCTAGAAGAAAAGTCTAACAAAAGATTCCCAAAACTTTTGTGACGGAAACAACAAAATAATGTGCAGGTGCACAAAAGGCTACTAAGAAGAGAGACAGAGTCAGATGACTCTAGAGGTTTCCACCCCTGTTTTGGTAGCTTATCAAAAAGTTGGCTCAGGAGGTCTGAGTTTGTTTCATGCAAGAAAAGGCTGATCAGCCACAGAGTACTGATGGCTTTCCCTAGTAAGACCATTTCACCAACCTCAAAGCTCCAATTATTACACAGGAGCCCTTTCCACAGTACATAGTTCTAGATGTGTCTGGCCAGTGCACACATCTATATGGGGATAACAGACCTTAGGGAATTGTGTGTGCCTTAATACTTCTTTATTTTTCTCCACTAAACCTTATTTCACATTACACCAAATGACATGTATGTGTGCATGCAGATGTGTTCCCCTTCACTTGACAAAGACCTACATAAATATCCTTTTATGGGAAGATTCAATATTATAATGATGTCAATTTTCCACAAATAAATTCAGTGTAGTGCAATAAACAAAATTCCAAAAATAATTTTTCCCCCATGGAACTTGAAAAACTGATTGTAAATTTTTTTTTTTTTTTTTTTTTGAGATGGAGTCTCACTTTGTCACCAGGCTCGAGTGCAGTAGCATGATCTCGGCTCACTGCAACCTCCGCCTCCTGGGTTCAAGTGATTCTCCTGCCTCAGCCTCCCAAGTAGCTGGGACTACAGGTGCACACCACCATGCCCAGCTAATTTTCTGTATTTTTAGTAGAGACAGGATTTCACCATATTGGCCAGGATGGTCTTGATCTCTTGACCTCGTGATCCGTCCGCTTCAGCCTCCCAAAGTGCTGGGATTACAGGCGTAAGCCACTGCGCCCAGCCTGATTCTAAAATTTTTATGGAAGCACTGTATAATAGTAGCCTTTGGCTATTTTGAATAATAAGGAGGGTAAGACTGGTGTTACCAGGAAAACAAGACTTACAGAGAAATGATACTAGCATAGAGACAGAAAGCCCAAAGAGACAGAATAGAGGGCTCAGAAACAGAGGCACAGGTATTTATTTACACAGCATATGGTTCACATTGGCATTATAATTTAGTGGGGAACAGAACGGACTATATAATAAATATTTCCAGGGTAAGTGGCCATCCTTTTGGAAAAGGTCAACTAATCCAAAAGAAAATGGGCAAAAGACTTATGAATAGGTAGTTCACTATAGGGAATTCGAATATCTAATAAACACATAAAATAAATGACCTCATTAGTAATCAAAGAAATGCAATGAAAAACCAGGCCTGGTACAATGGCTCATCCCTGTAATCCCAGCACCTGTGCAACATAGCAAGACCCCATCTCTAGAAAAAAAAAAAAAAAAGAAAAAAAAGAAAATTAGTTGGATGCGGTACCACATACTTGTACTCCCAGCTAACAGAGGCTGAGAGGCTGAGGTGGGAGGATTGCCTGAGCCCAGAAGTTTGAGGCTACAATAAGACAGGAATGCATTATTGCACTCCCACCTGGGCAACAGAGCAAGACCTTGTCTCAAAAAATACATACATACATATGAAAAATCAGTGAGACTGCAAAAAAATTGGGCCTAATAATACAAGAGTTGGTAATCATGTACATGTAGCAACAAACACTATCATATTCTACATGTGGTATAATATAAATATTTGAAAGTAAACTGGCAATATCTAGAGTAAAGCTAAGGATGAGCATATCCTATCATGTAGCTACTTATATTCACATATGTACAAGACATTTTCACTGCAGCAATGTTTATAATAGCAAAAAACTAGAACCAACTCAAATGTTCCCTAAGAGAGAAAAAATGGCAAACTGGTACATCTGTATAACAAAATACCACATATTAAGTCAAAACAAAAAGCTAGCGCTATATTTATCAACATGAATACATCTCAAAAACATAATATTGATGAAAAAGCAAGTTTCAGGATATATACAACTTTTAAAATGTCAACAATCTACAGAAAAAGATTTTCTTTCTTAAAAAAGAAACAGGCTTTATTCCAGCAAACAGTTTGCAAACCGTGGAGATGTACCTTGGTAGAAAATAAAGGCGCCTTCTGAGAGAACAAAGAAAAGGGGTTGTCATTTACAGAGAAAGTTCACAGTCAGGTTCCCACTCTGGTCCACTATACAAATGAGGGGTGCAAACTTGTTCAGTTCTGATTGGCTGAGGCAGGTCACAGAGTGTTTGTTAGGTACAAAAGGCCAAATGGTATTTTCTGGTAGCTGTTAATTCAGGTGGCATAAATAGGAACAGACAGCTATGAAAGTCCTAAAGTTACTGGGTGTATAGGTTTTCCAGGAATGCGGAGTACACATATGATCTCTACATGTCTGCAAAGGATCGCGTGGGTCTATTTTGAATTTGGACTGTTAGCCACTCAGAATCTGCCTTAAAGGGTTGGTTCTTTCAGGGTTCACAAAAACATGCAATCAACGTTCTAGATTGTTTGTGGATCTACACCCACAGCAAAAGTATCTGAAATGTGCATGGGCATGATAAACAGTAAATTCAGGATAATGGTTACTTCTGAAAAGGCAGAAAGGGCAGAGAAAAGTATCAAAGTAAGACTGTAAGGTGCTATATCTGTGTCTATAATTTTTTTGTTTATAAAAATCTGAAGCATATATAAGACAATTCAACAAAACTGAGTAATAGGTACATAGTTATTATATTATTCCCTACACTTTACTATATACTTGAAGTAGAAAGGAAAAGTGGGAGGGCGAGAGGGAAAGAGGGAAGATACTGAAGGAGGAGGATACTAAGTAAGTAAGCTAGCTCCTTCCAGGAATAAACATAGTAAAGCTGTCCTTACTTTGGTAACTGGGGTGGCCTTAAGCCTGCCTCTTAAAATCCCTGCACCCTGGAGGAAAGCCAGTCAATGAATACATGACACTTGTAGTCATTTCCCATTTAGAAAAGAATCCTAGACCTATGTAACTGCAAAGTTTTTGTCAATTTAGTCCTTATTCAATAAACAAGAATCACAAGACACTATGAATATCCAATGGGAGGAAAGAAAAAGATCACAATGAACAAACAGAATAAATGGGCAAGGAGAAAACTGAAATATTATTACTAAGAAAACACTTGAGGAGAAGGGGTAAATAACAGAAGTAGTATTGATAAAGATCATAGTAGTGATATGTAACACAAAGAAATGTCCCAGAAGGTAGAGAGGTTAAAAAAGAGAGAGCAAGAAAGAAAGAAATGGGTGATACAAGTAAAAAGTTGAAGAGATATAAAGAATATGTTTGGGAAGTTCAAAATACATTTAGTAAGAGTTCTAAATGAAGAAAATAGAATAAATAAAGATTATGCTAAAAATATTTGGAGTTAAAAACACCAATGGTCTGAGTAAAAGGGCTCAGTGAGGCTAAGGCGGATGAATTAAAAGACTCATATCTACATAAATCCTAGTTTACATAATTAAATTCCAGAAATTCAAAACGGAAAACTCTAAAAGCTTCCTATAACTAGAATTAATTTGGCATCAGACTTTTCATCAGCAACATTAAAAGACAATGAAGACGGAAAGTAGATTACTTGTTGACTTAAGGCTGGGGGGTGGGCAAATTGGTGGGAACAGAGAATGACTGCTAATAAATCCAGGGGTTTCATTTTTGAGTGATAAAAATATTCTACAATGTACTGCGGTGATGGCTATACAACTCTATGAATATATTAAAAACCACTAAATTGCACATAGTATGGTATATGAATTATGCCTCAATAAAACTGTTATTTTTTAAAAGATAGTAGAATAATGTTTTCACTGTCTGGGCAAAAATGACTGTGAATCTGGAATTTTACATCCAGGCAAACTACCAGTCAAGCATGAGGGCAAATGAAAACCTTTTTGGACATGTTAAGTTCTCAAAAAATTTACTTCAATAGGAATCATCCATCTGAAAACATTTCTATCTTTTGACCTAGCAATTCCACTTCTAAGAATTTTACCAATCTCTCACAAAATTGGAAAAAAGGAGTAGGCCTCTCGTCCCAGCATTTATAAAGATAAAACAAATGATTCACCAGGTTAAAAAAAAAAACTGATTTTTTAAGGCACTATTTTTACATATAACAAAACAAACACAAAACTGACGTAAATAAGTTGGTCCCAAAACAATAGAAAGTAAAAGGAAATACACCCCACAAAAAGCCATGTTTCCAACTAGAAAGTTAAAGATAGTGACTGTGGCTATATGGTAAGCAAGGGGAGAGTAGAAACAAGATGGGTATCAGAAAAATTAGGCAATATGCCAGGTTATGAAGGATCCTGAAAGCCACGGTAAGTAGAGTTTTAATTTTATTCTAAGAGCAATGAGAATCTAAAGTTTCAAAAACAGGTATGTGTGACATAATCTGATTTATATTTTACTAACAATTTACTTCTGATATGGTTTGAATCTGTGTCCCCACCCAATCTCATGTCAAATTGTAATCCCCAATGTTGGAGGTGGGGCCTGGTTGGAGGTGACTAGATCATGGGGGTGGATCTTTCATGAATGGTTTAGCACCATCCTCTTGATGCTGTCCTTTTGATGAGTGAGTTCTCAAAAGATCTGATTGTTTACAAGTGTGTAGCACCTCCCCCTACCCCTTGCTCCTGCCATGTAAGACGCACCTGCTCCTGCTTTGCCTTCTGCCATGACTGTAAGTTTCCTGAGGCCTCCCCAGAAGGTGAGCAGATGCCAGTATCATGCTTTCTGTAGAGCCTGCAGAACCGTGAGCCAATTAAACCTCTTTTCTTTATAAACTACCCAGTCTCAGGTATTCCTTTATAGCAATCAGAGAACAGATAAATATACCATCCCATTTTATAGACGAGCACATTGTGGCATAAGTGTTAAGTATATTGCTCAAGGCCACTCAGCTAGTAAATTCTAGACAATATAACTCTAGAGCAGTATATATTATAGTACCTCTAATTATCACTCTAGTGAAGAATGGATTACGGTGCGCCAAGAATGAATGCAGGGAGGAAGACTAGTTGAAACTATGATTGTGTTAAGCAACCATAGTTAAGCAAGAGATGATTGCTTGGGCCAAGAGTGAATGCAGGGAGGAAGACTAGTTGAAACTATGGTTGTGTTAAGCAAGAGATGATTGCTTGGACCAAGGTGAAAACAGTGGAGATAGGGCTACTGGATTAGACATGGAGGAAGAGTGAGAAAAAACTAAGAATTAAGGCTGATTCTGAAATTCTGATGTGTGCAACGGGTGGACAGTGATGCCATGAGGGAGAGAAATCAAGCATTATGTCACCAACAGGAGAGGCTTACTAAATGATCAAGAAGGCAGCTGGTTATGCAAGTTTAGAACCCTGGAGGAGAGATGAGGCTGAAGACATATTTGGGTGTCACTAGCATACTGGGAGGCAGACCTACAAGAGAGTATAGGCCAAGAAGGCTCAGCCCTGGGGATCATAAACATTTACAAGAGAAACCAAAAATGGCTGAAAAGAAAGAAACAGACACTGAGGTAGAAGGAAAAAATATTCAGTTAAGAAAATTTATTAGATAAGAATAGGAACACATAATAGTGGCTAGAAGACATTAGGAAAGGTAGGAATTGTATATCTGTACATATTTGGTCATTCCTATTTACATACATTTGCAGATGTATTGGGGCTGGGAGATAATAGAGCATGTTTGTGGCTAAAGGGAATTTAATCGAGGGGAGAAGAATGATATGGAAGACAGAGATGCAGGAAAGATGAAATCTGAGTCACAAGTAGAGAAATCAGACTGTCGGGAATGGTCTTCGATAACAAATGAAAGGAAGACAGAACAAGAGGACCAATGCAGACAAGTTTGTAGAATTGGTGGTGAAAAGATGACAAGAGCTGCATTTAATTTCTCAGTAAAGTTTGAAGTGAATTCCACAGATAGGAGTGGGAGCTGTGAGAGGTTTGCAATGAGTGGAGGAAATGAATTTTTTTTTTTTTTTCTGAGACAGAGTCTCATTCTGTTGCCCAGGCCAGAGAGCAGTAGTGCGATGTTGGTTCACCGCAGACTCCGCGTCCTGGGCTCAAACGATTCTCCTGCCTCAGCCTCCCAAGTAGCTGAGATTACAGGCACACGCCACCACACCCAGCTAATTTTTGTATTTTTAGTAGAAACGGGGTTTCACCATGTTGGCCAGCCTGGTCTTGAACTCCTGGCCTCAAGTGATCCACCTGCCTCGGCCTCCCAAAGTGCTGGGATTACACACATGAGCCACTGCGCCCAGCCAGCAAACGCATTTTTAATTGGGAAAGTGAAGAAGCAGCTGCACTGCCAGACATTGTTGATGCCCTGTTGAGGGTTTTGGTATACATTTAAAGCACTACATTCAATTGCCTAAGTGCAGGCAGGTAGCGGGCATTTTGTCAGGCCCATATGATGAAAAGAGAGAAAAATTAGAGAGCCAAAGGTATTAGTAATTTTTACAGTCATTTCATAATAGTATCTTGACCCTGAATTATGTGGACTGTGATGAAACAAATAGTATCACTTGAGAATGGTAAAACTGTAATCAGGAGCCAGACAAGTGTCTACATAGATAGAACCCTTTTAAGTCTTTTAAGGAAAAGGCTGATGATTTAGGAGTTTGATGATCATAGTTCCACAATTCCTTTGGCCTGGCAGAAGGTGAGAAGTAGAAATAGAGAAGTGATATTCATGAAATCAATAAGCAGAAACTATTCTAACTTAGAGTTTAACTTAGAAATCATCTAAAATAATCTAAAACTGAATAAGAGGATCAAACATTTTTTTCTGGCTAATTAAAAGCAGATTAAGCCCTAAAGTTTCAGGGATGGCAGGGGAAAGGAGGGGAAACAGTATCAAGAATAACTGTCCATAACGTCAAACTGTCCACAAAGTCATCCACTAAATTTACGTAACATTTACAAATTCAACAATTGCTCACAATTACTATTCAAATGGGTTTTCAGTGAAACAGATCAAATTTCTGTCACATAAAACTGAATTTTCGGAAAGGAGCTGTATTTGGAGCAGGATTTAAATTGAAGGAAAATATGTGAAACAATAGATGTAGTGTAGGTTCAGGACTTTTAATTGTAAGTATTTTTATGCACCATAACAATATACATATCATGTTTCCTGCGTTTTGGTACAACTCCTGGTCATAACTTTCTCTCACTGTAACCTGCTTTCCCAGGTTACTCTCAGTTCTCCAAAACCCTGGGACACCATTCCAGAGCACCACATCCTATCATTCCAAAATTAAAAGTCTGTGGGAAACACTGTCACAAATAAACAACTGAGGCATGACAGCCTGTTAGGACTGTGCGCTCTGTGAATTTGGAACTTACCCCACTTGATCAGTTTTACTCCTAGCACCTAAGTATACTACCTAGCATGAAGCAGGTAGTTTATAAGTGCTGGCTATATAAAATATTAAAAATTCTATATTCTGGGTAAGCTTAGAGGAGACTGATGAAATCACATTCAAGAAGGCTCACCTGAGGCTAGAGAAATAATAGTTAAGATCAGAGAAGCACTAGCCACCTTAGTCAAGATGTTATATTTTTGTTCTTTCTCAACTGGGGTTCCATGAGATACTTAAGTCTTAACGACCTAAGGCATGACCTAGTGTAAGTAATGAATTATCTTCTCTCCATGCATCTAGGATGGTACTTATAAGACTCTCAGAGAGTTAAGATGTATGCTCACTAGTTTTATGTACTTTTTCGTAAACCCTGAAATAAAGAACAGTATTTTTCAGAGAGCACTTTGTAAGACAGTGTTTTAAGGATATAATGTTATGATGCATTCAATGAAAAAAAAATCACCTATTTCATTTGCTTTATGTGCTTTGTCCCTTTGAAAAAATAGTTTTCAAAGATTTTGCAACTTCTCCATAATATAAGATTGCTCCAGCTTTCAATTCCATTTTCCCTGTGCCATATACTCCAATAACAAGTAGGTGATAAAAAATATTATGCAATACACATTGCACCAACCTTATACAGTGCCTACCTTGTGCCAGGCTCCATGAGGCTGGGACTATTATTACCCCTATTTTACAGATGAGGAAACAGGGAGGTTAAAAAAAACTTGGCCCAAGTCAGACAGCTAAGTAAATGGTAGAATTACTCATATATTGCATGGTCTATGTCTCTATAAGAAGTAGAAGAAATATTCCATCATTAGGTATTCTAATCAAAAGACTGACACTTTATACATGCCATAGCATGAAGGCAGGTTAGAACTTTAAGATAATTCCAATTTAGGTAAAAATGGATCAATGTAGATTAATTTTTCATTCAACAAATATTTAATGAGTGCCAGGGTTCTAGGCAATGAAGACAGTGTAATTAAACTAAAGTCCCTGACCTCATAGAGCATACATTCTAGTTAAGGGAAGATAAACGCTAAAAAAAAAAACAGACAATGTCAGATGGTCATAAAAAGTTATAGAGAAAAACAGAGACTGTGAGCAGGATCGGGGTGGGTGGCTATTCATTTTGTAGTATGGTAAAACTTGAAGGTCTCATTGGTAAGATGATACATGAACAGAGATAGGAAGGAAGTGAAACAAGTTCAGCATGCAGGTATGTAAGAGAAAACTAGTTCAAACAGAAGGGAAACAAATGCAAAAAGCATTAAGGTAGAAGCAAAATTGGTATGTGCAACAGACATAGCATTAATGACCCCCAATTAATGGCTTCTCTGTAGGCACATCTTTTACCCGTAACTCTGCAATCCCCTTTCCATTCTGACCCTGGGCTTCTCCTTGCTCTTGTGATACCTTGTAATGTAGTATTAGCAAACATGACCCAAAGAGAAGCTTAAAATGCAAATATGCAAGTCTTGTCCTCTTGTACAATTGAACTTGCTCACTCTCTCACCTGTGCCTTTCTATGAGAACATGCCTGGACTAGTTTACTAGAACCAAGTTGTCCACTCAAGACCATCCTAGACTAGCCATCTACCTAAAACCACCACTGGTCACAGACATGAATGAGCACAGCCAAAGTTAGTGCAGTGCAGAATATAGTGTGCTCATTGACCCAAGCAGTGGTTGTTTTAAGCACTATGCTTTGGAGTGGCTTTTGTACAAAAGAAAATTAATACGTTCTGTTAGGGAAACAGTAGTCCACAGCAGGAGGAGACACAAAAACTTGTGAATATTCATAACAGCATTATTCACAATAGCCAAAAAGTTAAAACAGTCCAAACATTCATCAGCTGATGAATAAATAAAATGTCGCATATCCATTCAGTGGAATTTTACTTGGTAATAAAAAGAAACAAAATGCTGATACATTCTATAACATGACCAAACCTTGGAAACATTACACTAAGTAAAAGAAGCAGTCACAAAAAACCACACAGTGTATGATTCCACGTATATAAAATGGTCCAGAATAGAAAAATCCACAGAGACAGAAATTAGATTGCCTAGAAATGGGGGGAATATAAGGATTGGGGGAGAATGGCTAAGGGTGTGGGGTTTCTTTTAGGGCTAATGAAAACATTCTAAAATTAAATTTGGTGATGGTTGTTGTGCACACTGAATACACTAAAACCTCCGCACTGTACACTTTAAATGAGTGATTTGTATGGTAGGTGAACTCAATGAAGTTACTTTTGAAAAAAAGGAAACAATATGATCAATTATATTTTTAAAGTATTACTCTGGCTGCTATACTGGAAATGAACTATAGTGTAAATGCCAAGAAACCAGATGGGAAATGATGGCCAAGTGAAAGATGATGGTGGCTTTTATCAGACTGATAGTGGAAGAGATGATAAGATGTGTCAGATGCTAAATATATTATAAAGGTACAGTCAATAGGATTTGCTGGTAAATTGGATGTGAGGTATGATAAAAGGGAGTCATCCTCGACTCTACAGTTTATAACCTAAGTCAAAGGATGTAAGAGCCAAAAATCAAAAAGAATGAAGAAGGAACACTGAGGTTGGGAGGACAAGGCATAGGATGCAGAATTAAAAATTATATTTAAAATATCCCGGGAGGCACATTAACCAGAGTGGAGATGTAAAACAGGAGCTGGGTATACAAATCTGAAATCAAGTAAGAGATGTGGCTGGAGATAAAAGTTTGGAAGTTGACAGAAATAACATGTTCTTTTACATGTTCTAAGAGACACCTTTCCCCCATCCCCTTCTTAACATCTTTGAATTCAGATTCTACCATACAATTGATGACATCTTAAAAATCACTGTTTTCTGACCAGGCACAGTGACTCATGTCTGCAATCCCAGCACTTTGGGAGGCCAAGGTAGGCAGATCACTTGAGGTCAGGAATTCGAGACCTACCTGGCCAACATGGCGAAACCCCGTCTCTACTAAAAATACAAAAAATAGCCAGGCATGGTGGCGGACACCCGTAATTCCAGCTACTCAGGAGGCTGAGGCATGAGAATCACTTGAACCTGGGAGACAGAGGTTGCGGTGAGCCGAAATCACGCCACTGCACTCCAGTCTGGGCAGCAGACTGAGACTCTGTCTCAAACAAAAAAAAAAAAAGAAAAAAAAATCACTGTTGTCCAGATGGCAGGCATGATATACACAGTAGCTATCTGCACATGTACAACTTAATCAAGGCTATTCATGCTGTTGTCATTCAACTCAGTTATCTGCATTGTTGGTATTACAAATGTTGGAATTAACTGCCACTTTAAAATACCTTCAGAAAGATTATAAAATTATTCTGCACTAAAACAAAATTCAAGTATATATAATCAAGTTATTAAGTGTATAAATAAAAGAGAAAGTCATGACTTTTAACACAAGGAAGTAACTTTCACTGAAACTTGGTATATTTGATAGATCCCATTTAAACAGGGTCAACCAAAAAAAGGAAGAAAGAAAGACGATAAAAGAGGGCAAGGGGGAAAGGAAGGAAAGAGTAATCATCATTGCATGTAGATCACATCTGAACATGGAAGGCAGTGGTGAACATGTAAATAGAGAGAAAAGAGAAATAATCAAAGGCTTTTTTCTTGTCATGAGGGTGCAGGAGAAAATACCAGATGCAGAGCACTTAGATGACATTCCCTAACAGAAATTACAAACCTGTCATAAGTGAAACGTATGACAGTGATGGAGAACTTCAGCTATCCTGACATCTGTTGAAAGTCTTACTCTGATTATTTTTATGAAAAAATGAAGTTAATAATTCCTTACATGTAAGATATACATGCTTATTTTAGATAAGACTTCTAAAAGAGAAATTAAAAAATAGAAACATTTCAAAAATATTCTTAAAACATTTCAAAATTATATGCTAAAACTTTAAAGGAAAAACGCCAATTCCATACTTACTCGTTATTATTAGTTTAGACTATTTACAATAGATCTTATCTCTTCATAACAGTAAAATGCCCTATCTGCAGAGTAACACAGGGCATTCAGATTCTAGGTAATCTTAGTACTTCAAGTCTTTGCAGGTAGCTCTTTTTACTTCCAAGTCTCTAGTGATATCACCCTTCTGACTTAGGTTAACTAGAAAAAAAAAAAAAAAACCTAGTCTATCTTCCAACTAGTCTACTGTCAGTTTTTAGTTTCCTGAACACTAAAGCAAAAGAGGAAACGGAACCACGAAGAGCACTTCTAAACTTCATTGTGAACCTACATGACTATCACTCCCTAGGCAGTAATTCTGGCTCACTTTTCTTCAAGAATTTTTTTTCTTTTACTTCTCCTAACAAAAGACATTACAAATCAAAATCACTGCCTTTTCTTACTTAAAAAAAAAAAAAAAAAAGACTTTTAACAAATTTGGTTTAGATGCAAATCACATGTTCAAGAGTAACTCAGTCTGGCTGGGCGCGGTGGCTCACGCCCGTAATCCCAGCACTTTGGGAGGCTGAGGCGGGCAGACCACAAGGTCAGGAGATCGAGACCATCCTGGCTAACACGGTGAAGCCCTGTCTCTACTAAAAATACAAAAAAAAATACAAAAAAAAATTGGCTGGGCATGGTGACACGTGCCTGTAGTACCAGGTACTCGGGAGGGTGACGCGGGAGAATGGCGTGAATCCGGGAGGCGGAGCTTGCAGTGAGCCGAGATCGCGCCACTACTCCAGCCTGGGGGACAGAGCAAGACTCCGTCTCAAAAAAAAAAAAAAAAAAAAAAAGAGTAACTCAGTCTTTGCCCCCATATATTTGTATCTGATCTAAACCTGGTGGAAAAGGGTAATCAGCTTACAGGGATTTCTGTCTGGACACTATGGCCAGAGACAGAATTATAGTAAATTCTGGCCACCACAGGGACAGAGGCTACACACATACACATATTGAGAAGAAGTACCCATATTCTCTAAAGCAAGGACTGCCTAGCTCACTTAGTAGAACTAGAAATTAATGGATTTTTATATTCAATATTCACTTTCTCCAGAAGAAACTCACTTAAGTGTTGAGGAAACCTACTCTAACTTCCAATATTTTTAACCTTTATTAACCTTTAGACACCTAAAAAAAACCAAGAGCATAAAAAACAGACATGCAATTGAATGAGGAGATGAACTAAGGCATCAGAATTATTTTGAAGCCAAAAAGTATAAGGATTCTTAAATTGTAGAGCTGTGCTGTCCAATCTAGTAATCATTAGACATGTATGGCTATTTAATTTTATATAAACTAACATTAAATAAAATATAAAATTTAGTTTCTCACTCTCACAGGCCACATTCCCAGCCACTGCAGCTACTGGCTAATATACTGCATAGCACAGAAAATTATATTGTATATAGTGCTATTATGGAGGAGCTGCACTCACTAAAGAAAACAAAAATACTAAATTGCACAGAGGCCAGACACGGTGGCTCATGCCTGTAATCCTAGCACTTTGGGAGGCCGCGGCAGGTGGATCACTTGAAGTCAGGAGTTCGAGACTAGCCTGACCAACATGGTGAACCCCGTTTCCACTAAAAGTACAAAATTAGCCGGTTGTGGTGTCACATGCCTGCAGTCCCAGCTACTTGGGAGGCTGAAGCAGGAGAATCATTTGAATCTGGAAGGTGGAGGCTGCAGTGAGCCGAGATCGCACCATTGCACTCCAGCCTGGGCAACAAGAGTGAAACTCCATCTCAAAATAAATAAATAAATAAATAAATAAATTGCACAGAACAAGCTTGAAATTTAAAATGTCTGTTGAAATAAACCTAAAAAAGGAGTTAACTAGCAAAATGGACAAAGCTAAAGTCCATGGTACTTTAACAAAAAGTTAAAAAAAAAATATGAAGTAAAATGAAAGCTTAAATTATGAGAGTAAAGTTAATATCCCAGAATACAGATTAAATTATCCTACATACATCTAAGAGAAATTTTATGAGAATTAAAATAAGAAGAAGAAATAACAAAGAAAATTTAAGAATTTCTCCTTGAGCCAAAAGGCAAATAAGAGTCTTCAGAACCAAAGTTCCTTTTTTAACAAAGAAAGAATAAGAGCTGGGCATGGTGGCTTATGCCTGTAAGCCCAGCACTTTGGGAGGTTGAGGTGGGAGGACTGCTTGAGCTCAGGAGCTTGAGACCAACCTGGGCAACATAGCGAGACCTCATCTCTACCAAAAATAAAAAAAAATAAAAATTAGCCAGGTATGGTGGCATGTGTCTGTAGTTCCAGCTATTCAGGAGGCCAAAGAGGAAGAATCACTTGAGCCCATGAGGTGGAGGCTGTGGTGAGCCATGATTGTACCACTGCACTCCAGCCTGGGTGCTTGGAGGGATACAAAATTAAACAAATCCTGCTAAGTTAAACTCAAAAGGAAATAAGAAAGTACCAATAAAATTCTAAGGAATAAAAAACAAGAATCAGATTGTTGTATGCTAGAAAATAAGAAAACAGTATCTTCAAAATTCTAAGATATATATAAAAAATCATATCAATACTACTACTTCTGGCATGATGAAATGAGTACATTGATAAATCCTCTCCCCCAAAAGCAACTATAAAGCTGGACAAAACCGTCAAAACAACCATTTCAGTGCTCTGGACTTCAGCTAAAGGCTGAACCTGAGTAAGAACATCACAGTCTGTGGCTTTTTTTTTTTTTTTTTTTTTTTGAGACAGAGTTCTGCTCGTCGCCCAGGCTGGAGTGCAATGGCACGATCTCGGCTCACTGCAACCTCTGCCTCCCAGATTCAAGCGATTCTCCTGTCCTAGCCTTCCAGGTAGCTGGAATTACAGGCATGCACCACCATGCCTAGCTATTTTTGTATCTTTAGTACAGACAGGGTTTCACCATGTTGGCCAGGCTGGTCTTGAACTCCAGACCTCAGGTGATCCATCTGCCTCGGCCTCCCAAAGTGCTGAAATAAGAGGCGTGAGCCACCATGCCCAGCCATCTGTGGCATTTTTGCTTGAGGCTGCTGCCATCCCTTCTTCAGATGACTGACCAATCTCTCCCTCTGTTGGCATGTGTTCAGCTAGAGACTGTGTGTGTGTGAGGGTGTTGACAATTGATTTGGAGTGCTGTGAATTTAAGTGATAACCTCCACTGCAAGTTGGGGGCTTAATACACTTTCCACACTCCACTAGTTGAACGGACACTGCAAGCACGTGCTACAGGGTCTGGACAGGGCCCACACCTCCACACATCCTTGACTGACTGAGCCTCTGCATGTTCATGCACACAGGAGACACAGAGGAGCCCGGAGGAAAGCAAAAGCCAGGTCAGGCAACATGGTGGCCTGAAGTTTGAATATACTCCCTGATACACAGATAGACACACAAAGAAAGAATAGAAACCTTACTGGCCTTGAAATATTTGAACAAAACCTCTGACAAATCTTTAGCTTGACATTAAGCTATGGAAAGACAGGAGCAACCCCTAGGAAGCCAAGAATAAAAATAAAAACAAGGAGGGGAAAAAGAACAAATTGAGCAGAAATATTAGTAGTCACACATTACGGGGGTGGTGGGAACACACTTCAAAGATTTAGTCCAACTATAAAACTTGGACAGAACACATAGAGCAGCTAATCGACAACACTGGAAGTAAATAGCAGTAGACGATTGGGATAGAGGACAAGGATCTGAATCATCATGAAACCATCAGTGAGTTTACATTTTACATACTTTTTTTTTTTTTTTTTTGAAATGGAGTCTCACTGTCGCCAGACTGGAGTGCAGTGGCGCGACCTCAACTCACTGCAACCTCCAACTCCCTGATTCAAGCAATTCTCCTGCCTCAGCCTCCCGGGTAGCTGGGATTACAGGCACGCGCCACCATGTCCAGCTAATTTTTGTATTTTCAGTAGAGACGGGGTTTCATCACGTTGGCCAGGATGGCCTCGATCTCCTGACCTTGTGATCTGCCCGCCTTGGCCTCCCAAAGTGCTGGGATTACAGGCGTGAGCCACCGCGACTGGCCTAAAAAAAGTTTACTTTTTAAAAGAAAAAAAGTAAAAAAAAAAAAAAAAAAAGGCAAAGAAATAACATTCAAAGATAGTGTCTCAGTTTTTTCCCCTCACTTTTCTCACGTAACCCCATGGTGGCAGCGGCAACAATAGGATCTTCAAAAGAGCCAACATTCTGAGAGCAGGGAGAGAACCAGGTCTCCAATTGATGTAGCTGTGGGGATTAAAATAAAATGAACAGAATCCAGGTGATATGGTTTGAATCTATGTCCCCACCCAAATCTCATGTTCAAATGTAATCCCCAATGTTGGAGGTGGGGCCTGATGGGAGAAAATTGGATCATGGAAGCGGTTTCCCATGGCTTAACACCATCCCCCTTAGTGCTGTCATTGTGATAGTGAGTTTTTATGAGATCTGGTCATTTAAAAGTATGTGGCACCCTCCCCATCTCTTGCTTCTGCTCCAGCCATGAGAGATATGCCTGCTTCCCCTTTACACCTTTCACCATGATTTTAAGTTTCCTGAGGCCTCCCCAGAAGCAGAATCTGCTATGTTTCCCGTACAGTCCGCAGAACCATGAGCCAACTGAATCTCTGTTCTTTATAAATTACCTAGTCTCAGGCATTTCTTTATAGCAATTCAAGAATAGAGTAATACATCAGGGATCTATGGGACAGTAACAAAAAGATCTAACATCTGTGTCAGTGAACTTCTAAAAGCAAAGAATAGGATGATTAAAAATATCTGAAGAAATAATGTCAAAAGCCTTCCCAAATCTGACAAATGACATAAAACTACAGATTCAAAAAGGTCGGTGAATCCAAAAATGGATAAATACGTAGAATTCCACACTCTCACACATCATAAAGTGTTGAAAATGAAACACAAAAAATTACTATTATTTTTTGAGATAGCATCTTGCTCTGTCGCCCAGGCTGGAGTACAATGGCGTGATCTCAGCTCAATGCAACCTCCGCCTCCCGGGCTCAAGCGATTTTCCTGCCTCAGCCTTCCTAGAAGCTGGGATTATAGGTGCCCGCGAACACGCCTGGCTAAGTTTTTTGTACTTTTAGTACAGACAGGGTTTCACTATGTTGGCCAGGCTGGTCTCGAACTCCCGACCTCCGGTGATCCACCCGCCTCGGCCTTCCAAAGTGCTGGGATTACAGGTGGGAGCCACTGCGCCCAGCCTAAAAATTATCTTGAAAACAGAGAAAAACAATCCATAAAATATAGGGGAACACCACTTCAAATGACAACAGGTTTCTCAGCAGAAACCATGAAGGCCAGAAGGAAGTTACACATTTTAAAGTGCTGAAAGAGAAAAAAACTATCAAAGGTAGAATTCTATATCCAGTTAAAGTATCTTTCAGAGCAATCATAAAACAAAGATATTTTCAGATAAATGGGAACTAAGAGAATTTGCTACCAGCAGACCTGTTCTAAAAGAATTGCTAAAAGAAATTCCTCACACAGAAGGGAAATAATACCGGAAGGAAACCTGGAAGAGTAGGTTGAGGAGTAAGCAAAATGGTAAACATGCAGACAAAAATACATTAACCCTCTCCTCTTAGTTTCCTTAAATATGTTTAATGGTTGAAAGTAAAAACAATAGCATTGCCCAATGAAGCTTTCAATTAATAGAAACGTAACATACAGCCAACAATAAGAGAAAAGGTGGAGAGAAGATAAAGAGACCTACGTAGTTTTAACATTTCTTTAAGTGGACCATAATCCATTTAAAGAAATGAATTTATTTTAAAGCAGGTGGTGAAAATGTTAAGTTTTTATAATGTAATCTCTGGAGTGATCACTAAAACTATATGGAGAGTTAAGAATTTTTAAGCCACAACAGGTAAATTAAAACAGAATGGCTAAAAGTTGTTCAAACAATCTAAAAGAATGCAGGAAAGACAGAGTAATGGAAAACAGAAGCAGCTAACAGAAAACAAATTACTAAACTGGTAAACCTAAATCTAAACATGCCAAAATTACATTAAATGTGAATAGTCTATAGATACAAATTAAAAGACAAGATTGTTAGAATGAATTTTTAAAATGACCCAACTATATGTAGTCTACGAGTAATTCACTTCAAATATAATTTTCATAATAGAAAGCATAACTAATATATATGCACCTAATAATGGAGCTTCAAAGAACATGAAGTAAAAACTTACAGAACATTACAAATAGGAAAACAAATTCTTAATTATATTTGATGACTTCAGCACTCCTTTCAGTAATAGAACTAGTAGACAGAAAATCAGTAAGAATATGGAAGAAATGAACATCATCAATCCACCTGATCTGATTGATATTTATATAACATTCTACTTAACAGCTGAATACATGTTCTTGTCAAATGCACATGGAACACTCACCAAAACAGACCATATTCTGAGTCATAAGACAAACTTTCACAAGCTTAAAAAAAAACCACAAACGTTTGTTCTCTGACCATAATAGAATTAAACTAGAAATAGAAAGTTAATAGGAAAATCTCCAAACACCTGGAAATTAAACAGCACATTTCTAAATAATCTTTGAGTCAAATGGAAGCCCCAAATTACATACTAATATTCCTCATAATCATTAGTAAAATATTAGCATACAGAATCCAGCAATTGTAAAAGGCATAATAAACATGACAATAAGGTTAATCCCAGGACCACAAGGCTAGTTCAATATTCAACTGAATGAAAATACAGCATACTAAATCTGTGGGATGCAAATACAGTAGTGCTACAGTGAATTAATATCATTAAGCTTGTGCCATTATTTTTTTTTTAGTTTTTTTAAGAGATGGGGGGGGGGGTGGGTCTTGCATGTTGCGCAATCTAGTTTCAAACTCCTAGGCTCAAGTGATGCTACCACCTCAGCCTCCCAAATAGCTGGAATTACAGGCATGTGCCACCAAGCCCTGCTCTTAAACTGATACTATTATATCAGCAAAGAAAAACAGTTGCAAATCTATCTTAAGAAACTTGAAGAACTAAATAAACCTAAAGAAAGCAACACAAAAATAATAAAAAGCAGAAATCCATGAGATTGAAAACAGAAAAAAATGTTGAAAACAAAAGCTTGTTTGTTGAAAAGACCAATACAATTTACAAATCTCTAGCAAGACTGACAAAAAGGGAAGACACAAATTAACAATATCAGTAATAAAAAAACAATGAACTACAGACTCCCCTACACACAGACATTTAAAGGTTAATAAGAATACTATGAAAAACTCTACATAAATTCAAAATGTTAGAAAAAAATGAACCAATTCCTCAAAAACCAAAGAAAAACAAAACTCTCACAGGATAAAAGATATCTGAAGATATCTTTTATATTCACAAGATAAAACAGATAATCTGAACACTCTTGTAACTATTAAGGAAATTAAACTCATAGTTAAAAACCTTTCTAAAAATAAATCTCTAGTAGCAAATTCTATCAGGTATTTAAAGAAGACATAAGACCACCTCTACAAAATACCTTCCATGAAACAGAAAAGGAGTAAGTAATTTCCAACTCACTTTATGATTCCAGCATCACCTTTACACTAATACAAAAGACTGTACAAAAAAGAAAATTATACACCAATATCCCTCTTGAATATAGATACAAGGTCAAAAAAAGAAATCACAAGAAAAATTAGAAAATACTTTTAGACAAATGAAAACAAAAAAAACACACATACCAAAACTGATGGCATACAGCAAAAGCAATGCTCAAAGGACAATTTATAGCAATAAATGTCCACCCCTACCTCACACCATATTTTAAAAACCCTCAAAATGAATAAATGATATAGGAGCTAAAATAATAAAACTCTCAGAAGAAAACATAGGGGTAAATCTTAATGACCTTGGATTTAGCAATGGATTCTTAGATATGACACCAAAAGTACGAGCAACAAAAAAAAACTGACAAATCATTCTTCAACAAAATTAAAACCTTTTGTGCAATGAATATTCTCAAGAAAGTGAAAAAAACCTACAGAATGCAAGAAAATAGCTGCAAGTCATGAATTTAATTAGGATCTATATCCAGAATACATAAAGGATCTCATGGAGGTAGACAGTAGAGTAGTGGTTATCAGAGTCTGGGAAGAAAAGGAGGGAGAAAGGGATAAAGGGAAGTTGGTTAATGGATACAAACATACAACTGGACAGAAACAGTAAGTTCTAGTATTTCACAGTATAGTAGGGAAATTACAGTTAACAATTTATCATATATTTCAAAATAGCTAGAAGAGAACTGTAATGTTTCCAGCACAAAGATAAATGTTTAAGGTGATGGGTATCCCAATCACCTTGACTTCAGCATTGCGCACTGTATACCTATATCAAAATATCACACGTACCCCAGAAATATATATAATCATTATGTATCCATTTTTTTTTCCTTTGAGACGGAGTCTTGCTCTGTCACCCAGGCTGGAGTGCAGTGGCGCAAATCTCAGCTCACTGCAACCTCCACCTCCCAGGTTTAAGCGATTCTCCTGCCTTAGCCTCCCAAGCAGTTGGGATTACAGGCATGCACCACCATGCCCAGCTAATTTTTTTTGTATTTTTAGTAGAGACGTGGTTTCACCATGTTGGTCAGGCTAGTCTCGAACTCCTGACTTCAAGTGATCCACCTGCCTTGGCCTCCCAAAGAGCCAGGATTACAAGCATGAGCCACCACGCCTGGCCATAATTTATTTTATTTTATTTTTGAGATAGGGTTTTGCTCTGTTGCCAGGCTGGAGTACAATGGCGGGATCTCTGCTCACTGCAACCTCTGCCTCCCGGGTTCAAAAGAGTCTCCTGCCTCAGCCTCCCGAGTAGCTGAGACTACAGGCGTGCACCACCACGCCCAGCTAATTTTTGTATTCTTAGTAGAGATGGGGTTTCACCATGTTGGCCAGGATGGTTTCGATCTCTTGACCTTGTGATCTGCCTGCCTCAGCCTCCCAAAGTGCTGGGATTACAGACGTGAGCCACTGAGCCCGGCCCACAATTTTTAAATTAACAACAAAAAAGTGTAGCTATAATGTAGTCTAGTAATGTCCAATAGCATTATTCTAAAAAAAAAAAAAAAAAAAAGCACATATCTTAATTTTAAAATAGTGTTAAAAACCACTAACAATTACCTGGGCCTTCAAGGAGTCATCATTTTTGTGTTGGTGGGTCTTGCCTCAGTGTTGATGGCTGCTGCCGGATCAAGTCAGTGGTTGCTAAAGGTTAGGGTGACTGTGGCAATTTCTTTCTTTTTTTTTTTTTTAAGATGGAGTCTTGCTCTGTCGCCCAGGGTGGGAGTACAGTGGCGTGATTTTGGCTCACTGCAACCTCTGCCTCCTGGGTTCAAGCAATTCTCCTGCCTCAGCCTCCCAAGTAGCTGGGATTACAGGTGCGTGCCACCACGACTTGCTAAGTTTTGTATTTTTAGTAGAGATGGGGTTTCACCATGTTGTCCAGGCTGGTCTTGATCTCCTGACCTCAGGTGATCTGCCTGCCTTGGTCTCCCAAAGTGCTGAGATTACAGGTGTAAGCTACCGTGCCCGGCCGGCAATTTCTTAAAACAAGACAACAATGAAGTCTGCTGTGCCGACTGACTTTTTTTCACAAAAGATTTCTCTGAACCAGGCAATATGGTCTGATAGCATCTGAACCACAGTAGAACTACTTTCAAACTTGGAGTCAGTCCTCTCAAATCTGCCAGTGCTTCATCAACTAATTTTATGTAAAATTCTAAATCTTTTGCTGTCATTTTATCAGTGTTCACAGCATCTTCAGCAGGAGTAAACCCCATCTCAAAAAATCACTTTCTTTGCTCATCTATAAGAAGCAACTTCTCATTTCTTCAAGTTTTACCATGACATTGTAGCAATTCGGTCACATCTTCAGGATCCACTTCTAATTCTAGTTATTTTGCTATTTCTACCACACCCGCAATTCCTTCCTCCATTGAAGTTTTGACCCCTCAAAGTCATCCACAAGCATTAGAATGAACTTCTTCCAAACTCCTGTTAATGGTGCTATTTTGACCTCCTCTCATGAATCACAAACATTCTTAATGGCATCTAGAAAGGTGAATAATTTGCAGAAGGTTTTCAATTAATGTTGCCCAGATCCATCATAGGAATATCTATGGCAGCTATAGCCTAATAAAAGATACTTCTTAAATAAGAAGAATTGAAAGTCAAAATTACTCCTTGATCCATGGGCTGCAGAATGAATGCTGCGTTAGTGGTTAAGAAAAACATTACTGAGGCAAGAGGATCACTTGAGACCAGGAGTTTGTGAGACTAGCCTGGGAAACATAGACCCTGTCTCTATTAAAAAAAAAAAAAAAATTAGCTGGGCATGGTGGTGCATGCCTGTAGTCCCACCTACTCAGGCAGCTGAGGCAGGAGGATTGCTTGAGCTCAGGGGTTCAAGGCTGCAGAGAGCTATGATCACACCAGCCTGGGCAAGAATGAGACCCTGTCTCAAAACAAAAAAAGCACACACACATAGAAAACAGAAGAGAACATTAATCTTCCTTGTACATCATCAGAGCTCTTGGGTGATCAGGTATATTATCAACGATTAGTAATATGTTGGAAGGGATCTTTTTTTCTTCTGAGCAGGGGGTCTCAACAGTGGGCTTAAAATATTCAGTAAACCATGCTGTAAAAGAATGTGCTGTCATCCAGGCTTCATTGTTCCATTTACAGAGCACAGACAGAGTAAATTTTGCAGAATTCCAAAGGGCCCTAGGATTTTTGGAATGATAAATGAGCACTGACTTCAACTTAAAGTCACCAGCTGCATTAGCCTCTAGTAAGAGTCAGCCTGTCCTTTGAAGCTTTAAAGCCTGTCATTGACTTAAGGAAATGTTGTGGCTGGTTTGATATTCTATCCAGATCACTAAAACTTTCTCCATCTCAGCAATTAGGCTGTTTTGCTTGCCTGCTTTTTAAAAATGAATGGAGACGACGTCTCACTATGATGGCCAGGCTGGTCTCGAACTCCTAGCCTCAAGTGATCCTCCCACCTTGGCCTCTTAAAAGTGCTGGGATTACAGGCATGAGCCTGTTTTGCTTTCTTATCATTCGTGTATTCACTGGAGTAGCACTTGTAGTTTCCTTCCAAAATTTTGCCTTTACATTCACAACCTAGCTGTCTGGCACAAAAGGCATAGCTTTTTGACATGCCTTCTTCACTAAGCTTAATCATTTCTAGCTTTTGATTTCAAGAGACATGTGACTCTTGGTTTCACTTGAATACTTAGAGGCCATTGTAGAGTTATTAATTGGCCTAACTTCAATATTGTTGTGTCTCAGGGCATGCGGAGGCTGGAGAAGAGTTGGGGGAACAGCCAGTCAGTGGAGCAGTTAGATCACACACAATATTTACTGATTAAGTTCACTGCCTTATTATGGGTGTGGTTTGTGGCACCCCAAAACAATTACAATAGTAACATGCAAGATCACAGAACACCAAAACAGACAAAGTTTGAAATATTGCAAGAATTACTAAAATGTGACACAGAGACACAAAGTGAGCATGTGCTGTTGGAAAAATGGCGCTAACAGACTTGCTTGATGTAAGGCTGCCACCAACCTTCAATTTGTAAAAAAAACCACATTATCTGTGTAGTACAATAAAATGAAACACAATAAAACAAAGTAAGCCTATAATTCCACATATAATTCCTGCAATGCTTTACAGTTGTCAAATAAAAAAATGTCTACAATCCTTTCTATTGGGTGGCAAAAACCACAATTACTTTTGCACCAACCTAATATTTAAAATGTAAGCAAGTTATAGGTCCAAAACTGTGTGTCACTTTAGCCAACTTTGAGTTCATCTCAAATGAGAAATAAAATGAGAAATAACTATTATTTCTTTATCAAAGTATCTTTTTTTTTTTTTTTTTTTTGTGAGATGGAGTCTTGCTCTGTCACCCAGGTTGGAGGGCAGAGGCACGATCTCGGCTCACTGCAACCTCTGCCTCCCGGGGGTTCAAGCAATTCTCCTTGAATTGCCACCCAAGTAGCTGGGACTACAGGCGCACGCCACCACACCCAGCTAATTTTTGTATTTTTAGTAGAGATTGGGTTTCACCATATTGGTCAGGCTGGTCTTGAACACCAGACCTTAGGTGATCTACCTGCCTCGGCCTCCCAAAGTGCTGGGATTACAGGCATGAGCCACAGCACCCAGCCCTAAGTATCTGTCTTAAAAAAGGACCTATCTTTGGCTGGGCGCGGTGACTCACGCTTGTAATGCCAGCACTTTGGGAGGCCGAGGCGGGTGGATCACCTGAGGTCAGGAGTTGGAGACCAACCTGACCAACATGGAGAAGAAACCCCGTCTCTACTAAAAATAAAAATTAACTGGGCATGGTGGTGCATGCCTGCAATCCCAGCTACTCAGGAGGCTGAGGCAGAAGAATTGCTTGAACCTGGGAGGCGGAGGCTGCAGTGAGCCAAGATTGCACCACTGCACTCCAGCTGGGGAACAAGAGCGAAACTCCATCTCAAAAAATAAAATAAAATAAAGTAAATAAATAAATAAATAAATAAATAAATAAATAAAGGACCTATCTTCTTCAAAAAAGAATATCAAAAAGATAATTTTCCTATGGCTTTCTGCTATGAATACCAAAACAGTTGATCTTCTTATCTCTTGGCAAACATTCTGCACTGGGATCTTGAGGATTCTTTCACTGGTTTACTACCTTTAATGTAGTTAACATTTTAACCTTGAAACATGGAATCACTCCCAAGATGCTCTACCTTGTCTTATCTTACTGGATCCTATTTAGTCACACCATATGACACCACATGTTCTCCCCACAGGGCAATTTTGTTTTTCCTCTATGGTACCTTTATTTATTTTTCCAGTTAGCCATGTAAGCTTTCTCAGGCTTGGCCTTTAATCTGTCGTATATAACTTTTTCAAGGCTTCTAAAAATGTGTTTTCAAGAATCTCTAGTTAATTAATATTATTCAAACATTTAGTAAATGTGAGGCACTGCTGTAGTGCCAGACACATAAAACTCTACCCCATCCCTAAATCATCTACATTGTAACATAGAGCTACTTATTTAAAATATTCTAAGCCCACACTTTCTGTTCCTTTTTCTAAAGATGAATAACCATACACAATAGATCATTCTGGCTTTCTGCCTTCTGATAAACTGTTTGAATGGTGAATATATCCTTGAATGATGATTGTTATATCCTGATTTATCCACAGACCTCTCTGCTCACTAACTGAAACTAACCCCAGTATGTATGTGCTGTGTATATAAAATAAAAAGAATTACCATTTTATGGATTGTCTCTGTTCTGGTCACTTATGAATCAGGTCACATACATTAGTTCATTAAATCATTACACCACAGTAAGATAATATGTATTCCATGTTACAGATAAATAATGGTAAGGTTTAGCAGGTTAAGTAATCTTCCCAGCTTCATACCAAGAGGAATTTGAATCCAGATCTATTTCCTACAGTAATAAGAAATAAGATGGTATTTCCAACAAAGGTTTCAACCAAACCACAAATCAAAGAAAGAACGGCCATCTACAGTAGACTTTGATAACAAAATTTGGTGCTTGCTTCAGCAGCACATATACTAAAATTGGAATAATACAGAGAAGATAGGCATGGCCCTTGCCTAAGAATGGCATGCAAATTCATGAAGCACTCCATATTTTTAAAAATTAAAAAATTTTTAAATTAAAAAAATTTTTTTTAAAATTAGATTCAACCAACACACTCGTTATATAAAAAGACTTGCAGTTTTTGGAAATACGGAGAAAACCACACTCCTAATTTCTAGAAGAACATAAGTGTTTAACAGAGACATAAGATATCTTTTACTTCTCCAGAAGCCCCCAATTTAAATCAGCTCCCCATTACAGGGACTCTGATTTTGGTTTCAGGATCTCTTATATATATATAAGATATGTGTGTGTGTGTGTGTGTGTGTGTGTGTGTGTGTGTGTGTGTGTGTATAAAAATATAATTTTTTTTTTTGAGATAGGGTCTCACTCTGTAGCCCAGGCAGGAATGTAGTGCATGACCACAGCTCCCCACAATCTCAAACTCTGGGCTCAAGTGATCCTCTCACCTCAGCCTCCCAAGTAACTAGGACTACAGGCACACACCATCACGTCTGGCTAATTTTTAAATTTTTTTGTAGAGATAGGGTCTTGCTATGTTGGATCTTCCTGCATTGGCCTCCCAAAGTGTTGGGATTACAGGTGTTAGCCACCACACTTGGCCCCTTTATACTCTTAAAAATTATGGAGGACCCTAGAAAGCTTTTATCTATGTAGTTTATCGCTATCAGTATTTACCACATTAAAAATTATAACCAAGAAATGTTTAAAATTCATTTTAAAATGACAAAAAAACTAATTAACAAAAGTGATCTATTTTTTAATGAAAAAAATAACCACATTTTCCAAAACAACAAAAAACAATGAGAGGGCAAAGTGTCTTATTCATTTTTATTTATTTATTTATTTGTTTGTTTATTTATTCATTTATTTTGAGACACAGTCTTGCTCTTGTCGCCCAGGCTGGAGTGCAATGGCACGATCTCAGCTCACTTCAACCTTGGCCTCCCAGGTTCAAGCGATTCTCCCGCCTCTCAGCCTTCCGATTACAGGGACGGATTACAGGCATGTGCTACCACACCCAGCTACCATATTTTTGGTAAAGACGAGGTTTCATCATGTTGGCCAGGCTGGTCTTGAACTCCTGACCTCAAGTGATCTGCCCACCTCAGACTCCCAGAGTGCTGGGATTACAGGTGTGAGCCACCGCACCTGGCCCCAAAGTGGCTTTAAAAAAAAAAATTTTTTTTTTGCCAATTTCTTTAATGTCTGCCTTAACAAAAGATATCTGGATTCTCCCACCTTCTGTATTCAATTTGTTGGAATATCATACATCCTATAACTACTACATACTCACAAGAACGAGAATGAAAAGGCAAATAGTATCTTAGTAGGATTATGAAAATAATTTTGACCTCAAGGGCCTTATTAGGGTTTCAGAAACCTGCAGGTATTCCTTCATACCTCTTATTAACATTTAGTTACATATTTGTGCCCAGATTTTGTTCAAGGTCTGTGTTACAATGTAGTTTCCACAAATGCGGCAACTGTGTCTATTTTTGTATGTGGATATATCCATAATGTCTACACATAGTACCTGGCACATAATCAATTACATAGACATCTGTTGAATAATATACTATAATGTGATAGTAATATGAACTACTATGGTTAAAAGAAGATAAATGGGCAATATCAATCTGGAGGCAAATTTGGAAGGCTTCATTCATATTTGATCTGGATCCTAAACAATGAGTAGGGTTTTGTTAAGTGTATGTGGGAGTAAGAGTATTCCAGCCATAGTAAACAATCATCAGTGGCATCAAGGTACAGGAAATGTTCATGATACTCACTGTAATAGTTTGGTATGATTATAGCATAGGTGAGTAAGAGTTTAGGAGAAGACAAAGATAATAAGAGTAGGCTGAAAAATCTTCAACAGAGTTTGGATTTTATTTTAGAGACAAGGACCGAATGTCCTGAAACACCCATTGTTTCAGTTCCTCACACCACCCTTTATTAGATGGGCTTGGAATAAGTTTATTCTAAATCTTATTCTGCTCATACTTCCTTCACAGGGTAATGGTAATAGTTTATGACATAATCACTTCATGTGTTACCTTGTTTACTGTCATGACTCTAGTCAAAATTATCATCCTTTCTCTCTGACCTACTACTTACAAAGGCATTCTAACTGGTTTCCTCATTTCTTTTGCTCTAACTCCCATTCTGCTCTCATCCATTCTGTAGTCAGAGTAGAATCTGCAAAACACATAACTGATTCACAACACTCCCCTTCCTTAAACCCTTTAATGGCTCCCCAGTAACTCAGAATACAACCTAAACTTCCTAGTACAGAGTGCAAGATCTGAAAAGATCTCATCCCAGCCTACCTCCTGCCTCATCAGGCACTATTCATTCTATGCCATACTCAATAAACTGAACCACAATTTCAGCAGCAGAGCAGAGCCTTCACACATGCTATTCCTTCTTCCTGGAACACTCTTTGCCTAGCACTTTTCTAAACTAAGCACAGCTTCTTCAGATAGTTTAAATCTCACTTTCTCAAAGAAGTCTTTCCTCATCACCCTTCTTCCCAATCTATATTTGATCCTCACTGAGCTCTCACATCACCCCCCATTTTTTCTTTTGGCACATATCACAATTCAGAATTTGCGTGTGTGTGTATGTATGTATTTTTTAAATAATTTGTTTAATGAACATCTGATTGCAGAGACCACATCTAAGCCCAGGACATAAGTAATTTTTTAATGTAGTTTTTATTGTTATAAATGGCTTTTGATCTGATTACACATTATACTTTAGGATGTTTAATCTGGCAATAATGTTTATGTTAACCAACAAGCCAGAGAGGTACTGGAGGCAGGGAATCCCATTAAAAGCATGCTACAATTATAGACAAGAAGTAATGAGAGTCTGAACTATTGTTGAGGAATACTCTCACAACTACCCTGTAAGGTAGCAAGGAGGAAGCCACAGTTTTGAGTAACTGACCATTCCAAAACAGAAAGTTTGAAAACTTTGTATAATAATTCAGCTACAAGTTTAAACAACCAGATAAGCAGGCTGCTGAGAGAAACTGTAGTTCCAACTCCACAAGTAAATCAACACAATTCCAACACTGGTGTGGCACAAAAGAAGCCCCTATAGTCAATGTAATTATGTCTAGTGGCTAGTTAACTGAAAAGGTCAGTTAAATCAGGGAATCATGTGCAATGGTAAACACTGTCCTTAAACATTTTAACTTAAAACTGTAAAATGAACATTCATTCTCTAATCTTTGATATAGGACCAACAATCTTCCTTTAAATATGATTCACACCTAATCTGACCGCAAATATTTTTTGAAATGGAGAACATCAGTTAACCTGATGAGTTGGTTAGGTGGAGGTCAGTTCAGAGAGCTAAAATTACTTTTCCCTTTTGGGTAATATGGCTGCAGTGACACAAATTGAACAATAAGTTACAATGTGATGGTCAAACAAGTGGTTTACAAAATAGGTATGCACATACACCTGAGGGCCCATAGGAAGACTCTTTTTTGGGGATATAGGTAGGCTACATTATTTAGTTAATGTGTTCATCTAGAAACTTAGAAAAAGTCAGCATTTAATATTTATTTTTTGAGATGTAGGGTTTCACTCTGTGCCCAGGCTGGAGTGCAGTAGTGTGATCACAGCTCACCGCAGGCTCAAACTTTTGGGTTCAAGCAATCCTCCCACCTTGGCCACCCAAGTAGCTGGGACTACAGATGCATGCCACCATGCTCGTTTAATTTTTTTTTTTTTTTTGAGACAGAGTCTCGCTTTGTCATCCAGGCTAGAGTGCAGTGGCATGATTTCAGCTCACTGCAACCTCCTGGGTTCAAGTGATTCTCCTGCCTCAGCCTCCCAAGTAGCTGGGACTACAGGCACATGCCACCATGCCTGGCTAATTTTTTGCGTTTTTAATAGAGACGGGGTTTCACTGTGTTTAGTCAGGATGGTCTTGATCTCCTGACCTTGTGATCCGTCTACCTCGGCCTTCCAAAGTGCTGGGATCACAGGCGTAAGCCACTGTGCCTGGCCTCAGCATTTAATATTTACACAGGCACCCTAACTTAGGGTTAGTATCAGAGATGTGACACATATAGTCAAGAGGTCTGCTGAAGGCTGGGCATTCCATACTGCAGAACACTTGACAGTGGCTCTCCTCTTGCATTTATCTCATTGTGACATACTATGACTCACATATATTGATTTAAGTAAACGTATGGATTATGTTACCAAGTTTTAACTAAACCTTATAGAATGGACAAGTGACTTAAAATTAATTCCTACAAACAGATCTCAAACTTCATACTGAAGAAAACATTATTGCTGCTAGAGGGGAAAAAATCAAAGTTAACACTTTCCCTACTCTACTACAAGCTGCTTGTCATCCATAATACAGGATAAAAACAATGATCTAGCGCGGGTGCAGTGGCTCACACCTGTAATACCAGCACTCTGGAAGCTGAGGCGGGCAGATCACCTGAGGTTGGGAGTTCGAGACCAGCCTGACCAACGTGGAGAAACCCTGTCTCTACTAAAAGTACAAAATTAGAAGGGTGCGGTGGCGGGCACCTGTAATCCTAGCTACTCAGGAGGCTGTGGCAAGAGAATCGCTTGAATCTGGGAGGTGGAGGTTGCAGTGGGCCGAGATTGCGCCATTGCACTATAGCCTGGGCAACAAAAGCAAAACTCCGTCTTAAAAAAAAAAAAAATTCTAATCTAGTGGTCCTTAACCAGAAGCAATTTTGCCCCTCAAGACATTTGGAAATGTCTC
Organism: Homo sapiens; assembly: GCF_000001405.40. NCBI lineage: Eukaryota > Metazoa > Chordata > Mammalia > Primates > Hominidae > Homo > Homo sapiens. The sequence continues at coordinate 140,888,912 of NC_000007.14, forward strand.
CCGGCATTTTTGATGTTTCTACTTGGGGGTACTACTGGCATCTTGTGAGCAGAGGCCACGGAAGCTGCTAAACATCCTACAATACATAGTATTATTGCCCCACCCAAAATGCCACTTTTACAGTGGCCCTCCATATCTGCAAGTTCTACATCGTAGGATTCACTCAACTGCAGATCATAACCCTACAAGCAAGAATTACATCCATTTCAAAACATCAACAGCGCCAATGTTGAGAAACCCTAATCTAATAATCTCTGACAAGAAACTGGCTTTTAAAAAATTATCCAGGTTACTTAATTTCTGACAAGAAACTAGCTATTTTAAAAAAATTATCCAGGCTACTTAAAATATGAATTTGTACACACTATTATAATAACGAACCTTGGCCTAATGGTATGTTGTAACTTGAAACATTAGCTAAACTTGAAACATCAGCAAAAACCCTTCATAATTTTAAACTCACTTCATTTTTAGCTTAGCTTTAAAAAAATTCATGCTAACAAGTTCATATTTTTTAAAATATTACCATTTTCTTCAGTAGTACACATATAGCATAAATAAAACAGATATCTACTAGGGGTAATGTGCTCAAATTTTTTTTATGATAGAGAACAAAATTTTTAAGTCTGGAGACTACCGACTTAAAATAACAGAAGCTAACAGATATCAGTGTATTAATGCAAGCAAGTTTATTAAAATTCTAATTTAAAATCCTAACTAAAAGGAAAAAGAAATGAAGAAAAAGAACCTAGTAAAGAAATGTTTTATTTTCTAGGACTACCACAGCCCAGGGTACTAAGGAGATTCAAGACAATAATCCAAATTCAACCCATCAGTCAAAAGTCAGTGAGGATGCCAAAAGGTATAAGGAGAGCAACACAAGCTGTCCACTGTGGTTAATAATCTCATGAAAACAGATGGTTGTACATTATACAATAGGAAGCGAGGGGGTTGGGGGTTCCAATAGCATGGCAGTTAACAGCATGGACTCTAGTGTCACAATGTCTGGGTCCAAGTCCCAAATCTTCCACTCAAGCAATGTGCCCTTAGGCAAGCTGCATAACCTTTCTAAACCATATCTAACTCTTAGGGTTGTGGTGAAGACTTATGGTAAGGCATAGCAGTTAAGAGTACAGACTTTAAGAATTCCAGCTCTTGTCACTTAGCTTTGTAACCTTAGGCAAATTACTTAACCCCCAAGTGTCAGTTTCTTGACACAGCCCTATTATTTGAATGATACAAACTTCATAGATTTGACCAGAGAATCAAATGGAATCCTCAGTGACTGGCACAAAGTAAATAATAAACTGAAATGATAAATGAATTAAATATCCAGTTCATTATTTTTAATCATAAAATTAAGTGGCACATTATTACTATAAAACTTTTTTGGGGATAATCTCTGTGGTTCTACAATGACTATCTTTTAAACACCTAATGATACATATTCTTCTGTCAGCCAATAAATATCTACCAAATCCCTGTATGTGCTCAGGCTCATGCTAGGAGTTGAGGATACAGTGGTGAGCAAGACGGACAAATTCCTATAGCCCTCAGAGAACTCACATACTCCATCTAGATTTTTTTTTTCTAAGCTAAAACTCCCTACTCCTTTCACTGTTCTTCAATGATTTAGTAACTTCTCACTCTTAAGTTTACTGACTTCCCAAAATGCTACATATCAGTGTCTCACTAAATGACTTTTCAATCTTAACTTCAGATTAAAAATCACCTTGGAAGCTTTTAAAAATCCAGATACCAAGGCCTCACCCTCAAAAACCAGAACCTCTGGTGCAGGGCCCCAGGCATCTGTACCTTCTGAAGTTCTCCAGGTGCTTCTGATGTACAGGCAAGGTCAAAACCCAAATAAAACACTACTCTAACAGCTGTCACCCATATCTGAGCAAAAGGAAGCATATTTTAATTTTCTATTATGAGAGTAAAATGAGATTATTTTCCACAATTGCACAAGATTATTAATGCAGTCTAAGCAACAGTTTAAGAGTCATACCACAATTCTGATTTAAAGTAAAAGTACAACTTATTTATTAATGTATTCATGTAACATGCACTTTTTAAAAGACTAATTATATATCATATACCAAGGATACAAAATGTCTTTGCCCTCAAAGATTTGAACTCACAGTACAGTAGAGGTATACAGTTATAGGCTCCTATACTACAAAGTGGTTACTTCAAATAATCAAGATGTGCCTAAAATACTCTGAGAGTACCACGCAGAGAAAATGAGAGGGTGTGGGGTAGAGGGGAAAACAAAAGTACTTAGAGAAAGCTTTTGGAAAAGATAACCAGAACTAAATTCTAAAGGATGAGTAAAAGTTGCTGAGTTCAGTGTTCTCCAAAGGAGTATACAGTCATTCCTCCATATCCACAAGGGATTGGTTCCAGGACTCTACCCTACAACACCATGATCCTTGGATGCGGAAGTCTCTTATATAAAAAGGGAGGGTATTTGCATATAACTTACTTTCCATATACTTTAAATCATCTTTAGATTACTTATAATGACTAATATAATGTAAATGTTATATAAATAGTTGTTATACTGTATTATCTTGTATTTGTATTATTGTATTACTTTTTACTGTTTTCCTAATACTTTTGATCTGCAGTTGGGTGAATCCTAGGATGCAGAACTTGCAGATATGGAGGGCCACTGTAGAAGTGGCATTTTGGGTGGGGCAATTCTTTGCTGTGTAGGACTTTTAGTGCATTGTGTTCCTCGATTTGAGGGCATTAAATCCCAAATAGCATCCTCCAGGCATGACAATCAAAATATTTCCAAATGCCTCCCAGCAGGGTAAGTATCACCTCAGAAACCATTGAAAAAAAAAATTGGGTGGTATGGAGAAAATGAAGGAAGAGAGCATTCTAGGACAAAGGGCCAGAAACAACAGGAAACAACCCTGAAAAAATGCAAGGATTTGATTGGTATTAAACAGCATTTCCCTAAAATGTTTCAAAGAATATTAGCATATACTACACACAAGCAATGTTCCATAGTCAAGGAAGTTTATACAATTCTAATTTAGACAAAGGTAAGGCCAGGTGCAGTGGCTAATGCTGTAATCCCAGCACTTTCGGAGGCCGAGGCAGGTGGATCATTTGAGGTCAGGAGTTCAAGACCAGCCTGGCCAACATGGTGAAACCCCATCTCTACTAAAAATATTTAAAAACAATTAGCCAGGTGTGGTGGCACACACCTGTAGTCCCAACTACTTGGAAGGGTAACAGAATTGCTTGAGCCCAGGAGGTGGAGGTTGCAGTGAGCCGAGATTGTGCCACTGCACTCCAGCCTGGGTGAGAGAGCGAGAATCTGTGTCAAAAAAAAAAAATAAATCAACAAAGGTAAGCTTCTTTACTACAGTTCTTCTCAACCATTACTATGCTAATATCCAATTATGAAATCCCAAAAGGGGAGCTATATAATATAGTACAGGGTATCACCTGCTTGCCAAATCAATTCAGATACTTTTTAGATGAATCCCTTAATATGTAAAATACAGAAATCAAATAAGATTTAGATAACACAGTATCCCCCCTCATTTGAGCTTAGAAACTCAACAGGTTAGACAAGGAGGAACATTTAAAGTTTCCCAAAATTGTAAACTATGGAACCTATCTTTGGGAGAACACTTTGAATATTCAGTATCCACAATATAAACTTTAGGAAATACTGTGCTAGAGCATTTAGTACACAGCAAGGATGGCTGATAGACGTGGGCAGGGGTAGAGAGGTAGGAAAGGGCAAGATCACAGAGGACCTGAAATATGACATTTTACGAGTTTTTATCTGGTTTAGATTTTGTTTTTAAAGTGAAACACAGACCTCCCTGTCTTTACTTCCCCACCCCTAAATGATCCAGGGAACAAAACAATACATCAGATCAAGTCACATAAAATAAAAGCAGTTACAGTTTGCTAGAGGAGAGAACTGATCACTTTTAATTTTAAATTTATGTTGGGAACCAGTTCCTTTGTGAGAATAACTATTGAACATAAGATATAAAAGGTTAAAAGCTAAAGGCAGCTGAGCAGAACAAATTAAAAATCAAATCATCGAACAGGAATCTATTTGATGTCCAACTTCACTATCAGCCTCACCCATCTCCTGCCTGGATGGAGTCTTCATCCTGACTGAATGATTGGCTTGGCCCAAAATGGCAGGAAGGGGAAAAAAGACATTAAAAATGGAGGAGTGATGTATTCCCAGGGTAGAGAACACAACAGATTTGGTGAACGAGCTTTCTGAGACAAGATGTCTGAGAAAAAAGTTATGCCTGCTTAGGCTTATTCTCCCTGCTGTTCCCCATAACATTCTTTTTTTTTTTTTTTGAGACAGAGTCTTGCTCTGTCACCCAGGCTGGAGTGCAGTGGCGCGATCTCAGCTCACTGCAAGCTCTGCCCCCAGGGTTCACACCATTCTCCTGCCTCAGCCTCCTGAGTAGCTAGGGCTACAGGCGCCCGCCACCATGCCTGGCTAATTTTTTGTATTTTCAGTGGAGACGGGGTTTCACCATGTTAGCCAGGATGGTCTCGATCTCTTGACCTCGTGATCTGCCCACCTCGGCCTCCCAAAGTGCTGTGATTACAGGTGTGAGCCACTGTGCCCAGCCCCCCATAACATTCTTAAGCAAAGAGCAGGCTCAAATAGAAGTACTCTACTCAAAGACAACAAGGATGAGTAATAAAAAGAAACAATCCAGCAAAGGGTCTATGAGGAGAAACGTTAACAACCCCACCCGCCACACCACCAATAAAACAGGGAGTGGGGGATGAGAGAAGAAACATAATAGGCAAAGACAGATAAACACCAGAAGTTAGTCAAGGAAACAAAAGAAGTCTCTGATATATCCCCATCTATCACTATCAAATGCATTTTAGGGGAAAAAAATGACTGAAAAAACAAAATTGAAGAACAGATGAAATGGGAGATGAGGCAGGAGGCAGTGGCTCACTCCTGTAATCCCAGCACTTTGGGAGGCCAAGGCGAATTTGAGACCAGCCTGGTCAACATGATGAAACCCTGCCTCTACAAAAAAATGCAAAAAATTAGCCAGGTGTGGTAGCACATGTCTGTAGTCCCAGCTAATTGAGAGGCCGAGATGGGAGGATGGCTTGAGCCCAGGAGGCAGAGGTTGCAGTGAGCCAAGATCACAACACTGCACTCCAGCCTGAGTGAGAGACCCAGACCCTGTCTCAAAAAAAAGAAATAGGAAATGAAAAGTGAGTTAGCAGGGTTCAAGAAAGAAATGGAAGGTAATAAAAAGACCACTTCAGAAATGAAGGCCACGGTGGAAACAGAAAGAAATGGCTGAAGAAGAAAAAAGGAAGCCATTCTTGGCAGAAAAAACAGAACTACTTGATAGGAAAATCAAGCTGATGAAAAGATAAATAAAACAGAATTAGAAATCAAGAAGTCATGGTTTTAAAGAATTAAAGGTGAATATTAATCCCATTCAAACATGTAACTCTGAGACTTAAGGATAAAGTAAAAAATAAATGCATTTTTTTCAATGACAAGGTTTATATCTCATATGAAGAGATGGAAAAAAATTTTTTTAATGGTAGCTGGGGAAAGGGAGGTATAAGTGTACTGATTTTCTTACCTTTATTAGCAAGGAGTTAAAATAGTCCTGATTATTTTCACAAATCAAGAAATGGAGGCTTACAGATATTAAATCTATGAAGGTAGTAAGAGAATAAGATTTATAAAAAATCATCAAAAACTATTAGATGGGAAACACACACATACCCATAAGAGACAAAGCCCCCAAAGAAAAATATAATTAATAATGTGGAAGAACTGCCTTATCAACAAAATATAAATGAGATAAGCTCATCTATTAAAAAAATAAAAAAAGAAACTCAGCTCACAAACCAAAGCCCTGAACAAATGCTGTATATAACATCCACATCTAAAACTCACTCAGAAAAGTTGAAAGTCAAAGAATGGGCCCAGTGGTTACTTAAAGCCTAATGAACTTACTTTCGAGAAACATTTTCTTTGGTCTGATATAAAAACTGGCCAAAATCACAGAAAACTCTAGAAAACGAATCAGCTCTTGATACCAAAACCATGGAACAGCTCAGAGAGGTATAGACTGAGCTCACTTGTAAACACAGTCGTAAAATCCCTAAATAAAAACCTGAATTAGGCAAACCTAATTCAACAATCAATTAAAAGAATATACAATAAAATGTATCCAGTGACACAAGAGTTGCTTACTCAAAACTAGGAAGTCTACCAATACAATTACTTACCTAAATAGATCAATGTAGGAAAAAAACATGATCACCTCAATAAATGTACGAAAAAAATCTAACAAAATTCAACAACCATTTAGGATTTTTAAAAATGCCCAACTGTCAGCAAACTAGAAATGGAAGAAACATTCTTAAACTTCATATAGGGTATCTATAAAAAGTCTGTAAGTCACCAAGCATAACAGAAGCATTCTCACTAAAGACAGGAGAAACATTCGTCATTTCTTTGTGTTGGGAATATTCAATATCCTCCTCCTAGCTATATGAAACTATATATTATTAACTATAGTCACCCTATACTACTACAGAACACTAGAACTTATTCCTCCTATCTAGCTGTAATTTTGTATCCATGAATAAATCTCCCCAGAGCTTCCACTCTACCCCTACTATTCCCAGCCCGAGTATCCTCTGTTATACTTTTTACTTCTATGAAATCAACTCTTTTTAGCTTCCACATAAGAGTGAGAACATGCAGGGTTTAACTTTCTTTTGCTGGCTTATTTCACTTAACGTGATGTCCTCCAGTTCCAATCATGTTGCTGCAAATGACAGGATTTTTCCTTTTTACGGCTGAATAGCATTCCATCGGATGCTATACAACCACATTGTCTTTACCCAATCTTCTGTTGTTGAACTGATTCCATATCTTGGCTACTGTGAATAGTGTGCTGCAGTAAACATGGGGATGCAAATGTCTCTTCGACGTACTGACTTCCCTTCCTTTGGGTAAACGGCCAGTAGTGGGATTGCTAGATCACAGGAACCTCCATACTGATACAGTGTCTGTACTAGTTTACATTCCCACCAAGAGCGTCCAAGAGTTCTCTTTCCTCTGTATCTTCACCAGCATTTTTAATTTTTTGTCTTTTTTATAACAGCCACCCTAACTGGGATGAGACAATACCTCACTGTGGTTTTGATTTGCATTTCCCAAGTCTTCTACAGTTTTATAGCAGCCATCCTACCTGGGGCCAGATGATACCACACTGTGGTTTCACCTTGTAGTTTTGGGTCTTACAGGTAGGTCTTTGATCCATTTTGAGTTGATTTTTGTATAGGGTGAGAGGTGGGGGTCTAGTTTCATTCTTCTGTATATGAATATCCAGTAAAAAAATATATTTTTTTCTAAACATCTCATTCACAACAGCACAAAAAGATTCTCGCAAATAATACCAATCCTCCACATCCAAAAGGATGAAAACATTATGTAGAAAACTATAAACCTTTTAAGGAAAAAAAAACAGAGCTGGGAGTAGTGGCTCACACCTGTAATCCCAACACGTTGGGAGGCTGAGGCGGGTGGATCACCTGAGGTCAAGAGTTTGAGACCAGCCTGGCCAACATGGTGAAATCCTGTCTCTACTAAAAATAGAAACACATGGCCCAGGCGCGGTGGCTCACGTCTGTAATCCCAGCACTTTGGGAGGCCGAGGCAGGTGGATCACCTGAGGTCAGGAGTTCGAGACCAGCCTGACCAATATGGTGAAACTCCGTCTCTACTGAAAATACAAAAATAAGCCGGGCATGGTGGTGTGCACCTATAGTCCCAGCTACTCGGAAGGCTGAGAGGAGAACTGCTTGAACATGGGAGGCAGAGACTGCAATAAGCCAAGATTGTGCCACTGTGCTCCAGCCTGGGTGACAGAGCGAGACTCCATCTCAAAAAAAAAAAAAAAAAAAGGGGTGGGGGGGGAAGAGACCTATAAACAAATGAAGATAAAAACCATGTTCATGAATTGGAAAACTCAGTATCATAATAAATCTCTAATATATATGTCCCTACATTAACATATAAACTTAATGCAATCACAATGAAAATCCCAATAGTACTTTTTACAGAATTTGACAACCTAATTCTTTTTTTTTTTTTTTAACCAAATACCTAGACTTAGAGGACATTGACAATCTAATTCTTCTAATGGTCACGTGGAAGAGTGAATGAGCATATGTTTGCCGCAAATAAACAAAGAGAAGAGACTGGCATTACCAAAACCAAAGATATAAAGTAGTAATGTGGACAAACAGGTTATAGACAAACAGGTTAAGAAGTAGCCCAGAAATCGGTCCATGGGAATCTGGTAGAAATGAGAGGTTGCTTTACAAATAAGTGAGAAAAAGACTGTGCACATATGTACAAATGGTGTTGGGAAAATAACATCCCCCAAGACATCTTCATATAACAAATACTAGACTGCTTAAATACCTAAACAAAATTTTTAAAATTTTCAATTTATCAGAAGACAATATAGAGAATATGCTTTTAACTCTGGATAGGAAAGATTTCTTTTTTCTTTTTTTTTTTTTTTTTTTTTGAGACAGAGTCTTGCTCTGTCGCCAGGCTGGAGTGCAGTGGCACAATCTCAGCTCATGCAACCTCTGCCTCCCGGGTTCAAGCAATTCTCCTGCCTCAGGCTATCGAGTATCTGGGACTACAGGCACACACCACCACGTCCAGCTAATTTTTGTATTTTTAGTAGAGATGGGGTTTCACCATGTTTCATCCATGCCAGGATGGTCTCAATCTCTTGACCTCATGATCTGCTCACCTTGGCCTCCCAAAGTGCTGGGATGACAGGTGTGAGCCACCGCGCCCAGCCAGGAAAGATTTCTTAAAAAAATCAAAATCAAAATCAAAATAAATAAATAAATGAAAAGACTGCTAAATCTGACCACATAAACAGTAACAACAACATATGTCTTTATAAGGAAAGGCTAGGGCAGGAACAGTGTCTCACGTCTGTAATCCCAGCACTTTGGGAGGCCAAGGTGGGAGAATCACTTGAAGCCAGGAGTCGAGACCAGCCTGGGCAACACAGCAAGACTCCATCTCTACAAATTTTTTCTTTTTCAAATTAGTTGGGCACAGTGGTGTGCATTTGTCCCAGTTACTTAGGCTGAGGCTAGAAGACTGCTTGAGCCCAGGAGGCTGCAGTGAGCTATGATCACACTACTGCACTCCAGCCTGGGTCTCAAAAGAGTGGGAGGCTTGCCTCTTAAAAAAATAAATAAATAAAAATACAAATAAAAAAGGACTAGAAGGAAATATTTGACATGATGGATAAAGAAGACTATCCATAGCCTAGGCCTCAATAGAGTGGGAGGCCTGCCTCTTAAAAAAGAAATAAAAATAAATAAAAATACAAATAAAAAAGGACTAGAAGGAAATATTTGACATATGATGGATAAAGAAGACTATCCATAACAGAATACCTAAAAATAAGTTCTAAAAACAAATAGCATAATCTACAAATGGCATGTCTATAAACAATTTAAGAAAAAACCCAAAGGCTAACATATGAAAACATACTCAACCTCACTAGTAATCAGAGATGAAAATTAAATGAGATAAATTTTCCCTTTATTATAAAGCTATGTAGAGAAGTTTGCAAAACATCGTTCCATTAAAGCATAACTGTAAAGCAAACCCCACAACCCAAGGTAAGAAATAGCATTGCCAATTATCTTAAAAGTCTCCCATTTGTCCTTAATCACATCCACTTTCTCTCCTCCCTGAGGTAGTCACTATCACTCACTTTTATCATCATTATTCCCTTGATTTTTCTTATAATTCTAGTATCTCTACTTATAATTCTAGTACCTATATTTGTATTCCTAAACAATACAGTTAACTGCATTTGTTTTTAAACTGTTTACGAATAGAATCATGTTGCACTTAATCTTTTGTGACTTGGTTCTAAGGTATGACTAATGTATTTGTGAGATTCATACATATTGATGCAGGCAGGAGCTGTTTGTAGTGTGGTTTTTTTCCTTAGCTATTTGAACTAGTTTTTTGTTCCATAAGTAAACACACAATGATATCTACTGCACTACTGAGGATACTTGAACTTTTTTTCTATCTTGGGGTTAATATGAATAATACTGTTATGAGCAATCTTATATATATGCTTCCTACTTCATATATTCACACATTTCTCTATGTCTAAAGCAATGGCTGACTCTCAAAGTATGATTCCTGGACAAGCAGCACCAACATCCCACCCCCCCACCCCTCAGCCCACTCCCGGCAGGAACTTGTTAAAAATGCAAAGCAAACTATCAGGCTCCACCCAATTCCTACTTAATCAGAAACTCTAAGGGTAGCCCCAACAGCTGGGTTTAACAAGCCCTCCAGATGACTTTGATGCATACTCAAGAACCATTAGTCTAGGGCAAACGCCTAAGAGTGAGTGGTATTGCTGGTTATAGGATATCCTATTATTTTCCAAAGGATTTTTCCCCCCAATTTACATTCCCATCCATCAGTGGAAGACAGTTCAGACTGCTTCATAGCCTCACCAACATTTAATATTGTCAGATTTTTTCATTTCTGCCAATCTATATGAAATGGTCTCTCATTGTGGTTTTAATTTCTATTTCCCTAATTGTTAACTAGATTAAGGGTCATTTCATATGTTTATTAATCATTTAAATTTTTTTTTAATTCAAATGCCTGCTCAGGATTTTTTGCCCTTTTTCCAATTTGGTGTTCTGTCTTTGTCTTAGAAATCTATAGGAATTTTTTATGTATATTTTTCATACCAGTTCATTCTTTACATGTTGTAGTAGGTAGCCTCTAAACTGGCTCCCAATGATCCTCACCCTCCTGGTGGTGCCTTGTACAAACTCCCCTTGAATGTAAGCTGGAGTTATTGCCTTGCTTCTAACAAAAAGAATATGGCAGAAGTGATGGGGTGCCACTTCCAAGACTAAAATACTGTGGTTTCCATCTTGGGTGTTTTCTCTTACTCCCTTCTAGAAAGCCAGCTCTGAGGCCTGCTACATCCACATGAGGGAGCACAAAGCAGTCAAGCCTTCAAATGACTGCAGCCATTGACTGATTACAGCCTCAAGGCCCTAAGCCAGAAACATCCAATTAAGCCACTCTCAGTTTCCTGACCCACAGAACTGTGAGAGAAATGTTATTTCAAACTGCTAAGTCTTCGGTAATTACACAACAATAGATAACTAATAGTGTGTGTTATAAGTATCTTCTATTCCTTGCCTTGCCTTTTGAGTGTCTTAATGGGGCTTAATGAAAAAAGTTTCTATTTTCAATGTAGTCAAATTTGTCCATTTTTTATGGCTAGTTTTTTGAGTCTTAAGAAATTCTTCTCTGCCTTAAATAATGTCCCTTTATTTTTCTAAAAGCTTTCAGGGTTTCCCCTTTTGTATTGAATCTTTAACCTACAAGAAATTGATTTTTATGCATAACAGATGGGGAAGTCTAGCTTCATTTATTTAATATGGTAGGCATTGTTCCAGCAAGTGTATCCTTTCCCAACTAATCTGCCACAAGAGCAGGTGTCCCTCCACCTACCCATATGTAAGAATATAAAATTCATCCATATTATTTAGTATTACCTGCCATTTTGTTATTCATCTCCTCTTTCTGTTGTTTTCTGTTTGCTTGTTTGTTTGTTTTTAAGACTGAGTCTTGCTCTGTTGCCCAGGCTAGAATGCAATGGCACAATCTCAGCTCACCACAACCTTCACCTCCCGGATTCAAGTGATTCTTGGGCCTCAACCTCCCGAGTACCTGGGATTACAGGCGTGCACCATCACAGCCAGCTAATTTTGGTATTTTTAGTAGAGACGGGGTTTCACCATGTTGGCCAGGCTGGTCTCGAACTCCTGGCCTCAAGTGATCCAACCGCCTTGGCCTCCCAAAGTGCTGAGATTACAGCCATGAGCCACTGCACCTGGGTCCCTTTTCCTTTTATAAGTCCCTCAGACGCTCCACAGGCTGGGCCTAAAAACCCATGCCTGTGAGACCCTCAAGGTCATCCTCCCTCTCTGCTCAGTTGGGTAACTGCTCTTTGGACAGCACTCAGCAGTAGATTCTCCTCTCCTTTTCTAACAAAGCCATAGTCCAACTGACATAATATTAAAGATCTATTATAAGCAAAGTGTGTCTATTTCTAAGCTTCCTATGTTAAAAGAAATTAATAGAAACTAATTAAAGTTTGTATGAAAAAATATGATCAAGAAAAATTGTAAATACAAATATGAGATAATAAAATTAGTGTTGTAAGTTTGTTTGTTGGTAGTCCCAGTACTTAACCTGTATTTCAGGAAGTGTTCTATTCAAAACCCTAGATACCACTACAAGTGGATCTGAATGTGAGCTTTGGGTGGGAGCCAGATCTCACATTCACAAAGGTAATAACCAGGATGAGCAGTGCCTACCATAGAGCATTAAAAATTTGCCGAGTGGAAAAAGGAATTAAAGAAGTCTTCCTACCTTATTGTTTTTAAAGTATATTTTGGCTATTCTTGCCTCTTTAAAGCTTCCACAGAAATTGTTGAATCAGGTTGTTAGGTTCCATAGAAAAACCTACAGGAATTTGCATTTGGATTTCAATAAATCCACTATCAATTTGAGAAATACTAACATTTTTAACATACTCAGTCTTCCAATCCACACTCAGTACAGGGTATGTACCATTTATTTAGGTGGTCTGTCTCTAAATAAGGTTTAATTACTCTTCTTTATAAAGATTTTGTATATCTGAAGTATTTAAAATTCAGTTTAAGTATCTCCTTTCCTAGGAAATCTGTCTTCCATCCCCTAAAAGCATATTGAATTGTGCTCCTTTTCTGTGATTCTTCTGCATCTGGGGCACACTTTCATCACAGTACACTGTCCTTAATTCTTTATTTATCTACTTCTACCACTTAACTGTAAGCTCCTTGAAGACAAACTATCATTCATTTCTATATCCCAGTGCCTAGCATACAACTCAGCACAAAGGTGCTAAATATTTATTTTTTATGCTTAAAGGAATGAGTAAATTTAACCAATGACTGTGAAGTATAAACTGTACAGGCATGCTTCATCATATTGTGCTTTGCTTTACTGCTCTTAGCGGATAATGGTTTTTGTTTGTTTTTTACAAACTGAAGGTTGGTGGCAACCCAGCATCGAGCAAATCTGTTGGCACCATTTTTCCAACAGCATATGCTCACTTCATGTCTCTGTCACATTTCAGTAATTCTCATAGTATTTCAAACTTCTGCATTATTATGCTGTCTATTTTAGTGTTCTATGATCTTCGATGTTACTATTGTAATTCTTTTGGGGTGCCACGAACCACACCCATATAAGGCAGTGAACTTCTTCAGTAAATGTTGTGTGTGTTCTCACTGCTCCACTGACCAGCTACTGCCCTAACCCCTTCTTGGGCCTCCTATTCCCTGAGATTTCAATATTGAAATTAGGCCAATTAAAAACCCTACAATGACTTCTAAGTGTTCAAGTGAAACCAAGAGTCACATGTCTCTCTCTTGAAATCAAAAGCTAGAAATGATTAAGCTTAGTGAAGAAGGCATGTTGAAAGGCAGGCCTCTTGTACCAAACAGCCAGATTGTAAATGCAAAGGCAGAGTTTTTGAAGGAAACTACAAGCACTACTCCAGTGAATACATGAATGATAAGAAAGCAAAACAGGCCGGGCACTACGGCTCATGCCTATAATCCCAGCATTTTCAGAGGCCAAGGTGGGAGGATTGCTTGAGGCCAGGAGTTTGAGACCAGCCTAGCCAACACAGTGAGACCCTCTAAGAATTAAAAGAAAAATAGTTTAAGAAAAGCAAGCAAGCAAAACAACCTAGTTGCTGATATAAAGAAAGTTTTAGTGATCTGGATAGAAGATCAAACCAGCCACAACATTTCCCTAAGTCAATGGTTGGCTTCAAAGCTTCAAAGGACAGGATGACTTTTTTTTTTTTTTTTTTTTTGAGATGGAGTTTCGCTCTTTTTGCCTAGGCTGGAGTACAATGGCATGATCTCGGCTCACCGCAACCTCTGCCTCCCGGGTTCAAGCGATTCTCCTGCCTCAGCCTCCTGAGTACCTGGGATTACAGGCATGTGCCACCATGCCTGGCTAATTTTGTATTTTTTTAGTAGAGACAGGGTTTCTCCATGTTGGCCAGGCTGGTCTTGAACTCCCGGCCTCAGGTGATCCGCCCACCTCGGCCTCCCAAAGTGCTGGGATTACAGGCATGAGCCACCACGCCTGGCCTAGGACACGATGACTCTTATTAGAGGCTAATGCAGCTGGTGACTTTAAGTTGAAGCCAATGCTCATTTATCATTCCAAAAATCCTAGGGCCTTTGGAATTCTGCAAAATTTACTGTCTGTGCTCTGTAAATGGAACAATGAAGCCTGGATGACAGCATATTCTTTTACAACATAGTTTGCTGAATATTTTAAGCCCACTGTTGAGACCCACCGCTCAGAAAAAAAGATTCCTTCTAACACATTACTACTCATTGACAATGTGCCTGGTCACCCAAGAGCTCTGATGGAGAGCTACAAGAAGATGAACGTTTTCTCACCTGCTAACACATAAATCTTGCAACCCATGGATCAAGAAGTAATTGTGACTTTCAACATTCCTTATTTAAGAAGTACCTTTCATTGGGCTATAGCCGCCATAGATATCGTTATTACTCTGATGGATCTGGGCAACATTAATTGAAAGCCTTCTGCAAAGAATTCACCTTTCTCGATGCCATAAAGAACATTTGTAATTCATGGGAGGAGGTAAAACTGGCAACATTAACAGGAGTTTGGAAGAAGTTGATTCTAACCCTCATGGATGACTTTGAGTTCAAAACTTCAATGGAGGAAGGAACTGTAGGTGTAGTAGAAGCAGCAGAAGAACTACATTTAGGAGTGGAACCTAAAGATGTGACTGAATTGCTACAATATCATGATGAAATTTGAACAAATGGGAAGTTACTTCTTATGGATGAGTAAAAAAAGTGGTTTCTTGACATGAACTCTACTCTTGCTGAAGATGCTGTGAGCAAACACTGTTAAAATGACAGCAAAGGATTTAGAATATTACATAGAATTAGTTGATGAAGCACTGGCAGATCTGAGAGGACTGACTCTAATTTTAAAAGCAGTTCTACTGTGGTTCAAATGCTACCAGAAAGCATCGCCTGGTACAGAGAAATCTTTTGTGAAAAGAAGTCAACTGATGTCGCAAACCTCACTGTTGTCTTAAGAAACTGGCATAGCCATCCTATCCTTCAGTAACCACCAGGGATGAACCAGCAGCCATCAACATCGAGGCAAGACCATCCACAGCAAAACAATTATGACTCATTGAAAGATCAAATGACTGTGAATTTCCCAGTAGATCTAGAAGTTTAATGAAACTCCAGCTCAGTTATTTTTTTTTTTTCCAATCAAGAATCTTTCATAGGTGGTAGGTATTTCTTTTTTGGGGGAGGCAGGGAGGGGTGTCAAGAAACTTCGTATCTAAAGACATAACATTTGATTCTCTCACTTTCAATGGTCTAAGATATATCAAGTTGTGGAATTTGATCAATCAAAAATTTTTAATCATCTAGTTCAAGGTATTTTCTAACTTCCATTGTGATTTCTTCTTTGATGCATGGATTATTATTTTTTTTAGAGGGAGTCTCGCTCTCTCAGACTGGAGTGCAATGGCACGATCTCGGCTCACTGCAACCTCTGCCTCCTGGGTTCAAGCAATTCTTCTGTCTCAGCCTCCCAAGTAGCTGGGACTACAGGCATGCACCACCACGCCCAGCTAATTTTTATATTTTTAGTAGAGACGGGGTTTCACCATGTTGGCCAGGCTGGTCTCGAACTCCAGCCCTCGTGATCCGCCTGCCTCGGCCTCCCAAAGTGCTGGGATTACAGGTGTGAGCCACTGCGCCTGACCAGATTATTTCCAAGTATTAATAGTTGCTCAATTTCTAACATGAAGCTTTAAAAATTACCCTATTGATAGAGATCTTTAATGAAAATGGACAGAAAAAAATGCTTTTTTGGTTTCAATCCTTTGAAATTTGTTGAAACTTGTTTTACAACATTATTACTCAGTCAATTTTCCCCCCAAAATCCTACATGCTTGAAAAGAATGTGTAGCCTGCCACTGTTGGGTAGAATGGGTTCTATACACCCACTGGGTTAAACTTGTTCATTGTGTTATACAAATATTTTATATCCTAACTAACCTGTCTGCTTCTTATACCAGTTACTTAAAGAGCTGTTTAAAAATACCCCATTAAGACTGAGAAATCTGTCTATTTCTTGTAGTTTTGTTTAACTTTTGCTATAAATATTCTAAAGCTATATTTCAGGTTATACTATATTACTAAGGCTATTAAATCTTCACAGTGAATTGGTCATTTTATCATTTGAGGTGACTCTTCTGCCAATAATGCTTTCTGCCTTACTGTCCACCTTTGATATTAACTGTACCATACTGTCTGCTAGAATATGCATGGTATGTCTTATTGTGATGATTACTTTTGATCTTCTTTATTCTTAGGTTTCAGATATGTTCCTTATAAACCCCATATAACTGAATTTTTTTGGAAATTCAGTGTAACAATCTTTGGCTTTTAACTGAATAATTTAATCCATTTTGTATTTAATGTAGCTGGTGATATGTTTAGATTTAAATCTACCCATCTTTGTGCTACTTGTCCTACTGGTTCTTTCTTTTCTTCACTTCTTCAGGATTAATTTTTATTAATCATTTGTTATCTTCTGTTGGTTGAGAAGTTAAAAGTCTGGTTTCTACATTTTTAGAAGATAACTTAGAAATTAAAACATAGGCCGGGCGCGGTGGCTCACGCCTGTAATCCCAGCACTTTGGGAGGCCGAGGCGGGCGGATCACGAGGTCAGGAGATCGAGACCATCCCGGCTAAAACGGTGAAACCCCGTCTCTACTAAAAATACAAAAAATTAGCCGGGCGTAGTGGCGGGCGCCTGTAGTCCCAGCTACTTGGGAGGCTGAGGCAGGAGAATGGCGTGAACCCGGGAGGCGGAGCTTGCAGTGAGCCGAGATCCCGCCACTGCACTCCAGCCTGGGCAACAGAGCGAGACTCCGTCTCAAAAAAAAAAAAAAAAAAAAAGAAATTAAAACATATAATTTATCAAGGTCAAGTCAATTAATACTTTCTACCTTTCTCTCTGACAATACAAAGGTCTTAGAACCCGGCCTTCGCCTGTCATATATTTTTTTTGAGACAGGGTCTCAGTCTGTTGCCCAGGCTGGTGTGCAGTGGCACGACCAAGGATCACTGCAGCCTCAACCTCCTGGGCTCAAGCGATCCTCTCACCTCAGCCACCTGAGTAGCTGGGGCTATGGGCATGCACCACCACACCCAGCTAATTTTTATATTATTTGTAGAGACGGGATTTCACTATGTTGCCCAGGCTGGTCTCAAATTCCTGGGCTCAGGCAATCTGCCCGCCTCAGCCTCTCAAAGTACCATGCCCAGCTTCTTGTCACATATTTTAATTAAGGTCTTACTAGTACTTTATACAGTCAACGTTTCTTTTAATACATCCACATATTTGCCACTCTCTTTGCTCTTTATTCCATTTTGCACCTCAGACTTTTATCTAGAATCTTTCTGCCTTAAGTATTAATGTATACTTCATAATTTCCTTTAGAAAGAGCTGATGGAGTTTGTTCAACTAAGTATTTTACCCTCATTGTAGAGGGATAATTCTTTGCTAATTACAGAATTCTAGATTGGCAGTTATTTTGAGAATATATGTAATTTTCTATTGAAAAGTCAACCATCAGTCCATAGTTGCTTCTTTGAAAAACATCTTTTTTTCTCTCTGGCTACTTTCAAGACTTTTCTCCTTGTATCTGGGTTTATGCAGTTTTCCTATGATTTGTCTGGGTGTAGATTTCTATTTATATTGCTAGAAATTCATTAACCTTCTTAAATCAATCAACTGGTTTCTCATTGGATCTATAAAATTTTCAGCCAGAAATATCTTTTGAAATATTACTTCTGTACCATTCTTTCTCCTCTCTTTCCAGAGCTCTGATTAAAGAAATTAGATCTTATTCTGTCTTCCATGTCTCTTTACCTCTCTTCAATATTTTCTTTTTTATTCTGTGCTACACTCTAAACAGTTTCTTCTGCCTTGTCTCCCAGGCAATGAACTCTTTCTTCAGCTAGGCATAATCTCTTAGGTATATTTGGTAAAGTGTTCACTTCTGGAATTTCTATTTGGTTTTTTGCAAATCTATTAAGTTGGGTTTTTCCCCCCCTTTTCTTTTTTGAGACAGAGTCTTGCACTGCCACCCAGGCTGGAGTGCAGTGGTGCGATCTCAGCTCACTGCAAGCTCCACCTCCCAGTTTCACGCCATTCTCCTGCCTCAGCCTCCCGAATAGCTGGGACTACAGGTGCCTGCCACCATGCCCAGCTAATTTTTTGTACTTTTAGTAGAGGTGGGGTTTCACTGTGTTAGCCAGGATGGTCTCAATCTCCTGACCTCGTGATCTGTCGGCCTCAGCCTCCCAAAGTGCTGGGATTACAGGCATAAGCCACCGTGCCCAGCCATTTTTTTTCCTTTATTTGAGACAGTTTCTCATTCTGTTGCCTAGGCTGGAGTGCAGTGTGGCACAATCATACATCACTGCAGCCTCAAACTCCTGGGCTCAAGCGGGTCCCAAATTCCTGGCCTCAAGTGACCCTCCCACCTCAGTCTCCCAAAGTATTGGGATTACAGGCATGAACCAAAGTAACTTTTTTTTTTTTTTGAGACACAGTTTCACTCTTATAGGCCAGGCTGGAGTGCAGTGGTGCCATCTCGGCTCACTACAATCTCCACCTCCCAGGTTCAAGTGATTCTCCCACCTCAGCCTCCTGAGCAGCTGGGATTACAGGTGCACCTCACCACACGTGGCTAATCTTTGTATTTTTAGTAGAGACAAAGTTTCACCATGTTGGCCAGGCTGGTCTTGAACTCCTGACCTCAGGTGATCCGCCTGCCTTGGCCTCCCAAAGTGCTGGGATTACAGGCGTGAGCCACCGTGCCTGGCCCTAAGTCACTTTATAAGAGTCTTTTGTTCTTCAAGTTTGTCTCCAATTCTTTAAATTTAACAGTGATTGTTTTAAATCCATCTGATATTTGCAACATTTGAAGATTTTATAGATCTGTTTCTGCTCTCTTCTTATTCACAGTGCCAATTGGATGCATGCTTGGTTATTATTTTTCCTCTGTAAAAACGTAATTTTAGGTATATATACATAAAGAAACCCACACAAATTTTAATTACATTGCTGAAAGAATTCTACATATATATTACATATTATATATCTCTCAGGTAATTTTGCTTGCTAATTTTTTTATTTTTACTATGTTTGATTACTTGTGACAATGTACTGTTCATTGTCCTTGAAAAATTACTGGAAGCAATTCCCTAGAATGAAAGGCCTTTCTCCACACGTGATTTGCCTTTCCATCTGCCAGGCCATGGAAGTAATACTAGTCTGAAACCAGTAACCATGATAAATGGCTGGAGGGTCATTTATCATGGAGGGTCCCTGGACCACCCAGACAGAGCAAACCCTCAAGGCAAATCACTGTGAAGGCTAAAACTGTGGTCACAACTTGAAAGGTTTATTTTTCTTAATTTCCTTTTCCTCCTCCTGCTCCATTCAACCTTCCCTGCAATCACATGGATATGGGAGTGTGTAGACAGTTCAGTTGTTTCACCCTTAACCTAACGATAGAGTCACTGGGGTCCCATCTAAAACTGAGGTTATTCTTTTTGACTGTCACTTTAGATGAACTCTAGGACTTGATTTCTGTCCTCTTCACCCCAATGGTCCACCAAAACCAAAGCCCAACTTGTACAGATTGGCAACTGCCTTTAGGGCAAAAGCTACTTCATCCACTTATTTATTTGGATTCTTGTTTATTCCTAGAATTTGGCCTGGCAGCTCCCCACTATCTTTTCAGCTCTGCAACTGCTCTACGTTTTCTTTTTTTTTTTTTTTTTTTAATACTGTTTCCAAGAATTTTAATTGTTTTCATCTGAATAACCCAGTCTTCCAATACTGAAAACAGAAATCAATTTCTCCTTTTTACAACAACTATTTTGTACATTCTCTATACTACCCTTAAATGTAATTCAGAGGCTGGGCACAGTGGTTCATGCCTGTAATCCCAGCACTTTGGGAGGCCGAGGCGGGCAGATCACCTGAGGTCGGGAGTTCAAGACAAGCCTGACCAACATGGAAAACCCCCGTCTCTAATAAAAATACAAAATTAGCCGGGCATGGTGGCACATGCCTGTAATCCCAGCTACTTGGGAGGCTGAGGCAGGAGAATCGCTTGAACCCGGGAGGCGAAGGTTTTGGTGAGCACGCCATTGTACTCCACCCTGGGCAATAAGAGCAAAACTCCGTCACAAAAATAAAAATAAAAAATAAATGTAATTCAGAGATAATCTACCTTAGTGCAATTTTATAATATTTAGGCTATTACTATAATAAATAACACACTGATGGTACTTTGTACATATATACAACAAGCACTGTGACTGTGGCAGTTACAACTGCAGACTGAAGAGTATTTGCGTCACCAATACAGCACAAGTGACACTGCCATCAATTACGTGATTTTCTAAAGGGGTGGAGTACTCCTGATAAAGTTCTGAACAAAAACTTTAACATTCCTCCAATATTGTGGTAACTGAATTCCTGAAAATCTTAGTGTATATTAAAGGTGCCTCAGTTACAGTGAGCCTAGATGGTGCCACTGCATTTCAGCCTGGGCAACAAGAGCGAAACTCCGTCTCAAAACAACAACAACAACAACAACAACAACAACAACAACAAAAAAGTGCCTCATACACAAAATGGAGTTACTGTCTATGCTCACATCATTATGATCACTTTTTTTTTTTAACCTACATCATCAAAGTCCAGCAAGTCATTCTAGGTCATGTGGTGATTTGGAACAATTCTTAAATGTGCAAACTGTCCTGAACATTGTGGGATGGCTGACTTCCCTGATCCTTTCTCATTAAATGCTAATAGTGTCCTCTTCCTCCATCTTTGTAACAACCAAAATACCTCCGAGTATTTCATCTCATTGCATGCAATATAAAGTGCACTTTTTGTCAGCCTATCACTTTTTCCTACAATCCAGTCCCATCTAATTTTGTCAAATTTTATTTCATACAATTTGCTCAACTATAATCAGCTCATTGTTTCTTAACCAAAACTAACATATGTATTTCCAACTCCAATTCTTTGCAAATTCTATTCCCACTGCCTATTACATCCTTTTGTCTTCCTTCTACCTACCTAAATTAAACCTTAACTTCCATCAAGACCTCACTAGCCCATAACAACTTCCCATGTCTTCTTGATCTGTTATCCACTTTGGTGGTTAATCACGTGCTGCCATATGCATGCTTTGTCTCTTCAATTAACAGTGTTATTGTTTAGAAGACTTTTTTCCCCTCCAAATGAAATCCCAAGCACAATTCCAATATATTAATTTATGAAGTAGAACTGCTTTGGTTGAAACAGAAATTGCCCACCTACCCCCACAAACCAGAGGCTGGCCACTTGAGTTTCTTCCTTACCATCCCCAGTTCTCAGACCAGTCCTTGAGGTAATCTTGTAACACCCAATTTTTTCAGTCCTAAAGGGGAAAAAATACACTTTTTTTTTGAGAGGGTGACTCCTGCTCTGTCACCCAGGCAGGAGTGCAGTGGTGTGATCATAGCTCACTGCAGCCGTGAACTGGGTTCAAGCAATCCTCCCGCCCTCAGCCTCCCAAGTAGCTGGGACTACATGTGGATGCCACCACACTCAGCTAATTTTTTGTAGAGACAGGGGCTCGCTATGTTGCCCAGGCTGATCTCAAAGTCCTGGCTTCAAGCAGTCGTCCCGCCTCAGCCTCCCATATTGCTGGGATTACAGATGCCAGCCACCACATCCAACCAAAACGCTAACTTCGCAGGACTGAAGAACTCAGTGCTGTGTAAATCAACATAATCTTGAAAACAAACTGAAAAGCCATGGTTAAAGACAGAAATCTAGAGAACAAAACTGCCATATTCTAGGTGAGTTATAACTATGCAGACTAAGAGTACCGAAAAAGAATTCAGTCATTTAAGTATTAGACAGTATTATTGTTAAGCAACGAGAGAATAAGTATGAATCCCACACACTCTTGACTTTGAAGGGGTCTAGAACTGCACTGATTAAAGCAGCCACTAGCCATCAGGCTAGTTATTTTTAAATTAATTAAAATGAAATAAAATTTAGTTCCTCAGTCCTGCTATGCAAATTTGAAGTGCACAGTAGCCACATAGATACGGCTACTGTCTACCATATTAAGACGACACTGAACATTTCCATCATCACAGAAAGTATGACTGAACAGTGCAGGTCTAGAGGAAAAAGAAATACCTATTAACAAAAAAACCCCACAATACGATATAGTGAGTAAAACAAGGTAAACTCTGGGATTCTACAAAAGCACAAAGCAGAGGCATCAAACTAGGACTTGGAAAGAGGTTAAGAAAAGCTTCCTACAATAAACGGTAGGTGAGGTAAGTCTGGAAGGTTTGGAGGGTGGGATGGGGGAGGAAATCTGTATTTCAGGTGGTAGGAAAAACATGAGCAAAGACAAGTCAAATTTGGAGAGTGTTTGAAAGAAAGTAATGATGAGATTATGTTATTCTACATAGAAAAACCAGTAAGTATTTGATACAGAAAAGATGAAGAAAATTTTTTTAAAAGAAAAGCAGTTACCAGACCACTCCAAATTTAGCCTACATTCATGGCAGGATAGTGGCAGGTACTTCATTAAGGAGTAATAAATTCATGTTCTATTTCCCAATGATTCCATGTTTGAGTCCAAATGAAAATGACTCATATTGAGTGTTTAAATTGCCTGGGCAAGTTACATTTAACTCTGATCTGAAGATCAGTACCAAAAAGTTAGGAGACTCATAATGCTGTCTAGACAACTCATAAAATAACTTAATATTGCCATTAGCCTATAGTCCTGGCTACTCGGGAAGCTGAGGTGAGAAAATCACTTGAGCCCAGGAGTTGGAGGCTGCAGTGAGCTATGACTGTGCCACTGCACCCCAGCCTGGGTAGCAGAGTGAGACCCCCATCTCTTAAAGGAAAAAAAATTGCCCATTAATTTTACTATTTGTCTCCAGTTCATTTATGCTCCCATACTGCTGCGGAGCTACTTTCACATATCCCCAATCCTCATTCTCGGCTGATAACCTCAAGTCTTACTTCACTGAAAAAAACCAAAGCAACTGCAACAGAACGTGTACAGACTCCACCAATCACGTCGACCTTCCTAGCAGCATTTCTAACCACATACTCTGCTTAATGGCCTATTATCATAAAGTATAGATGCTCCTATAGAAAGCCAATCCTTCCTATTTATACACTAAATCCCTTTCCCTCTTACCTCTTCTAAGACAGTGCTTCAGCAATTCTTCTCTCTCCCTCCTGAAACGTTTTACTCTCTAATGGCTCATTCCTATCATCATACGCTCTTCTTTTTCTTATCATTAAAAATTTATTGACCCCACTTTCCTCACTAGCTCTGGCCCCATTTCTCTGTTCCCCTTTACAGGATAATTCCTCACCATCTTTACTTCCCCTCCTCTTCTCTCTTAAAATCACTTCAATCAAAACATCTCCTTCAATATTTCACCTAATTTTTGTATTTTTAGTAGAGACAGGGTTTCACCATGTTGGTCAGGCTGGTCTCGAACTCCTCACCTCGGGTGATCTGCCCGCCTCGGCCTCCCAAAGTGCTGGGATTACAGGCGTGAGCCACCAAGCCCCGATGAATCTACTTTCAAAACATCCAAAATCTGACTACTTCTCAGTATTTCTGCTATCACCAATATGGCCTAGATAACTGAAAGAGATCCTTCCCTAATCCCCTAGTCTCTACCTTGCCCCAGCAACTTTGGCCTCCTGCTGTTTCTTAAATAGGCAAGGCACATTCCCGACACAGAATCTTTGAACTAATTGGTTTATCTGAAATGCCTCCTCCTCCTTTCTCAAATTTTTGTTCAAATACCCCCTTCTCAAGTGAGGCCTACCCTGACCTCCCTATTTAAATTGCTACCTACCCCCATCCCAGCCCTAAACTGTTTAACTTTCATTGCTCCACAGCACTTATTACCTTTGAACATACTACATAATTTCCTTTCTGTATGTCTAAGGTTTCTCAGCCCCATCCCCCAATACACACACACCCCTCCACTGGACAGCAGCTACATAAGGGTAGAGACCTTTGTTTTGTTTTCAAGTGTACTACTAAGCACCTAGATCACTACCTGGCATATAGTAGGCACTCAAATATTTACTGAATACATGAATACCTGTTGCCCTAAGAAATGACTCAATACAAAAGTCACCAATGTAGTTTTGGATGAATGACAAAGCAAATGTTAATCACAGCTTTTTTTTTTTTTTTTTTTTTTTTTTTTTTGTGAGACAGAGTCTCGCTCTGTAGCCAGGCTGGAGTGCAGTGGCGCGATCTTGGCTCACTGCAACCTCCGACTCCCTGATTGAAGCGATTCTCTTGCCTCAGCCTCCAGAGTAGCTGGGATTACAGGCACATGCCACCAGGCCCAGCTAATTTTTTGTATATTTAGTAGAGACGGGGTTTCACCATGTTGGCCAGGATGGTCTCAATCTCCTGACCTCATGATCCACCCGCCAGGGCCTTTCAAAGTGCTGGGATTACAGGCGTGAGCCACTGCGCCCGGCCAACCACAGCTTTTAAATACCAAAACACAAGTCATAATTACCAGTTTTCCTATAAATGGAACAGTCTTTCTACTGTTATTAAGAAAGCTTACCTCTTTCCCATGAATTGCTTACTGAACACATGAATCAGTATGTTGCCACTTCATGTTTCTTTAATTAAATAATGTTTTAAAGTAACATTAATAGAATGTAGTTAACACTGAAACAGTTCTAGGACAATCATCAGTCAGTCCCACATTAAGAACTGCCAAAAGTGTTAACTAGAGCCCTGTGCTAAGCATATTGAACATTCAAAACAAAAAAAAGAACAAAGATTTCTGAAAGGAAATTTTTACATACATAGTATTTATCTTTTGTCTTAAAAATCAACAGAAAACACTACTATAATTTTGTGAAGGCTTTTACATATTCATCATTTCACTTTATTTTCATAGCACTCCTATGATCTACTTAACACATATGGCCTACTAGAAGTTCAGTGCATACCATAAGGAGGGGGAGGAGGATCAAGAGATGCCAGTGAAAGGCAAGCATTCAACTGAGTTCTCATGTATAATGAAACTTATTTGAGATTGTGTGACTTACTGTTAGTATGAGAAGGCATGTGCAGGAAGAATATGAGTGGAATATCATCAGTGTTAGAGGCAATCCTGCAAAAACTAAAGGGAGATGAACATTTTCTGTGGCTCTAGAATAGGAATATAAAGACCACTCTGAATCATAATCTCTTCCCTATTTGATGTTCTCTGACACTATTCCCATGGAAGTATATATTAATGTGTGTAAAACAAAAAAGTTCTGAGTTAATTAGGAGTAATTATCAATAGTACTTTATCTTTTTATGGTAAAAAAAAGTTATAAAGGCAATAACTGCTTGCTAGTCACAGAAAAGATGGGATATTTTTATGATGGGAATTAAGTCACCTCCATAAAACATTACCAGAAATTACGCTAACAAGAGCTCTATAAAAATAATCAGCCAGGCACGGTGGCTCATGCCTGTAATCCCAGCACTTTGGGAGGCTGAGGCGGACGGATCATGAGGTCAGGAGATCGAGACCATCCTAGCTAACATGGTGAAATCCCATCTCTACCAAAAATACAAAAAAATTAGCCGGGCATGGTGGCATGCGCCTGTAGTGCCAGCTACTCTGGAGGCTGAGGCAGGAGAATCACTTGAACCCGGGGGGGGGGGGGGGCGGAGGTTGCAATGAGCCGAGATCACACCACTGCACTCCAGCATGGATGATAGAGCGAGACTCCGTCTCCAAAAAAAAAAAAAAAAAAAAACCATACCTACTTAAGACTTAATTACAATTTTATGGCTGACACCAATAATCCCCTTTAATATTAAAAATACATCTATAAGCCAAAATAGAAATTTATTTTGCAAAATAAATGGTACAAGGTAAAAAATACAGTTTAAAAATATCAAGTCAATTGAGAAACAACCCCAAGCAGTACATTAAACTGTTTAAAATATGCCAAAATAAGTGACTAATTCAAAGTATCCTAACATTTTATTTCAATTAAGCAGTTCTAAAACTATAAAGTAAAAATTTTCTGGTGTTATTAACTTAAAGGTTACATATTTAGTGCAAGAAAAAATATAAAACAAAAGTATTCCCCAACTTAAATATAATTAAAGTATCTTTTTTTTTTTTTTTGACACGGAGTTTCCCTCACTCTTGTTGCCCAGGCTGGAGTGCAATGGCGCAATATCGGCTCACTGCAACCTCCGCCTCCCAGGTTCAAGCAATTCTCCTGCCTCAGCCTCCCAAGTAGCTGGGATTACAGACATGCGCCACCATGCCCGGCTAATTTTTTGCATTTTTAGTAGAGACGGAGTGTCTCCATGTTGGTCAGGTTGGTCTCGAACTCCTGACCTCAGGTGATCCACCCATCCTGGCCTCCCAAAGTGCTGGGATTACAGGCATGAGCCACCGTGACCAGCCTAATTAAAGTATCTTTTAAAGATATCCACACTTCTTTACTTTTTAAAAACAGATTAATTTTGGAACAATAGTTAAAAATAGTCTGCCAAGATATTGTATTACTCTCTCCCTGGAAGTGTAGTTTCAAAATCGGCAAGGTGATGCTGGGTGCGGTGGCTCATGCCTGTAATCCCAGCACTCTGGGAAGGACTGCTTGAGCCCAGGATTTCGAGACTAGCCTGAGCAACACAGCATCTCTACCAAAACAAACAAACAAACAAACAAAAAAAACCCAAGGATTTTTTTTAAAAACTCTGCAAGGTGACCCAACAAAACTGGAACGATACTCCTTGCAACATGGTCAAAACTTAGTCAGTTTCTACCTTCGCAATTGTCACCTGACCCTCTACTAGTCAGGTATTCCACACTTCCTCTCTAGAAACATGTGTTTCCTGTTATTTTGTTTTTAAATTATTAAATGAAAATCATGATGAGAAACATCATTTTACACTGTAGGGATAATTCCCTGGGCTAACCAGTAAAAAGCTATCAGTGCAGTTTAAAACAAAGTAAAGGGGCCCTATAGGCCCCACTGAAAAAGGTAGAAATATGACCAACTACTACCATATGCCTTTCCTTAGAAGAAACATAATGATTTAATGATGCCCCTAAGATTCATAAAGATACTAACTCTGAAATATCACAGAACATGACATAGGTTTCAAATGGAAGAACTCTTCTAATGAAGATGGAGAATAACACATTGTAAACTAGTATCTTTCACAACCTAATTGACACTTTCGGTGACTTTTTTTGGTGAATAAACATCTTAACATATTCATTTTCCCCTATACACATTTTGATTACACCTCATAATGCAACACGGTAAAAAGGACGTGATTGACTTTTCTGTGCAACCTACTAAAATATGTCCTTTCTTATAAGGAAATTAATTTTGGTTGCAACTTTTACCTGTCACTTTTCATGAACCTCACCACCACATAATTCAAGACAGAGATATATTAACTATATACTGAAGTCTTAAGTATTTGGGGGTAGAAGACACCTTTGAAAACCTGAATAAAATTATGAGTCTTCTCCTTCCAAAAGTATGGTAACAAGAAATTAAAAAGTCAAAGTTCTAAAAATCTTCTCAACTGGACCTACCTGATTTTAAATTTAACTATAAAGCTATCATAACTAAGGTAGTGGGGTATTAGCCTAAGAAAACACACACAGATCAATAAAACAGTAGAATCCAAAACTCACAAACATAAGCAATTGATTTCAATAAAAGTGCCAAGGTGATTCAAAAGAAATTTGATAAATGTGAAACAACTGGACATCCATATGTAAAATAATGAATGAACCTTAACCACTGCTTCACAATTGCTGGAGTGCAATGACGCGATCTCGGCTCACTACAACCTCCCTCTCCCGGGTTCAAGTGTTTCTCCTGCCTCAGCCTCCCAGGTAGCTGGGATTGCAGGTGCCCACCACCATGCTCGGCTAATTTTTGTATTTTTAGTAGAGAGGGGGTTTCACCATGTTGGCCAGGCCAGTCTCAAACTCCTGACCTCAGGTGATCTGCCCTCCTCAGCCTCCCAAAGTGCTGAAATTACAGGTGTGAGCCACCATGCCCGGCCCCACTGATATGACTTTTATATGACTCCATTTATATGACTTTCTGGAAAGGGCACAGAGATCAGACCAGTGTTTGCCAGGGGCTGAGGGTAGAAGATGAAACTGAGTGCAAAGAGGAACTAGGAGCTGGGCTTGGTGCATGCCTGTAGTCCTAGCTACTTGGGAGGCTGAGGCTGGAAGATTGCTTGAGCCCAGAGTTCAAGTCCAGCCTGGGCAATACAGTGAAACTCCACCTCTCTCTCCCTCTCAAATAAATCAATCTAGTTTTTACAAAAGCAATTATGAACTTTCTATAGACCTCTAACCTACATCTTACTTTGAGAACCTCAAATATAACATATATAGTCTCCCTTAGACCAGGAGTCAGAACAGTTCAGCCCATGAACTGGCCCACTATCTGCTTTTGTATAGCTCACAAGCTAAGAATACTTTTTACATGTTTAAGTGGTAGAAAAAAAATCAAAAGAAGATTTTCATGACACATGAAAATGATATGAAATTCAAATTTCAGTGTCCTGAAAATGACTACTGGAACAGAGTCAAACTCATTTGTTTAAATATTGTCTATTAGCTACTTCTGAGCTACTACAGTATTGTTGAGGAATTGTGAGAGGAACTGTATGTCCCACAATGCCTAAAATATTTGCCATCTGACCCTTAAGATTGCTGACCTCTGCCTTAAGACACAAGTTGTTGAAATTTTCTACACAGATGATACCTGAGAAGATTTATGCCAGCACAAACCTCTCTTCCATACATAGTAGCTCTAAAATTTTTACAGCCATAAAACCCTTTTTTCAAGGAAACTAACATGTAAAGCAGATAAATGAAGAACTTCAATAGTTATGGTATAGGGCAGCACTCCCCAACCTTTTTGGGACCAGTGACCAATTTCATGGAAGACAATTTTTCCATGGACAGGGGTAGAGGGGGTTTCAGGATGAAATTGTTCCACCTCAGATCATCAGGCATTAGATTCTCACAAGAAGCACACAATCTAGATCCCTCACATGCACAGTTTCTGATAGGGTTCACGCTCCTGCCGCTGATCTGACAGGAGGTGGAGCTTTGGCGGTAATGCTCACTTGCCTGCCACTCACCTCCTGCGGTGTAGTCAGGTTCCTAACAGGTCACGGACTGGTAGATACGAGGCTGTGGCCCAGGGGTTGGGGGCCCCTGGTATAGAGGCACTAAACAGAGCCCTGGGGTAACCTCTGAAGAAGGTCCTTGAAACCCCAAAACAGTGTTTTTCAAACTGCCTGTTGCAGCCAATTTGGCTGTCAATTTCATAAGGTGATTTTGTGACCGGCAGAAAAAAAGAATAGAATGTTACAGAAAATCAGATCACCTCATATCCAGTAAGGTTTTATTCACTAATTCTTTCACCAAATATTTTAGTACCTATGTGCCAGGTACTATTATAGATGAAGATTTTAAAACTACAAAACAGACAAAAACAGTTTCACATATGCATTAGTGCAATTTGGAATTTTTATTCTGGCCAGGTGTGGTGGCTCACGCCTGTAATCCCAGCACTTTGGGAGGCTGAGGCGGGCAGATCACGAGGTCAGGAGATTGAGACCATCCTGGCCAACACGGTGAAACCCCGTCTCTACTAAAAATACAAAAAATTAGCTGGGCGTGGTGGCAGGCGCCTGTAGTCCCAGCTACTGGGGAGGCTGAGGCAGGAGAAAGGCAGAAAGGCGTGAACCCGGGAGGCAGAGCTTGCAGTGAGCTGAGATCGCGCCACTGCACTCCAGTCTGCGAGACAGAGCGAGACTCCGTCTCAAAAAAAAAAAAAAAAAAAATTATTATTTACAATGATAGAATGTTTTCGAAAAATTCTCCTAGAGCTCTGGCGTACTTTGAAAACCACCGTCCCACAGTACATTTGTCCCAAACGTGCTGTCAGGAACTGCAGCTACATTACAAGAATGAAAACGACGCTTTATCCGATGTTACAGAGCTTCCAGAAGATATAAAGTTAATTGAGTTCAAAGCAATTTTTATATTCTACATCACCAGGGCCCAGAAAAAGAAGTTACTGGGCATTGAGTTCCCTCTATATGCATAGTCTTGATACAGGAAGGAATTAGAATAATAGTTTTTTTTTTTAAGCCCAAGAGAAAACATGGACACAAAAATAATCTCAGAGGGTAGGGGGGAAAAATAATTGCTTAATGTTAGGGTGGAGACTGTATTAAAGAGTATCTTCTGATTACCATGCTAATTAAGTATGTTAGTGATTTAGGCTGGAAAAATTGAAATCGAAAAATAAAAACATGGCAATGAAAACAAAAAATTTAAGAAAGAAATGGAACAAATGAGGCTATATTTTTCTTCTTACACTAACATGAAGTTATCCATAACCTTATGATTTTAAAAAGCAGTACTTGACACCTTAAAAACAGAAAAGCTCCCAAATAGGCCCACCTATTTTGAATTCAGAAGTTCTACAAGCAAGTTTTTTTGTTTTTTTTTTGTTTGTTTGTTTGTTTGTTTTGAGGCAGGGTCTCACTCTGTTGCCAGGCTAGAGTGCAGTGGTGCGATCATGGCTCACTGCAGCCTCGAACTTCAGGGCTCAAGTGATGCTCCCATCTCAGCTTCCCAAGTAGCTGGGACTACAGGTGTGAGCCACCACGACCAGCCCTACTGCCACATCTGACTTTACAGAATAACCAATGTAAGTTAAAATAGAGAAACAGAATGAGTAAAGGACTTAAAACACTTTAACTTCTGATGAAGACAAAATCTAGTAAGAGCTACTGACAAAAAAAGGCTTAAGGACAATATGAGGCAGAAATGTAAGGTGACTAGACCATACTGGATTTCATAAAACAAGGGGATTATGACACAAAATGTTCACTAGGTATTCAGCTAAATTAACAACATCAAAGTGTCAAAGAAACAAAATGCACTTCTGCAGTTCTGAAAGAGAAAACAATTTTATAATTGGGAGAAAAAGGGAAAAGGAAGAACACAAAAGTAGTCATCGCATTCTCTGACAAGGTGGGCATCAGGTCTTAGAAAATGCCAAAAATCAGAGGAACCTATTCCCTCCCTCTCTTCCCCATCACTCATGGAACACAGGTTTCCAGCTGCTATATCCAGACCCACCTCCTATTCATTCTAATCAAGAAAGCAAGGGATAGAAAAACAAGAAAAGTCAGACTGTTCTAGCCTGTTACCCTAATGTAATTTTTCTGGCCTATTATCCAAATACATGTACAATTAAATCAAGTTTGCACTCACATTTACTACATTCAAGGATTCAAGCACCCAGTCCAACATTCCTTTCTTAGCTGTTTACTGACAGTTTATTCCTTTAATGGCCAACATATAAAATGACTGACAGATAATATTCTAAACAGAAAAAGGAGTGAGTGGATGCCTAAAGAAGGGAGTTCAGTAAATAAGGAGAGAGAAAAGAATATAGAAAGTGAACACTAGAAATACCAAAGACAAACAACTATTTTATGATTTTTGCCACAAGGGCACCTGTGAATATATCTGTATAAGTATTAACAGCAATAGCCAAAACTGCACAAGCACCTGCATTAATGAGAATACCACTTTTCAGGGTTATGATGCAATCCAACCTGGTGTGGCTTGCAAAGATGTATTTTAATACAGTGGACCTCATTATAAAGGAGATTATATCCCAGAATATTCCCTAGTCAATACATTATTATAATTAAACAGTTTAAGACTGACGATCAGAGATCTTGAAAACAGAACATAATAAAATTGTAATTCTAATGCAATTGTGAGAAGCTCCCTTCTACAGAAACAGCACAGGAAGAACAGTTAATAAATATCACTCTGGTATCACACTTAAAAAAATGTATTTATTATACCATATGGTTAATTTATACCATACACTATTTCATACCATATGGCCATAGAAAAAAAATCAGGTAAATATAAATGGTCAGATGTTAATGTTTAATGCCAAAAGTACAAGTACATTCATTTGATAAATATTTAATAAGCACTAATCATTTACCAGAATATTCTATTTTGAGCACCTACAAAGTATTAATACTACAAATACAGGATGTGAAATTTGTTCATTCCCCAACATATTTTAAAGACTAAAATCTACATCCTATGTTCAAGATGTTTGATGGCAGTAAAAAATTAAAAACAACCTAACACCCCAAAAAAATGATTAGTTAAATAAATCACAGTATGTCTAATAATACGTAGAAATTTTTGCTTTAAGTTTTTTAAAATACAAAACTACATAGTGTTATAAAAGCATTAAAAAAGAACAGATGGAATACACCAAAATGTCTATAGTAATAATATCTTAGTGGCAAAATTACTGATGATTTTTTACTTTTTGTACTTATAGTTTTCTAATTTTTGATAATGACTTGCTTTCCCTTTGAAATCAGACTTTTTTTTTAGATGAAATTTCCCTCTGGGAAACTTTTATTTAAAAAAAAAAAACCTACATTTTACTGTTAGGTAAAATAAATCTTCAGAATAAAATGTGTCATTACACACAAGCAAACCTTTTCATTCTTTCCATGTAATTTGCAGTAAAAGATCCCTTTAAGTGAATGTAAGGAAGACTTCAAATAAAAGACCACAGCACATTTCAGTTTCCACTGAATATCAACTTCAAATTTAAAATTATTTCTTGGAGGAATTTATTTTATCATCTGTAATACTGATATTTACATTCAAGAGATACATTTTTTAATCAATGTCACCCTCCCAGCCAAATACATTTATTATCAGTTCAGAAAAAAATGTAGAGGGAAAACTACTGTTCACCACTAAACATTAAAACCTGGGTAAAGAGGACAGTAGGAAACACTTGTTTTTTAACCAAGTAAAATGAGAGTATCCTTATAGTTTCAGAAGATATGAATATGCTTTCCAATTACTGGCAATTTATACTTAAATTCAGCTAGCCTAGAGGTTCTCAAGGATTGGTACATGGGAACTGCTCAAGACATGTGCCAAATACAGAAATCCATGGCCCTCGCTCTCACTTACTAAATCAGACTCTTCAGGGGGTACAGTTCCAAACAATCTGGCCCTTTCAAATAAAATAGAAGGGTAGAGATTTTACTTCACAAAAGCCTTCTTTACAGAATTGCAAACGGTTCTAATAACTCTGCAGCAAAGTTCCCAAGATAAACAATTTTATAATCAGAGAATTACAATTTCATAACCCCTACTTATTACTTCACTCATTGTTCCACTCTGTAGTAGTCTTCAAACAAGATACAATTCAACAAAACTACACATCTATTACAGAGTAAAATAAAATCCAGAGGCACCTGTGCCTGGTTAAGACAAAGGCATATCCGATTCCTGGAGAAAACAGACAGCAGATGTGACCCCTAGTATTTATCCATTAAAAACAATGTATCCTAAAAATAAATTTCCATGTCAAAGGAAACAAAGATGTTTATAAATAAGAAGGAACGTGGAGGTGTGGAGAAGAAAAGAGGAAGCTTCAGAAAGT
This sequence comes from Homo sapiens, assembly GCF_000001405.40. Taxonomy (NCBI): domain Eukaryota; kingdom Metazoa; phylum Chordata; class Mammalia; order Primates; family Hominidae; genus Homo; species Homo sapiens. Next base: position 140,922,844 of record NC_000007.14, read on the forward strand.
TAAGTACCAAAAGCCAGGAAACAAGGCAAAATGAATGGTAACTGGAAACAAGGGAAACAGAATAAACTAGGAAATTGAAGTAGAGAAGAGCTTTCTCCTTAGAAATCAAGAAGCTGGGGGAAAGGAACAGATATGAGAGGAAACTGATCTAAGCAAAAATGCATACTGAAAAGTGGAATGATTTTAAGAAACTTAAAAATGAGAAATTTTAGAACAGATCAAATGATGGTACAGAACACATTTTGGGCATGTAACAAAGATGATATAAAGAGTAGAAAACAAACATTATCATAAACAAGCTGATGCTGAATAAAGCAAGCATATTGGATGAATTTCCAAAGATGATGATGCAAAAAAAAAATTGCAGAGAGAATGAGATGTTATGAGAATTGAGAAATTAGATGTTAATAGTAAGTAGCAAAGAGAACTTCGAGCAAAGTCAACAGAGTAAGTCACATTACCTAATCAATAACTGTAAACCACAATTATTATACCATATCTTATTTGTAAAGCATAATAAAGTATTATTTTCTGTAATAAAATACCAAATATTTGTAATAAATTTTATGTAATAAAAAAACGTAAATAATTTGACACAGTGCTAAGAGGCTGACTAATGCAAAAACAGGCTGAGAGAAGCAAGGACTGGAGAGGAAAAAGGAAAAGGAAAAAAATAGGACAAAAAGGAGGACAACACTAAGAAATCAATCAGACCTATAAAAATGGGTAGGAATAAAGAGGTGTGAATGCACAATGGACGACTAGCCAAAAAGTGCCAGTAGTGCAAGCGCGAAAAGAGCCAAGTGAAACCTGATGGAATCTTGACAGCTTCTGGGCTCAGAAAACAAGTAGCTCCAAAGTGTCCAGGAGGATTTGTGAAGATAACAACAGACAACAATGTTAGGGAGTGGTGAGATCAAGTACAGAGCCTCAAGAGGACCAGGGTAAGAGAAGTGCAAAAATGCTCTTAAGTGGGAGCTGGGGTTAGAAGGCAGGCAGGTCCGACAACTGGAAAATGAGCGGGCGGTAGATGGGAATAGAATGGGGGTTACCAATCAGCGACAGAGCGCTGACAAACATTAGGAACAGAGGACCAGAGACCAGAAAAGGCATCGGAAACTGCGATTTAGGATTGAAAAAGTAAAGACTAAATCAAAATAATTTGCTGGGTAAAACAGGTGAAGAGAAATCCCCAAATAGAAAAGTGAAAAAGGGCAGCGGACTGAGAAGGGGGGCAGTCCGGGAGAGGAGAGAGGAAATGATGAGCCCCATCATCCCCACGACCATGTAAGAATTACACGCGACAGTAACTCGGGCTGTTGTCTCAGCCCCAGCAACTAACCTATATCCTCCACGTCGAGGCCGCCGCCGCCCCCACCCCACAGAGATGCAGAGCTGGATACTTCAGCCAATCGTGACCTTCTCGGACCAACCCTGAGTTTCGCCCCCTATTGATAGCCTCCCGCTCAACCACCGCTGCCCCAATCCCCACATCTGGGGTGGGGGCCAGGGAAACCCCCCGGGCCATTGTGTGTGTTTACGTAGGAAGGCGCTGCATGACGGAGAGGGACACGGGGGCGATGCCCACCTCCCAGCCCGCGGAGCTGGCCCGAGAAGGTGGCTGAGGGCATCAAGCCCCCACCGCCGCCTCTTTCCAAAATAAACACCAGCCAGCCGCCGAGCCCGGAGTCGGGAGGGCGGCAGGGTGGCGCCAGCACTCACCTCCTCCGGAATGGCAGGGTCCGCAGCCGAAGAGGCCGCGGCGCCGGCGCCGGCGCCGGCCTCGGGCTCCATGTCCCCGTTGAACAGAGCCTGGCCCGGCTCCGCGCCGCCACCACCGCCACCGCTCAGCGCCGCCATCTTATAACCGAGAGCCGGGGCCCGAGCGGCCGCTGTCGGGCGGGGAGGGGGAAGGGAGGCGGAGAGCTGGGGGAGGCGGAGGCGGAGGCGGAGGCGGAGGAGCGGGGGGCGCGGGGGGCGCGGGGAGGAGCGGCCCGGGCGGCGCCGCGGGCGGAGGGCGCCTGGGCCACCTCAGGTACCGGCCCGCGGCCCCGGGCGCAGCCGAGCCTGAGGGGATTGGGGGAAGGACGCTAGGCGGGGGTGCGGGGGGGAGCGGGGGAAGGGGGCGGAGACGACGAGAAGTCGCCGCGGCAACGGCGTCACCCGCGTGTCACGGTCGTGACGTCACCCCGGTGCGTGACGTAATCTGAGGCGCGCCTTCGCGCCGTCGTCCGGGGAGGGTTTTTTCCCTTCTAACCACCCGCGCTCTCACACTTTGCCTCCGCTCCGCCGTTTCCATGGCTCCGGTTTCCTACTTTCCTCTTGTCTCCTCCGTCCTCAGCCTGTTCTGTAATGTGGGATTTACTAGAAGAGCAGGGCTGGTGTTCGAGGAGGAGAAGTTGAAATCCTAGAGGGAGGAAGGCGGGGAAGCCAATACTACTTGCTATTTCCACTGCAATGAACGTCTCTGTGTCATCAAAATAAGAACTTCAACCCCAAGGTTGAAACAGCCAAGCAGAATTTGATGGAAATATATTTAGGAACAGCTAAATTAGCAGTGCGACGCGTGTTTTCTTTTCATTGAAGAATTCAGCCAGTTAAAACGAGTCTAAATGGAAGTCTGAAAGCTTTTTCTTCATTGTTGAGGAATAAAATATTTCGTGTATTTTTCGTTTTCCAGATTCATTCATTTAACAAATATCAGTTGAGCACTTTCCATGCCGTAGGGCCTGTACAAGGCACATAGCATTCTAGACATCTGAAGCATCAAAACTAATCATTTTTATTTTGAAGAAAATCACTCAAAATATTTTATGTACTTTGTGCCTTTCATGAACAGAATATTCCAAGCATTCTCTGCAAAATACGCATGAAAACAATTGGGAGAGAAGAGGTCAATTATCTTTGAGAAGCCCAATTACAGAATGAAATTCAATTCATTATTAAAAATACATGGATCTAATAAAGAATAAATAATTGGAAAAGAAAAGTTTAAGGAAGAGAGAAACGGGAATGAGAAACAATTACTGTGGGCTCCCAATGGCCTGGAGTGAATCACCAAAGTAACCTAAACATGAAGTCATGAAAAACTAAGTGGATTCTGCCTTTTAGTACTTCCCATCATGGGGGAAGTCACCAGCGACCTCCTTACTGTATTTTGGATGATTCAAGAAATAGAAAGGTGTCCTACTGACTTCTGAAACAGGGTGTCTTCATATTGATTAGGGTCACCGTAAGCCTGGGAGCTGATGCTTACTCTCAGGTAAAGGATGCTGTGTGAGGCTGCTTGATGAATGAGAATACTAACATTCTTCTGCATTGAAAAAATATAACCTATAAGATGAACATTGTAGGCCGGGCGCAGTGGCTCACGCCTGTAATCCCAACACTTTGGGAGTCTGAGGCGGATGGATCACCTGAGGCCAGGAGTTTGAGACCAGCCTGGCCAACGTAGTGAAACCTCATCTCTATTAAAAGTACAAAAAATTAGCCTGGTGTGGTGGTGCACACTTGTAATCCCAGCTACTCAGGAGCCTGAGGCAGGAGAATCATTTGAACCTGGGAGGCAGAGGTTGCAGTGAGCCGAGATTGCACCACTGAACTCCAGCCTGGGCAACAGAGCCAGACTCTGTCTCCAAAAAAAAAAAAACATGAACATGGTATGCTTTGTTAACTTCATTGTACATTCTCCTCCAAGTAGGAAAGTTTCTATGAGGAAATAAATTTAAATCAAAAAGTGGCTTGGCAAATGTAGAGTAAATGATCACAAGGGATGATGTCATCAAGCTAAACTAATCTGAAGCACCCTTTACTATAAGGACATACTTAGAAGCAGACTGAAATAGCACCATTAGCCAGTCATGGCACCTTTTCCCCTTTCATCACCCTTTCATCACCCTTTCATCAGAAACACAACTGGCAAGATTTTTGTTAATTCTCTAACTGTCCTATTTCATTTTTAAAAAATTAGCTGCTAAAAATGTTATATCATTATAACACTTCCTTATAACATTAAAAGTTTTAAAGGCTTTTATCCTCACATTGGTTCCATTTTGAATTCTAGCCTTATTTGTCAGTATCAGTCTGTAGTTCAGATCTTCCATGATTATTTCTCCACAGGATGACTGGTCTCATCCATTTAATATTGATTCTTCTTAGCGTTCTACTCATTTGACATTTTCTGACCTTGCCTTAAAATTCTGGATATATCCTGTTTTACTTCCTTAGGCCATTCTAAAGTCCTACAGTATCCAGATGAGAAACGAGAGAAAGCATAAGCTTTGGAGTCCAAAGATCAGGATTTTAGCGTCAGCACTCCACACCTTAGCTATACAATCTCAAAGCAGGTAAGCTTAAATCCCTGTTTGTTGTTTTGTTTTTTAATCTATAAAATGAAGGTTATAATAATGCTAGCCCAACCTGCCAAACTATCATTGTGAGGATCAAACATTATACTTTCACCCTTTGAAAAATATAAAATTACCCTCTCAGTCAGAATTCAGACAAGGCATAGCAAAGATGGCTTATCTCTGCTCCATGATGTCTGGGGCTTCAGCTGGGAAGACTCAGTGCCTGGGGGTGTCTCAATGGTTGAAGACTGAAATCCTTTGGAGGCATATTTTCTGACATGGCTGGTGGTTGAAGCTGGGACCTCAGATAGGGCAGTCAGCCAGAATACCTAAATCTACTCTTCATGTGGCCTGAGCTTCCTCCTAGCATGGCTGCCTCAGAGTAGTCAGACTTCTTACGAAGCAGCTCAGGGCTTCAAATGCTAGTGTTTCAGTAAACAAGGTTAAAGCTGAATTGCATTTTATGATCTAGCCTCCAAAGCCACACAGCATGACTTCTGCTGCATCATTTTATATTATGAGCAAGTCAGTAAGTCGGGCTCAAATTCAAGGAGAGGGGATATTGAGCCCACTTCTCAATGAAGTGTCAAAGAATTTACAGCCATGTTTTAAAACCACCACGTCATGTTTAAAATAATAAACTGGCTATCTGCAGCCGCACACAAACCTTCTTCCAAAGCGTTCTACACCAGTCAACTTTCTCTCCTCTTTATTACTAGTAATCACCAAGACACATCTCAGTATTTGGCTGTGTCCCCACTCAAATCTCATCTTGAATTCCCATGTGTTGTGGGAGGGACCCCATGGGAGCTGATTGAATTATGGGAGTAGATCTTCCCTGCACTGTTCTCATGATAGTGAATGAGTCTCACAAGATCTGATGGTTTTAAAAACGGGAGTTTCCCTGCACAAACTCTCCCTTTGCCTGCTACCATCCGTGTAATACGTTGACTTGCTCCTCCTTGCCTTCTGCCATGATTGTGAGGCTTCCCCAGCCACAGCCATGTGGAACTGTAAGTCTAATTAAACCTCTTTTATAAATTGCCCAGTCTCGGGTATGTCTTTATCAGCAGTGTGAAAATGGACTAATACAGTATGCTAATGAACAAGCCCTTACCTTCTTTTTTCAGCTTCTGAGGCCTCCACTGCATGCATAAATAGATACAAGTCCTTTGCCATTGGACACAGCCTGTCTTCTGAGCACCTCCCCCAAACCCCCAGTGCTGCCATAGGCAGTGTTGATGTGCTGAAACCCTCTACACAAAACAGTGTCCCTGCAGCCCATAGCCCATAATGAGCTAAGCTGGTGTGTAGTCTGAGCCAAAACTGAACACCTCCCTTTTGTGTTGTAATGTGCCATATGGGCATCAAAGCAGCATTATCTTGCATTCTAAAGTCTTAGAGACATTTTAATCAACACAGCTCTTTTAGGTTTTCTTCAAAATCCCCTTTCGCCCTAAGGCATTCATGTATTCACAGGAAGTTGGAAAACAAATCTAGGTGAGAGGTACTGCTCAAGCATTGCTTCAGTTGATGACTGAGACACTATTCAGAGCTTTACTGCCAGGTCTGACCCTTTCTTCCCCGGACACAAGTTTATTTCCTACCAGCATTTCTATCTCGAATCTTGCATTCTATTTTAATGGATGCTGGAGAGTCCCACCAGCCAGCCAGGCCTGCCCAGCCAGGTCTGATCCCACACTGATATGATCAACTACTGGAAAACAAGCAAGCAGCCTCTAGGAAGCTTCTGCAGTGCCAACCAGATTCAATGATGTATAACTGATCATAGTTCAATATTTTCTATATGAATCAAGGTCATTATTATGAATAACAACACCTCCTGTATTGTTTAATGGAGGGCTGCTTCCAGAAGCTATTTGGGTGCGAACAGAAAATAGAATTATAGAGCTGATTCAGCACAACTCTCCCACTGAGAAATGCTCAGAAACCCCTTTGTGGAATTCCAGACTCTGTCTAAATACTTTAATGATGGGGACCTTACTAATATAGTACATCCAACTCTAACAGTTTCTGAAGTTGAATTGAAATCCTCCTCTTTATGACATCTATATTCTGGTCTGAGTTTTGCCTTCTAGAGGAACACAGGATAAGCCTATTTCTTATTCTGTGTAACTGCTTTTAAGTGTTTGAAGGAAACTGTTTGCTTTAGCATTTTCTCTCCCGAGCATTTTCTCTTCTTGCTGTATACTCTTTTCAGTGTTCCTCTTAAAACATAGACCTATAAATTGAATACCGTTCCAAATTTGGTCCTTGCAAATTTGGTTTCTTGCAACCAAATTTGGACAAAACAAACTACAAGTAAATCTTTAACTTTATTTAGAAGGTTTGTTATTGATAGCAATATTGGTTTTGTAATTCTGAAACAATTTTGTGTTTATTGTGGAATAGAACTGAATGAGTACATATGTTAAAGTTGGGAATCAGGGTTTTTACTGTGGAAAAAGTGAGAAACAAATATAGAACAAGGGAAATTGAAGAAGAATGCTTTGGTGTTGTATTTGAATTTGAGGTAGCAATATGAACATAGGAGTGTGTGTGTGTGTGTGTATTCATGTATTCTTAGCTCTGCCCATTGAAAGGGGTGCTTAGGAGTAACAATAAGTATACCTGGTACCTGCATCTTGATTTTGAAATGCCATTCTCCACTAAAAGTAACCAGGGCTCCTTTGAGAAATGGCTGATGCCAGATCTGGGGCAGGAAATTTATAAATTGAGCTTGCATATGATGAGCCTTGGTATACTTGAGAGCAAGGACTTTATTAAAGACTACTAGGTCATGTCAAAAGGAGCCAACTACAAGACCCCCATTGGTCCAAAATGGGACAATAGAAAGATAAGAAATAATAATGACAGGAATGGGTTGCAATATATTTAATTATTTTAAATCCGTAAGTCCATAGTAATGAGAGAGAGAAAGAGATCGTGTGAAAGAAAAGTGTTGAAAGAAAGGTAAGAAGTGAAGTTTCTTTTAAGGATGAATTCTAGTTACTATAGAAAAAATGAATGACGGATTTAGAAAAATGACTATTTTGCGACCGCCAATATAAAAACTACTCCAGATCAGAACCATCAAGAGTTGCTAAAAGTATTATTGGGTGAAAGATTTTTGAGGTATAGGACAGTCCCATGGCTTCATAGTACCATCACACAGACCTTATCAATTACAAAGGGAGATGCTACCTTTAAAATGGAGAGATGTGGCAGTCACCTCAAGCTAACAAATTTAGCATCACAAACAGGGATACAGTTGAACATTACGTAAGTGCTTGTGCAAAGCATCACCTATGTAGTGCAGGTATTTGGGCCAAAAAGATGCTTAACCTGAATATAATAAGGAAATAGTCAAATCCAGAATGTGGGACAAGACAAATCACTCTAACTCTTTAAAAATTCAGTATTATGAGGAACAAAAAAGTCAAGCAGAGGGGATTATTCTAGATTAAAAGAGATTAAGGAGATGTAAGAACCAGATACAATGCATGAAACAACTGAATCCTGAATAAGAAAATAAACTACAAGGATATTTTTGGGACAATTGGGGAAATTTAAATATGGGCTGTATACCAAGTTATCATTTTGAGTTAATGGTAATTAATTTAATTAATGTTCTTTATTTTATGAGGAAGTAGTGTTTAGGGATGAAATATCATGTCTTCAATTTTTAAGTAGTTCAGAAAAAGAGACAGAGAAATAAAGAAAATGTGATAAATATTAACAATTGGGGAAGAAAAACGACTGGAGAATCTAGATGAAGGATATAGTAATTGTTTGTAATGCTATTCTTTTTTAAATTTTGTAAAATGTTTTGTAGAGACAGGCTTTCACTGTGTTGCCCTAGCTTGTCTTAAACTCCTGGCCTCAAGCAATCCCCCTGCCTCAGCCTCCTAATGTGCTAGGATTATAGGCACGAGCCACTACATCTGGCCCTGTAATACTATGTTTTAAGTTTTCTGTATATTTGAAATTTTCTCAAAAAAATCTGAAAGAAATTTTTCTTTTGTAATATAAAAATAATATACATTTATGGTATTAAAATGTTGTATTGAGTTTCTAAAGGAATGTTTCTTACAGACAATTAACAACGTGTTAGGTATCTATTACTGTTACTATTGTATTGTTACCTTTTTCTTGCATTATCTGCCTAAACTCTATTCCTGATAAATCTACTTTGTAAATGCTTTTTGTTTTCTGATACTTTGGAATTAAACCGTGTTGCATCATGATTCATAGACAATAAGAGTCTGCAAGACAATATTTTTTTTTTTTTTGAGACGGAGTTTCACTCTTGTTGCCCAGGCTGGAGTGCAATGGTGCTATCTCAGCTAACTGCAACCTCTGCCTCCCAGGTTCAAGCGATTCTCCTGCCTCAGCCTCCCAAGTAGCTGGGATTACAGGCATGCACCACCACACCAGGCTAATTTTGTATTTTTAGTAGCGATGGGGTTTCTCCATGTTGGTCAGGCTGGTCTTGAACTCCCGACCTCAGGTGATCCGCCTGCCTCAGCCTCCCAAAGTGCTGGGATTACAGGTGTGAGCCACCATGCCCAGCCAAGACAACATTTTTTATGGGTTTTGATCAAGTTTTAATAAGACCTTGTAATGTATCTCTACCTATCAAGTAGGAATTTTCCCATATATTAAATATAGGTATATTATTCTAAGTGTTTATATGGAATACGCTTTTTTAATTATAAACATTTACAGCAAAACCTTTCCTGGTTTCTTCTTAAAATATTTTTATGGTGTCCCCTAGTTCCATTTTTTTATTTCCTCAATTATTCAACAAATATTTATCGCATAGCTACTGTGTGCTGTGTGCCAGCTACTGTGCTAGGCTGTTTATATAATCTGAACAATGACAGTCTTAGATTTTTTTTGTTTGTTTTAACATTTATCATTACTGTAGGAGAGCTTTAAATACAGTACACTGTTAAAGAGTACATATCTAATAGTACCCCCACTTTTACAGATACCAGAACTTCTCTTTCTGTGTGTGTTTTTTGTTTTTGTTTTTGTTTTGAGACGGAGTCTCCCTCTGTCGCCAAGGCTGGAGTGCAGTGGCACGATCTCAGCTTACTGCAACCTCTGCCTCCCGGGTTCAAGCAATTCTCCTGCCTCAGCCTCCTGAGTAGCTGGGATTACAGGCGCACGCCACCATGTCTGGCTGATTTTCATGTTTTGAGTAGAGATGGGGTTTCACCATGTTGGTCAGGCTGGTCTTGAACTCCTGACCGTGTGATCAGCCTGCTTCAGCCTCCCAAAATGCTGGGATTACAGGCGTGAGCCACTGTGCCTGGCCTGTTTTTGTGTGTTTAATATCTCTGATGCCGATTTTCAAATCTGTGCTTTGCTCTTGTGTTTGATCCTTAGGTATAGATATGTTTTTATGAGATCTTGCTTCCCACTCCACAGAGAAAATATAGGCTGTAAGATATGAACTCTGTAGCTTCAAATTACAACTATAAACTTCTATGCATTTTTGTTCATTCTTACCTCCTTTTCTGCCTCACAATATGAAGTGTTGCTCCTCTTTTTGCATTTGATACTTTTGGCTGTTTCCTTTTTCTTGAAAATATCTGTTGCTTTAGATGTCATGATGCTACATACTCCTGCTTCTTTTCTTGAAGGCCAGTTCTTTCTCGGTTTCCTTAATGGGGTCAGTTTTGACCATCTGCAGTTTAACTGTTGGTATAACACGGGGCTCCATTCTTTGCCTATTTCTTTTCTTACAGAACTTGTCTCAGTCAGTTCAGGCTGCTATGGCAAAGTACTACAGGCTGGGTGGCTTTAAAACAACAGAAATGATCTCTCAGAGTTCTTGAGGCTAAAGTCTGAGATCCTGGTGCCTGCATAGCCAGGTTCTGGTGAGGGCCCTCTTCTGTGTTACACTCTGCTGTCTTCTCGTTGTGTTCTCATGTGGCAGAAAGAGGACATGAGAGCTCTCTGGGGCCCCTTTTTATAAGGTCACTAATCCCATTCATGAGGGCTTCATCCTCATGACCCTCCCAAAGCCCTTACCTCCTGATATTGGAGGTTATGACGTTAACGTATGAACTTGTTGGGGGGGAACACAAACATCTGGTCTGTTGCAGAACTCCTTCTACCCTCTTACCCATTCCATTGGTTTTATTTACAATAATGTTTTCCCTGGCCTCAACCTGTTGTATCCAACTACTTACTAGATGTCTGCACCTGAATATATCACAAACACTGCCAAACTGGCAAGTCCCAAGCTGAGCTCTACAATTCCCACTTTCTGCTTCATCAGCTATTCAACCTGTAATTTTTAAAAATCTCAGTTAGTTACCACCTTTTAACTTTATTATTTAAAGACAAATACTAATTCTATCCTTTATTCTCTGTTGCAGATATAACATAAATCTCTTTCATTGAATCCCTGTAATCATTTTCAGTAATTGAGTTCAGCTACTTCAGAAGTTTTTCAACAGCACTTTGGTAAATGTATATGTCTTCACTTTCACATCTTTCCACATTAGGTGTCCTCTACTGAAGGAAAATATGAATATTTCCCTTTTAAAACTCTTTTATTTATTACTTTGATACTTCTCTGGCCATCTCAGTTGCTCCTGGGTTTGAAGTTCTGGTTTCAGCATCTGCCTTAATCATTTCCTTATGCTTTTAATAGCTCATTATTAGATAATATAGGCCAAATATTAATTTAACATTTTATAGCTATATCTGATTTAGATTGCTAGTATATATGTCAATCACAGTTTATATATTTTATACATTAAAGTAACCTAATGGCTTGGGAGGCAAATATTCTAATTACTCAGAGATGCATATATATATATATATATATATATATATATATATATATATATATGTATCTCTCTTACATTATTCAGAATTAGTGTGGTTTTGTAGATGGCACTTTTCATATAAGAATTTCTCTTCATAAATATAGGCTGGGTGTGGTGGCTCAAGTCTGTAATCCCAGCACTTTGGGAGGCCGAGATGGGAGGATCAGTGTAGGTTAAGAGTTTGAGACCATCCTGGCCAACATGGTGAAACCCCATCTCTACTAAAAATACAAAAAATTAGCTGGGTGTGGTTGGCACCTGTAGTCCCAGCTACTCGGGAGACTGAGGCAGGAGAATGGCTTGAACCTGGGAGGCAGAGTTTGCAGTGAGCTGAGATCGGGCCACTGCACTGTAGCCTGGGCGACAGAGCAAGACTCTATCTCAAAAAAAAAAAAAAGAATTTGTTTTCATGAATATAAACATGTCATGCCTGATTTTGTACAGGACAATCATTCACTCTCTAGGAAAAGTTATTAGTGACTAAAATAATAGAAGAAGTTGGAGGTTAGGAAATTCAGAAGCCAGGAGGAGCCCTGTTACTTTAAGGAGAAGATTGACTATTTTATCGTTTTACATTTCATGTTATATAATACATTTTGGACATAAGTGCAGTGGATTGTTTTGGATGAGACCAGGCCCAAAGATTTTTGAAATGTTGAAGAGAAGATGTGGCTAAAACTGCCTTTAAAATTTATAAGCAGGAGACTTCTCAGTGGGAGCAGGGCTGTGGTGGCAGCAGCCAGCCAGGCGAGACTCAACCTGAACCTGAATTTTACTGCTGCTGGCTTATAGGATATTGAGAAATTCAGGCAGCAGCTTCATGCTATTAAAAGTTTTTGAGTATATAGATCAAGGTTGAAACTCCCAACCCTATACTGAAGAGTACTTATAGAAGTCTCTAGCTAAAAATAAACAAGTTAAAGGCAAAATGGACACAATAAAGAAATTTAAAAGCCTTATGCTTCAAGAATGGACATGGCTAAGAATTGAGCCACCAAGGTGGGAATCATCCATCTTCTTAACTAGCTGATTTTTACCAAGCCTGAAGGTACCCATTTATTGCCCTTGCTGAACCGACATGCCCGTTACAAAGTATTTGTGAACACTGAATATTAAAGTTTTCTTGCTAATGTGGAACTGGAACAATTACTTCAAAACCATTATAATTTTCCTCAAGGCATATGTCCTTGTAATTTGACCTTGCTGGGTGCTGGAAACTTCAAGTTATGGGAGATGTGAAACCAGTTTTGTTTTCTCTGTCCCTGAAAGTTTATATTATTGTCATGTTTTCAGGTACAGGCAACTTCACATCTTTGGGTGTGATTTATTTAATTACTCTCCATGGGAAAATCGGTCCTAGGAAAATCATTTTGGAAATATGAACTATGCTTGGTAAACTAAAGAGTTTTAAAAATTAAAAGTTACAACTCTTTATTTTGAGAATGGGTCTAGATATAAGCAAACACTGAACCCTGTTTTTCCTCAAAAAATAAAGTCATTGTGGCTGGGTGCTGTGGTGTGTGCCTGCAGTCCCGGCTACTCAGGAGGCTGACACAGGAGAATCACTTGAGCCCAGGAGTTTGAGACCAGCCTCAGCAATATAGCAAGATCATCCCTGATTGTATGAAAAAATTTAAAAATTAGCTAGGCTTGGTGGCACGTGCCTATAGTCCCAGCTACTCAGGAGGCTGAGGCAGGAGGATCGCTTGAGCCAAGGAGTTTAAGGCTGCAGTGAGCTGTGATGGCACCACGGCACTCTAGCCTGGATGACAGACCTCATCTCAAAAAAATAAAAATAGGCCGGGCACGGTGGCTGACGCCTGTAATCCCAGCACTTTGAGGGGCCGAAGCGGGTGGATCACGAGGTCAGGAGTTTAAGACCAGCCTGACCAATATGGTGAAACCCTGTCTCTACTAACAATACAAAAATTAGCCGGGTGTGGTGGTGCGCACCTGTAGTCTCAGCTACTCGGGAGGCTGAGGCAGGAGAATCACTTGAACCCGGGAGGCGGAGGTTGCAGTGAAGCAAGATCACACCACTGCACTCCAGCCTGGGTGACAGAGCAAGACTCCATCTCAAAAAAAAATAAAATAAAATAAAATTTAAAAAATAAAGTCATAATCAAAATAACCACATAAATGAAGTGTTCTGACTTAGATGCATGCTACTTTGTCTTTTTGGATGGAGGTTGGAGAAGGCATGTGGGGATGTTTGTGTGCTAAGTGTTGTGACAGAATATACGAAAACAGTTGCTTACTTCTATGGCTAAGGCAGACTCTCTGGTTGGTAGGGAGCTAGTGCTGAGAGAAGCTTGCCAGAGATGAAAAATGAATGGAGAGGAGAAGTCAACAGGGCACTCTGTGAGAGACCTCATGAGGTTTGGGCTTGAGCACCTGGGAAGCAAAGTGTCATGAATGGAGGGAGCAGGCCTTTCTCCCCATATCCACACAGGACCCAGCCCTGTTCTGGCAATGTGCAAACAAATGGCTCTGCAAGTATCAGGGGGCTACAACCTTGGCCTGATAGTGCGGAGCCCACAAAGGGTGCTGTCAGCATTAGTGTCAGTGATCCTCCCTCAAGCAGTGTCAAGGGCAGTGGGCAATAGCCAGGGCCAACCAAAGTAGAAGAGAAAGAACATGGTGGTCCTGAGTGGGAAATGGCGTGAGAACAGCTGAATGGTGCAGGGCCCATGTTATACCATTCCATCCACATTTTACTCCCTGTGACTCTCAGCTGGGCCCTGGGAGTGATATTCACCCAGAATACCATGTCGGTCATGCATTCCGGAATTGGGCAATGTGTCTGCCTGGTCTTGGGAAGCATGCCTTTTGGAGACTCCCAGAAATAATTACAGGCTGCTTTTCATGGGCCACTGAGGTTCAAGCTATCAAACTTGTAGGGACCAAGCCATTATGATTTTGAGTTTTGAGTTAATACATCCTCATTTTATTCATATGGTCTGATAACATCTGGGGGTCCTCGTTACTTAGCTTTTACCACTCTTATCAGAGATTGTTGGGTTGTCTTATAGTAGGAGCCAGTGGGAGTATAAGCAGTGTTCCAAATTCAAGTGCATTTGGTGGACTGATGAGACAGGCCTGGCAGCATGCATTTGCATGGGGGTCTGGGATGGCTTGTAGGTGGGTCAAAGACTATGAACCTGTGTTAAATTGAGTGATTTTCAGAATAGCGTAATATCCATCATTCAGATTGTTCTCCATTCCTACTTACACCTGGGTTTTGAGGTAAATCTGCAAAAAGGTCATATTTAATTTAAATCTGTTCAGGGCAGAGCTTATGGCAAGCTCTAGTGGGAGAATCAGTGTAGACCGCTCTGGAGAGAAGACATGCCATCTGAAGAAGAGAATTATAGAAAAATTTTCTGGCACATTACTGGGAGAAAATTTGACCATAGGGAACCAGGGGGTGATGGGTCCAGAAATGCCCATTAGGCATTTTGCCAGACTTGCCAAGTCATAAAGACAGGTGGGCCCAGGAGCAGTCCATCAAAAAATTGAAATGGTACATTTGGGGTCAAATGTGAGCAGAGCAGAAGGCACAAGTAAGCTTCAGGGAAAGGTAGCCTAGACTGATGTCCCCTGCCACAGATGCACAGGTACCCCTACCCTAACTCACACTTATGACTGTGTTGTGGGGAGAGTTCCCATACAGCCAGCTAAAGGAAGATGTATTAGTCCGTTTTCATGCTGCTGGTGAAGACGTCCCCGAGACTGGGTAATTTATAAAGAAAAAGAGGTCTGATGGACTTACAGCTCCACATGGCTGGGGAGACCTCACATCATGGCAGAAGGCAAAAGGCACATCTTACATGGGGCAGACAAGAGAGAAGGAGAGCCCAGTGAAAGGGGAAACCCCTTATAAAACCATCAGATCTCATGAGACTTATTCACTACCATGAGAACAGTATGGGGGAAACCACCTCCATGATTCAATGATCTCCCACTGCATCCCTCCCACAACTTGTGGGAATTGTGGGAGCTATAGTTGAAGATGAGATTTAGGTGGGGACACAGCCAAACAATGTAAGAGGGAAAAGCCCAAACCTTGTTTGCAGATGTGTCTGTTGAGTTACATGGGTGCAAACTGAATATGTATGTGGCTGCATTATATTCACCTTTAGAGATGCCCTTAAACAATACTGGGCAGGGAAACTCTTCCCAATTGGCAAGCTGTGAGTGGTACCTTGTGTGGAAGGAAGAGTTGCCCAAGATAAGAATATATGCAGATTCCACGGCAGTGGCCGGTGATCAGGGGCCTAGAAGTCAAAGACTGACAGATTGGAGGCAAATAAAGTCTAGGGAAGAAGTGTGTGAATAGACACTTGAGAGTTAGCAAAAAATATGCAGGTCCTATGTCAAAATGTTAACATCAGGCCGGGTGTGGTAGCTCATGCCTGTAATCCCAGCACTTTGGGAGGCCAAGGTGGGCAGATCACTTGAGGTCAGGAGTTGGAGACCAGCCTGGCCAACATGGGGAAACCCCATCTCTACTAAAAATACAAAAATTAGCCGAGCATGGTGGTACACACCTGTAGTCCCAGCTACTCGGTAGTCTGAGGCAGGAGAATTGCTTGAACCCAGGAGGTGGAGGTTGCAGTGAGCCGAGATTGCGCCACTGCACTCCAGCCTGGGCAACAGAGTGAGACTCCATCTCAAAAAAATAAACAGTTATCCACCAGAGAGCATCCAACATGGATAAGGCATGTGATGGTTAATTTTGTGTATCAACTTGACTGGGCCACGGGGTGCTCAGAAATTTAGTCAAACATTATTCTGGGTGTGTCTGTGAGGATGTTTCTGGGCAAGATTATCATTTCAATTGGTAGACTCAGTAAAGCAGATTGCCCGCATAATGTGGGTATGTCTTGTCCAATCAGTTGAAGGCTTGAATAGAACAAAAAGGTTGAGTCTCCTACAAGTAAGGGGGAGTTTCCTCCTGCCTGACTACTTGGAGCTGGGGCATCAGTTTTGTCCTGCCTCTGCACTTGAAGTGAAACATTGGTTTTCCTGGTCTTTAGCCTGCTAGGCTTTGAACTATACCTACACTATTGGCTCTCCTGGTTCTCAGGCTTTCAGACTTGGACTGGAAAAACACCATTGGCTCTCTTGGGTCTCCACCTTGCCAACTGCAGATCTTGGGACTTGTCAGCCTCTATAATTGCATTTGTTTCCCTCTATCTCTAGGTAGGTAGGTAGATAGCTAGCTAGATAGATCAATCTTATAGAGATATATGTACATAGGCCCTGAAGGTACAATTAAGTTATTTAAGAAGTGGCCCAAATGCCCATGGTCCCCACTACTTCTAATTACCTTCTCTCTTACAGCCTGCACCTGTGGCCTCATGGCGCATTCTCTACAATCAGTTGACAGAGGAAGAGAAGACTCAGGCCTGGTTTACAGATGATTTTGCATTCTACGCAGGTACGACTCAAAAGTGTACTTCTGCCACATTACAGTCCCTTTCTGAGACATCCCTGAAATACTGTAGGAAGGGAAATCTTCCCAGGTGGCAGAACTTTGAGCAGTGCACTTGGTTGTTCACTTTGCTTGTAAGGAGAGATGGCCAGATGTGCAATTATGTATCAATTCTTGAGCTGTGGCCAGTGATTTGGCTGGGTGGTCAGGGACTTGGAAAGAACATGATTTAAAAATTGGTGACAAGGAAATTTGGGGAAGAGATATGTGGGTGGACATCCCTGAGCAAAAAACTTCTGAAGTTATTTGTGTCCCATGTGAATGCTCACCAAACCAAAAGGTGATGTCAGCAGAGGAGGATTTTAATAATCAAGTGGATAGAATAACCCATGTGTGGATACCAGCGGTATTAGTCCATTCTCTCACTACTGTGAAGAAATATGCAAGACTAGGTAATTTATAAAGAAAAGAGGTTTAATTGACTCACAGTTCCACATGGCTGGGGAGGCCTCAGGAGACTTGCAGTCGTGGCAGAAGGCACCTCTTCACAGGGCAGCAGGAGAATGAGGGCTAAGCAAAGGGGGAAGCCCTTTATAAAACCATCGGATCTCATGAGAACTTACTCAATATCACGAGAACAGCATGGAGGAAACAGTCCCCATGTTTCAATTACCTCCTACTGGGTCCCTCCCATGCCATGTGGGGATTATGGGGATTATAGTTCAAAATGAGATTTGGGTGGGGATACAGCCAAACCATATCACCAGTGAAACTCTTTCCCCAACAACCCCATTATTGTCCAATGGGCTCATAAACAAACTGGCCATGGTGACAGGGATGGAGGTTGTGCATGGGCTCAGCAACATGGACTTCCATTTACCAAGGCCAACCTGGCTGTAGCCACTGCCGAGTGTACATTCTGCCAGCAGCAGAGACCAACACTGAACACGCCATATATGGTCCTATTCACTGGGGTAATCAGCCAGCTACCTGATAGCAGGTTACCATTGGACATATGGAAGAGGCAGCATTTGGTTCTTACAGGAACAGACATTTATTCTAGATATAGATTTGCCCTCCCTGAATGCAGTGCTTCTGCCAACACTACCATCTGTGAATTTATAGAATGCCCATCTACCATCATGGTATTCCATACAGCGTTGCTTTTGATCAAGGAAATAACGTTTCAGAAAAACAGAGGTAAAGAAATGGGCCCATGTTCATGGAATTCACCATGTTCCCCACCACCCTGAAACAGCTGGCTTGACTGCATGGTGGAGTGGCCTTTTGAAGACACAGTTACAGCTCCAGTTAGGTGGCAGAGCTGAAGCAAGGTTCTCCAGGAAGTTTTATATGCTCTGAATCAGCATCCAATACGTGGTACCGTTTCTACCTTAGCCAGGACTCACGGATCTAGGAAGTAGTGGGTGGAAATGGGAGTGGCACCACTCACTGTTATCTCTAGTAATCCACTAGCAAAATTTTGCTACCTCTTCCCATGACCTTATGCTCTGCTTGCCTAGAGGTTTTAGTTCCACAGGGAGAAATGTTTCCATCAGGAGACACAACAGTGATTCCATTGCACTGGAATTTAAGACTGTGGCCCAGACATTCTGGGCTCCTCATGCCTCTGAACCAACAGACTAAGAAGGGAGTATCTCTGTTGACTGGAATAATTAATTCTGATTGCCAAGGGGGAAATTGGACTACTACTCCACACTGGGCATAAGGGAGAGTATATCAGAAATACAGGCAATCTTATTATTATCATGCCCTGTGACTAAGGTCAATGAAAACTACAACAACGCAATCCAGACAGGATTAATAGCCCAGACCCTTCAGGAATGAAGGTTTGGGTCACCCCACTGGTAATGAACCCCAGCCAGCCAAGGTGCCTGCTGAAGGCAAAAGGAAAACAAAAGGGGTCATGGAAGGAGGTGATTATCAATACCAACTATGATCGTGTGACCAGTTACAAAAACGAGGACTGTAATTGTCATACATTTATCTCCTTTATTTTGTTATAAATATGTGTGTATGATAAGTAACTTTGTTTCTTCCCTCTTTTATTCCTTTATCATGTAACATAAGATGTATTGGCTTTATATCATAGTATTGAAGTAGTGTTAATTTTACATCATAGTATTTAAGTTGTGGGATACAAAGGACAAGAGTAAATGTCACTCAAGGATTTTACCTCCTCTGCTGGGGAAGGGATTAATGTGTTTCCAGTTGTATGCAGGATAGTTGTGTCATGTTAGGTGGAGTTATGACATTGGTTCTGTCTTTATTTGGAGATTAAATATGATTTAAGGAGATGTGTATATTTGCCAGCCTGACAAGGGGTGGACTTGTGATGGTTAATTTTAATGTGTCAACCTGACTGGTCTACAGGGTTCGTAGATATTTGGCTAAACAATATTCTGAGGTTATGCATGGGCCCAGTGACCTGACCTCCCACTTACCAAGTCTGTTCTAACTGCTGCTGTCACTGAATGTCTAACCTGCCAGCTAGGAAGACCAATGTTGAGCCCCTGATAGGGCACCATTTACTGAGGAGACTCATTGGCAACTTGATGGCAAGTTGATCACATTGGACATCTTGCTTTTCTCATTCAATAATACCAAAAATATCTTATAACTCTTAAAGTCAACTTGCAGAACTCTATTTTATTTATTTATCAATTTCTACTATGAACAAAGCCAAAGAGAACATCCTTCTATGTGTGATCTTCTCCGTGCTTTTACTCCTAAGGGATATAAAGCAGGTTTGTCATTGCTTGGGAAAAGATACAAGTAAATGTAATTTGAATATATATTGCCAGATTGTTTTACAAAAAGGCTAAAATATTTCTTGTTTCCACCAACAATTTATGAGAATCTCCTTCTCGCCATAGTCTTGCAATAATAGGCGTTATCACTCTTTTAAATTTTTGACATATATATATATATATTTATTTATTTATTTATTTATTTATTTTATTTATTTTTTTTTTTTGAGATGGAGTCTCGCTCTTATTGCCCAGGCTGGAGTGCAATGGCACAATCTTGGATCACCACAACCTTTGCCTCCCAGGTTCTAGCGATTCTCCTGCCGCAGCCTCCTGAGTAGCTGGGATTACAGGCATGTAGCACCACACCTAGCTAATTTTGTATTTTTAGTAGAGATGGGGTTTCTCCATGTTGGTCAGGCTGGTCTTGAACTCCCGACCTCAGGTGATCCACCCACCTTGGCCTCCCAAAGTTCTGGGATTACAGGTGTAAGCCACCACTCCTGACCCATTTACTGTATTTTCAAATGTTTATTAGCCATTAGATTTTCTCTTCTGTGAATTGTCTGTTCATATATTTCAAGACTTTCTTACTAGTCTTTTATTCTCTTTTGCATCAGTTTGTAAAAACTCCTTGTACAGTATCATTATGGAATAGTTACCTCTCCTATGTATTATAAATATTTTCTCTGCCTTTATTATCTATTGATTTTGATTACTGTATCTCTTCCACATTTATTCATATAAAAGTTTTAAAGTTTTGGTCCTGCGTGGTGACTCACGCCTGTAATCCCAGCACTTTGGGAGGCGGAGGCAGGTGGATCACCTGAGGTCAGAAGTTCAAGACCAGCCTGGTCAACATGGTGAAACCCCATCTCTACTAAAAATACAAAAATTAGTCAGGCGTGGTAGCAGGTGCCTGTAATGCCAGCTACTTGGGAGGCTGAGGCAGGAGAATTGCTTGAACCCAGGAGGCGGTGGTTGCAGTGAGCTGAGATCATGCCATTGCACTCCAGCCTGGGCAACAGAGACAAACTTAATATCAAAAAAAAAAGTTTTAAACTTTTATAGTCTAATACGTTTATTTTTTTCTTTTGTCATGTCTGGGTTTGTGTCTCTCCTACCTAAGTATATATTTTCCTAGATTTTTCCCTCTCAAAGATTTTGTTTGATTGATTTTTAATTTTTTATCCATCTGTAATTTATTTCTGTGTCTGGCATAAGCTAGATATCTGAGTTTTTTGTTTTTTTGTTTGTTTTGTTTTGTTTTGCTTGAGACGGCATTTCGCTCTGTCACTCAGGCTGGAGTGCAGTGGCGCGATCTCGGCTCACTGCAAGCTCCGCCTCCCAGGTTCACACCATTCTCCTGCCTCAGCCTCCCGAGCAGCTGGGAATACAGGCGCCCGCCACTAAGCCCAGCTAATTTTTTGTATTTTTAGTAGAGACGGGGTTTCACCGTGTTAGCCAGGATGGTCTCGATCTC
Organism: Homo sapiens; assembly: GCF_000001405.40. Taxonomy (NCBI): domain Eukaryota; kingdom Metazoa; phylum Chordata; class Mammalia; order Primates; family Hominidae; genus Homo; species Homo sapiens. The sequence continues at coordinate 140,943,732 of NC_000007.14, forward strand.
CTGACCTCGTGATCCGCCCACCTTGGCCTCCCAAAGTGCTGGGATTACAGGCGTGAGCCACCGCGCCTGGCCCAGTTTATTTTCTTTTAGATAGTTGTGCCAGCACCATTTATTAAATAATTCATCTTTTCACAAGGATTTGCACTACCACCTTTATCACATATTACTTTTTGTATATATACTGAGTTCTCTTTCTGGGTCCTTATTCCATTCCATCAAGATGTTTGTCTAATCTTCTACAGTTCTTTAATGATTTGGTAACAGTGATTTTTCAGTTTGTTCTACTATCTGCCAAATCTCCCCTCACTTTTTTTTCTTTTTTTTTTTGAGATGGAGTCTCACTCTGTTGCCCAGGCTGGAGTGCAGTGGCGCGATCTCGGCTCACTGCAAGCTCTGCCTCCTGGGTTCACGCCATTCTCCTGCCTCAGCCTGCCGAGTAGCTGGGACTACAGCCACCCGCCACCACGCCCGGCTAACTTTTTGTATTTTTAGTAGAGATGGGGTTTCACCGTGTTAGCCAGGATGGTCTCGACTCCTGACCTTGTGATCCGCCCACCTCGGCCTCCCAAAATGCTGGGATTATAGGCGTGAGCCACTGCGCCCAGCCTCCCCTCACTTTTTTTCTTGCTATTCTCAGTCATTTATTTGTCCATGTAACTCTTTCTTGCTTTTTTTTTTTTTTTTTTTTTTTTTGGAGATAGAGTCTCGCTCTGTCACCCAGGCTGGAGTGCAGTGGAGTGATCTCAGCTCACTGCAACCTCCACCTCCCAGGTTCAAGTGACTCTCCTGCCTCAGCCTCCTGAGTAGCTGGGATTACGGGTGTCTGCTACCACACTCAGCTAATTTTTTTGTATTTTTAGTAGAGACGGGTTTTCACCATGTTGGCCAAGCTGCTTTTGAATCCTGATCTCAAGTGATCCACCCATCTCGGCCTCCCAAAGTGCTAGGATTACAGGCATGAGCCACTGTGCCTGGCCTGTCCATGTAACTCTTAAAGATATTTAATCCAGATCACCCACTGCCTATTCGAGTACTAATTGCAATGTAACTAAATTTACACATCATTTTGGGAAAATTGTCTTACCTAGTTTTTACAAATAGATGTTATTGTGTATATTTCAGGTTTAAACATGATGTTATAGGGTACAAATAGACAGTAAAATGGTTACTAAAGTGAAGCAGATTAACATCTATAATGTCACATAGTTTCTTTTTTGGTGACAAGAGCAGCTAAAGTCTACTCTGTTGTTTTCAACAAACATCCCTAATGCAATTTTATTAACTTTATTTGTTATTTGTTTTTGTGTTTTTGAGATGATGTCTTACTCTGTCGCCCAGGCTGTTGTGCAGTGGCACAATCTCGGCTCACTGTAACCTCAGCCTCCCAGGTTCAAGCAATTCTCCTACCTCAGCCTCCTGAGTAATTGGGATTACAGGTGCCTGCCACCACACCCGGCTAATTTTTTTTTTTTTTTTGTATTTTTAGTAGAGACGGGGTTTTACCATGTTGGCCAGGCTTGTCTTGAACTCCCGACCTCAAATGATCCACCCACCTCGGCCTCCCAACGTGCTGGGACTACAGGCATGAGCCACTGCGCCTGACCAATTTTATTAACTTGGGTCTTCATCTACATTAAATCTTGAAACTTGTTCATCCTGCATATCCACCGCTTTGTATCTTCTGATCTACATCTCCTCAGTTCCTCTCCCACGTTTTAATAGTAGTCTTCTCATCCAAGCACATGAATGCTTTCTCTTTCTTTCTTTCTTTCTTTGATACAGAGTCTTGCTCTGTTGCCCAGGCTGGAGTGAAGTGGTGCGATCTCGGCTCACGCCACTTATATTTATACCATTTTTCCTCTCACTGAAGGTACTACACTGTTCAAGACAGTGTTAAGTAATAACACTGCTGATATAGCATGGTGTTGTAGTTATTAAAATCAACTAGTTATTCATTTTAATAAAACAATTTTTGGCATTTTGTTATTTAGGACATTTCCTGTTGGGTTTTGGTAAATAGTCTATTATGTTAATAATTTTCTTCTATAGCTAATTTGTGTAGAATTTTTTGTTAGGAATGGCTATTGAATTATATCAATTATATTTTCATGATCATACATATCATGTATCTTGACGTGATCATATAGTTTTCCTCTTAAATCTGTTGATATATTGGATTATATTGACAGGTTTTCTGTTAGTCAACCACCTTTAAAAAATCTTGATTACATTTCTGAATTCAGTGTAATTGTGTGGAATCGTGCATATATATTCATAAACTTAGAAATGTGCATCTATACACATAAATGTGACTGAGCTACAGTTTCCTGTTTTGTTTGGCTTTGTTTTGTTTGCATTGTCTTTATTGGGTTTAGATTTACAGTTTGCTGACTTCTTAAAATAAATTGATGGGCTTTTTATCTTTTTTTGAATAGCCTGGAATAGTATAAATCACTTTGAGATTTTATGCTGTTTAAAGAATAGATAAAACTCAGCTGGGAACCCATCTGTCTCTGGTGATTTTTGCAATGTTAGAGTTTAACACTTTTTCAATTTCATCAACGGTTATTCTTCTATTTATGTTTAGTCTCTTTCTTGGGTGAGTTTTGTTTATATAGGAAATCATCTCTTTATCCTCCTGTTTTCAAATTTATTGACACCAAAGTATATGTGTATATGTGGTATCTCTTATAATTCTTTTAATCACTTTATCTCTGGTATGTCTCCTTTCTCATTCTTAGTTTTATATATGTTTATTCTCTTTATTTCTCCTTAGTTAGACTGGTAAGAGTTTAAAAATATTATTTGTATTTTCAAAGAACATGTGTTTTATGTTATTAAGAGTGGACAATTGAAGCTACAAGGCATCATATATGTCTGAATTGTCTCTGATGATGGAGGACATCATAAGAAATATCAAAGACACTTCTGTAAAAAGCCACAGAATATGCAAAGAAAGCAATTATATGCCAGACAGAAAATAATGGGGTGAAAGACAAGAAATAAATATAAGTTATGTTTAATTCAGTCTTCATTGTCAACTAGGAACTCAAAATAAGAACTTTCAAATAAATGCCATGCCTTTAGCAAATGGATGTGTTCACATAAGCATAGGTGATGCACCAAAAGCACACTACTTTGGGGGAAAAATGGAGTCAAACCTATACTGAGAAAGAAAATGTTTCCTCAGTTATCAAGCTATCTTGTCTAAGAGTATTGTGTGGAACAGTGTTCAATTCTTATTTTGTAGTCAAAGGATGTTCTAAAATTAATCTTTATCATCAGCAGATAAGTAGATTGTATTTATTAATACCTTTGTTCTAAACTAAATAATAAAACCATAAAGTTTCTAATAAGTTTGAAAACATTGTTGACCAGAAAGGAGCAAGAATATGGGGAAAATGGAAACCAGGAGTAATTCACACATATTCACACATAGGCAATGCTCAGGGTGTGTGTGTGTGTGCGTGCGTAGCCTCTCTCTCTCTCTGTGTTTCTATGTAGTCTCTTTGTTAATTTAAAAGTATTAAAAAGTATTATGTATGATCATTTATAAAATAATAAAGTCTGATATACTGAAATTTAAGTATCATTACAATAATTCCATTTCATTAACTTTTTTTTTGCTTGTTTTTTTGAGATGGAGTCTCCCTCTGTTGCCTAGGCTGGAGTGCAGTGGTGCAATCTCAGCTCACTGCAACCTCCGCCTCCCGGGTTTAAGTGATTCTTATGCCTCAGCCTCCCGAGTAGCTGGGATTACAGCACACCACCATGCCTGGCTAATTTTTGTATTTTTAGTAGAGACGGGGTTTCACCATGTTGGCCAGGCTAGTCTCAAACTCCTGACTTAAGGTAATCCACCTGACTCAGCCTCCCAAAGTGCTGGGATTACAGGAGTGAGCCACCATGCCCAGCCTCATTAACTGTTTATAGTTTTATTACAAACAACACTACAAGCTGCTATAATTTAAGAAATCTGGCATTCTTCATTGTTACAGCCTTACAAAAGAGAGGTAAAATCTCAAGAAAAAAATCACATATACATACATTAAAAACAAAGCTGTTTTTAAAAATACAGAAACCACGAATTTTATCGAGAGTAACTACAATAAAAGAACCCCACATTAATTAAATACACCATTTAACATACTGCTATCATTACCATCAATTTCTGCTGATTCTGATCTTTCATTTTTTACATTTAACAATAATAGTTATCACTTATTAGGAGGTTACTATATGCCAGGCAGTAAAATACATCAAACTCATTTAATCTTCTGAATGACACTGTAAACAAGTATTATTACATATCTTGCCCAAAATTTATTTATATTATTGATCAGAATACCTACACGTCTGGGCATGGTGTCTCACGCCTGTAATCCCAGCAGTTTGCAAGGCCAAGATGGGAGAATGCCTCGAGCCCAGGAGTTCAAGACCAGCCTAGGTAACAAAGCGAGACCTCCCCTCTACTACGAATAATAATAATAATAATAATAATAATAATAATAATAATAATAAAAAATCAGCTGAGGGTGGTGATGTGCACCAGTCCCAGCTACTCAGGAGATTGAGGTTGCAGTGAGCTATGATCACACCACTGCACCCTAACCTGGGGAACACAGCAGCAAAAACCTGTCTCAATAATAATAGTAATAATAATAATAATAATAATACCTATAGTGTTTCTCAAGTATGAGTTTCAGTGAATTAGTGGTTCTAGCTTAGTGTCCATTCACATTCCAAATATATAATTTCGCTGGACACGATGGCACATGTAATCCCAGCACTTTGGGAGGGAAAAGCAGGCGGATCACTTGAGCTCAGGAGTTCAAGACCAGCCTGGGAAACATGGTGAAACCCCATCTCTACAAAAATACAAAAAATTAGCCGGGCATGGTGGCATGCTTCTGTAGTCCCAGCTGCATGGGAGGCTCAGGTGGGAGGATTACCTGAGCCAGGGAAGTCAAGGCTGCAGTGAGCCTAGATTGTGCCACTGCACTCCAGCCTGCGTGACAGAGTGAGACCCTGTCTCAAAAAACAAAACAAGGCCAGGCGTGGTGGCTCATGTCTATAATCCCAGCACTTCAGGAGGCTGAGGTGGTTGGATCACTTGAGGTCAGGAGTTCAAAAACCAGCCTGGCCAACATCGTGAAACCCTGACTCTACTAAAAATACAAAAATTAGCCAGGTGTGGTGGCGCATGCCTGTAGTCCCAGCTACTTGGGAGGCTGAGGCAGGAGAATGGCTTGAACCCTGGAGGCGGAGGTTGTAGTGAGCCATTGCACTGCAGCCTGGGCAACAGAGCAAGACTCTGTCTCAAAAAAAACCCCATAAAGAAACAAAAAATGTAATATAATTTGTTCCTGAAGACTAGCTTGATTATACAATGCAGCAGCAGGCTTTTCTAGTAACCCTAATGCAGAATTGAGAAAAGTACATAATCCTTTCTACATATATCCACATACCCATACCACCCCCTCTACCTTCAACACATCTTCCTTCCCCCTCAGTCCCTTCCTCTCACCTCCTCCCCCACCTCCTCTTCTCCTATCATTCTCACAATTTGTTATCACATCCTTGAAGTCACCTTTTATTTATCTTCTCAGTGTGAGAGTCACATATGATGTTTATCAACATACAAGACCCATCTGCACACATGCAACTTAATTTCCCTGTGTTGACTGCTCTTGTAGAATTCAGGGTCCAGGCCTGTCCTCTACATGAATTCCCAGCTTGCCCAACCCCCTAAACTGGTTCCTCTCCTCTAGTTTTACACATTCAGGCAAGTGGAGTGAAGCAACTGAACAGTCACCCACCCAGGTATTCAAGCCATAAACTTAAAAATCACTCTTGAGTCCTCTTTTTCGCTCTCCACAGCACCGCCATCCATTACGTCTACCTCCAAATCTTTTTTCTTTTTTTTTTTTTTTGATACAATCTCACTCTGTTGCCCAGGCTGGAGTGCAGTGGCGCAATCTCTTGGCTCACTGCAACCTCCGCCTCCCGGGTTCAAGAGATTTTCATGCCTCAGCCTCCTGAGTAGTTGGGATTACAGGCATGCGCCACCACACCCAGGTAATTTTTGTATTTTTAGTAGAGATGGGGTTTCACCATTTTGGCCAGGCTGGTCTGGAACACCTGACCTCAAGCAATCCCCCTACCTTGGTCTCCCAAAGTGCTGGGATTACAGGCATGAGCCACCACCACGCCTGGCCCCTCCAAATCTTTACCCCTAAAACATATCCTGAATCTTTCTACTTCTCCCCCCTGTCACTACTGCCACATTGTCTAAAAGATCATCATCTCTTACCTAGATACTATGATAACATCCTAATGGTCTCCTTGCTTTCACCTTTGTCACTTTATGCTCCAGAATTCACCTGGCAGCCAGATGGTTTTCTAAAAATATCAATCCTTTTATCTTACTTTCCTGCTCAAAATTATCCAATGGACTGGGTGTGGTGGCTCACACCTGTAATCCCAGCACTTTGTGGGAGGCTGAGACAGGAGGATCACTTGAGGCCAGGAGTTTGAGACCAGCCTGAGCAACAGAACAAGACTCCATCTCTACAAAATAAATAAATAAATAATGTTTTTAAAAAACAACAACAAAAACCCTATCCAATGGCTTCCTAATGCGTTTAGAATAAAACCCATATTGCATACCCTGGACTAAAAGACCCTATATGAACCAGACCTCCTTTTCTTGCCGGTCTCATCTTCCATCCCAATCCCTGGTGTATTTTCTTCACAGTTTGTTTTTCTTCCGTCTTACTTTTTTTTTTTTTTTTTTTTTTTGACAGAGTCTTGCTCTGTCACCCAGGCTGGAGTGCAGTGGCATGATCTTGGCCCACTGCAACCTCTGCCTCCCGGGTTCAAGCAATTCTCCTGCCTCAGCCTCCTAAGTAGCTGGGATTACAGGCACGCACCACCATGCCCCGCTAATTTTTGTATTCTTAGTAGAGACGGGGTTTTACCATGTTGGCCAGCATGGTCTCAAACTCTTGACCTCGTGATCCACCTGCCTCGGCTTCCCAAAGTGCTGGGATTACAGGTGTGAGCCACTGCGCCTGGCCCCCGTATTACTTTCTTGCTTACGCTAATAGGTGTGTGAGCTTTACGATTTGTGTACCATCTAATGAAGATGACCTGTATATATTTATTACAGAGGGGCAAAACAGAAGTTCTTCTTTGGACACTTGACCTATTAAAAGCCTAGGGAAAACCCATGCATCTCTGATCAATTAACTTTGGACAAAGATGTCAAGATTATTCAATAGGAAAATGATAGTATTTTCAACAAATGGTCCTAGGACAACTGTATATTCATATGCAAAAGAATGAATTTGGACCCCCTACTTCACACCATATTCAAAAGTAACTCAAAATGTATCAAAGATCTAATGATAAATGCTGAAACTACAAATCTCTTAGAGGGAAACAAAGGTGTAAATCTTTATGACCTTAGATTAGGCAATGGTTTCTTAAATATGACACCAAAAATACAAGCAACCAAAGAAAAAATGGGTAATCGGGGCCAGGTATGGTGGCTCATACCTGTAATCTCAGTGACTCAGGAGGCTGAGACAGGAGCATCACTTGAGGCCAGCAGTTCAAGACCAACCTAGGCAACATAGCAAGATCTCATCACTACAAAAAATATGTATTTTTAAAATAGCTAGGCATGGTGGCACACACCTTTGGTCCTAGCTACTCTGGAGGCTGTGTCAGGAGGATGACATGAGCCCAGGAATTCAAGGTTACAGTTATGTTCACACCGCTGCTGTACTCTAGCCTGGGTGATAGAGTGAGACTCTGTCTCAAAAAGAAAAAAAAAAAAAGAAAACCCAAACAACACAATCTTAAAATAAGCAAAGGATTTGAACAGATATTTCTCTAGAGAAGATAAACAAATGACCAATGAACATGTGAAAAGATGCTCAACATCACAAGCCATTTGGAAAAATGCAAGTTAAAACAGCAATGACGTATGAACTCATACCAACTAGGATGACTACAGTTAAAACAAAAATAAAATCCAGAAAATAACAAGCTTTGGCAAGGATGTGAAGAAAATGGGGCCCTCATACCTTGCTGGTGGTGATGTAAAATGGTACAGCCACTGTGGAAAACAATTTGGCCATTCCTAAAAAAGCAAAGTGTAAAGTTTGCATGTGACCCAGCAATTCCAAGCCTAAGTATATACCCAAGAGAACTGAAAATATGTGCTCACACAAAAACCTGTACATGAATGTTCATAGCGGTATTATTCATAAGAGCAAAAAAGAAAAACCAACCCGAATGTCCATCAGCTGATGAATGTCATACATCCATATAGTGGAATATTATTCAGTCATAAAAAGGAAGGAAGTGCTGACCCATACTATAACATGGATGAACCTAGAAAAAATTATGCTAAATGAAAGAAGTCAGACACAAAAGTCTACATATTTTGTGATTCCATTTGTATAAAATGTGCAGAATTGGCAAATACATAGAGACAAAGTAGATTAGTGGTTGCCAGAGGTTGAGGGGAAGAGGGAATAGAACATGATCGCTAATGAGGACAGGGTATCTTTTAGGGGTGATGAAAATGTTCTGGAGTTAGATAGTGGTGATGGTTACTTAACTTTGGGAATATGCTAAAAACCATTCATTCAATTGTATACTTTGAAATGGGTTAAAATGATAAATGTTATGTAAGTTTTATCTTAAAAATTCAAAATAAAAAAATGCCTAGGGAAAATGTCAAGAATTTGGTATGTATACAAGTCAGCAGCCCAGGGAAGAGGCCACAATAGAGATAGAGATTTAGGGGAGATTGAAATATTGATGGTATATAAAATGCTGAGTCTGCCCTGTATTTGTGGATAATATGATTGAATGTGAAGAAAATTCTATGGCCTCCATAAAACAACTGCTAGAACAAGTAAGTGAATTTAGCAAGGTCCCTGGATATAATAAGGTCATATAAAAATCAGTTGTATATTTATATACTGCATCAAACAATTGGAAAGTAAAATTTTTAAAAGCACTCCATTTATAATAATATTGGAAAGCATATAACATACTTAGAAATGAATTAAGCAAAATATATGTAAAATCTCTACACTGAAAATTACAATACATTGCTGAGATAAATTAAAGAAAACCTAAATAAAGAAATAATACCATATTTGTGGTTTGGCTGAGTCAATATTGTTAAGATGTCAATTTTCCTCCAAATACATCTACAGATTTAATGCAATCTCAATCATATCCCACTAGGCTTTTTTTTCTTTAATTAAAAGGCTCATTCTGAAATTTGTGTGGAAGCATAAAAGGGCCTAGAATATCCAAAGGAATTTTGTAAAAGAAAAACAAAGTTGGAGGACTAACATTACTTGACTTCAATATTTACTATAAGTTTAAAGTAAGGCAATGTGGTACTGCTATAAGGATCAACAAAAAGGTGAATAGAACTGAGGAGAAATCTGAGAAACAGAATCACACATATCATCATTTGATTTTCAACAAAGACGCCAAAGCAATACAATGAAGAAAGGAAAATCTTGCAACAAATATGGGCTGGGTGAGGTGGCTCATATCTGTAATCTCAACACTTTGGGAGTCTGAGGTAGGAGGATCGTTTTAGCCCGGGAATTTGAAACCAGCCTGGACAACACAAGACCCTGTCTTTATAAAAAATAAAAAATCAGGCCGGGCGTGATGGCTCATGCCTGGTAATCCCAACACCTTGGGAGGCCGAGGCGGGAAGATCATCTGAGGTCAGGAGTTCAAGACCAGCCTGACCAACATGGAGAAACCCCGTCTCTACTAAAAATACAAAATTAGCCAGACGTGGTGGCGCATGCCTGTAATCCCAGCTACTCGAGAGGCTGAGGCAGGAGAATCGCTTGAACCCTGGAGGCGGAGGTTGCAGTGAGCTGAGATCACACCATTGCACTCCAGCCTGGGCAACAAAAGCAAAACTCCATCTCAAAAAATAAATAAATGAATAAATAAAATGAATAAATAAATAAATAATCAATAAAATGCTAGAATGACTGAATATCACTATGGAAAAAAACGAACCTTAAGACCTATCTCACACTATACACAAAAATTAATTCTAAACTGATTAAAGACCTCAATATAAAGGTGAAAACTACAAAGCATATAAAAGAAAATATAGGAGAATATCTTCATGACTTGTAGGCAAGGTTTGCAGAACACAGAACTATCTTGCCATAAAAGAATAGATTGGTGAATTAGACTTAATAAAAGTTTAAAACTTCTCATCAAAAGAATCCTTTAAGAAAATAAATAAGCAGGTCATAGACTGGAAGAATATAGTCATAGGGCTGGGCACAGTGGCTCACGCCTGTAATCCCAGCACTTTGGGAGGCCAAGGCAGGCGTATTACTTGAGACCAGGAGTTCAAGACCAGCCTAGCCAACATAGCGAAACTCCATCTCTGCTAAAAATGCAAAAAATTAGCTGGGCATGGTGGTGCTTGCCTGTAATCCCAGCTACTCAGGAGGCTGAGGCAGGAGACTTGCTTGAACCCGGGAAGTGGAGGTTGCAGTGAGCAGAGATTGTACCACTGCACTACAGCCTGAGCAACAGTGAGACCCTGTCTTGAAAACAAAAAATAATATGTGTGTGTGTGTGTGTGTGTGTGTGTGTGTAGAGAGAGAGAGAGAGAGAGTTATAAAATCATTTTCTAACATAGGACTGGTACCCAGGAAATAAAGAGCTTCTACAACTTGATGATAGAAAGACAAATGATTCAATTTTTTAAACAGGCAAAGAATTTGAACAGAGAATTTACAAGAAAGTTAATAAGTACACAAAAATCTTCATCATCACTAGTCATGAAGAAAATGTAATATAAAGTCACAATGAAATACTACTATACTTCCACCAAAATAGCTAGTTTTGAAAAGAACAGCACCACCAAATGTTGGCAAGGATGTGAACAACCGTAACTTGAATTCTCATATATTGTTGGTTGACGTGTAAAATGAAATAATGCTTATGGAAAAGGGTCTGCCAGCTTCTTATAAAGTCTTGGATCTGGATGAAACTAGTGAGAGAGAGACTAAAGATGGTTAAGAAAAGGGAGTCAAGTTCTAAGGACTAAAACATGCTAACATTTAGAAGTCACAGAAACAAAGAGTATTCATAAAAAGCACTGGGAAACAGGAAAGAATAAATCAGTAGAAAACTAAATGAATGTAATGTCAGGGGTGCCAAGACAAGAAAGCATAGTGAAACTTCCATCCTTAACAATGTTTTTTTGTTTTTTGCTTTAATATCCATTTTGTTTGCTATGACACTTAGGTTACTTCCGGTTAATATTTGGCTAGAATATTTATTTTCTGTCATTTTATCTTCATCTGTTTTGTATCAGGCATGCCTCATTTTACTGCACTTCTTTTTAGTGTGCTCCACAGATAGTGCTGTTTTCACATCGAAGGTTTGTGGCAAGTCTGCATCAGGCAACTCTGTTGGCGCCGTTTTCCAATAGCGTGTTCTCACTTTGTGTCTCCGTGTCACATTTTGTCAATTCTCACACTATTTCAAACGTTTATGTTATTATTATGTATGTTATGGTGATCTGTGATCAGTGATCTTTGACATCATTATTATAATTGTTTTGGAATGCCATGAACTGCGCCCATATAAGATGATGAACTTAATTGATAAATGTGTGTGTTCTGACTGCTCCACCAGCTGGCTGTTCCTCCATCTCTCTCCTTCTTCTTGGGCTTTCCTATTCCCTGAGACATAAACATTTTGAAATTAGGCCAATTAATAACCCAACCATAAAATAACCCTACAATGGCCTCTTAGTGTTCAAGTAAAAGGAAGAGTCATGCATATGTCACTTTAAATCAAAAGCTAGAAATGATTAAGCTTAGTGAGGAAGGCATGTTAAAAGTTGAGACAGGCAGAAAGCTAGGCCTCTTGTGCCAAACACTTAGCCAAAATGTGAATATGAAGGAAAAGTTCTTGAAAGAAATTAAAAATGCTACTGCAGTGAACACACGAATGATTAGAAAGCAAAACAGCCTTATTGCTGACAGAGAGAAAGATTTAGTGGTCTAGATAGAAGATCAAATCAGGTACAACATTCTCTTAAGCCAAAGCCTAATCCGGGGCAAGGCCCTAACTCCCTTTAGTTCTATGAAGGCTGAGAGAGGTGTGAATGCTGAAGAAGAAAAGTTGCAGGCTGGCAGAGGTTCATTATGTGTCTGGAATTGGTGGGTTCTTGGTCTCACTGACTTCAAGAATGAAGCCGCGGACCCTCGCGGTGAGTGTTACAGTTCTTAAAGGCGGCGTGTCCGGAGTTTGTTCCTTCTGATGTTCAGATGTGTTTGGAGTTTCTTCCTTCTGGTGGGTTCGTGGTCTCGCTGGCTCAGGAGTGAAGCTGCAGACCTTCGCGGTGAGTGTTACAGCTCTTAAGGCGGGGCGTCTGGGGTTGTTTGTTCCTCCCGGTGGGCTCGTGGTCTCGCTGGCTTCAGGAGTGAAGCTGCAGACCTTCGCAGTGAGTGTTACAGCTCATAAAGGCAGTGTGGACCCAAAGAGTGAGCAGTAGCAAGATTTATTGCAAAGAGCAAAAGAACAAAGCTTCCACAGCGTGGAAGGGGACCCGAGCAGGTTGCCACTGCTGGCTAGGGCAGCCTGCTTTTATTCTCTTATCTGGCCCCACCCACATCCTGCTGATTGCTAGAGCCGAGTGGTCTGTTTTGACGGGGCGCTGATTGGTGCGTTTACAATCCCTGAGCTAGACACAAAGGTTCTCCAAGTCCCCGTCAGATTAGCTAGATACAGAGTGTCCACACAAAGGTTCTCCAAGGCGCCACCAGAGTAGCTAGATACAGAGTGTTGATTGGTGCATTCACAAACCCTGAGCTAGACACAGGGTGCTGATTGGTGTGTTTACAAACCTTGAGCTAGATACAGAGTGCCGATTGGTGTATTTACAATCCCTGAGCTAGACAGAAAGGTTCTCCAAGGCCCCACCCGAGTAGCTAGATACAGAGTGTGGATTGGTGCATTCACAAACCCTGAGCTAGATGCAGAGTGCTGATTGGTGTATTTACAATCCCTGAGCTAGACATAAAGGTTCTCCACGTCCCCACCAGACTCAGGAGCCCAGCTGGCTTTACCTAGTGGATCCTGCACTGGGGCTGCAGGTGGAGCTGCCTGCCAGTCCTGTGCAGTGCGCCCGCACTCCTCAGCCCTTGGGTGATTGATGGGACTGGGCGCCGTGGAGCAGGGGGCGGCGCTCATCGGGGAGGCTCCCGCTGCACAGGAGCCCACAGAGGGGGTGGGAGGCTCAGGCATGGCGGGCTGCAGATCCCGAGCCCTGCCCCGCCGGAAGGCAGCTAAGGCTCGGCGAGAAATCAAGCACAATGCGGGTGGGCTGGCACTGCTGCGGGACCCAGTACACCCTCCGCAGCTGCTGGCCTGGGTGCTAAGCCCCTCATTGCCAGGGCCGGCGAGTTGCTCCGAGTGAGGGCCCGCCAAGCCCACACCCACCCGGAACTCCAGCTGGCCTGCAAGCTCGGCGTGCAGCCCTGGTTCCTGCTCGCGCCTCTCCCTCCACACCTCCCTGCAAGCTGAGGGAGCCGGCTCGGGCCTTGGCCAGCCCAGAAAGGGGCTCCCACAGCGCAGCGGTGGACTGAAGGGCTCCTCAAGTGCCGCCGAATGGGAGCCCAAGGCAGAGGAGGCGCTGAGAGCGAGCGAGGGCTGTGAGGACTGACAGCACACTGTTACCTCTCAATAAGATTTAAGGGAAAAAGCCATGTCCATAACATAGAAGTTCAAGATGAAGCAGCAAGTGCTGAGGGAGAAGCTGCAGCAGGTAATCCAGAAGATCTGGTTAAGATCATTGATGAAGGTGGCTACAGTCAACAGATTTTCAATGTAGATTTTAAAAGCCTTCCATTGGAAGAAGATGCCATGCAGGACTTTCATAGCTAGAGAGGAGAAGGCAATGCCTGGCTTCAAAGCTTCAAAGGACAGGCTCACTCTTTTGATAGAAGCCAATGCAGCTGGTGACTTTAAATGGAAGCCAATGATCATTTATCATTCCGGAAATCCTAGGGCCCTTAAGAATGACCCAAAATCTACTCTACTCTGACTACTCTAACAAAGCCTGGATGACAGCACATCCTTTTACAGCATAGTTGGCTAAATATTTTAAGCCCACTGTTGAGACCTACTGCTCAAAAACAGATTTCTTTCAAAATATTACTGCTCCTGGTCACACAAGAGCTCTGATGGAGATTTACAAGGAGATGAATGTTGTTTTTATGCCTGCTAATGCAATATCCATTCTGAAGCTCACAGATCAAGGAGTGATTTAACTTCCAAGTCTTATTATTTAAGAAATACATTTTGTAAGGCTATTGCTGCCATAGATAATGATTACTCTGATGGATCTGGGCAAAGTAAATTGAAAACATTTTGTGAAGGATTCACCATTCTAGATACCATTAAGAACATTCAAGATTCATGGGAGGAGGTCAGAATATGTGTAGGGCTATGCACATGCCCTAGGATGTGTGCATGTTCAGGAATTACTTGAGAATCTGTAGGCTTTCATCTTGGGCTAACCTTGGGCTCTGTGCAAACATGAATTGAAGGCAAAGGAAGAGTTGTGAATGGCCTCACTGAGTGTTGAAGGCATGCCCCAACCCTTAAACAGAGCCCCTCAGCAAATACTGGGAGACTTAATGGTTCCAAGCATTAAAAAAAAATCTACATTCAGTCACTAAAAACTAAATTAACTGAGAAGTGAATTCAGTGCCACGCATGACAAAGCATACAGATTTTATAGAAGTAGTTCAGAAAAGTCACTAGATAAACAATATTAACAACAATAAAAACAAGCCCAGGGAAGGGGGTGGTATATTTCATTTCCAGAGTTGACACATTCAATTATCTCAATGTCCAGTTTTACAACCAAAAAATTATGAGACATTCAGAGAAACAAGAAAGTGTAGCCCATACAGAGGAAGAAGAACATTTAATAGAAACTCTTCCTGGGGAAGCCCATATGTTGGACTTACTAGACAAACACTTTGCAGCTAATTTAAAATATGTTCAGCCAGGCGTGGTGGCTCACGCCTTTAATCCCAGCACTTTGGGAGGCTGAGGCAGTTGGATCACTTGAGGCCAGGAGTTTGAGACCAGCCTGGCCAACATGACGAAAGTCCGTCTTTACTAAAAGTACAAAAATTAGCTGGGCATCGTGGTGCATGCCTGTAATCCCAGCTACTAGGGAGGCTGAGGCAGAGAATCACTTGAACCTGGGAGGCGGAGGCTACAGTGAGCCGAGATCATGTCACTACCTTCCAGCCTGAGACACAGAGCGAGACTCCATCTAAATAAATAAATAAATAAAATGAAACATGTTCAAAGAACTAAAGAAAATCCTGACTAAAGACCTTAGAGAAAGTATGAGAATAATGTCTCACCAAATATAGAATATCAATAAAGTGATAGAAATAATAAAAGAGAAACAACTAGAAATGCTGGAGTTGCAAAGTAAACTAACTGAAATGAAAATTTCACTTGAAGAGCTCAACAGTACAGTTGTGCAGACAGAAGGAAGAATCAGTGATCTTTAAAGATAGCTCAGTTAAGCCTCGGCGAGGTGGCTAATGCCTGTAATTCCAGCACTTTGGGAGGCTGGAGGATTGCTTGGAGCCAGGAGTCCAAGACCAGCCTGGACAACATAATGAGACACCATCTCTACAAAAAAATTGGCCAGGCATGATGGCTTACCCCTGTAAACCCAGCACTTTGGGAGGCTGAGGGGGGCGGATCACTTGAGTCCAGGCGTTTGAGACCAATCTGGGAAACTTGGCAAAACCCCATCTCTACAAAAAATACAAAAATTAGCAGTGTGTGGTGACACATGCCTGTGGTCCCAGCTACTAGGGAGGATGAGGTGAAAGGATTGCTGAGCCTGGGAGATCGAGGCTGCGGTGAGCCATGATCACACTACTGCATTCCAGCCTTGGTGACAGTGAGACCCTGTCTCAAAAAAAAAAAAATTGTTTTTAATTGCTTAGTATGCTGGTGGTATGTACCTGTCTCAAAAAAAATTTTTTTTTTAATTGGTCAACATGGTGGTGGTGTGTATCTGTAGACTGAGCCACTGAGGAGGCTAAGGCGGGAGGATTGCTTGAACCCAGGAGTTCGAGGTTACAGTGAGCTATGATTGCACTACTGCACTCCAGCCTGGGAGACAGAGCGAGACTAAACAAACAAACAAACATAGCTCAATTACAATTACCCAGTGTGAAGAAGAGAAAGAAAAAGGAAAAAGAATGAAGAAAAATGAACAGAGCCCCCAAAGACCTCTAGGACCCCATGAAGTATAATACACTAACATATGCATAAAGGGAAGCCAAGAAAGAGAAGAGACAGAGAAAGGGCAGAAGGAATATTTGAAGACATAATGGCTAAAAACTTCCCAAAATGTGATGAGAAACATCAATCTACACATTTAGGAAGCTAAATGAAATTCATGTAGGATAAACTAAAAGATTGTCAGACCTAGACACATCACAATCAAACTCAAAAGGCAAAGGCAAAGAGAGAATCTTGAAAGCAGCAAGAGAGAAGTGACTCGTCACATTCAAGGGAGCCTCAATAAAATATCATCTGATTTCTTACCAGAAAACCTAGAGACCCTGCGATCACATATTCAAAATACTAAAAGAAGATACTGCCACCCAAGAGTTCTATATGTCAAAAAAACATATTTTAGAGGTAAAGAAGATATAAGGCATTTCTATATAAACAACAACTGAGAAAATTTGTTGGTAGCAGAACTGCCCTATAAGAAACACTAAAAGGAGTCTTTCAGGCTGAACTAAAAGAACATTATACAGGAACTTGAATCCACATGAAAAAATAAGGAGTACTGGTAAAGGTAACTGCATAGGTTATTTATTTATTTATTTATTTATTTTAGACAGAGTCTCACTCTCTTGCCCAGGCTGGAGTGCAGGGCGCAATCTTGGCTCACTGCAGCCTCTGCCTCCCGGGTTCAAGCAATGCTCCTGCCTCAGCCTCCCGAGTAGCTGGGATTACAGGCATGTGCCACCAGGCTTGGCTAATTTTTGTATTTTTAGTAGAGACAGGGTTTTGCCATGTTGGCCAGGCTGGTCTCGAACTCCTGACCTCAAGTGATCCACCTGCCTTGGCCTCCCAAAGTGTTGGGATTACAGGCGTGAGCCACTGGGCCCGGCTATGGATAGGTAAATATAAAGAACAATGTAAATGCATGTTTTGTTTATAACTCTTTATTTATCCTATTTGATTTAAACACAGCTGCATAAAGCAATAATTATAAATCTGCACTGATGCATGTGCACTATATACTGTATGACAGTAACAGCACAAAGGAGTAGGGGGAGAATGCAGTTTATAGAAATAAGGTTTTTGTAGGCTATTAAAATTAAGTTGCTACTAACCCAAACTAGAGTATTATAAATTAAGATGCTAATTACAAACTAGATAGAATCTTTCCTGTCTCTTACCACTTTTCCCTTCCTTCCTTCCTTCCTTCCTTCCTTCCTTCCTTCCTTCCTTCCTTCCTTCCCTCCTTCCCTCCTTTCTCTTTCTCTCTCTCTCTCTCCCTCCCTCCCTCCCTCCCTCTCTCTCTCTCTCTCTCTTTATTTCTTTCTTTCTTTCGAAGGAGTCTTGCTCTGTCGCCCAGGCTAGAGTACAGTGGCGCTCACTGCAACCTCCACCTCCCGGGTTCAAGTAGTTCTCCTGCCTCAGCCTCCCGAGTAGCTGGATTACAGGTGCCCACCACAGCACCTAGCTAATTTTTGTATTTTTAGTAGAGACGGGGTTTCACCATCTTAGCCAGGCTGGTCTCGAACTCCTGACCCCGTGATCCACCTGCCTTGGCCTCCCAAAGTGCTGGGATTACGGGCGACAGCCACCACACCCGGTTTTCCCTTCCTTTCTTTTACCCTAAATTTGGAGGGGGCAGAAACCATGTCTAGTTGATTAGGGAGCAAAAAGAATGAGAAAGTGGAGAAACAGAAGTCAACCAGGGTTATCTTTTCCCACTACCAACTATCACCTGAGGGAGAGAAAAAAGTTTATCTTAAATAAAGTTCACTTATTGCATTTATTTGTTCTATTACTACATATACATTGTTAAATATTATGATATTTTATGGTACTTAAAATTTTAGACTCGGCCGGGTGCCGTGGCTCATGCCTGTAATCCCAGGACTTTGGGAGGCAGAGGTGGGTGGATCACTTGAGGTCAGGAGTTCAGACCACCCTGGCCAACATGGCGAAACCCAGTCTACTAAAAATACAAAAATTAGCCAAGCATGGTGGCAGGCACCTGTAATCCCAGCTACTCGGGAGGCTGAGGCAGTGAGCCGAGATGGTGACGCTCACTCCAGCCTGGGCGACAGAGTGAGACTGTGTCTCAAAAAAATAAATAAAATAAAAATAAACAAAAAAAATATATAAAATTTTAGACTCACACCTGCACCCCTGCTGCGGGTCATGGTTCTTCCTCCTTCTCCTCATGTGGCTCTTGTTCCTTCTTGCACAGGTTTTTCTGCTGCCTAAAACTCCTCAGACAAAAATAAAACCTTGACAGAACAATAGAAGCTCCCCCAAAGCCTCCTGTGTGCACCTTCATCCCTTCAAATTTCACACTGTTCTAACACTGTGGACTGGCCTGTCCTCTATCTATCCTCTACCTGTCTATTTATCTATCTGTCTATCATATTATTCTTATTATTTTGTAGAGATGGAGTCTCACTATTTTGTTTAGGCTGGTCTTGAACTCCTGGACTCAAATAATCCTCCTTAGCCTCCCATAATGCTGGGATTACAGGCATGAGTCACAGTGCCTGGCCCAATCTGTCTTTCACATTATGTAAATAAACTGGAGTATATATTCTTTTGAATATTGCTTTTGCTTAATACTGTTTGTCAAGTTTATCCCTATTTTTTTATATACCCACAGTTCATTTTCATCACTGCACAATAGTCCATTGCATGGATATACCACAAGTGATATACTCTGAACAAAAAATCTATTCTGTTGATAATAGACTTTGGTATTATTTCCAGTTTTTGGCTATTAGGTGCTACAATTAACATTCTTGTGACTATGAAAACATTTCTCGGCTGGGTGCAGTGGCTCACGCCTGTAATCCCAGCACTTTGGGAGGCCAACGTGGGCAGATCACCTGAGGTCAGGAATTTGAGACCAGACTGACCAACATGGAGAAACCCTGTCTCTACTAAAAATACAAAATTAGCCAGGCGTGGTGGTGCGTGCCTGTAATCATGGCTACTTGGGAGGCTGAGGCAGAAGAATCCCTTGAACCCAGGAGGCGGAGGTTGTGGTGAGCTGAGATCACGCCATTGCACTCCAGCCTGGGCAACAAGCGCAAAACTCCGTCTCAAAGAAAAAAAAAAAAAAAGAAAAGAAAAGAAAACATTTATCTTTTCTCTTGGGTATAGATGTAGGAATGTTAACTTTGGGGTCAGAAGATTGGGTATGTTCAAACTTGTTAAATAACACAAGTTATTTTCTAAACTTCTTTACTGACTTACAATGCCATTATCAGTGTAGGAGAGTTTTCAGTCGATGTTCCAAAAACTTCTTAAGATTTTATATATATATATGTATATATATGTGTGTGTATATATATGTGTGTATATATGTGTGTGTGTGTGTATATATATATATTTTGTTGTTGTTGTTGTTGTTGTTATTGTTGTTGAGACGGAGTCTTGCTTCATCGCCCAGGCTAGAGTACAGTGGCACAATCTCAGCTCACGGCCACCTCTGCCTCTCGGTCTTAAGCCATTCTCCTGCTTCAGCCTCCAGAGTAGCTGGGACTATAGGGGTGTGCTACCATGCCCGGCTAACTTTTTGTATTTTTAGTAGAGACGAGGTTTCACCATGTTGGCCAGGCTGGCTGCAAACTCATGACCCAGGTGATCCGCCCGCCTCGGCCTCCCAAAGTGCTGGGATTACAGGTGTGAGCCACTGCACCTGGCTAAAAATTTTTTATCATATAAGTACCAAGTGCTAATGCACTTTGTACCCCCTGAATTTTTTTTTTTTTTTGAGACGGAATCTTGCTCTGTCGCCAGGCTGGAGTGCAGTGGCTTGATCTCAGCTCACTGCAACCTCCGCCTCCCGGGTTCACACCATTCTCCTGCCTCAGCCTCCCGAGTAGCTGGGACTACAGGTGTGCACCATCACGCTCGGCTAATTTTTGTGTTTTTAGTAGAGACGGGGTTTCACCGGGCTAGCCAGGATAATCTCAATCTCTTGACCTCGTGATCTGCCTGCCTCGGCCTCCCAAAGTGCTGAGATTACAGGTGTGAGCCACCGCGCTGGGCCATGTACCCCCTAAATCTATTTTTTAAATTTTAGATCATTATCACAATAGTTTAAATTTTCCTGATTACTAATGAGGTTGAGAATACCTTTTCCTATGTTCATCAGCCATTGGAATAGCCTTTTTTGGTGAAGTGCTTGTTCAACTCTCTTGCCCACGTTATTTTGTGTTGTCTGGCTCTTACTGGTTTGTAGGAGTATTTTTATTTTGGATACAAGCTCATTGTTAATTATATGTGTTGAAAATATCCTCTCCCACTCTGGCCTTTTTCTTTTCTTTTTTTTTTTTTAAATTAATTAATTAATTTATTTTTGAGATGGAATCTTGCTCTGTCGCCCAGGCTGGAGCGCAGTGGTGCGATCTTGTCTCACTGCAACCTCTGCTCCCCGGGTTCACGCCATTCTCCTGCCTCAGCCTCCCGAGTAGCTGGGACTACAGGCACCCACCACCACGCCTGGCTAATTTGTTGTATTTTTTAGTAGAGACGGGGTTTCACCGTGTTAGCCAGGATGGTCTCGATCTCCTGACCTCGTGATCCACCCGCCTCAGTCTCCTAGAGTGCTGGGATTGCAGGTGTGAGCCACCGCACCTGGCTGCCTTTTTATTTTCTTAAAGCCGTCTTCCAAAGAACAGAGTTTTGCTTGTTTATTTTATTTTTAAAAAATATATTTATTTTTAAATAAATTTATTTAATTGGTCGGGTAAGGTGGCTTACACCTGTAATCCCAGCACTTTGGGAGGCCAAGGTGGTGGATTACCTGAGGTCAGGAGTTCAAGACCAGGTTGGCCAACATGATGAAACCCCATCTCTACTAAAAATACAAAAATTAGCCAGGTGTGGTGATGGGCGCCTGTAATCCCAGCTACTCAGGAGTCTGAGGCAGGAGAATTGCTTGAACCCAGGGGGTGGAGGTTGCAGTGAGCTGAGATCACACCACTGCACTCCAGCCTGGGTGACAGAGTGAGACTCCGTCTCAAAAATAAAAAATATATATATAGATATATATAGTCACATTTATTGATCTTTTCAAATCTTACTAATGCTGTTTATATTACAGCCTAGGCTGTTGATTCTGTTCCATTGTTCTGTTCCAATTTCACACTGTCTTCAAACATCATGTTTTTAAAAGGTATCTTAGATCCCTGAGTCTGTAATAAGACTGAAAAAGGGGAAGGGGGGACATAAAAAATCTTTGTGTAATTATTCCATTGAACAAGCAGGACTCTCTGACATAGAATTGAACAAATTAATAAAATTGTTTTGTGCATGCAACTCTATGAAGTCCTGGCCCCTCGGCACCTGACTGCATGGCACATTTTAAGGTGGTTAAGAGTGAAGCCCCCTGGAGGGAAACTGCTCAGTTTGTATCAGAGCTTCACCACCTACTAGCCAGTGACTAGCCTTGATTTCCTTATTTGTCAAATAAGGATAATAATCATACCTACCACATGGGGTTGTTGTGAAGATGGAATGAGATAATACATACAAAGTTCTTAGCACAGTTTCTGGAAAATAGTAAGTACAAAATAAATGTTAGTAATTACCAAGTTTGTTGAACAAAGAAGTCCATCTGAAAACTTCCCCTGGTGTGTTCATGCCTCAAGTATTCTGGGGCTCAAATCAATTTAGCATCAAAAGACTTTTATTCTTCCTTCTGATCTAGCAAATCACAGAGACTTGGTGAATTAATTGGAAGGCAGACAGTGGCTTGCAGCACTTACACATTTGAAGCAGGAGCATCTGAAACCTATGACTGTCATTTTTCTAATCAGTATGTTTTTCTCTGTCCGATAATATTTCTGTGTTTATTTTTCTTTTTGAGGTTACCTTGCTTCTGCTCTAGTATTTGCCTTGAATCCTTTTTCTTTTCTTTTCCTTTTTAAATTATGAAATATTAACATCACAGAGAAAAATAGAGAAAATAATAAATCACCAGGTCACCCGTAACCAACCTATATCAGTGATTACTATTTTACCTATTTGCTTCAAATTTATGCTAAAAAAAAATAAGAGACATAGTTGAAACCCTTATGACATTACCCCCTTCCTTCTCCAGAGGCAAGCACTGTACTAAATTTCATGTTTATTCTTCGCAGGCATTTTTTATACTTGCACTTCATGTATACAAATATCCATAAACAGGATATAGAATGACTATGCAAGTTTTAAAAATTTATATAAATGATATAATAATATACTTACTACTTTAATTGAATATAATAACATTTACTATTTAATGAGTAATAGCAACATTTATCTATTAATCTTTTTCTTGATAGGTATTTAAGTCTTCCATTTCCCTTTTTTCTTGTATTACAAACAATCCTGCAATAAACATGCTTGTCTCTATTTTCCAGTTTTGAGTGCTACCTGATTCATGAGTTTTTCTTTGTTCAAACTGTTAAATTTGTCTAAAGTTTAATTTTTAACACTAGAAATAGCTTTACGGCCTGTATGGTTCAGCAGTCAAGAGATAAAGAGGCTAGAGCTTGGGTGCTTGGGTCAGACCACCTCCAATTGCTACCTCATATTTTCCTGTACAGATTCTTCTTCTCTTATGGAGCAAAAAAATATTATCCATGGACCATGTCCAGCTCGACATTTGGGATCTCTGGATGGAGGGCCATCCTTTCCATCAGGTGTGAACTTGGCTTCCCACAGTCCTGCAACCCATAGGCTTAAAGACAAATTGCCAATGTCCAGGACACCTAATATACAATGGTGAAGAAAACGAAGACAACTGCAACAAAAACTCCTGCTCAGAGAAAAGGGGAGAACGGGAAACTACAGCAATTACCAATCTTGACAAATTATCAAATCCTGCTGGGCAATTACTAAGTCCTGCTGGACAAGATCTGTGAGGACTCTCTGCCCTGGTTGTGAAATAAGTTCCTTGCTTAGCCAATCTGGCAGCCCCAGTCTTCTTCCTGTCCCCATTATCCCCTCATTGCATTGTAGATAATGCCCTTCTCCACCTGCTGGTACTATTGAGGGCCCATAGATTTCCTTAGGGTTCAATAGCCACGGGCTATTATCAGATTTGGATTTTTTTTTTCTTTTAAGACCAGATTACAAGCTTCAGTGTTTTTTGTTTTTTAATCAATACAGTTCTCTCTCAAACTCAGTAGACTTTTGGATAATCTATTTTCAATTAATTTTACATGCAAGTAACCAGAGCCCAGATATTTTCTAGACAGACTTCAGTCCTGAGAATGTTTGGCTGTTAGGCTGGCCTTAATGCTCTGCCAATCCCCTACCCTCAGAATTTAATGGCCACTGCCTTGAGGCATTCTTACGAACGTCAAGAGGACAACATCCTTAATCTCATCTTCTTCAGCTGGTGTTGCCTCTTTGCCTGGCAAAGCCATTCTTAAAATGAAGGCATTGGATAAAGTTCTGGGCTCCTGGGCATCCATCCTGCCAGGTCTGCTGCTGCAAAGCTCCACTGGTGGGACCTCAGGGTGAGGTGCTTAAGCATTAGGCCTTTTCAGTTTCACAAGTCTCTCTACCTCAGAACTGGAGGCTCTCTGCAGAGTGAGCCCCTGTTGACCATGCAGTTCTCCATCTTCTCTTTCCTCTCTGCTCAAATTCTGGCTGGCTTGAGTCTCAGTTTGCTCCTCTTTTGGAGGTCTTCGTTGAAGGTGGCAAGAAATACAGCTTCCCAGCACACTTGGAGGAAAAGCCAAAGTCTTTTCAGTCCAAAAGGCCTTTCCAGATCTCATTCCCCTCCCCCAGGACACACGCCTCTGCATCAGTTTTTGCTATCCTTCTGTTTGTCTCCATGTTCTTTCATGAACACTACAAGGACACTCCTGCTATTTTCCCTGCTTAGCCAGGGCACCCAGGTCTCCTCCTGGCTCCCTCTCTCACATACTTCAAGCATCTGTTTACCTGGCAAATTATCGGAGTTCTGACTCCTCATATAAAATAGCAATCCTATCTTGGGAACTACCTATCTCTTTTAATCTGTGAATTTGTTTTCCCATAGCACTTCTTAGATTATACATTATATATGTATTTGTTTATTACCTGTTTCCCCCACTAGAATAGAAACCTCATGAGGCCAGTCACGGTGGCTCACAACTGTAATCCCAGCACTTTGGGAGGCCAAGGCAGGCAGATCACTTGGGGTCAGGAGTTCGAGACCAGCATGGCCAACATGGTGAAATCCCGTCTCTGCTAAAAAAATAAAATAAAATAATTACCAGGGTGTGGTGATGGGTGCCTGTAATCCCAGCTACTCGGGAGGCTGAGGCAGTAGAATCACTTGAACCTGGGAGATGGAGGTTGCAGTGAGCCAAGATCATGCCACTGCACTCCATGAGAGCAGGGGTCTTGGTCAGTTTTATTCACCACTGTATCTGGAGTTTCTAGAACAATGCCTGGTATGTGGTAGTAGCAGCACATAGTAGAAACTCAAATATTAACTTAAAAAGAAAAAATACTGCATTGTGTCAACATTCTGAAATTTTCTTACTATTCACTAACAGTCAGAAGCCCTAGTAAGCATATGGTATATATTCCAAGCTATGGCTGGTGACAATCTGCTCAAATGTTTAATCACCATACACCAAATGTCGCCAGCTCTTCAGCCTTAAATGATTGGCTTCTTGGTAGCCTCTGGCCTACTTTTTCTTAGCTAATCCCCCAATTTAGTTTTTTTTTTCTTGCAGCTTGTCATTTCTGAAAAAATTCATAATCAGAAATATTTTGAGCCACAAGTAATAAAAAACTTCAGTGTGACTATTAAACAGAGCATTATTTGTCTCAAGCCACAAGATGTTTGAGGATAGATAGGCAGTCCAGATCTGATACAATGCATTCTCCAGGTCCAGGCTTTTTTAATTCTCTGAAACAGTTTGTATAAGATAGAGATTCCCTGGCAATTAGGTAACATTCTCTTGTAAAACTTCTGTGCATGGTGTCTGTTGATGGAGAATAATTTCCTATATCTTCTTGAGTCAATTTTTGTAATATACATATTTTTTTCAGAAATATATTTTTAAATATAAATTTTCATGTTAGCTTTTAAGAAAAAGATGGAAATTTAGAGTTCGTTGTTGATTTGTTTTTGTTTTTTTGCATCTCCCATTTTTCAAGTGCTTTTAACTCAAAATAGTCAACATGAGAGAGTGGAATATTTAGGGTGGTGTGTTCCAAATTCTTTCAATGCTAACAGTAAATAAACATGCTCAGCAATTAATATTTCAGGATTTTATTTTATTTGGAAATGATCTAAATATTCAATGACTATCCATCATTTAATTTAACTTAGTATAACTGCAGGGTATAAGTTACCAAAGAGATTTCTGAAACTATTTTTTAAAGTTTATTTATAAGCTTTAATTTTATATATGACTATTTAATTCACTTATTTTTAACAATTATGTTTGGATTGCTTATGAAAATTTTATGCGATACTAAATAACTAGCATCATTTTAAGTTATTTTTCTTGCTGATAAGTTTTGTAGCATAAAGATAACCTTTTTTAAATTTTATTTTTAACTAGTAAAACTGGGTAGAAGAAGTTGTGTGCCTGTATTACACTTAATGCTGATTACTCTGAAAACATGTCTGGTGTTTTTTAAGTTTTTTTCTAAACCAACAATATTTTTGTTTACCAAAGTTTTCCCAAGTCACATGAACTTAAAAAGTATATGGGTCATTTTCTATTTTCCTGGGAGTTTTAGGGATACTTAATTTATATAAGAGCTTATTATTATTATTATTATTATTATTATTATTATTATTATTATTTTTTGAAACGGAGTCTCGCTCTGTCACCCAGGCTGGAGTGCAGTGGCCCCATCTCGGCACACCACAAGCTCCGCCTCCTGGGTTCATGCCATTCTCCTGCCTCAGCCTCCCAAGTAACTGGGACTATAGGCGCCCACCACCACGCCCGGCTAATTTTTTGTATTTTTAGTGGAGACGAGGTTTCACCATATTAGCCAGGATGGTTTCGATCTCCTGACCTCACGATCCACCTGCCTCAGCCTCCCAAAGTGCTGGGATTACAGGCGTGAGCCACCATGCCCGGCCAATAGCTTATTATTATTATTAAAGCCAATTAAATAGAGCAATTGGCCAGGCGCGGTGGCTCACACCTGTAATCCTACTACTTTGGGAGGCCAAGGCGGGCAGATCACCTGAGGTTGGGAGTTCGAGACCAGCCTGACCAACATGGAGAAACCCCTTCTCTACCAAAAATACAAAATTAGCCGGGTGTTGTGGTGCATGCCTGTAATCCCAGCTACTCGGGAGGATGAGGCAGAAGAATTGGTTGAACCCAGGAGGTGGAGGTTGCTGTGAGTCAAGATCGCGCCATTGCACTCCAGAAACTCCATCTCAAAAAAAAAAAAGGTATTTTACAAATTAATTTTGACAATACTATGCGGTGGCTCATGCTTGTAATCCCAGCCTTTGAGAGGCCAAGGCAGTAGTAGTAGATGGCTTGAAGCCAGGAGTTCTAGACCAGTCTGGGCAACAGATGAGGCCCTATCTCTAGAAACAATTAAAATATTAGTTGAGTACAGTGGCATGCGTCTGTAGTCCTAGCTACTCAGGAGGCTAAGGTGGGAGGATCAGTTGAAGCCCAGAATTTGAGACTAGCAAGGGCAACAAAGTGAGATCCTGTCTCTACAAAACAGTTAAAAATCAGCCAGGTGAGTTGGCAGGCACCTGTAGTCCTAGCCATTCAGGAGGCTGAAGCAGGAAGATCATTTGTATCCAGGAATTGGAGGCTGCAGTGAGCTATGATCATTACTGCACTCCAGCCTGGGCAACAGAGTGAACAAAGCGAGACCTTTTCTTAAAAAAAAAAAAAAAAAAGAAAAGTCCGGGCGCGGTGGCTCACACCTGTAATCCCAGCACTTGGGAGGCCGACACGGGCGGAACATGAGGTCAGGAGATTGAGACCATCCTGGCTAACACGGCGAAACCTTGTCTCCACTAAAAATACAAAAAATTAGCCGGGCGTGCTGGTGGGCGCCTGTAGTCCCAGCTACTTGGGAGGCTGAGGCAGGAGAATGGCATGAACCCAGGAGGCAGAGCTTGCAGTGAGCCAAGATCGCACCACTGCACTCCAGCCTGGGTGACAGAGCGAGACTCTGTCTCCAAAAAAAAAAAAAAAAAAAAAAACCAGAAACTTGGCTGGGCATGGTAGCTCACCCCTGTAATCCCAACACTTTGGGAGGCTGAGGTGGGCGGATCACAAGGTCAGGAGTTCGAGACCAGCCTGACCAACATGGTGAAACCCCATCTCTACTAAAAATACAAAAATTAGCTTGGCGTGGTGGTGCGCGCCTGTAATCCCAGCTACTCAGGAGGCTGAGGCAGGAGAATTGCTTGAACCCGGGAGGTAGAGGTTGCAGTGAGCCGAGATCACGCCACTACACTCCAGCCTGGGTGACACAGCAAGACTCTGTCTCAAGAAAAAAAAAAACAAAAAAAAACCACAACACACCAGAAACTTTTAAGGTTTATTGATTGTCCTTGAAATAAAATTTTGACAGGGCAACTACCTTTGGCTGCCCAATTCCAGGGGCCACCATTCACAAAAACTACAATATTAAAGGCACACCATGGTATGCAGAGAATAACCAACATGAATGCCCTTGGTAGCCCTGATGCTTGGCCTGCAGAAACAGAACAACAGCAAGGACAGCACAACGAGGATGATCATTGTCAACATTCTATAGCACTTTTCTGTTTATACAGTACTTAACTAGAGTGTCTTATTGCCCATCTAACCAATGAAGTTACTATGGCTCTCCTCCAAGCTCCCCCCATCTTTTTTTTTTTTTTGAGAACAGAGTCTTACTCTGTCACCCAGGCTGGAGTGCAGTGGTGTGATCTCAGCTCACTGCAACCTCTACCTCCTGGGTTCAAGTGATTCTCCTGCCTTAGCCTCCCAAGTGGCTGGGATTACAAGTGAGCACGACCATGCCCAGCTAGTTTTTGTATTTTTAGTAGAGACGGGGTTTCTCCATGTTGGCTAGGCTGGTCGCAAACTCCTGACCTCAAGTGATCTGCTCACATTGGCCTCCCAAAGTGCTGGTATTACAGGTGTGAGCCACCACACCCAGTCTTCCCCCCATCTTTATCGATGTATAATTGACAAACAAAAATTGTATGTATTTAAGATGTACAGGTTGCTGTTTTGATATATGTATACGTTGTGAAATAATCATCACAATCAAGCTAATTAATACCTATCATCTCACATAGTTACTATTTTATTTGTGTGAGTGTGTGGTGAGAACACTTAAAATCTCCCTTCTTAGCAAATTTCGAGTATACAAGATAGTATGTTAACTATAGTCACATTGCTGTGTATTAGGTCTACAGAGCGTATTCATCCTGCATAAGTGAAACTTTGTACCCCTTGATCAATATCTCCCCATTTCCCCTCCCCCAGCTGCAGGCAACCACCATTCTACTTTCTGCTTCTGTGAGTTTGTCTATTTTAGATTCCACTTTCCTCCTTGTTAAGCACAGTTCCTGGGTTCTGTGAGCTTGAAGATGATGAATAAAGAAGGAAAACAGCAGGAAAGTAGGGCCAGCAGTAAAGCATTCACCTCATGCAAAATTTAAGGGGGCTCAGAATCAAGATAAAGATTAATGCAATTTTTTTTTGAGACAGGGTCTTGCTCTGTCACCCAGGCTGGAGGGCAGTGGCACAATCACTGCTCACTGTAGTCTCGACCTCTCAGGCTCAAGCAATCCTCCCAGGTAAGCCTCCTGAGCAGCTGGGACTACAGGCATGCACCATCATGCCCAGCTAAATTTTTTTTTGTATTTTTTTTTGTGGAGATAGGGTTTCACTATGTTGCCCAGGCTGGTCTCTAATTCCTGGGCTCAAGTGATCACCCCCCTCGGTCTCCCAAAGTGCTGGGATTACAGGAATGAGCCACTGCTCCTGGCCCTGCAATATTTTTCTTTAAGTCTAAATGCAAAACATCCAGGATGAACTGAATACCAAAAATGTAAACAAAGAAAGGCTGTCTGTTTTTGTTTGTTCTATGACCTTGAGTTATTGCTCAATGGGATCAGTGTTTCTGATCAGCCTGAGGTTCACGGGCTATAGGGCCATGGTGTCCCTTGATGGGTGGGTTTATGAAGATTTACGACGGCATGTGAACAGATTGGGCAAGCTGGGACATTATGTGTAATCACGGTTTTTTATTGGAGAGCCTTTATTAACTTTTCCACTTGGTTCACAATATGGGAGGGTATTTTGGTAAGTGTGTATATAGGGGCATAGATTTCCCTGTTGCCTCGGGCTCCAATAGGGCTTGGCATGGTACTGCAGGAAAGTTCTTATTTTACTGGTATGCTTGGAAAATGGCTTCACAACTCAGGGTCTGGCAGGGGTTTAAAGCTGACTTTTTCTCTCCTGGGACTCTTCTTGGGTGGTTCTCTAGAGGCTGTCCCTGGAACATTTGGCTGCATTTCCTGTGATGTGGGTGAAAGTAGTGATTCGACAGGTTGGTCAATTCTCTCTCTGGTTTTTCAGAAGTTTGCGCCATAGACTCTTGTCTTCTGATGTCCCCTCATTCTTTCTTGTGGTTCCCTGGGGCAGGATTTAAAATGGCAATCTGGCTCTCCACTGAGAGGGCTCAGTGAGCCTTAAAAACACTTACACATCCTTTGCTCTGACGCTGTAGGAGCACAGGCCACCTGCCCTTCACTCCCTTGTCTTTATCCTGCTTCTGCATGTAATGCCAGCCTGAAGTCTCTGGCTTCAGGACTTTCCAAATGGGAGTCAGGCACCAATCCACTCACTTGATGTAAAGGGAGAAGGGCCCTCCACTACTCCCCTGAGGTGGGCAGAGAGACAATCACAGAATCATATTCTGCAGGTACATGTACCACAAATTCTTCTCCTTTTAAAAACAATTTGCTTCCTTTATGCTCTCAATATAGGTCAAGGGTTGTTATGAGCCATGTTACCAGTTTTCAGGTATCTACTTTAAGACTCCTTTAGGATGGTTTGTCTCAAAACTCATTTTGGTATCTAATATCTAGAGCCTTGGGGTCTCAGCTGAAAATTCCATTTAAATATTTTGCTAAGTTTCACTTTTCTCTAAAGATTTGAACATGGTGAAATAAAAGAAGTAGTCAATTAAGATTCTTTAGCTCTATTCTTAGAGGCATAAGCCTACATTTTTTTTTTAAAAAAAAAAGACAGGCTGGGCGCTGTGGCTCACACCTGTAATTCCAGCACTTTGGGAGGCTGAGGTGGGTGGATCGCTTGAGCCGGGCGTTCGAGACCAGCCTGGGCAACATGGTGAAAACCGATCTCTACTAAAAACACAAAAATTAGCTGGGCATGGTGGTGCATGCCTGTAATCCCAGCTACTCAGGAGGCTGAGGCAGGAGAATTGCTTAAACCAGGGAAGCAGAGGTTGCAGTGAGCTGAGATGGTGCCACTGCACTCCAGCCTGGGCATCAGAGTGAGGCTCAGTCTCTAAATAAATAAATAAATAAATAAATAAATAAAAATAAGTAAGTAAATAAATTAAAAAACCCATAATATTTCAAACTGAAACCCCTGGGATCCTTGGGAATGGTGTGAGGATGAAGTCAATAGTGGGATCATCACCTGAACTGAGTGCCCTTCCCAAGTGATGGCCAACTCAGTTCAGAGAGGACAATGGTTCATCAAACTTCATTTTCTTCAGTATCTCCTATTGAGAAGAGCTAAAACTCACAGGTAAAGATTCCCAAGGTGGCAGTAGTTACAGTCTCATTATCAAATAAAATAAAATATATGAAAGACAAACTTGCAAGAGCTATTTAAGGATTCATTTTTATTATTAATTTTCGCTGAAAACCAAATTCTCTATATGCAATGTCAAAGTACAGGTCAGCCAAGTTTCTAAGTGAGTAATTTAAAAATCCAAAATTAGCAGAGTTCAATAAAGTAAGGTTTGGCAGTGAGTGTCTTTATTCTACTATATATATCGAATGCTAATCTTGTTAGGCGTTGCTGTGAAAGATTAATATTCAGCCTCAGGCCAGTTTATCTGTGCCATCTCTCTGTGAGCACTCCTTTTAAGATTTAGCTTATCAGGCTGGGCGCGCTGGCTCACACTTGTAATCCCAGCACTTTGGGAGGCCGAGGCGGGCAGATCACAAGGTGAGGAGATCGAGACCATCCTGGCTAACACGGTGAAACCCTGTCTCTACTAAAAATACAAAAAAATAGCCGGGCGTGGTGGCGGGCGCCTGTAGTCCCAGCTATTCGGGAGGCTGAGGCAGGAGAATGGCGTGAACCCAGGAGGCGGAGTTTGCAGTGAGCCGAGATGGCGCCACTGCACTCCAGCCTGGGTGACAGTGTGAGACTCCATCTCAAAAAAAAAAAAAAAAAAAAAAGATTTAGCTTATCTAAGAAAACCCAAGTCACGGTAAATGCTTCTCCTCAGGTTTATTTTCACATTTGAAGTAGGACAGTGCTGCAGAATAAACATTTATTTATTTATATGTCAGACTGATCTGACATTCATCCATTAAGCTAAACAATTTCTTCAGAGAAGCTTTTGGAGTAGGCCAGTGTCCCTTAACAGAACAGGAGATTCTTGAGGGCAGGGACCATTTGTATGTCGCCGCTGCTATATCCCCAGGGCCTAGCCGAGTAGATGCTCAGTGGTCACAGGTTGAATGAATGGATTCATTTACTCAATAATATGTGACAAGCCCAGTGTTCTGTACTGGGATATAAAGAAGAAAGACAAGGTCCCTGCCTCTCCAACAGCTGCTGGTCCCTTCGTGGCTGACGGACCAATGAACTGACAACTGCCATGCAGTGTGAAAAGCACTTTAGTAAGGTACGTCTAAGTTGTTTCAGGAACACAGAAGAGAAGTATGTAATCTAGCCTGGGTGAAAGCAGGGGGAATGAGGGAGCTCAGAGACAGTGTCCAGGAGAAGTGTTGCTTGAATTAAGTGTTTAAGGACAAGTAAAAATTATCCTGGTCAGAGGAGTAAAGTAGAAGCAATTGCATGGTCAAAAGGAAAGAGGCCAAAGGGCATGTTTGTGTATCAGTACTGTTCTAAGGCGGTGAGTCTAAGAGGTGCCCTGGGGGTGTGTACTTTGTGTGTGTGTGTGTGTGTGTGTGTGTGTGTGTGTGTGTGTGTGTGTGTGTGTGTTAGGCTGGAAAGGTTAACTGGTGCTTATTCACTTCCCTCCCATGGTTCTTCCAAAGACCCGCCACCCTATTTTCAAATAATGGGCTGAAACAGAATGTTTAACCCCTGTCTCCTCCATTCCCACCCATTCTCCTAAATCATCTGATTGTCCTTGATGCTGGTATCTACCTGGTCATGACTCCTTTTCTTTCCTCTCCCTATGTGGGTGTGACCTTCTCATTTGCATGGATCACAATCCTTGGTGCAGGGACCATCTCTGAATCAGCTCCAAGGTCACCCCAGAAGGGCGAGAGTCCTTCACATCACAAATGGCTATTTTTTTCCCCCTACAGAATCATTTAGTTCATTAACTTACTTTTCTATTTTTCTTTGCATTCAAAGGCACAATCTAAATATTCATATCTTAGTTTTATCTTTGGGAAAAGCCAGGAAGTGTACCACACAGCTAAGGCAATGGAACAGTGGAATACAACTGGGTTCCAGTAAATCCACTATCACTAGTAAGGTGTATAACTTTGGAAAAAAAAATTTTTTTTGAGATGAAGTCTCGCTCTGTCACCCAGACTGAAGTGCAGTGGCATGATCTCTGCTCACTGCAACCTCCACCTCCCCAGTTCAAGCGATTCTCCTGCCTCAGCCTCCTGAGTAGCTGGGATTAGAGGTGTGCGCCACCACACCCAGCTAATTTTGTTGTATTTTTAGTACAGACAGGGTTTCACCATGTTAATCAGGCTGGTCTCAAACTCCTGACCTTATGATCCGCCCACCTTGGCCTCCCAGAGTGCTAGAATTACAGGTGTGAGACACTACGCCTGGCCAAAAGTGGTTTTCTTATATTTAAAGCAAGAGTTGGACTTGTACTAGGTGCTAAGATATTACTCGGTTTGAATTCTTGACAGGCAAAGAGAAAATATTCTGCTTTATAAACAGGATGGGGGGAGGCAAATAGTACTAGGTCCTAAGATATTATTCTGTCTGAATTCTTGACAGGCAAAGAGAAAATATTCTGCTTTATAAACAAGATGAGGGGAGGGAAATTGTTGATACTGAGCAGAAACAGTAGATATTCCAAGTCACTTTCTCTCTGTCTCTCTCTGTCTGTCTCTCTCACATATACACATGTGCACACTGGATGGAAACAATTCAGTTCGAAGAAATCAGCTTAATAGAAGCCCAGCAGTGGGTGTAAGGTTAGCATTCTCCATAAATGTTTTCATAGTTGTACAGTTGTAATTAAGTTCTGCTTGAGAAAATTGGTTCTCACGGTGCAACCTGAGAACTTCCTTCGTGGCTTCTTCAACTCCAAAGCTTGAGTGGGTCTCTGTGTTCTACAAGTGGCCAATTTAATTTTTCATTCTAAGGTCCAAAGCACCTATGATACCACTGAGATGTGGTGTCACCTACCTGACCTCTCACTAATATGTGGTAGAAATTGGTGATCTGTATTTTTCAAAGGAAAAATAAGTACAAAATCTTTTTATATTTAGGTTGTTGAAGAATATCTTTTCATCTAAAGGAGATCTAATTACATTGTTTTTCTTCAAGGGGCTAGTTGGTTCTGCATCTCCAGTATTGTGTGTGCGTGCATATGTGTGTGTACCTGTCTCAAATAAAGTAACAATTCCAGTTTGGCAACCCCCTAATTGCAGGGATTGCTAAAAAGATTATTATGCATGTTATTGCAGAGAACTCAGCACCCTATAAAGTCATGTGGCAGGAACTAGGGCATGTCTCAATTTACCACATTAATATTGCAATAAACCAACACCTCTCTGTAAACATCAGGGTAAGGAGGACTACCTAGAGGCTGGCTTTGTAGGGTCTTCTAAAGAATTTTTTTTTTTTCAGGAAGATGGAGAAATCACAGTAGTTTCATTAATACATATTTTGTTCTTTGGCTTTTCTCCTTTTATTCCTTATTTTAATTTCTCTTTTATTCTAATTAGAAAAGTAATACATGATGACTATAGAAAGTTTTTTTTGTTTTTGTTTTTTTGTTTTTGTTTGTTTGTTTGTTTGTTTGTTTTTTGAGATGGAGTCCCACTCTGTCACCCAGGCTGGAGTGCAGTGGTACCATCTCAACTCACTGCAACCTCTGCCTCCTGGGTTCAAGTGATTCTCGTGCGTGTCACCACACCCGGCTAATTTTTGTATTTTTAGTAGAGACAGGGTTTCACCATGTTGGCCAGCTGGTCTCAAACTCCTGAACTCAAGTGATCCACCCACCTCGGCCTCCCAAAGTGTTGGGATTACAGATGTGAGCCACCGCATCTGGCCAGAAAGTTTTAAAAGTGCAGAAAAGTATAAAGAAGCAGAAATTAAATAAGTTGATATCCCATCTCCCAGTTAGAAACACTGCTAACCTTTGGAAACACTTTCTTCCAGTCTGTTTCCCCCTGCATTATAAAAAAGTTATGCCCTGCTTTTTACACGTAATATTATACAATATACATTTTTCTTATTTAAAAAATTATTATGCCTATCATTTCAAATGGCTAACTAGTGTTTTACTTATGAAATTTGTCTAAACAGACCCCAAGTGTTAGATGTTAAGTTAACGTCAAACTTTTCACTTGCATAAAAATGCTGCATTGGCTGGGTACAGTGGCTCATGCCTGTAATCCCAGCAATTTGGGAGGCCGAGGTGGGCGGATCATGAGGTCAGGAGTTCGAGACCTGCCTGACCAACATGGTGAAACCCCATCTCTACTAAAAAATACAAAAATTAGCGGGGCGTGGTGGCACGCACCTGTAATCCCAGCTACTCAGGAGGCTGAGACAGGAGAATCACTTGGACCCGGGAGGTGGAGGTTGCAGTGAGCCGAGATCATGCCACTGCACTCCAGTCTGGGCGACAGAGTGACTCTGTCTCAAAAAAAAAAAGAATGCTGCATTGATTATCTTAATATTAAAATATTTGTGCCTCCTTCGAGTCATTTCTTTAGTACAGATTATTAAAACTGAAATTAGGCCAGGCGTGGTAGCTCATGCCTGTAATCCCAGCACTTTGGGAGGCCGAGGCGGGTGGATCACTTGAGGTCAGGAGTTCAAGACCAGCCTGGCCAAATGATGAAACCCTGTCTCTACTAAAAATACAAAAATTGGCTGGGTGTGATGGCATGCACCTGTAGTCCCAGCTACTCAGGAGGCTGAGGCAGGAGAACCACTTGAACCTGGGAGGCAGAGGTTGCAGTGAGCCGAGATAGTGCCACTGCACTCCAGCCTGGGCAACAGAGTGAGACTGTGTCTCAAATAAATAAATAAATAAACCCAAACAAACAAATAAACAACCCCCGCCCCGAAATTACAGGATCAGAAAGTAGAACATTTTAAATAATTTCAAGTGTCTTTTTAAATAATTTCAAGTGTCAAACAATATACCCATGTAACAAACCTGTGCCCATACCCCCTATGAATCTAAAAAAAATCAAAGTTTTATTTTAGAATTAGGGGGTACATGTACAGGTTTGTTACATGGGTATATTGCATGACACTGAGGTTTGGGGATGTGAATGATCCTGTCACCGAGGAAGGGAGCATAATACTGAATAGGTAGTTTTTCAGGTGTTCCCCTCTTCCCCTCTCCCCAACTTCTAGAAGTCCCCACCGTCTATTATTTCCATCTTTATGTCCATGTGTGCCCAATGCTCTCACTTATAAGTGAGAACATGCAGTATTTGGTTTTCTGTTCTTGCGTTAAATCACATAGGATGATGGCTTCTAGCTTCATGCATGTTGCTACAAAGGACATAATTTTGTTCTTTTTTATGGCTGCCTAGCATTCCATGGTATACATGTACCATATTTTCTTTATGCAAACCATCATTGATGGGCACCTAGGTTGATTCCATGTCTTTGCTATTGCAAGTAGTGTTGCAATAAACCTATGAGTACATATGTCTTTTGGGTAGAATTATTTATTTTCCTTTGTATATATACCCAGTAATGGGATTGCTGGATACAATGGTAGTTCTGTTTTAGGATCTTTGAGAAATCTCCAAACTGCTTTCCACAGTGGCTGATCTAATTACATTCCCACCAGCAGTGTATAAGGGTTTCTCTTTTTTTCTGCAGCCTCACCAGTATCTGTTACTTTTTGGACCTTTTAGTAATTGCCATTTTGACTTGTGTGAGATGGTATCTCACTGTGGTCTTGATTCACATTTCTCTGATCATTAGTGATGCTGAGCATTTTTTCACGTTTGTTGACTGCTTGTATGTCTTCTTTTGAGAACTGTCCATGTCTTTTGCCCATTTTTTAATGGGGTTGCTCGTTTTTTGCTTGTTGAATTGTGCAAGTTCCTTATAGATTCTAGACATTAGTCCTTTGTCAGATGCATAGTTTGAGGATATTTTCTCACATTCTGTAGGTTGCTTGTTTACCCTGTTGATAGTTTTGCTGTGCAGAAGCTCTTCAGTTTAATTAGTTCCCATTTGTCAGTTTTTTTGGTCAGTTTTTTTTGTCAGTTTTTGTTTTGATGCAATTGCAAAGCCTCTTTAAACACATTACGAAATTGCTATTAAGAAAGGACATATTAGTTTTTATTCCTACCACCAGCAGTACATGAAAGAAACTGTTTCAGTACACCTTCAGTTTGGGGCATTCACATTTTAATACATCTTTGTTACATTGGCAGGTAGGCAAAGTATTATATATTTGTAGTTTTAATTATGTTATTTGATCATTAGTGAAGTTGATCATTTAATCACATATGCATTGTGTATTCATATTCTTTGTCCATTACTATTGAGAATTTAGAATTGTTTTTAATTTTACTCATTTGTATGAGCTTATTTAGTACTTAGTCCCTAATGTTTGTTTTCCTATTTCCCTCAAATGATTGCTTATATTTCAAACCTACACATATCTTTTTGATACACAGAAGTTTAAATATTTGCTGCAGTCCATCTTTTCAATCTTTTGTTTTCTTTTATTATTATTAATATTTTTTGAGACGGAGTCTTGCCCTGTCACCCAGGCTGGAGTGCAGTGGTGCGATCTCGGCTCACTGCAACCTCCGCCTCATGGGTTCAAGTGATTCTCCTGCCTCAGCCTCCCAAGTAGCTGGGATTACAGGCATGTGCCACCAAGCCCAGCTAATTTTTTGTTACAAATACAAAATAAATACAAAAAATACAAAATACAAAAAAAAAATACAAAAAAATACAAAATACAAAAAAATGTAAATTTTTGTATTTTTAGTAGAGAGTTTCACCGTGTTAGCTATGATGGTCTTGATCTCCTGACCTCATGATCTGCCTGCCTCGGCCTCCCAAAGTGCTGGGATTACAGGCGTGAGCCACCACGCCCAGCCTCTTTTATTATTTTTAACCTTGAAAGGTTATCTCCAGTCCTGAGATTTAATAAAGTTTTTCTCCATCTTTTGCTGTATATACATACATTATTTAAAATGTAACACACACACACCCCTACACATACACCTCACACCTACACATACACCTGAAAGTCAGAGGGTATACCAATCAACTTAAAGAAAGCAAAGGTAGTGATTCACCAAGAAGTTAAAGCTGTCCTTTATTAAGAACCAGTTGGACCGCAAATTTCAATAAGAGCATTTGAAAGAAAAACTTGTTACCATGGATGGGTGGCTTATTATGAAGAGTTGGGGATGACAAAGAGGAGGCTGCTAGAGAATCCTTTTCCTGACTGCATTTTCACATTGAACTTGAGGCCTCCTCATGTTCTCCACTCTTCTTTTTTCTGAGGCCTCCTCATGTTCTCCACTCTCTTCTCTTTTTTTCTGAGTTTCTAGAAGAAATGTATGTGTAGCAACCTTGGATCCAAGGAATGATGACTTAAAGGAGCTGTGGGTTGTAGAATACGAAGTTCCTCATTTTCAAAAAAACTGAGAGCAACTAAAAGCTTAGAGAACTGAAAGAAATGGTCTGGGAATGCCCGGGAGTCTCTTACCATCTTTTCCTGTGATAACAGAAGCAGGTTGTTAAACAGAAAACTTGAGTCTAAGGGTATGGAAGGTGGTCTCTGTAGTTGTGAAGCCAGAGGGAGAGGAAGTTGGAAGTTTCCCTTTTGACATGAAATAAAGGATATCATAATTAGATTACACATCATACAATTTGAAATTCAACATGAGAAAGGTAAATATTTATACTTAATAAAATTTTATCTATACTGTGGACCTGTTTATTTTTATTTTACCCCTGTGGATTATTTAAACATTTGTTTTGGTGACCAGTTTAGCAAGGACATTTCTTAAAAACTGAAATTGTAACGTATGTCCTCATAATCATTCTTACTTGGAAAATGCCTAACTGACGGGTCTCTTAGCTACTGCCTAGGTTTCATTCTTTAACCTATCTGAACAGCAGGTATAGTGACTAAGAGGAACTGCTTAGTTTGTGAAGAACTGGCTTTGTAAACTCAGCTTTATAAAGTGACCACAAATTTCACAAGTCAACATGTGTGTCCTGTTTGAGCTCACTTGTCAAGGGTTGTTATAAAACTTGGGGTTTGGTTCTGCATCTTCAAGGGACTGTGGGCAAAACACCAGCTCTTGGAATACCAATTTCTTTAACTGTAATATTGGGGCTTTGGCTAAATCACTAAGGTCCCACCTAGCTCTAAAACTTGAATTTTAAAAAATCCTGCAATTAGGAAAAATCTAACAAACATAACTTTTCTTGTTCTTCTTTTTTACCTATATAAAAATGACATTTTAGGAGAGTCATAGGAAGCAGCCCAGAACTTTTTAGCTAATCAGGAATACTAGAAAGACAAATTTATGTTATTCCTTTAAGTAACTCTTAATCGAGTAGGCTGTCTCTAACTTTACTATGTTGGTTCTCTTTTTTAGATGGATTTTTCTGTTTTCTTTGTTTATAACAAATCTTGATACAATATGTACCTCATAACAATGTTTCTGTCAGTGATGGACCACATATAATGACAGCTTCTAACACCCAGTGACATCCCAGCTGTCCTAACATGGTAGCACAATATATTACTTTTTCTATGTTTAGCTACATAAATATTTATCACTGTGTTACAGTTGTTTACAGTTTTCATCACAGTAACATGTTATACACATTTGTAGCCTAGGAGCGATAGGGTACACCATACAGCCTAGGTGTGCAGTAAGCTATACTATCTAGATTTGTGTAAGTACACTCTGTGATGTTTGTACAACTACAAAATTGCCTAACGACACAGTTCTCAGAACATATACCCATTGTTAAGCAATGCATGACTGTTTTTGTTTGTTTGTTTTTTATTTTTATCTTTTGGAGATGAGTCTTGATGTGTTGCCCAGGCTGGAGTGCAGTGGCGTGATCTCAGCTCACTGCAACCTCAGCCTTCTGGGTTCAAGCAATTCTCGTGCCTCAGCCCCCTCAGTAGCTAGGACTACAGGTGCACGCTGCCATGACCAGCTAATTTGTTGTATTTTAGTAGAGACGGGGTTTCACCGTGTTGCCTAGGCTGGTCTTGAACACCTGAGCCCAGGCAGTCTGCCCGCCTTGGCCTCCCAAAGTGCTAGGATTACAGGTGTGAGTTACCACGCCCAGCCAATATGACTTTATATAAGAAATATCTATCATATTCAATTAAATTCAAATATTTTAATAAAGAATTAAAACATTGCAAAGAATAAAAACATACATACTAGAATATCTTCCTACGGTAAATTGTTACTAGGCAAAGAAACTGGCCATGATTAAGGCACTACTGCCACCTGATGGCACATAGACTAATTACAGGAAAAGTATCATGAAAAGTCAGCTTTTTGAATGAGTGAAATTAAAAAGTGATGATAAATTTTTAGCCTTTTTTTTTTTTTTTTAAGACAGAGTCTCACTGTCTCCCAGTCTGGAGTGCAGTAGTGCGATCTAGGCTCACTGCAGGCTCCACCTCCCGGGTTCAAGCCATTTCTCCTGCCTCAGCCTCCCAAGTAGCTGGGATTACAGGGAACCGCTACCACACCCAGGTAATTTTTGTATTTTTAGTACAGACAGTGTTTCCTATGTTGGCCAGGCTAGTATCAAACTCCTAGCCGCAAGAGATCCGCCCACCTCTTCCTCCCAAAGTGCTGGGATTACAGGTGTGAGCCACTGCACTCGGCCAAATTTTTAGTCTTAAATGGTCCTCCAAAATTTATGTTTAAGAAGGCATCTGGCTGGGCGAGGTCCCTTGGCCTCATTTAATCCTCATGGCTACCCTATAAGGAAGGTACTATTATCAGCTTCATGTTACACACAAGGTAACTGAAGAACACAGAAGATGAGTAAATTACCCAATGTCATAATTGGTAGAGCTAGGATTCAAATCTAGTCTGCTTGGATTTAAAATCTGCTCTTAACCACTATACTCTACCACTTCTTTGTTGTCCATCACTTGAATAAAATTTATTTAACAAAGTACTCATTTCTGAGTACTTAGGTAGTTTCTAAGTTATTATTTTAAATAATAATGTGATGATCGTTCTTGTGGCTAAATTTTTGTAAACAGATATCATTCTACTCTTAGACTAAATTCTGAGAAGTAAAATTGAGCATCAAGTGAACTTCACATATTTAAAGTTCGTTATCTAATTGCCTTGTGTCAGAAAGTAAGGAAATGCTCAAAGAAAGGACGTGTACCAATCAATACTTCCAGAAGCAGATCTATGTTATTCTTTGTTTTTAAATCGACTTTCAAATTGCAAATGTCATACATTCTTATAAAACATTCAAACAACTCTAAATCTACTTTTTGTGTATCCTAAGATTCAGCAACAAAGTAAATACATTGTGATTAATGGGAGTCATGTGTCCCAGTGTTAAATATATTAGTTATAAATAGGGAAAGTGGAAGGCTAAAGTGAACCAGTGGTATTGGATTAGAATCGAAGGTATGGGTATGAATTTATGGGTTTTTTTAAACATATTTACATAAATATGGTATAGAAATAAATTTAAGTGTGTGTGTGTGTGTGTGTGTGTGTGTGTGTGTGTGGTGGGGGAACGTATGTATGCATTTGTGTATATATTTCCTAACCCTGTTAAGAAGGCCTAAAAGCAGACTGGGCGTGATGGCTCATGCCTGTAATCCCAGCACTTTGGGAGGCCGAGGTGGCAGATCTCTTGAGGTCAGGAGTTCAAGACCAGCCTGGCCTACATGGGGAAACACCGTCTCTACTAAAAATACAAAAATTAGGTGGGCATGGTGGCGTGCACCTGTAATCCCAGCTACTCGGAAGGCTGAGGCACGAGAATCGCTTGAACCCAAGAGGCGGAGGTTGCAGTGAGCCGAGATCCTGCCACTGGACACCAGCCTGGTGACAGAGCTAGATTCTGTCTCAAAAAAAAAAAAAAAAAAGGTCCGGCATGGTGGCTCACACCTGTAATCCCAGCACTTCAGGAGGCCAAGGTGGGCGGATCACTTGAGGTCAGGAGTTCAAGACCAGCCTGGCCAACATGGGGAAATCGTGTTTATTCAGGAAGCTGAGGCTGGAGAACAGCTTGAACCCACGAGGTAGAGGTTGCAGTGAGACAAGGTCATGCCAGTGCACTCCAGACTGGGACAGAGCAAGACTCTGTCAAAAAGAGAAAAAAAAAAAGGCCTAAAAGAATGAAAGCCAGTAGCAATTAACTTCCAAGTGCCATTCTTCATTAAAAAGAACCAAATATCCTTGGAGAAATGGCAGACTGCAAGGTTGGGGCTGTGAAAGTACAAAATGAGTGTAGAGCAGGGGTTCCAACCTCCAGGCCACAGACTGGTACTGTGCAAGGAATCTAGGTTGCCTGCTCTTTGTGAGAATCTGATGCCTGATTATTACAATGTGATAAAAATAAAAATAAAGTACACAATAAGTGTAATGCACTTGAATCATTCTGAAACCATCCTCCACCCCCCGGGTCCATGGAAAAATTGTCTCCCACAAAACAAGTCCCCAGTGCCAAAAAGGTTGAGGACCAAAAACCAGTCCCTGGTGCCAAAAAAGTTGGAGTGCACAATAAATGTAATGCACTTGAATCATTCCAAAACCATCCTTCACCCCTGGGTCCACGGAAAAACTGTCTTCCACGAAACCAGTCCCTGGTGCCAAAAGGGTTGAGGACCGCTGGTGTAGAGCATCTTTGTGTCAGAAAGTAAGGAAGTGCTCAAAGACAGAGGGGACATGTCTAAAGGATGTGGGAGCCAGCTCCACCGGGTCCCCCACTGGCCAAATCTGGGGCAATTTTGTGTATCAAAATACATGATGAGGATAAAGAATCCATAGCAATATGG
Organism: Homo sapiens; assembly: GCF_000001405.40. Classification (NCBI taxonomy): domain Eukaryota; kingdom Metazoa; phylum Chordata; class Mammalia; order Primates; family Hominidae; genus Homo; species Homo sapiens. Next base: position 140,986,536 of record NC_000007.14, read on the forward strand.
ATTCTACATCACAATAAATAATTCTGCATCAAAGTAAATAATGAGGATAAAGAATCCATACTGACATGAATGAATGAAAGAATGAATGAATGGGGAAAAGGGAAAGCTTTCTTTGATAGTAAAATTCCAACTAATTAATGTAGAAGGAATGATGGAATCAGAAAATCACCACTTCAAAGGGAAAAGTAGCAAATTAACAGCAGAAAAACTTGGCAGACATCCCTTTAACCAGTGTTCAAAGTATTTTTTGTTCTTTTTTTTTTTTTTTATGAGGCAGGGGTCTTGCTATGTTGCCTAAGCTGGTCTGTAACTCTTGGGCTCAAGGAATCCTCCTGCGTCAGCCTTTGAGTAGCTGGGATTACAGGTGCATGCCACCTTGCCAGCCAGTAGTGTTGAAAGTTTAACATCAGTTGTAATGGGATATCATGTGCCTCCTGACGTGAAACATTGAGAATACAACAACAGTTCTGTGAATTTATTGCCAAAAATGGTAACCTGACTTGAATCATGAAGAAATATCAGACAAACCCAAATTGAAGGACACAAATATCTGGACTGTATTAATCAGAAATATCAAGGTCATGAAAAACAAGGAAAGACTAAGTAAGAAACTGTTTCTAATTAGAGGAGACTAAAGAAACCTGACAACTACATTCGATTCACTACTTGGGATTTTCTTTTTCTATAAAAGTCATTATTGGGGCAGTTAGTGAAATTTAAATATGTTCTATAGATTAGCTAATAGTGTCTTATCAGTGTTAATGTCTTAATTATCCTGATTTTAGTATTATCCTATGGTTATGTAACAGAATGTGTTTAGAGAATACATGGTGAAGTATTTAGAGATAAGGGGGATCATATCTGCAACTTACCCTCAAACAGTTTTTAAAATTTACACACACACACATACACACACACACGCACACATGCAGAGATTGCAGAGGGGAAAAAAACAGAAAGAGGGAAAGATAAAACATCCATTACAAATGTGACAGATGTTAACTTTTGGGGAATCTAGGTAGAGGTTACAAAGTAATTCCTTGTACTATTTTTTTTTTTCCTCCCAAGACAGAGTCTTGCTCTGTCATCCGGGCTGGAGTGCAGCGATGCGATCTGGGCTCACTGCAACCTCTGCCTCCCGGGTTCAAGCAGTTCTCCTGCCTCAGCCTCCTGAGTAGCTGGGATTACAGGCGCGTGCCACCATGCCCAGCTAATTTTTGTATTTTTAGTAGAGACAGATTTTCACCATGTTGGCCAGGCTGGTCTCAAAGTCCTGACTTCGTGATCCGCCTGTGTCAGCCTTCCAAAGTGCTGGGACTACAGGCATGAGCCACTGCAGCTGGCCTCCTCACAGTATTTTCGTAACGTAGTATAAGTCTGAAATTTTGTCAAAATAAAAATTTAACAAAATTTAAACAATATAAAAGTATCTGTTTAAAAAAGGGAAAGGGATTTCAAAGTGATTTCTTATTCTTCTTTCATTCTTTCCTCAGATCTTATCACAATGAATAATTTGGTGAGTAGCTTTCTAAATTTTTGCTATGCATATACAAAGACATGTATACGTATGTGTCTCCATGTTTGTTCCTGTACAATTTCTAGTAGGTTCATACTCCACTATACAATAGAATATTTTGCTGCTTTTCTTTTTTTGATGGAGTCTCACTCTGCCGCCCAGGCTGGAGCGCAGTGGCGCAATCTTGGCTCACTGCAACCTCTGCCTCCCAGAGTTCAAGCGATTCTCCTCCCTCAGCCTTCCAAGTAGCTGGGATTACAGGTGCCCACCACCATGCCTGGCTGATTTTTGCATTTTTAATAGACATGGGGTTTCATCATGTTGGCCAGGCTGGTCTCAAACTCCTGACCTCAGGTGTTCTGCCCGCCTTGGCCTCCCAAAGTGCTGGGATTACAGGCGTGAGCCACCATGCCTGGCCCGCTGCTTGATTTGTAAAATGCTATATTACTGACATTTTCCCATGTCAGTACATATACATATACCTCTGTTTTTTTATATATAACTAATGTAGTTCTATAATATCTAGGGTATGGATGTAGTATGACTCATATACTAATTTTCCCATTGATGAACATGTAGATTGCTTTCTTTTTCTATAAAAAACTGCAACTAATGGCCAGACACTGTGGCTCACACCTGTAATCCCAGCACTTTGGGAGGCCAAGGCGGGCAGATCATGAGGTCAAGAGATTGAGAGCATCCTGGTCAACATGGTGAAACCCTGTCTCTACTAAAAATACAAAAATTAGCTGGACCTGGTGGTGTGGGCCTGTAGTCCCAGCCACTTGGGAGGCTGAGGCAGGAGAATCACTTGAACCAACAAGACGGAGGTTGCAGTGAACTGAGATCACGCCACTTCACTCCAGCCTGGTGACAGAGTGAGACTCTGTCTCAAAAAAACAAAAAACAAAAAACTGCAACTGACATTTTTGTGCATTTGCCTCTATTTTCTGTGGTATAGATGTGGAATTCCTCAGTCAAAGGGTATTCATATTTAACCTATTGATAAATATTGCAAGGACTATTGCACTGTAGAAAGCACAAAGTGCAGCTAAATAGCTTCTCTTAATGACCACTGGGAGAAGCATATGTTAGCAACAAGTGTGAATAATGCTAAGTCAAATTTGTGGGTCATTTGGATGAGTCTTATGGTCCATGAGCTGCTTACAGCTGTGCATTGCTTGCTGGTCACCACAGAGCAGTGACAATCAGCCATGTGTGCATTGCTATCAGCACAGAGAAGGGAGAGTTGCCCTTGTATATTACTTGCAAACTATGTGTTATCTCATGCAGGCTGGTACATGATTACAGTCTCCCAAGAGTTAATTGTTAACTGGAGGGGTTATGCTAACTCTGTTAAGTGCCCATTATTACCTACATGTTTTCTGTTGTGTTTATTTTAAGAATGCAGACAGCTATTAATTATTGCGACAGTTGGATCACTATTTAACTTCTACTTTACTTTCTTCTCCTTACTATTTTCTCATCTTTTAGTCACAATTGATGTAGTAATATCAGTTATATATCTGTAAGAAAATATCAGAGGTACTGAGAAAGGCTTACTATAAATGAATAAATATAATAGTTTATTTTATTATTCCACCCACAATCCCTCCTAAAAATATCTGTTTTATCCAGTAGTCTGGCTTTTCATCTGCAATGAATATGTCATGTTTTGTGAAAGGGGTGTATGTGTGAGGGAAAGGGGGCAGAAATAGTTATCCCAATCCAATGTATACTCAGAGATTGTTTCCAGGCCAACAGAAGTGCTTTTGAATTATTGCTGTAAATTAGCATATTAAAAATAGAATAGTTTTTAAAATATAGCAGGTTAAAATCTTTAGGCAGCATAAGGTTTATTATTATGTGACTTTAAAACAATGGAAGGAAAGATGAAAAGATAGTTTTCAAGTAATATGTATTGAGTTTCTCTTCCAAGTCTTGGGCCGGGTGCTAAAGAACACAGATGAACAAGGACATCAATGTTCTTTGTCCTTGAATAACACACTTTTGTGGGACACAGACAAATGAGCACGTAGTTATGATATGAAGGCTGTGTAATATTGACATATACTGGATGTAGGTGTAAAATATCAAGGGAGCAGAGAAGAAGAAATAATTAGTTTTGACTGAGGGTATCAGAAAAATTTCAATGGATATATGATCTTTGGGGTGGCCCTTGAAGGATGAGTAGGAGCTCTAGGTTGGTAAGACATAATGGAAGACATTTCAGGCAAAGAGAATAATGAATTGCACGAGTGAAGGCAGAAAGGCTTTTGGATTCCTTATACACCTGTGACCTCTAAGAACTCTGAAAGTTAATGCAAATCCTAGGCCAGTGCTTCTCACACTTTCTGTGTATACAAACCATCTGGAGCACAGTAATATTCAGGTTCTGATTCAGAAGGCCTGGAGCGAGCCTGTCATTCTGCATTTCTAACAAGATCCCAGGGGCCTGGGGACCACACTTTGAGCAGAAAGGCTCTAAGCACTGTAAACTGTTGTGTGTTTCAGCCAGGCCTGCTACTTGGTGTAGCCTAGAAACAAGATGGAGATCACACATTTGTCTTTTGCCACGAGAAAATTTATAGCAAGTATCTAAAGGCCCTCTTTTTGAGACTGTGATATTTCAGAAACAGATTCTGCATTGTACCTGCACCAGCCCAGGTATAAATAGAGTGACTCATCCTGGAGGCCACTTGTCCAGATGACATGGGAGCAAGCACTACAGGAAAGGTGAGGGAAAGGTCCTGGCAGGCCAGGCTAGTTCCTGTGCATCCAGGGCAATGGTGAAATCCTTAGTGTGAGGGGACTGTGGCAGGAGGTGGGAAGAAAGCCAGACACGTAGTATTTTCACAAGATTTAAATTGGTTGGGGCTCCTTCAGAATAATAATAATAATTAGAAAAACATAACACCAATCACCCCTTTGAGTTTTTTTTGATGATGCTTTCTCAGGTATTTAATTTTTAGTGAGAAAATAGCTACATCACTTGGAATGGTTTGTTTTAAATTCAAAACTTTTTTTTCCTTAAAAAAACCATTTAAAAAATCATAGAAATAGGCACTTGTCCTTTGCAGAACACTTGACAAAAAACAAAAAACAAAACAAAACAAAAAACCCACAACATTTTGGGGTGGTCATAGTTCAGTAGATGATTTGGACTCATTTCCTCTTCTTTCTATTGTCCATACATCACCCAGTTGCCTACCCTCCTTGGGGTGTTGGCGCCAGTGAGGGTTTGGTAATATGGCAAACTGTTATCTGCAGTTGGAGAAGAGCTGGGGGGGCCCGCTTGTTGTGCTAGAGACAAATTGTGATCTCAAAATGAGGTCACTGAGCTTTTCTTCACTTTCATCTTCCCTGATATTTATGCTGATTGTGAAATGGAATAGGAGACTTCTTAAGATTAATGAAGGAGGGGGAGAGATTAGGTGATTATTTTTCACAAGAAAGATCATTGTGGACATGCCTTCTTTTCCCTAATAAAATTTACAACCTATACAGATAGCTTGAAGCAGACCACATGGCTACAATTTAGCACCCAGGGATTGGAATGGGCTTACTACCTCTATCCCAAAACATCCCCACATAAAGACTGTTGCAGAAACAAGAGATCATGCTAGATCATATTAGAGGGATAAACAATTATCAACACCAAGGACTCACGAAGGATAAATTAAGACAGATGTCTGAGCTTGTTGGAGAGAATGATAAAACCAGAGGCTGAAGGAGACTAGGTGATGAGGACACCACAATGCAAAGTCAATGCATCTTTGATATATTCCCAAGCACAAAGTAAGAGCCCAGGTCATCTGGATGCCTGCATCTTGGGGCTTAGTAAATAAGCAGCTTGGAACCAGAGTTTATCTCTTTCAATTTTGCTTCCACCAGAATTCCTAAAAGGGATTCTCATGTTTTAGAGGCATATTTAACACCTGGAAGAGCTTGTTGGGAATGCAGATTCCTGGGCTGCAGCCCAGCCTGCTGACTCAGAGAAGCCCCTGATGATTCTCAGTAGGTGGATTGAGCCCATCCTGCGAGCATAATTGCCTTAGTGAATTCACACTAATTGACAAGGCACTTGAGGAAAACAAAAACAAAAAAACAACAACAACAAAAAATGTAGGTCTCGTGACACTAGGAAAGAAAGTCATGTTTTTACCCCTGCTGGTCTCCCACCACAAGCTACGGGCAAAGAAGGGAAGAGATCCAAAGCAGAGAAAACACAAAATAGACAAACCTCAATTTTTACATCATAGGGGTATTTTTAAAAGGCTGTGTATAATCAAATTTGTGTCAGTTAATCTTTACTTTCCCTTAAGTCTAACTCAATGTATCCACTTTTGATTTTTAATGTGGTAATGACTTTGTCATCTTTTTTTTCTCTTCTACTTATGCCATACTTATGGCATACTTATGCCAGCCTCTCCATCCAGAATTGAACTGCCTGTGAACCAGCTACAGAGAGCACCCAGGGCCATTTGCCTCACAGCAGCAGAGCTGCTTGTTTACCGAGAGCTCCAGCCCCTTGTTGGCAAAGGTGGACCTCTTATCTCTCAGGGATCACTCTGCCTCTGGGTTCCTGTATCCCTGTGTGGGATTTACACACTGCCCGAGGGCCTGGCTCTTCCTGGGTTCTGCTCCACTGTTGCCCAGCTGACCTGTCAAGTTGTGGTTGGAGACCCAGAGTGACCCAGCCCCTACATCGCCCATCAGACTTGTTGCCCTGGTCTGGCTGGCCATTTATCTGGCTCTGGGATTAACTCTAAAATCCTGAGGGCACCAGCCTTCTAGGAGTCTGATATGGGCCATTTTCCCTGGAAATATAAATGAAACTGACTGGCGTGGGAGCACTTATAGCTCTTGCTGGTCCTCCTGGTCCTGGGTCCAACCTAAAAGGATCTTTTTCACCATTCCCACTGTCCCTGATCAAATCAATCTCTCCTTATTTGTCATATGGACCACCCTGGTGCTCTCCTGACTTACCTCCTTCCACCTTTTTTAGTCTATTTTAGTCCACCGTCCGTTTGGCTGCCCGAGGAAACTCTCTAAACTATGGATCTGACATCATTACCCTGCCATGTCCCTTTAATAGTTCCCCATTATCTGAGGGTAAAGCCAAAATTCACAATGGCCCACAAGGCCCTATCTCACCAGCCTGATCTCTCTCTCTTTCTCTCTCTCTCTCTCAAATCTTCCCCAAAATGCCACTTATGCTCTAGCTATAGCGAACATCTTATTCTTTCTTTCTTTTTTTTTGAGACTGAGTCTCACTCTGTCGCCCAGGCTGGAGTGCAGTGGCACGGTCTCAGCTCACTGCAAGCTCCGCCTCCCTGGTTCACGCCATTCTCCTGCCTCAGCCTCCTGAGTAGCTGGGACTACAGGGGCCTGCCACCACGCCTGGCTAATTTTTTTGTATTTTTAGTAAAGACGGGGTTTCATCGTGTTAGCCAGGATGGTTTCGATCTCCTGACCTCGTGATCTGCCCGCCTTGGCCTCCCAAAGTGCTGGGATTACAGGCATGAGCCACTGTGCCCAGCCTTACTCTTTTTAAGTCTATGCCATCTTCCAATGCCACATTTGTGTCCTCATGTTATGTCCTCACCCTGGAATGTTCTCTCTTCCCATTTTTGTCCCTCTTGCTTTTTCTTCAACTTTTTTTTTTTTTTTGAGTCAAGGTCTTGCTCGATCACCCAGGCTGGAGTGCAGCCTCGACCTCCCAGGCTCAAGTGATCTCCCACCTCAGCCTCTTGAATAGCTGAAATCACAGGTACGTACCACTATGCCTGGCTAATTTGTTTATTTTGTAATGATAGGGTCTCCCTATGTTGCCCAGGCTGGTCTCAAACTCCTGGACTCAAGAGATTCTCTTGCCTTGGCCTCACAAAGTGCTGGGATTACAGGTGTGAGCCACCATGCATGGCCTTGTCTTTTTTCTTGAATAAGAATCTCACCTTGTCCCCCAGGCTGGAGTGCAGTGGTGTGATATTGGCCCATTGCAGCTTCGACCTCCCAGGTTTAAGCAATCCTCCTGCCTCAGCCCCAACAAGTAGTTGAAACTACAGGCATGCACCACCACACCCAGGTAATGTTTGTATTTTTTTTCTAGAGACGGGGTTTCACCATATTGCCCAGGCTGGTCTCAAACTCCTGAGCTCAAGCAATCCACCTGCCTTGGCCTCCCAAAGTGCTAGGATTACAGGCATAATCCACCATGCCCCGCCCTCCTTTAGCTCTTTTAACGTTTTTTGGTTTTTTTTTTTGCATATTATTATGAAATGGTAAGCATTCGTGACGGAAAATTCAGAAAGTGTAGAAAAGAAAACCAACCATAGTCTCATCTCTCATAAGCAACAAATGTTAATATTTGGGCATAGTTCCTCCAGTCTTTTTGTTCATTTGCATTTTTCTTTTGATAACTGACAGCATTCTATACATGAACTCGTATATTCATTTTTAAAAAATTTTTTGAGACAGGATCTCTGTTGCCCAGCCTAGAGTACGGTGGCCCAAACACAGTTCACTGCAGCCTCAACCTCCCAGGCTCAAGCGATCCTCCCACGTCAGTCTCCTGAGTAGCTGGAATCACAGGCACACACTAACATGCCCAGCTAATTTTTAATTTTCTTGTGGAGACGGGGTCTCACTTTGTTTCCCAGGCTGGTCTCCAATTCATGGGCTCAAGTGATCCTCCCACAGTGCTCCCAAAGTGCTGGGATAACAGGCGTGAGTCACTGTGTTTGGCCTATGTTGTCTTAAAATAGTCTTAAATACCAACATGGGCAATATAATGAGACCCTGGCTCCACAAAAAGTAAAAGAATTAGCTGGGTGTGGTGGCATGCACCTGTAGTGCCAGGTATTTGAGAGGCTGAGGTGGGAGGATTGCTTGAGCCCAGGAGGTTGAGGCTGCCATTGAGCCATGATTGCACCACTGACCTCCGGACTGGGTGATAGAACAAGACCCTGTGTCAATTTTTTTTTCCTGAAACATATTTAAAAAAAACAAACTTTTTTTTTTTTTTTGAGATGGAGTCTCGCTTTATTGCCCAGGCTGGAGTGCAATGGTGTGTTCTCAGCTCACTGAAACCTCTGCCTCCTGGGTTCAAGCGATTCTCTTGCCTCAGCCTCCCAAGTAGCTGGGACTACAGGTGTGCACCACGTTCAGCTAATTTTTGTATTTTTAGTAGAGACAGGGTCTCACCATGTTGGCCAGGCTGGTCTCGAACTCCTGGCCTCAGGTGATCCACCTGCCTCGGCCTCCCAAAGTGCTGGGATTACAGGCATGAACCACTGTGCCCAGCCAAAAAAGCTTTTTGAAAGTACAATTCAAAAAATTTTAAATAAAATTTTAGACTTACCAAAAAGTTGCAAAAATATACAGAGAATTCCTGTATATTCTTCACCCAACTTCCCTTAATGTTAACATCTTATAACCAGAGTATAATTATCAAAACTAAGAAATTTTTTTCCACCGTAAAGTTACTACTTTTCTCTTTGTAAATAATATTTTTTGTGGGGGGGATACTTTGAGAGCATACAAATATCCTGCTTCTCCTTAAACTTTTGCCCATCAGTTTTAGCATCCATCAGTGGATACTGCTTGCAGTTATTATTACTGCGATATTCTAACCGAGATTTTCTATTTCCTTATTCCTTACATTTTACAATTGGAATTCTTCTGTAAAGTAAAGTACCTTCTCCTCAATTTATTTATACTGTATGGACTCAAAGATTTTTATTTAACCATTGGGTTTTAATCTAGTACTATCATAATATAGTACTATGCTTAATCCAGTAGTATTCTTATTTATTTTGTTGCTCAAATTGTTTCAGCCTTGGCCATAGGGGGCTCTTTCAGTTTGGCTCTCGTGCCCTTTCGACAAGATCCCCATCCTTTTTTTTATGGGGGGGCACTTCATCACTTTTTAGCATAATTTGTGTCTTAACCTCTCCCAACTCTGGAATCCACTATTTTTCCAAGGAACCACAATTTCTTTTGTTGGAGAATAGTATTTAGAAAACAAGGTCAGCCAGGCGTGGTGGCTCACGCCTGTAATCCCAACACTTTGGGAGGCCGAGGAGGGCAGATCACGAGGTCAGAAGATCGAGACCATCCTGGCTAACATGGTGAAACCCCCGTCTCTACTAAAAATACAAAAAAAAAAAAAAAAAAAAATTAGCTGGGCGTGGTGGCAGGCACCTGTAGTCCCAGCTACTTGGGAGGCTGAGGCAGGAGAACGGTGTGGGCCCAGGAGGCGGAGCTTGCAGTGAGCCGAGATCGTGCCACTGCACTCCAGCCTGAGTGACAGAGCAAGACTCAATCCCCAGAAAAAAAAAAAAAAAAAGAAAACAAGGTCTACGACTTGCATTTTGGAGTCAAAAAACATGGATATTACTAACAGCTAAGTATACATGCTGCCAGATTTTTTTTCAGTAAGTTTAAACTAAACACACTGCCACCAATTTTTCCAGTTCTACTAAATCATATTGTCAATTCAAATGGATTATCATTCATCTATCTTTCTCTTTATTCTTCCCTCCATCCTTCTGTCTCTCCTACTCTCTTTCCTTTTATTCTTACTTTCTCTTTTAATATAATGAGAAAAATGTACCTCATTTATTCTTCAATCCAGGTGAGTTTGGATATTTCTTTCATTCATTCAACAAAAATTTAGTGATGCCAACTGAGTCAGATTCTAGGCAATAGAGACATCCTCTTTTGGTTAATATTTTCATGGAATATCTTTTTCCATTTTCTCACTTTCATTCTACGTGTATCTTTGGATCTAAAGTGAGTCTCTTATGGACAGCATATAGTTGGATCATGTGTTTTTATCCATTCTTTTAATCTCTGTCTTTTGATTAGAGACTTTAATCCATTTGTATTTAAAGTAATTACTGATAAGCAGGGACTTCTGTTATTTTGCTATGTTTTCTACATGCCTTATGGCTTTTTAGTTCCTCATTTTCTTTTAATTTTTATATAACTTTCCTTTATTTTTTTTAGAGAAATGTTTAAATTCCTTTATCATTTCTGTGTGTGTGTGTGTGTGTGTGTGTGTGTGTGTGTATTTTTTTTCCTGTTGCTCAGGTTGGAGTGCAGTGGCTTGAACATGGCTCACTGCAGACTTAACCTCCTGGGCTCAATTGATCCTCCTGCTTCAGCCTCCTGATTAGTTGGGACTAGAGGCACAGGCACATGCCACCACGTCCAGCTAACTTTTGTATTTTTTTGTAGTGACAAAATGCCTGGCTCCCAAAAGGGTAAAATGAGAAAAATAGAGGAGAAAAGAGGGTTCTTACCCTTTAAATCCCCTGAAGTCACTTCAGCTAAAGGCAGAGGGGCTTGCAAGAATAGGAGGAGGTGCAACAACAATGGCTACCTCTTTGTATGCACTTCTGTGTTCAGAAGCAGACCATTTGTCTGAATAATGTCACTGTAGACATGAGTGTACAAATACCTCTTTGAGACCACCAATGTCAGTGGTCTGATTTTTAAAAATCAATTTTAATTACATAATTTTCAACATCTCATATGGGTCCCCACATTATTCTTGCATTTTACAATTTCTCTTGTGTTCTCTCCTATTTGGTTTTCCAAATGGATTGTTTTTCCAACTGCACTCCAAAAATGTCTATTAAAATTTTGATAAAAATTATAAGATAAATTATATAAATTAAATGTAAATAATTATCTTTTTGGGAAACCAAATATTTAATGTGTTCACTAAATTGTATCAATGCAATTTCAAGCAAATGCCAATTGGAAGACCAAGCCCAGGAATTCATAGAGGAAACAATCTTCCAAATAATAAGGAGCACTAAGGTGATCTTCCCCTTCAGCCACAATACTAGTAGCTATAAGAGTGTAAGTCAGTCAGTATTATCCAGATTTCTGAGCATTTACCACAGCATCAATTTTCAGAATTCTCTGGACAGTTTCATTTGCTAGGGTCAGAGCAATAAATGAAATCACAAAAGTTGGGCAACCAGTTTTCCAAAATGGAAATACTGCCCTTTTGATACTAATGCCTGCAATTTTTTTCTTGTTAGGCATGTTGATTTCTTAGTTCTGTTACTGTAGAAATGGGATTCAAAGCCAGCATTTTCAGCTAGTGTAGTTGGAATGACCTCCATAGCATCTGCAAAACATGAACACTGTAAAATTCCATACCACTCAATGTTCACAAACATTCAGTTAACCATAGGGCCAATTCTACTGGAGCACCACCTCCTGCAGTAAGAGCTCTCTTCACCAAACAGCAAATAATACATAGCACATCGTGAATGGAAGGCTCAATTCTTCAGTCCTATGACAATTTTAACTGTTTTTCCAGCACTTGTACAGCCTGTAGTCTTGAGCAGTTTTCCAGAACCATTTAAACTGACCTTCTCAGCTAACTCAGCAAAACCCAGCATGTCAGTGTGACTTGGTCAGTACGAGCAACTGGCTTGGTTCCAATTGTCTTACAAATGAATTCAACATCTTCTTTTTCAATATTCTTAACCAACATAATAATTTTGTTCAGGAAATGTCATGCAAGATCACTAGGAGCGTCTCTAAAGTGTCCTGTATGAGAAGGACATTATATCCCATTTGTAAAAGTTTGCTATACTAAACTTAAAATATAGGCTCTCTCTCTCATAGCATTTAGTCCATCTGAACATTGTCAGAAACTGCTACTTGATTTCCAAATCTGTTGGGAGCAGATAAGCAAAACTGAATGTGCCCAATCTTAGCCTTTTCAAATTGGGTTATGCCAGAATTTACCACTTTCTGGGTGAGAATAAGACCTTCCACCAACTCACAGTCATCAATTTTTCCACCAAGTTTCTTAACCGCAGTCATATATTGCTTAACAATGGGGTACAATCTGAGAACGGCATTGTTAGGTCATTTTGTCATGCAAACATCATAGAGTGTACTTACACAAACCTAGGTGGTATAGCCTACTACACACATAGTTACATAGTATAGCCTATTGCTTGTAGGCTATAAACATGTACAGCATGTTACTATACTGAATACTACATATCTAAACATTGAAAATGTACAGCAAATACATGGCATTATAACCACTGTCATATGCAGTCTGTTGTTGACTGAAATACTGTTACATGACACATGACTGTATGTTAATATCTCTAAGATTTACAGTAGTACCTGTAGCTGGGTCACTTTCATCACTGCATTTACACTCGTCGGAGGAAGCAGAACTTGAATACTGAAAGACAACCTGTGAGTTCAAAGAACTGGTGGCACTGTTTAACAAAGTTTCTCTGTCATTCAGTTCCACAGGTTGAGATATGTTACTTAAGATCTCAATACCCTTTTCCAAAGACTTCTGGGATGACTTGGAAGTGATGGTTGGATGAATCCCTTTCTGAAGAAGCTTGGCCCAGGAACCTATGAGAGAGCCAGCAATAGTGCCAACTGATGCAGTGCTATCTCCTGCTTCTATATCTTAGCCCCCCCAGCATTCTGCTGCTGGATGTGACACTTGCATTTGTTTCAGAATGGTGGCACCATCATTTGTAGTGATCACATTGCCTTTTCCACCTTAAATCTTTTTTCCCATTCCTTTTGGTCCAAGGCTTGTTTTAATAGCATCAGCAACAGCTTTGGCTGTGATGTTGCTGAACCAGATCTCAGCCTGCTTGTCATATCCCTGACAGGCACCTTTCACACAGCAGCTGGCAGCCCTGGTGGGTGCCCTGCTCCATGGTCCAAACAACATCTTTACTTGGGCATGTTAACTAAAACTTTCTCCTTATGTGTTACATCTTGTTTTGTTTTTTGTTTGTTTTGCTGTCAGGTTCTAAAGATGTGCTCCTTTAGGGTTAGGGAAAGGCTCCAGGATGGCTATGGAATTCCACTAGGGAGCTAGAGGGCCACAGGAATCTACCAGCTGGGGGACTTTGGCCAAGTTACTTTAAACCATAGTTCTCAAAGTGTGATCTCCAGACCAGCATCATCAGCCACACCTGGGAACCTATTACAAATACAAATTCTTGGGCCTTGTTGGAGATCTATTGAACAAGAAACTGGGAGTGGGGCTTAGCCATTTATGTTGAACAAACCCTCAAGATGCTGCTGATGAATACTTAAGTTTGAGAAATACTGTGTTAAACCATATTTCTTTTTCTTTTTTTTTTTTTTTTTTTGAGACGGAGTCTCGCTGTCGCCCAGGCTGGAGTGCAGTGGCGCAATCTCGGCTCACTGCAGGCTCCGCCCCCTGGGGTTCACGCCATTCTCCTGCCTCAGCCTCCGGAGTAGCTGGGACTACAGGCGCCCGCCACCTCGCCTGGCTAATTTTTTGTATTTTTAGTAGAGACAGGGTTTCACCGTGTTAGCCAGGATGGTCTCGATCTCCTGACCTCGTGATCCGCCCGCCTCGGCCTCCCAAAGTGCTGGGATTACAGGCGTGAGCCACCGCGCCCGGCCAACCATATTTCTTAACCTTGGCTGCACAGTAGAGCCACCTAAGGAGCTTTTCTCTATCTACCCCTATTCTGATTAGTCTGGAGGGGGACCGGTGACAGGAATCTTGATTCTAATGCATAACCAGAGTTGAGAACCACAGCTCTGAACTTGTTTGTGTATAAAATGGGGGAAAATAATACTTACCTCTTAGAGCCGTTGTAGTGATTAAGTGATACAACTTACAGTAAGAGTGAAGCAGGCCCGGGTGGCTCACGCCTGTAATCCCAGCCCTTTGGGAGGCCGAGGCAGGTGGATCACTTGAGGTCAGGAGTTAGAGACCAGCCTGGCCAACATGGCGAAACCCCGTCTCTACTAAAAACACACAAAAAAATTAGCCGGGCGTGGTGGTGGGCGCCTATAATCCCAGCTACTCCGGAGGCTGAGGCAGGAGAACGGCGTGAACCCGGGGGGCAGAGCTTGCAGTGAGCCGAGATCGCACCACTGCACTCCAGCCTGGGCGACAGAGCGAGACTCTGTCTCAAACAAACAAAAACCAAAAAAACTAGCTGGGTGTGGTAGCGCACGCCTGTAGTTCCAGCTACTTGGGAGGCTGAGACAGGAAAATCGCTTGAACCTGGGAGGCGGATGTTGCTGTGAGCCAAGATGGTGCCACTGCACTCCAGCCTGGGCAACAGAGCGCGACCCTGTCTCAAAAAAAAAGAGTGAAGCAGAGTGTCTAGCAAATGGTGAAGCACTTGACAAATGATAGTTACTGGTATAATAATACTCAGAGAGGTTAGAGCTACATCACCAGGTCAGGAAAAGACAGTGGGACTTTGAGGGCTCAGTGTTGGTTTATTCAGGTTATGACTCTGAGGTTGCCAGGTCATGCACCATAGCTCTCACTAAGCAAAGTTTTTATGGTTGCTTGTGGGTCTTTGTTCATACCATTTGCTTCAACCCTTTCTCTCTGCTTGTGAAAATCCTACATTAAGAGTGTGATGAAAGGTACAGGGTTTGTCACCTACCAGGGATGGAGAATAGAAAAAAAAGAAGGTACATGTTTTAGAGTCAGCAGTTTGAATTTAAAACTTCAGTCTAGACATTTATAGCTGTGTGATCTTGAGCATTGGTCTCCTTATCTGCAAAATGGGGATGTTTATCATATGGGGGGGCGTCAAATAAGATATAGCCTGCAAAGCACAATGTATTAAACACTCCAGAAATGCTGGCCTTATCTGTATTTATTGCTGTCCTGCTTGGGAAGTCATTCCTGATGATGCAAACATTGACCTCTTTTATCTCTAACCCTCTTTTTAAATATTAACTTGTTACTAGTTTGGTGCTTAACCCACTGGCCATTTCTCACAGATATTCTCAGACTGGAGCTCTTTTTAGATTAATCTGTATCCTTAGTCTTTCAATTTCTGTTTAGAATAGTTTTTATTCTAAACTCAACAGGCCAATTGTTTGTGGCTCTATCGGGAAAATGATTCTGCACTGAGCCCAATTTAGATTGTCTTACTGAGACAAGGCTAGGTGGAGCTCGGTCTTCTGCAACAGGGACACAGAACATTCTCCATAAATGAATCCATCCTTTCAGAAAACACATATTTCCTTAAGTAGAATGGAAAAGGTCTTAGAATCTACCTTGGTTTAACTCTACTTTCTACTTTAATGTGAATCTGTAATATTGCCACATCTCCAATTAAGTTACAAAATTGCATCTGGCTAGTTTTATAACCCTTCTCTCCATTTTGTTGCCTTTATGGCATTTAAAAAACATTTCACTGTTTTAAGTTCAGCATAAAAGTTTTACTGTTTATCCAGTTATCTTAGTATCCAGGGCTGGACAGTCTCTCTGTTTTATCTAAGTATCCTTGAATGTAATACTGTTTGTTTTGCTGCTTCTTTCTCTCTTTTTTTTTTTTTTTTTTTTAAGAAATGCTTTCTTCTGAACCTTTCTTGAGTACTTAACGAAAGCCATGAAGACAGGGTTGGCAGGATAACAGATGTTTCCCCCTATTTATTGCTCCTGAAGTTTGTTCCCTGCTCTAAATCTCTAAAATTAGGCACATAGGATCTTTGGGAGAAATGTGTGAATAAAGAGAGACGGGGTGAAGCAGGCAGAATTTCAAATTTTGATTTATTCTTTCTTGGAAAATGATTTATAAATACAAGCATTATGGTTATATATGTTTAAATATATGATGCCTTATGTTTATTTTGAAACACACACATATATGGTGCTTAAAAAATAAACTTATGGAGCCCATAATTACATAAATAATAAGATGTTACCTCTCATCTACCTCCTCTTCCTGAACCTATCATGCTGCTTGTAAACGTGGGGAACTTTATATTTTTAGGAGATACGTGTCAATGCTGCCACAGAAAATTGCGCTAGTAAGACACAGCAGTACTTACTAGTCACATAATGTGCTATATGTAAAAGTTTTTAACTTTTTATAATTTACAGAGTTCTTTTCACAAATATCTTATTTCATTAATCCAGTGAAGCATTATGATTTTATAGAGAAGGAAAGAGGTTCAGAGAAGTAACTGACGTCACATAATCAGTAAGTACACTGTATCACAAACCCATGACTTTTGAATCTAAAACCCAGTCTTTTTACTATGTTATGCTGAAATCGAGGGCAAAATGGTCTATGCACACTGATCCCCACAGGTTAGAAAGCACCAATAGTTTAGGTTTTGACCAGAGAAATCCAATTAAACAAACTGGCTAGTCTAAACTTGGAGTTAAAGATTTTTTTCTGATTACACTTAGTCACCATCTTAACCATTGGTCACTGTTGTCCTGAAATTTGTTGACTTCCCTGGTGTCAAGAGTTAACTTTTCCTTATCTTCTATTGATACCTTCCAGCTGGTCCATCGTACTTCTGTACAGGCTGTTTTGAGTCACACAGCTTGCTCTATCAATTGAAGGTATAGCTTATGTACAAATGTATTTTAGCTTTCATTTCTGATTTTCAGCCTGGAGCAGTGGCACACTAATCTACTTCTGCGTTATCTACAAACTTCCCTGTCAATCATTGCCAAGGCTCACTGCAGGGTCAGGGTCTGAGATCTCACTGAAGCTCTTCCATCGGCAAACCAATACATCGATTCTTTACTTGTTTTCCGACTCAGGTCTGCTGTTAGAATGTAATGCAGTTATTCTCTTTAAAATATCATGCTAATTCTCTTAAGTTCCTCTTACATTCAGATCTTTCCCAAAAGCTGGAGATCACATAATTCAAACATCTGCTGAGCTACATTGGGTTCAGGCTGAGATCCTGTTTCTCAGCTCAACATCCTGGGGTAGTCATCCACCTACACCTGGCTCAGCTGCATTGGCCAAGAATAACAGTGCATCTGCACTTTTCTAAGCACGTTTCTGAGATCTTGCCAATACTTTGTAATACACACATGCTCATTCACACAGTCTTAGGGACTAAGTCTATTTGTCTCTGTATCCTCTACAACTATCACGTGTCGAGCACATGGCAGGTGCTCAGTAAAAAGTTCTAAATGGGCTGGGTGTGGTGGCTCATGCCTGTAATTCCAGCACTTTGGGAGTCTGAGGTGGGTGGATCAGGAGGTCAAGAGGTTGAGACCATCCTGGCTAACACAGTGAGACACCTTCTCTACTAAAAATACAAAATATTAGCCGGGCGTGGTGGTGGGCGCCTGTAGTCCCAGCTACTTGGGAGGCTGAGGCAGGAGAATGGCGTGAACCCGGGAGGTGGAGCTTGCAGTGAGCTGAGATTGCGCCACTGCACTCCAGCTGGTGAGAGTGAGACTCCGTCTCAAACAAAAAAAAAGGTCTAAATGAATGAATTCTCCTTTTGCTGGAATTCACTTCTACCACATACAAACCACCCAATTTTATTTTATTTTATTTTTTTAAACAGGCTATAAAATAGGCCCTAGCCATACCATCTGGATTAGGTATCTTTAAAAATAGCATTCATTTAAACATATGTACTGGGAATCTTTCTACTTCAGGAATCATTGAGTGTTACAGAGAAAGAAAACTGTGGCTGGAGTAGCTGCTATACATACTCCAATAAATACTATCGCACTAAAATGCTTTTATATTTTGATTATTTTTTGAATAATATGTTTGAATATTGACACTATTGTACACTTAAATATGGTTAAGATCATTAATTTTATGTTTTTACTACAATAATAAAAAGTTATTAAAAAATTACTGGACATGCTAAAGATTCAGAACAACTGTTGGAAAAAAAAATCAGAGAAGCCTTCACAATTTTTTTTTTGAGACAGAGTCTCGCTTTGTTGCCCAGGCTGGAGTGCAGTGGCACCATCTCAGCTTACTGCAAGCTCCGCCTCCCTGCCATTCTCCTGCCTCAGCCTCCCAAGTAGCTGGGACTACAGGCACCCACCACCACGCCCGGCTAACTTTTTTGCATTTTTTAGTAGAGACGGGGTTTCACCATGTTAGCCAGGATGGTCTCGATCCCCTGACCTCGTGATCCACCCGCCTCGACCTCCCAAAGTGCTGGGATTACAGGCGTGAGCCACTGTGCCCGGCCAAGCCTTCACAATTTCTTTGGAAACTCATTGCTGGAATACAATAAAACCAGCAGCGAGCTACTCAAATCTATACAACAGTCATCCCTCATAGAACTTCTAGTTATGTTCAAGCTTTTCCACAGAATTTCCAAAGCCCTTCATGATCTGGCCTCTGTTTTCTTACAGCCAACCATGAACAAACTCAGTGTTTCTTGAACAGACAATTTCTTCATACCTTAGGGCTTTGCAAATAGTACTCTCTGCCTCAAACCCCTTTCTCACCATTTTCCTTTTGGCAACCTCTTATTTATTCTTCAAGGTTCAGCTTAAATATCATTTTTTTTTTGAGATGTAGTCTTGCTCTGTTGCCAGGCTGGAGTGCAGTGGCGTGATCTCAACTCACTGCAACCTTTGCCTCCCGGGTTCAAGCGATTCTCCTGCCTCAGCATCCCGAGTAGCTGAGACTACAGGTGCATGCCACGACGCCCAGCTAATTTTTGCATTTTTAGTAGGTGGGGTTTCACCATGTTGGCCAAAATGGTCTCGATCTCTTGACCTTGTGATCCACCCACCTCGGCCTCCCAAAGTGGTGGGATTACAGGTGTGAGCAACAGCGCCTGGCTTAAATATCATTTCTTTAGGGAAGCTTTCTTTAAACTCCCTAATGTGATTTGGGCTTCTGGCTATCTCTCTCTGCATTCATCCATCCATCCATGCTCTTATAGAAGTCTGGCTTTTTCCTTTGTAGCATGTAATACAATTGTATGTAATTATGTAATATTAGTCCCTCCCACAAGACTGAAACTTACATGAGGTAGGGAGTATTTCTCTTGCTAACCACGTGTATTACCAGGGCCCCAATATCTTGTACAGAGCAGGTATTCAATACTTCCTTTTAAAAGATACTTACTCTACAAATTCATCTTAATAGATTTCTCAAAGGAGTAGGTGAAGACACACACAAAGTTTGTGAGCTTGGTGGTGGAGACAGTGGCTGAAAGGCCCAAGATGAAAGAAGTTTAGGGCTGGGTGAGTCAGTAAGCAAGAAGGGAGAAATGAGGACACTATAGGATGCTCACTTAATGAGGTTTCCCCTCCATTCCCCCAGCATCCCATCCCACCCCAAACAAATCATCAAACAATAACTTAGGTATTTATTTCATTAGAGAATCAGGTAAACCTCACATTACACGGCCAAGGCCAAGATAATTTTGCACAGTTAGAATGTGTTCAAGAAACCAGCCACAATGTAACCGGATTAGATTTCACCAAGGAGATGACTGTGTTCCTCCAAATAAACTTCATTTAGGAAGATGACATTCCTCCAATAGGTGGAAAGACAATAAATGCACTTTCTTCTCTCCGCCACTGAGGAAGAAAGTCTCCCTCTTGAGGGACCAACACTATTTCCTTTTTGCTGCTCTTTTCCCTTCTCCTTTCTTTGGTTTCTCCTTTCCACGAAGCTTCTTTAGTCGTTTTTGCTCATCCATAAAATCCTGATGCTCATCTCTGAATGAAGAAGGAAAAAATAATTAACCAGTTATTTTTACGAGTAGAAAAGTACACTAATCTAGCACGCACTGCTCTCTTAGGTCATTCTGGTTATCGATCTTTGACTTTTACAAGTTAGCCACATGCTCAGCTTGGTGAACAAAAAGTATAGGGAGTCCCTAACACAGAGATGCGGTGTATTCCAAAAGTTCACTTGTAAGTCCGTTTCCCCTCACAGAAACACTGCCACAAGCTGCAGGGAAATTCCCAGGCCAGCCTACATAAACCTACATAACAATGACACAATACTAATGATTACCCCAAATTTCCCTGCAACACTAAGACTAAACAGAGAGGAGACAAAGTGGGAATCTGCTTCAATAGCTACACAGAGACCCTGACTGCCCTAGGAACTAGCATCTACTCAGAATGGGGTGAGGTCTGGAGGAAGCTCAGCCTGGCCAACATGGTGAAACCTTAGTGGCAGCAGGTAACTCACACAAAAAGGCTGCTGGGGAAAGGCTCAGGCAGAAGGAAGCCAAATCAAAAGACAGATACTAAAGGAATCAAAGCAGCCAGGACTACGTAAGTATGTGGATGGCACAGAAGTTGATGATTGCTTATATTATAAAAAAAAGTCCACATCTTAAGCCCAGATACCTAAAGATTGGTATGGTGTTTAAACATGTAAGCTCTGGATTCCATGTGAACCTGGGTTCAAATCACGGCTCCACCATTTACTAGATCTGTCACCTTGGATAAGTGGCCTTACCTCCCTGCACCTTAGTTTCCTAACCTGTAAAGTATGGATAATAACAGTGTATGAATCAAATGTAAGAGAGGGGTGTGCTGAGCTTAAGTTTTAACTCTCTAGGCTATCCATGAACATCATGGACAGTATACAACTCTTTGGGATTAGTGGTGAGTGTCCCCAAATAATTCTCAACAGTGCAGCTGGTATAATTCTTCTAAAATATATGTCAGATCATGCTACTCCTGTTCATAGCCCTGCAAATAGTTCCCCATTTCAACCAGAGCAAATGCCATTGTCCTTACTATGGCTTCACAGCCCCTTGCAATCCGTCTCCAGTCCCACACCCTCCCGGTACCTGCACGCCTCCTGGAAAGGAACACTCCCACCTCAAGGCCTTTGCTGTGCTCTTGCCCCTCTGCCTTGCAAACTCTTCCCCAAGTCCTACTTGGCTCACTCACCACCTTCAAGCCTCTGCTTAAACCTCAACTCCTCAACGAGGCTGACCCTGACTGTCCTGTTTCATCCTGTAATCTAGCCTCTCCCCACCTACTGCAGGCCCCGTCAGCACTCTGGATCCTGCTCAGCCGGCTCTACTATTTTTTTCCACAGCATGTTCAACTTTGTAACAGATCCTATAATTTACTTATTTTTTTTCCCCCTCTTCTGTCCCTCCTTCATTCTCATCAACCGTTGGACAGAAAGAAAGCTTTCTGGCGACTCTGTCTCTGTTGATGATACAAGCTAGGTACCTGGTTAACTGAATGAATCAATTGTTTCTGAGAACTGGTGCTTCCCTCCCTCTTTTGCAGATCTCTGAATAATATTTTCTTTATTGGAGACTGTCTAGTTTCATCCTGCCTGATGCCACAGGAGGCCTAGCATTAGAGGTATCATTTACCATACCTAGTGACTACGTGAAAATAATCTTGTTTTTCTATGGATAACTATTTTTCCCTGTCCCCAAAGATAGTTAAGTCTTTATTTTTCAAACAAACAGACAGCAGCAGCAAAAAGATCAATTAAAATAACTGAATGTGATTTTTTCATGGGTTATAATCTTCTCCTCAGGATATCTGCCTCCCAATATTTTATTTTGGGTTATAATAAAATTAGTTTTTATTTTCTGAGCCCAGACTAATGGCAAGAGAGGTAGTCCCAAAGCAATTCCAAACATTCAAAACATGTCATAGATTGTAACCTCTAATGTTAACCAAGCACATCTATTATGTTCACTGCTGTTCCCCTAGTGCCATCTTAAGTGCCTGCACGTGGAAGGTACGTAAGAAATATCCACTGGATAGTGAATGTACCAATCTTTAGTGATCTGCAATGAATGTTGTGCTGTACTATTAATTCTATTGTATTAGAATAAATGGTTCCCAATAATTTTAGTATTGTTGCCCAAAGACAACTCCAATTACAACTTGTTAAATTTTTAAAAAGATGGTAGGTATTTTAACTTTATACAATTATGTACTATTTGAATTCTTTTGTAATGGGCATGTATTAGTTTGGTAATTAAAAAAATAATTTTTTTTTTTTTTTTTGAGACCGAATCTCGCTCTGTTGCTGGAGTGCAGTGGCACGATCTCGGCTCACTGTAACCTCTTCCTCCTGAGTTCAAGCGATTCTCCTGCCTCAGCCTCCCAAGTAGCTGGGATTACAGGCATGTGCTACCACACCCAGCTAATTTTTGTATTTTTAGTAGAGACGGGGTTTCACCATGTTGGCCAGGCTGGTCTTGAATTCCTGACCTCAAGTGGTCTGCCCGCCTTGGCCTCTCAAAGCGCTGGGATTACAGCTGTGAGCTATCATACCTGGCCAAAAAAATAATTTAATGAGAAAGATCACACAGGTATTTGATTTTTTTTTTTTTTTGAGATAGAGTCTTGCTTTGTCACCCAGGCTGGAGTACAGTGGCATGATCTTGACTCACTGCAACCTCCATCTCCTGGGTTCAAGCAATTCTCTTGCCTCAGCCTCCCAAGTAGCTGGAATTACAGGCGTGTGCCACCACGCCCAGCTAATTTTTGTATTTTTAGTAGAGACGGGGTTTCACCATGTTGGCCAGGCTGGTCTCAAACTCCTGACCTCAGATGATCTGTCTGCCTCGGCCTCCCAAAGCACTGGGATTATAGGCCTGAGCCATTGTGCCTGGCCTGATCTTTTTTTTTTTTTCAGAGATGCACACAGTTCTAAGCACCTACTCCCTAGACATACACACACATACAAACACATGGTGTTAAGAACCTGTGTGATTTACGTATTATCCTTAAAGGCAAACTACAGCTTATCTAGACCAAATTAATATGTCAAAAAGGGTACAAAATAAAAATGCCAGAAGACAGTAGGAAGAAATGTCAACAAAAATGCCACCAGAAGAGAAAGAAGGCTCCCACATACCAGTTAAGCAGCAGATCAGGTGTCGGTCAGGGACTCTGTTCATCTGATAACAAGAGCCCACTGCCCTGGCAACCTTGGTGTTTCTGAGGCTTTCTTCCTCAGTACTTGGACCAGTTTTTCTCTGCATTGTTTTTTTTTTTTTTTTCTCGAGATGGAGTCTCACTCTGTTGCCAGGCTGGAGTGCAGTGGCGCGATCTCGGCTCACTGCAACCTCCGCCTCCCAGATTCAAGCAATTCTCCTGCCTTAGCCTCCCGAGTAGCTGGGACTACAGGCGTGCACCACCATGCCCAGCTAATTTTTGTATTTTTAGTAGAGACAGAG
This sequence comes from Homo sapiens, assembly GCF_000001405.40. NCBI lineage: Eukaryota > Metazoa > Chordata > Mammalia > Primates > Hominidae > Homo > Homo sapiens. The sequence continues at coordinate 141,009,997 of NC_000007.14, forward strand.
TTTCACCAAGTTGGCCAGGATGGTCTTGATTTCTTGACCTCGTGATCTGCCTGCCTCGGCCTCCCAAAGTGCTGGGATTACAAGCGTGAGCCACTGCGCCTGGCCTCTTGGCATCCTTTTTAGAGTGCTCTTAGATTAACAAATGATTAAACACCTCTCTACAGCTCAGTATCTATTCAACATTAGTCATGTTGTAGACATAATTAAAATATATCTTCCAACAAGCATGAATTTCCTTTTTTTTTTTGGTCTCTCCATTATGGGTATTTTGAAAGAAGACTTTCTCCTGCCAACTGTACCTTTTGAACTACCTGGGCTCTATTATAAGAACAAAACTACAAGGATAGAAAGGCTAATTTTTTTCCTTTTCTGATCTACTGAAAAAAAGTCTCTCATAGGTCCCTCTTTGTGTTTGTCATCACCTGTAGAGTCCAAGAAATCGGAGCGTCTGCATGAGTTCAGCGTAAGTGTGGTGATTTGGATACCAATCATAAGTCTCCTTCTTCTTGGCCAAGGGCAGTTCACTAAACAGTTTCACCACTTTCATAGACTTGGAATTAGTAGGCCTGGTGACTTCACCAAATAGCCGGGCACTGAGACGAGACATGCGGAAGGCATATTCTGAAAGGGAGGACATTTCTTGAGTGGCAAGGAGTTAGAGTTCCTATTGAAAATGAGAAGAAAGTTAAACAGGTTAGGGTAAGAAATTCCAAGATTAGCTAATGAATAAGTTAGAAAATGCAAACACAGCAAGCCACTCATGGATCAGTGCAGTGTTGGCAGGATATGCCTTGGAGTGGAGAAGTATCCACAGTCCAAATGGCTATTTCCTTTCCATGCTTTACAGCTGCGATTTTTGCACTTCGTGTTTACATGCTATTACTTCCTTGCTGTATTGCCTCCTTTGCAACCAACTATTTTGTGATTCACCAGGTTATTTACTGACAGTCAGTTTACCTATTTGTAGGCTGGGGATGAAGAAGACAGGGAAACAAGTTATCCTAATCCAGCATCATTATACCTTCAGAAAACACCCACCTAAGCAATCTGCAGCATTAATATGCTGACTGCTTGCCATCAAAAGGTGTAATCATGGCAGAGACATAATTATGTTGTCTTTACTATCAGTCCTTTGAACACTGTTCTCCTCAAGGGCTCCAGAAGGCTCTGAGAGCTGCTAATGAGTTATGAGGTCATTTGGCTTCTAGGTTACTGAACTGAATTTTGCCTAGAGACTGAGAGCCATTTGGGAAAAACAGACAGTAGCCCTATAAAAATAAATCCAATAGCTCAAAAGATCCATTTTCTTACTAAATAGAAGGCACGTATGAATTGTAAGGTTACTTGCTGTATCCTCCATCTTATATATTCTGCTTTAATGCAAACTACCTAAGTTCTTATCAGCTGGAAACAGTAGCTTTTTCTTCAGAGACATACAACACTGAAATGGGTATAAGAATGATATCCGTGATATGCACGAATTACAGCTAACAGACATAAAAAACTATACAGGGGATACATAAAAATCAAGAAAGCTGCTGGTGGAATAACTATCTCAACTCAGTTTAGACCAGACGTAGGGGTTATTGTTGGCAGAATATGCCAATTTATGAGAAATTTTAGTAGTGAGATGAGAATCTTTGCTGACTCAGAGACTATCCTGGGAAACAGTTCAGCTGAGATGAAAAGGTGCTGATATTCAAGCAGGAAAAAGGCATAAACTTTGAAAAACCAATGGGAGAAATGTACCAAAAACCCTCCTACATAAAAATGGTGCCAAGTGAATTTCAAAATAGTTCTTGTAAGAAAACAAACCGTGTTTAAATTAAGGAAGTTTTAATGCCTGTTTCAAGATCCATTAACAGAGGAGGCTGGGCATGGTAGCTCATGCCTATAATCCCAGTACTTTGAGAGGCTGAGGTGGGAGGATCGCTTGAGGTCAGGACTTCAAGACCAGCCCAGGCAACATGGAGAAATCTTGTTTTTACAGAAAAAAAAACAAAAAACAAAAGAAAATAAGAAAATTAGTCTGCTATGGTAGTGCACACCTGTAGTTCCAGCTACTCGTGGAGGCTGAGGAGGGGGACATCACTTGAGCACAGGAGTTTGAGGTTACACTAAGTTATGACTGCACTACTGTACTCTATAGCCTGAGTGACAGAGCAAGATTGTGTGTCAAAAAAAAAAAAAAAAAAAAAGCAGAGGCTGATCTCAAACCACTGTCAACCTCAAAACCATTCAGAACACCAACCAAGCAATTTTGGGTCAATAGTGCCACCTGAAGGCTGGCAACGGTAGAACTGTCAGATCCAACGTCCACCCCTCCCTCCCCACCATCTGCAGATCACCTACAAGCCTGTTCTTCCTTTTCCATTCAGCATTCTCAGTTTCCTGATTCACTTCTTTGCCAACTCTGGTTGGGGGTGGGGTTGTTAGGACTAGGGTTATAGTCTCAAGGTGAAAAAAATTCATTTAGCAGTTTAATGTATAAACAAATCAGTGCCATAAACCTCTAAAAAGCCTTGCAAATGTCCAGAGTCACCTAGTTTCTTTGCATGCTTTTTCTCTTCCTTTGCCCTTTAAAGTTACCTTTTTCCAAACATTAGATTAAAAAACAATAGTTGCTTCATCAACTTTGCTTTGTTTGCTTAATTACCATTGTGGCATCAGAATATATTTCTGCTGTAATTGCACAGTATTTCCACAGTTAGTTATCTGTAAGCTGGTATGGGAACTATCAGTTTGTTACAGTGTTTTCAGGAAAATCTGTTCTGAATTCCAAGTCCCTTTATTTGTCAATGAAGAGGCAACAGGGATTCCTGAGGCCTAGGTTTGACTACTGGCTCTGTCACTTAATCCTTGGGTTATTGTGAACAGTTACTCATCTTCTCTGAGTCTCCTTTTCTGAAAACAAAGCTTGCATGACTAGTGCGAAAATGAGTAACAGTGGCACTGAGTAGTAAATGGTAACTTACAAAAAAGAACGAGCCCAGATCTGTAAGTTTGGTTTTCATATATTCTACATAGACACATTTGTTTATTCCTTGTTCTTAATCATGTTTAAGAAAAAAAAAAAAAGAGAGAGAGACAGACAGATAGATACTCCATATAGTAAAAACTTTGTGCCTCCCTGGAATGATGACCTCATTTACAAAGACTGACAGCCAGAGAAACATAGGGAGAGGACCAGCACCTTGATAACTTGACAAGATAGCCAGGAGGAGGAAGGGACTCAGTAGGACAGTAGTCACTGAAGCCATCACAGGATGCTGCTGTTATGTCCATGCCCATTTTGGAATGTGGCAAATTACTGGGATACATAACTTGTAAGTAAAAAGGTCACACTAGAATAGGCTGGAACATGGTTATATCATAAAATCCAAGTCCTAAAGTTTTATGACAGAGAAAGGGAATAAGCCTTTTCAAACCTGAATCCCTTACTAGAAACAAAGGCCCACTTGCTAAACAGGAGGAAACTGAAAGTGGTTTTAACAATTACCAATGACACTGCTTTGTTGTTTCCTTCCACAGTGCACAGACACATGTCTCTCACGAAGAATAACACGGGAGCTTTTCTTACAACGTGCATGTCAATTACATTTTGATTCACATGAAACCATTCTCGGGGAGTACAAGTCACTTTAAGTGTTACCTTTCTTTAAATGTGAACTAAAGAAAACTGTACTCTCATGAAAAAAGTTAACTGGAGCTGAAAATGCTAAGCAAAAACAAATTACTCAAATGTGCTGAGCAAAACAAATTAAGCCCACATGAGAAGAAAATTCCCATATTTTTACTTTGGCATAACAGGGCAAACTTCTTTGATCTTTTTGATAGGTCTGATGCATTTAAAAGATTATTTCAATAAGTGGCTTTGTATTAGGTTTGCCTTTTCTCTTTGAAAGGTAAAGATGAAGTGCAAGAGTTCTTAACCGGGATGTGCTTCAGCGTTTTGAAAACAGTGGAAGTGTACATCTGTATGCCGATATGTGTATGTATGTGTGTGTGTAAATTGTTCTGGGAGAGAGCTTTCTCCAGTTTCCCAAAAACCATTGGTTAGCAGAACGCACCAGCTGCAGAATAAAAAAGCTGGTTGGAATCTCGCCTCTGCCTTTTAATGGCCACGTCGTTTTTGTAATGGTGCTTATTCTCTGCCAGGTTCTCTCATCGACTACACGAGGACAGTCATACTATCTGCGATGTGAAGCTAATATGCAAAATTCACGGCACAGTGCCCACCCTAATAACCATCAGGATCCAAGGAATTCACATACAGTGTACACACGTTGTCATAGAAACAATCTAAACATAAAAACAATCTCAACAGAATGCTTAAAAACAAAAAAACCCGGTACCGATTATTTTACGGAGTCATAGAGGCATCAACGGCACTGAAAATGTATTAGCTGCATTCAGTTCATCAAGAACAATCTTCAACTCCCTCCACCTGACTCGATCATGCCTGACTGTGATGGAAACTGTAGTATTGTCAAGTCAACCGATGTTTGACTCGGGAGCGCATTTCGCAAATATTTTTCTTAAATATCACCTTACCGTATTTTTCTTAAGGTGGTTACAAAATTAATCTGCAGCCCACCACCCAAAGCTACAGTGCCGAAGGCCGTGTGATGAGCAGAGAAACTGAGCCTTCTACTGTTAACCAATATGGAAGAGAGTAATTGCGCCTGAGAGGAAATTACGGCAGCGGAAACGCGGGTATTCTACGTTTAAGAAATCCCCCAACTGAGGCAGAAAAAGGCCAAGTTATTTGTGTGATGCACGTGAACCGCCCGAGCTGGTCACTAATGAAGTGGATTCGCCCTATTCCTGGCGACTCTACAAGGTTGGAGACCCCCGTAGACTTCGCAGCCATCGCCCCTTGCTGCAGACCCCCAAAGTCACCGACAGCCTTACCTAGACCTGACCTTCCTCACCCACGCGCCCTCGTCCCGGAAGGCCCGCCCTCTACCCGGCTCCAAGCTCGCGCAGGCAACTATTACGGGGAGCAGTAGAGAAACGGAAGCTTGGCAGCTAGAGCGGAGCCCTAGTGAACGACCCGGAGTTACTGGCTCCCCCTCCTGAGGCCTCCGAGGTGTACCTGGCGCCTGCGCAGTAAGGCTAGCGCCGCCGCCTGTGCGGAGGACCCGGGGAGGTGGTGGGCTGGGGAGAGTTAGAAAGGTCTGGCTCTCCTGGAAGGGCATGCACGGTTCGGTAGTATGTTTTGGTGGGAATGGCTACAGACCTGCCTCCAAAAGCTCTGAAGCAATGGCGATGCGTGTGCCGTGTGGTCTTTCTGACCGACTTGCGGCGCCATCCCCCTCCCCTTCCATCTATCTGCTCATCTTCTAATAGTTAATTAGGATCCCTAGCTGCAAGCCTTCCTTGCTACTGGGTTAGGAGCGCTTTCCCCCATTGACCCAGGAGCTTCTTCAGGGAGTAGGGGATGGAACGTTTGTCTCCTCAGTAGTTATCTTAGACCTCGCTGGGCAGATAGTAGAAAGCATTGTGAGTATTTCACCCCATACTAAATCTGTTTTCAAGCAAGCCACATCCCATAGGCATTGTATGCAGCACTTACTCAATGTTTGATAGTTTGGGTGAGGAAACTGTACTCGTTTTCTGAGTATCGTTCAAGGCATTTTATAAATATTTCAAAATGTACCCTGGAATTAATATCGGTAGTGAGTTGCCTACCTAGTGGGTATTGTATTTACACCCTCTTTCCTCCTACAGAATTTACTTTTAAGTTAGAATTTGACGTCTAATCAATCTATGCTATAGGATTTGCTTTTATCAAGTTAAGTTTTGACATGTTATCAGCCTTATATGATATAGTAAACAGCCTTATAAAGTTGGGTCTAGTGACTACATTTAAGTTTACAAAGGGGTAATGAGTATCCTATACATGGCTACAGTCCAGAAAAGAAGTCCTAAGGAGCGAAACTCCTGGGAGAAATTTCGTCTTGTCTTTTGTACTTGTTTCTGTGGAGTTGGCTTGTTTTTATGTAATGGCCACTGAATCATATAAACAAGAAGACTTCCTTTACGTGTAAGCTGCTGGTTTAAAGCCAAATTTTAATTGGCTCGAGGCAAGAGCTATATATATGTGTGTGTATATATATATATACACACACATATATATATTTTTTGCATAAACCTTGTTGGCTTCGTTTTGTATATCCTTCCTGTTTTTTCCTTTTCACGTATGAATTATTGGTGTTATCAATGTTTTGTGAATTACTATAAGCTACCATAAATCTTTCTTGAAACATAGCTAGGTATATAGAGTTTCAGGTGACTGTTTAGGTACTTTGCACTATCACTTTTATTAAGTCAATTTCATGGGGGTTCATATTAGTTTCCTGAGGCTGCTATAATAAAATACCACAAACTTGGTGTTGTAGAGCAACTGAAATTTATTATCTTACAGTTCTAGAGGCCATAAATTCAAAATCAGCATCACTGGGCCAAAATCAAGATGTTGACAGGGCTGTGTTCCCTCCAGAGACTCTAGGGGAGAATCAGTTCTTTGACTCTTCCAGCTTCTGGTGGCTGCTGGCATTCATTGGCTTGTGGCCACATCACTTTAGACTTCAAGGCCAACATCTTCACATCTCTGCTCCCTTTTCACATTGCCTTCACTATGTGTGTCAGACTTCCCATTGCCTCCCTTTTAGGAATGTGTAATTGCATTTAAGGCCCATGGAGCTAATCCAAAATACTCTCTCAATCTGAAGATCCTTAATTTAGTCACATCTTCAAAGGCCTTTTCCCCGTATCTGGTAACATTTGCAGGTCCCAGGGATTAGACTCTGTTATCTTTGGGGAACAGTTTTAGCCTACCACAGGATTAGAAGGAGTAAGCCATTGAAATTGGCCAATCAGAGACTGTTACTTATCAATAGGAAAGTTGGAATATTAGGGATGGAAAAATGAAATGAATAGAATAAAATTGAACCTCCTATGGATATTGACTTCACCAGACCTTGGCTTACCCATTTACACCGCCAAGATAATGCAGTTTTAAGAGCACTTTTTATAATCAGAGATTGCTCTATAAATCAGATATTTCCTTATATATTTCTATTTTCTGTAGTCCTGTGTTTTCCAATTGTGTGCTGTGAATCATTAGTTGGCTGTGAAATCAATTTAGTGAATAGAGACCAGCATTAAAAGAAAGACATTAGGATAAAAAATATCTAAATGCATCACATGTAGTAGGGGTAATTATTGTTTCATGAAACAATATGTATATGTGCATTGGATCATAATATAAATATATTTCTTGCTGTAGGTTGTGGTAAAATGGAAAGCCTCCACTTTAAGTGATTTCATTATTCATCATACTCTTTGGCAAATGTTCTTTGTCATTAGGCAGGGCAAGAATTAAAGCTACATCAACTTAAAGTTCTTATGGTGTGGCATAGTCCAAGGGGCAGGGGAATATTTATTGCTTTAAGTAAATCAATTTACAGATACCGTATTTTCATAAGTATTCTTTCTTAGCATCATGTAGGTTCTTTTTTACATCTGCATTTACAGTAGTTCTTGGACCTTACAAAAGAAAGGTATATCCATCACTGAAGGTGTGAGGGATATACCTTCCAGGATGACAGATGAAAGGAAGATTCAAAATGTTTTGGAGGAAGCTTCCTCTAATGATCAATCAAGGCACCATCAACCCTTCTTAGGCTTCATGTCTTTTCCTATCTTACATATATTCCACTTAAGGGTGAAGTACGGCTGTCAGAAATATGGTAATTGGTTTGTTGTGATTTTCTGAAATCAGATATACTGTGTGAATGTTAGTGGTAAGAGTGACAGTAATTTTCCTTTAACCATCAGATGTCTTCCATCCTCTGTTGAAAAGTGCAGTGTTTTTGAAGGAGAATCTGGTAAGAGCAGAGCAAAGCAGCACTGAAGAAAGTATCGAAGCCAATTTTTTTTCCCGTATATTTAAACCTAAGCAATTCTTTTCAGCTATTCTCAGTACTTCTCCATAGGATATAGCATTATCTGGAAAGAAAAGCAACTCTGAACAGCTGAAGTAGTAGAGCTTTGTGACAGATTTTTTTTTTTTTTTTTTTTTTGGAGAGAGTCTCACTCTGTTGCCCAGGCTGGAGTGCAGTGGCATGATCTCGGCTCACTGCAACCTTCGTCTCCTGGGTCCAAGCAATTCTTGTGCCTCAGCCTCCTGAATAGCTGGGATTACAGACACCTGCCACCACGCCCAGCTAATTTTTGTATTTTTAGTAGAGACAGAATTTTGCCATGTTGGCCAGGCTGGTCTTAAACTCCTGACCTTAGGTGATCCACCTGCCTCCATCTTCCAAAGTGCTGGGATTACAGATGGGAGCCATCGCCCCTGGCCGTGACACTGATCATTATAAATATCATACAGATCATTTTCAGGTACCTTCATATTTTTCACATTGCACTGGAATAAACTGTGCAAAAGTCATACATAATTTTATTTTAGATTTGGTGTGTGTTGTTCAATGAATGTGAAAATGTATTGTGATAATCACTGATACAGTTCACCAAATCTTTTCCATTTCCTTCCACTTTGGCTAGATTGTATTTCATGGGAATTCTGAGATTGGTTAGGATCATGGTTAGGACTTTTTCTGGCCAATGAGTTATGAGCAGATGTGAAGCGTCACCTTCCGATTAAGGTGGTTATTTACCCTGATGAAACTCCAGAGCTCTCCTTCCCTTCTGAGACAGAGAGTTGTTGCACTGTCAGCCTGTGCTCCTGAGTTGTTATGAAGGGCTGATCCTATTCCACCAGCCATATTGGAAATATAGCTTTTGTTAGAAATGAGCCGTTGTTGTTTTAATTCACATGCCTCTGTTTTAAGTCATACAAATTTGTTGTTTGTTATTGGAGCATGACCTAGCCTATCTTGTCTGATACACTTATTTTTATCAAATTCTATTATGAAATAGAGAAATACTTCAATCCTGACTTTCTTTCTGCCTCTTATTAACAAAAATAAAATTATGCTTTAGCTTCTAGGCTGATTACTTTTTAAATAGCATATTCTTTTATTCTTCATTAAATATATAGGAAACATTTTGATTATGATTTCCAAAAAATTGTTTAGAGCTATTCTAGAATATTTATATATTATTCTTCTTCAGTTATTCCTAAAAGCTGAAAACCAAAGTTCAATATACACACAGACATACTGAAGGAATATTGTCTGTTATACTCTAATTCATAAATAACATTCATCTCACACATTATGTTTTATTATTAGGAAATAAGTAATGAGAAAAACCATATAGATTTATTCTTGGTTTTATGGCTTATTATAAAAATGGATAAACCAATTCTAATAGTTTTGATATCATTTTAATCTTGGCTGCTTTTAATAATTGAGATTATGAGATGTATTTGATAATTTCCTAGTTTAAAAAAACTAAGAATACATATTCTAATACATTTAGTTAAAAATGAGGTTGGAAAGTAAATCTGACCTAGATGATTGGTTTGACAATGAGGATTAACTTTACTAATTAGATTATGTGGCTGATGGGTGTTTTCTATAAATTGAATAAGCCATATCTACAGCTCCAAGGTTTGGCAAAAATGTATAAAGTGCATGATGATATAAATCATTTTATAAAAGATATTTTGTATCAAAATTAACAATATATCCATTTTACTAACCCCTTGATGGGCTCAAAGATCCTCCCACCTCAGCCTCTGGAATAGGTGAGACTACAGGTATGAGCCACCATGCCTGACTACTGTTTAAAGTTTTTGTAGAGACTGGGTCTTGCTATGTTGCCTAGACTTGACTCGAACTCCTGGACTCAGGTGATCCTTCTCCGCTTGGCCTCCCAAAGTGTTGGGATTACAGGTGTAAGCCACTGTTCCTGGATAAAACAAGGTGATTCTAAATGAAAACAGAACAAATATAGATTTTGCAAATCTTGGTGTTGCCTTTTTGGTATGTTTCCCAAACATTGTGAAAGCGAATGACTGTATAATACATGCTCTTAAAAGTCAGGTTGAAAGTAATTCTTTGTTTTCAGAAAAAGAAGAAGGGACTAGGTAAGTTTTTAGCTGACAGATAATTAAATAATTTTTGTGATAGATTTCTATGTACCTTTGTCATATAACTCAGAGAGAGTTCAAATAATTGGGTGATATTGTCATACGCTAAAACATGGATGAACCTTGAGGACATTATGCTAAGTGAAATAAGCCAGTCACTAAAAGACAAATATTGCATGGTTCCACTTATATGAGGCATGTAAAGTGGTCAAATTCTTAGAAATGGAAAGTAGAATGGTGGTTGCCAGGGGGTGGAGGGAGGGAGGAAGGGGAGTTGTTCCATGGATACACAGTTGCAGTTTTGCAAGATTAAAATTTTCTAGAGACCTATTGTTCAACAATGTGCATATAGTCAACACTACTGTACTATACACTTAAAGATGGTTAAGATGGTAAATTTTATGTTCTGTGTTTTTTTTACCATGGTTTAAAAAAATTGTGTGATACTGCTATAACACAGGTTTTCCCATTTCCATCCACTTATGTGAACACATTTTCTCAATGCTTACATCCATTTAAGTGAAGATAGTAATAGGATTGATGCTGTCCCCTCCAAGCAATTAAAAATTCATATTTGACTATATTAACTACATGGGGAAAACTTCATCTATCAAGGGATATGTTAAGAAGTTTTTTGTTTATAAGTGTTCATCAAAATTCATGATATATTTAAGTCATTTTGATCATTTGTGTACAAAAAGTTGTAATGATAACCCAAAGGGAAAAATATTTTCAACACATACTTTTAGTCATAGAAGTTAAAAAAGTTAAAATTCAATTGACAAATATTTTGTTGCAGGAAAATATGACACATGGTCAGTAAAAGCTTTCAAGCATAAAAACATATTAAGATAAAGTAACATTTTGTGAGAGGAGTAGAATATAACTTCAAGGAGAAAAAGCAATGATGTAAACTGGCCAAGTGCAGTGGCTCATGCCTGTAATCCTAGCACTTTGAAAGGCTGAGGCGGAAGGATCTCTTGAGCTCAGAAGTTCGAGAGTCTAGGCAACACAGGGAGACCTTTTTTTGCAGTTCAGTAGTTTTGTGGGGAACAGGTGGTGTTTGGTTACATGAATGTTTTTTTTTTTTTGAGACACAGTCTCACTCTGTCACCCAGGCTGGAGTGCAGTGGTGCAATCTTAGCTCACTGCAACCTCCGCCTCCCCAGTCCAAGTGATTCTCCTGCCTCAGCCTCCCGAGTAGGTGGGACTACAGGTGCGTGCCACCACACCCGGCTAATTTTTTGTATTTTTAGAGATGGGGTTTCACCGTGTTAGCCAGGATGGTCTCGATCTCCTGGCCTTGTGATCCACCCGCCTTGGCCTCCCAAAGTGCTGGGATTACAGGCATGAGCCATTGCGCCCGGCCCTACGTGGATCAATTTTTTAGTGGTGATTTCTGAGATTTTGGTGCAACTATCACTCGAGCGGTGTACACTGTACTCAGTGTGTAGTCTTTTATCCCTCACCCCCACTCCTGCCCTTCCCCCTGAGTTTCCAGAGTCATAATATCATTCTTATGCCTTTGTGTCCTCATAGTTTAGCTTCCACTTATAAGTGAGAACATATAATGTTTGGCTTTTCTTCCTGAGTTACTTCACTTAGGATAATAGTCTCCAACTCCATCCAGGTTGCTGTGAATGCCATTGTTTTGTTCCTTTTTATGGCTGTGTAGTATTCTATGATATATATATCACATTTTCTTTACCTGCTCGTTGATCGATGGGCATTTAGGCAGGTTCCATATTTTTGCAATTGCAAATTGTGCTGCTATACACATGCGTATGCAAGTATCTTTTTCATGTAATGAATTATTTTCCTCTGGGTAAATACCCAGTGGAAATTTTGTTTGCTTTGTTGAAGATCAGTTGGCTGTTAAGTGTTTGGCTTTATTTCTGGGTTCTCTATTCTGTTTCATTGGTCCATGTGCCTCTTTTTATACCAGTACCATGCTGTTTTGGGAATTATAGCCTTGTATTAATAGTATAGTTTGAAGCTGGGTAATGTGATGCCTCCAGATTTGTTCTTTTTGCTTAGTCCTGCTTCAGCTATGTGGGCTGTTTTTTGTTCCATATGAATTTTAGGATTTTTTTTCTAGTTCTGTGAACAATGATTGTGGTATTTTGATGAGAAGTGCATTCAATCTGTAGATTGCTTTTGGCAGTATGATCATTTTCACAATATTGATTCTATCCATCCATGAGCATGGGATGTATTTCCATTTGTTTGTGTTGTCTGTGATTTCTTTCAGCAGTGTTTTGTAGTTTTCCTTGTAGAGATCTTTCACCTCCTTGGTTAGTTGTATTCCTAAATATTTTATTTTATTTTAATTTATTTTATTTTTTGCAGCTGTTGTAAAACAGCTCTTGAGTTCTTGATTTGATTCTCAACTTGGTTGCTGTTGGTGTATAGCAGTGCTACTTATTTGTGTACATTGATTTTGTATCCTGAAACTTTACTGAATTCATTAATCAGATCTAGGAGCTTTTTGGATGAGTCTTTAGGGTTTTCTAGATATATGATCATATCATCAGTGAACAGCAACACTTTGACTTCCTCTTTACTGATTTGGATGGCCTTTATTTCTTTCTCTTGTCGGATTGCTCTGGCTAGGACCCAGTACTATGTTGAATAAAAGTGGTGAGAGTGGACATCCTTGTCCTGTGCCAGTTCTTAGGGGGAATACTTTCAACTTTTCCCCATTCTGTATAATGTTAGCTGTGGGTTTGTCATAGATGGCTTTTATTACCTTAATATATGTTCCTTCTGTGCCAGTTTTGCTGAGGGTTTTAATCATAAGGGGATGCTGGATTTTGTCAAATGCTTTTTCTGCATCTATTGAGATGATCACATGATTTTTATTTTTAATTCTGTTTATGTGGTATATCAAATTTATTGACTTGCATATGTTAAACCAACCCTGCATCCCTGATATGAAACCCACTTGATCATTGTGTATTATCTTTTTGATATGCTGTTGGATTCAGTAGCGAGTATTTTGTTGAAGATTTTTGCATCTATATTCATCAGGGATATTGATCTGTAGTTTTCTTTTTCTTTCTTTCTTTTATTTTTTGGTAAGTCCTTTCCTGGTTTTGGCATTAGGGTAACACTGGCTTCATAGAATGATTTAGGGAGGATCCTCTCTTTCTCTATCTTTTGGAATGGTTTCAGTAGGATTGGTACCAATTTTTCTTTGAATGTCTGATAGAATTTAGTTATGAACCCATCTGGTCCTGGACCCTTTTTTTGTTGGCAATTTTAAAATTACTGTTTCAACCTCATTACTTGGTTTTGGTCTGTTTAGAGTTTCTATTTCTTCCTGATTTAATCTACAAAGGTTGTATTGATTTTGTCTTTTCAAAGAACCAGCTTTTTGTTTCTTTTATCTTTTGTGTATGTGTGTTTTTTTGTTTCAGTTTCATTTAGTTCTGCTCTGATCTTTGTTATTCATTTTCTTCTACTGGGTTTGGGCTTGGTTTGTTCTTGTTTCTCTAATTCTTTGAGATGTGAGCTTAGATTGTCAGTTTGTGCTCTTTCAGACTTTTTGATGTAGGCATTTAATACTCTGAACTTTCCTCTTAGCACCGTTTTGCTGTATCCCAGACATTTTGATAGGTTGTATCACTATTATCATTCAGTTCAAAGAATTTTTTAATTTCCATCTTGATTTCATTGTTGACCCAAAGATCATTCAAAAGCAGATTATTTAATTTCCATGTATTTGTTTTGTTTTGAGGGTTCCTTTTAGAGTTAATTTCCAATTTTATTGCACTGTGATCTGAGAGAGTACTTGATATGATTTCAGTTTTCTTAAATTATTGAGACTTGTTTTGTGGCCTATCTTATGGTCTATCTTGGAGATTGTTCCTTGTGCTGATGAAAGTAATGTATATTCTGCAGTTGGGTAGAATGTTCTGTAAATATCTGTTAAGTGCATTTGTTCTAGGGTATAGTTTAAGTCCATTGTTTCTTTGTTAACTTTCTGTCTTGACTTGTTTAGTGCTGCCAGTGGAGTACTGAAGTCTTCCACTGCTATTGTATTGCCAGCTATCTCATTTCTTAGGTCTAGTAGTGATTGTTTTATAAATTTAGAAGCTCCAGTTTTAGGTGCATATATATTAAGGATTGTGATATTTTCCTGTTGGACTAATCCTTTTATTTTTATATAATAATCCCTCTTTGTCTTTTTAAACAGTTGTTGCTTTATAATCTGTTTTGTCTGATATAAGAAAAGCTAATCCTGCTCCCTTTTGGTTTCCATTTGCAAGGAGTATTTTTTTCTATGCTTTAACCTTAAGTTTATGTGAGTCCTTATGTGTTGGGTGAGTCTCTTGAAGACAGCAGATATTTGGTTGGTGGATTTTTATCCATTCTGCCATTCTGTATCTTTTAAGTGGAGCATTTAGGCCATTTATATTCAACATTAGTATTGAGGTGTAAGGTACTGTTCTCTTCATCATGCTAGTTGTTGCTTGACTACCATTTTTTTCATTGAGTTATTGTTTTATAGGCCCTGTGAGATTTATGCTTTAAAGGGGTTCTATTTTGGTGTACTTCAAGGTTTTGTTTCAATATTTACAACTCCTTTTAGCATTTCTTGTAGTGCTGGCTTGGTAGTGGTGAATACTCTCAGCATTTGTTGTCTGAAAAAAACTTTATCTCTTCTTCATTTATGAAACTTAGTTTTGCCAGCTACAAAATTCTTGGCTGATAATTGTTTTGTTAAAGGAGGATAAAGATAGCATCCCAATTCCTTCTGGCTTGCAGGGTTTCTGCTGAGATGTCTGCTGTTAATCTTATAGGTTTTCCTTTATATGTTACCTGATGCTTTAGCCTCACAGCTCTTAAGATTCTTTCCCTCATCTTGACGTTAGATAACATGATGACTGTGTGCCTGTGTTATGATCTTTTTGCAATGAATTTCCCAGGTGTTCTTTGAGTTTCTTGTATTTAGATGTCTAGATCTCTAACAAGACCAAGGACATTTTCCTTGATTATTCCTTCAAATATGTTTTGCAAACTTTTGGATTTCTCTTCTTCCTCAGGAGGGCCAATTATTCTTATGTTTGGTTGCTTAACATAATCCCAAATTTCTGGAGGCTTTGTTCATTTTTTAAAATTCTTTTTTCTTTGTCTTTGTTGAATTGGGTCAGTTAGAAAGCCTTGTCTCTGAGCTCTGAAGTTCTTACTTCTACTTGTTCGATTGTATTGTTGAAATTTTCCAGTGTATTTTGCATTTCTCTAAGTGTGTCTTTCATTTCCAGATGTTGTGATTGCCTTTTCTTTATGATGTCTGTTTCTCAGGAGAGTTTTTCATCCATATCCTGTAGTGTATGTGTGTGTGTGTGTGTGTGTGTGTGTGTGTGTGTGTGTGTGTGTGTGTGTTTGAAGGAGTCTCGCTTTGTCACCCAGGCTGGAGTGCAGTGTCATGATCTTGGCTCACTGCAACCTCTGCCTCCCAGGTTCAAGCAATTCTCCTGCCTTAGCTTCCCGAGTAGCTGGGATTACAGACACATGCCACTATGCCTGGATAGTTTTTGTATTTTTAGTAAAGACAGAGTTTCCCCACATTGGCCAGGCTAGTTTTGAACTCCTGACCTCAGGTGATCCACCCACCTCGGCCTCCCAAAGTGCTGGGATTACAGGTGTGAAGGTGTGAGTCACTGCCTGACCTGTTTTTTTTTTTTTTTTTTTGAGATGGAGTCTCACTCTGTCGCCCAGGCTGGAGTGCAGTGGCGCGATCTCGGCTCGCTGTAAGCTCCGCCTCCCAGGTTCACGCCATTCTCCTGCCTCAGCCTCCTGAGTAGCTGGGACTACAGGCACCTGCCACCTTGCCTGGCTAGTTTTTTGTGTTTTTTAGTAGAGACTGGGTTTCACCATGTTAGTCAGGATGGTCTCGATCTCCTGACTTCGTGATCCACCCACCTTGGCTTCCCAAAGTACTGGGATTACAGGCGTGAGCCACCAGGCCTGGCTTTTTTTATTTTTTAAGACAAAGTCTTGCTCTGTCACCCAGGCTGAAGTACAGTGGCATGATCTCGGCTCACTGCACCCTCTGCGTCCTGGGCTCAAGCGATTCTCCTGCCTCAGCCTCCTGAGTAGCTGGGATTACAGTTGCCCATGACCACACCTGGCTAATTTTTGTAGTTTTAGTAGAGCAGGGTTTCACCATGTTGGCCAGGCTGGTCTCGAACTCCTGACTTCAGATAATCTTCCCACCTTGGCCTCCCAAAGTGCTGGGATTACAGGCATGAGCCACCATGCCTCCCCCGGCCTGTTTTTTTTAAAAAAAATTTCTTCAAATTGGTTTTTACCTTTCTCTGTTACCTCCTTGAGTAGCTGGATAATCAACTGTCTGCATTCTTTATCTGGCAATTTAGAGATTCTTCTTGGTTTGGATCCATTGCTGGAGAGCTAGTGTGATCTTTTGAGTGTGTGATAGAACCTTGTTTTGTAATATTACCAGACTTACTTTTCTGTTTCTTTTTCATTTGGGCAGACTGTTTCAGTGGAAAGATCTGGAACTCAAGGGCTGCTGTTCAGGTTCTTTTGTCCCACAGGGTAATTCCTTGATGTGGTGCTCTCCCCCTTCCCCTAGGAATGGGGCTTCCTGAGAGCTAGACTGCAGTGATTGTTATTGCCCTTCTGAGCCCTGGGCTGGTGCTAGGCAATGTCTGCAAAGAGTCCTGTGATATGATCCATCTTCAAGTCTCCCAGCTGTGGATACCAGCACCTGCTCTGGTGGAGGTGGCAGGGGAGTGAAGTAGACTTAGACTCAGTTAAAGTCCTTGGTTGTAGTTTTGTTTAGTGTGCTGGTTTTCTCGAATGCTGGTTATGCTAGCAGTGAAGTTGTCACACAGATAGACTCGGGACCTCTGGTTGGCCAGGATGTTGCAGGTGGTGGAATTAGCTATTGTTTTCTCCTTCTTTGGAGCAGGATTGTTCTCTTATGAGTTGCTGTAATGGCTTGAGTTGGTTGGCCTCCAGCCAGGAGGTGGTGCTTTCAAGAGAGCCCCACCTGCAGTAGTAGAAGGGGGATATAAGCTTGCCCTACATTTGCCAGATAAGTAATCGGCTTTCTCAGGTCATGGGTGGGGCCATAGAGCTCCCACGAGTTTATGTCTTTTGTCTTTGGCTGCCA
The DNA here is from genome assembly GCF_000001405.40 of Homo sapiens. NCBI lineage: Eukaryota > Metazoa > Chordata > Mammalia > Primates > Hominidae > Homo > Homo sapiens. The sequence continues at coordinate 141,027,207 of NC_000007.14, forward strand.
GGGTGGGTAGAGAAAAACCATCAGGAGGGGGCAGTGTTAGGCGTGTCTGAGCTCAGACTCTCCTTGGGCAGAACTTGCTGTGCCACTGTGGGGGATAGGGGGATGCTTCTCAGGCCAATAGAATTATGTTCCCAGGGGGATTGTATTTGTCTCTGCTGCATCATTACAGGTCACCAGGGAAGTGGGGAAAGCCAGCAGTGACAGGCCTCACCCAGCTCCCATAGCCAGCAAAGCTATTCTCACTCCCTTTGTGCCCCACCAACAGCACTAAATTTATATCCAGACAGCTGGCAAGCAGGGCTGAGATCTTGCTCCAGGCTACTAGCCTCCCCAGTGAGAAAGCAAGCAGGGCCCTCAGGACTTGCTCCTCCCCACCTGCCCGCACGATCTCAGCTCACTGCAACCTCTGCCTCCTGGGTTCAAGTGATTCTCCTGCCTCAGCTTCCCAAGTAGCTGGGACTACAGGCACGCACCACCACACCCAGTTAACTTTTGTATTTTTAGTAGAGACGCAGTTTTACTGTGTTGGCCAGTCTGGACTTGAACTCCTGACCTCAGGTGGTCCACCTGCCTCAGCCTCCCAAAGTGCTGGGATTACAGACGGGAGCCACCATGCCCAACCATTATGTAGTTTTAATCAAAGTTATGGATACAGGAAAGCAAAGTTTTCTTCTGGTGGTACATACTACTACAAATAACCTTTTCTTCCTTTTTGTTTCTGTTACTCCCTTCTCATATATTTGTTGCATACTATTTTATACAAAGAAGTTGATTAGTAAAAGAGAAATAAAACTTAGCAATGTAGGAAAAATTATCTTATCAAATGAATTTAAATACATTTTCTCTTACATCAGCACAGTTAAAAATGTCAATTTTTTGTGAAAGGATTTAACAGTGCATAGATATATAAAGACATATTATCAAAGAGTTTTTGCATCCCCCCAGGTCCTTTATTTCCTATGTTCCCTCAGTTTCTTGTTTCAAGACTTACAACCATAGAACTCCATTTACCCTCCACCCTTTATATGCTAGTGTTGTCTTAAGTATTACATCTGCATATATTAGAACTCTTACCAGGGGATGTGATAATTTTTGCTTTCAACAGTCTATTTTAATAGTCTCATCTATTTTAAATAAATTAAAAGGGCCAGCCATGGTGGGTCATGCCTGCAATCCCAGCACTTTAGGAGGCTGAGGCAGGTGGATCACCTGAAGTCAGGAGTTTGAGACCAGCCTGGCCAACATAGTGAAACCCTGTCTCTTCTAAAAATACAAAAATTTGCCAGGCATGGTGGCTCACGCCTGTAATCCCAGCTACTCTGGAGGCTGAGGCAGGAGAATTGCTTGAACACAGGAGGCAGAGGTTGCAGTGAGCTGAGATCACGCCACTGTACTCCAACCTGGGCAACAGAGTAAGACTCTGTCTAAAATAAATTAAAACAAAATAAAATAAATTAAAGGACAAAAATATTTATCCAGATATTTACCATTTCTGTTGTTCTTCCTTTATTCTTAAAATTTCAAGTGTCCCTCTTGAATATAATTTCTTGTTGCCCTGAAGAACTTTCAACATTTCTTTTAGAGCAGGTCTGCTGGTTACATACTCTCTTTTTTTTCTTCATGTAAAAATGTTTTTATCTCACGGTCATTCCTGAAGGATAATTTCAGCAAATGTTGAATTCTGGTTTGACAATTCTTTTCTTTCAGTTCTTTAAAGATGTTGTTCCACTGTTTTCTGGTCTCCATGATTTCGGATGTAAAATCAGCAGTCATTTGAATAGTTCTTCCCCTTTATATAATGTGCCACGTTTCTTTCTGGCTGTTTTCAAGATCAACAACAAGAATAATAAAACTTGGTGTTCAGAAGTTTGATTTTGATGTGTCTGGCCACAGTTGATTTTCTTTGGAGGTGTCCTGTTTGGGATTCTAAGCTGCTTTAATCTATAATTTAAGTCCTTCATCAAATTAGGGAAGTTCTGGCCTTTATTTTTTCAAATATTCTTTCTGAACCAATTTACTTTTCCTATCCTTCTTGGATTCCAGTGAAATGAATGTTAGATAATTTGATGATGTTCTGTTCATTTCTTCCCCCTACCTCTTTGTTCTTCAGATTAATGTCTATTAACCCATCTTCACATTCATTGACTCTTTCCTTTGTCATTATCTCCATTCAGCTATTGAGCCCAATCAATGACTTTTTCATGTATTATATTTTTTAGTCCTAAAATTTGCATTTGATTATTTGTTATTCTATTTTTTTCTGTTCGCATTCTAAAATTAAATTTTTTAATGTTTTTCTTCTTTTTAGAGACAGGGTCTCACTCTGTTGCCCAGGCTGAGTACAGTGGCACAATCATAGCTCACTGCAGCCTCAAACTTCTGGGCTTAAGTGATCCTCCCCACTTGGCCTCCCAAAATGCTGGGATTACATGCATGAAACACTGCACCCAGCATCTGATGACTTTTGTATTTCTATTCACTTAAGGAGTGTTTACCTTTACCTCATGAAACATAGATGTGATAGGCTTTAATGTCTTTGTCTGATATTTCTAACATCTGGGTAATCTTGAGGTAGTGATCTCTTGATTTCCTTTTTCCTTGAGATTTTTCACAGTTTGTTGGTTCTATGTTGAGTAATCATGGACTGTATCCTGGAAAATCTGAATATTATATTGTGAGGTCTCTCAGGCCTGTTTAATTTCTCTAGAGAATGTTGATTTTTGTTTGTTTGTTTTAGCAGGCTAGCAACTTGATTTGATTCAGACAGTTCTGTATCACACACAGATCTAAATGTAAGAGCTAAAACTATAAAATTCTGAAGAAAGCATATAAGAACATTATTGTGAAATTTGGTTAGGCAAAATGTTCTTGGATTTGATAGGACAGGAAAAACATAAACCATAAAAAATTGTTAAATTGTACTTTATCAGCATTTAAAAACTTCTGATCTTTGAAATAAACTGTTAAAAAATGAAGAGACTAGCCACAACTGGGAGAAAATAGTTGCAAAAATATATCTGAAAAGGATTTGTACCCAGAATATTAAGTAACTCTTACAACTAAAAATTAAGACAATCAATCCAATTATTAGCCCAATTAAAACTTGGGCAAACCAAGTGTGATGGCTCACGTCTGTAATCCCAGCACTTTGGGAGGCCTAGGTGGGTGGATTACCTGAGTTCAGGAGTTTGAGACCAGCCTGGTCAACATAGTGAAACCCCATCTCTACTAAAAATACAAAAAATTAGCCAGGTGTGGTGACACACACCCGTAATCCTAGCTACTTGGGAGATTGAGGCAGGAGAATTGCTTGAACCTGGGAGGCAGAGGTTGCAGTGAGCTGAGATCGCACCATAGCACTCCAGCCTGGGTGACAGGAATGAAATTCCCTCTCAAAACAAACAAACAAACAAACAAAACAACAACCAAAAAAATGGGCAAATGCTGTGGACACTTCACCAAAGAAGTACAGATGAGAAATAGGCACATGAAATGATGCCTAACACCATAGGTTATTAGGGAAATGCAAATTAAAGCCAACATACTGAGTAGAATGGCTAAAATTAAAAACAAACAATAAAAAGTGCTGATGTGGATGTGGAGCTAATGGGATTGAAAAATGGTACAGCCACTTTGGAAAACAATTTGCAGATTATGATAAAGGTAAAAAATACTTACCAAGAGGCCCAACAATTCCATTCCACCCAAGAGAAATGAAAAAATATGTTTACAGAAAAACCTGTACCCCAATTTTTATGGCAACTTTATTCATAATAGTCCAAACTGAGAAACATCCTAAATGTCCATCAACTGGTGAAGAGATAAACAAATGTAGTACCTATATACAATGGAATACTACTAAGTAATAAAAAGGAATAAACTACTGATACATAACCACAGTGTGAATAAATCCCAGAATGATTATGCTTAGTGAAAAAAGCCAGACACAAAGGACTACATGCTGTGTGAGTCCGTTTATATGACATTCTGGAGAAGGTAATACCATAAGGACTGGAAACTATAGGGACAGATCAGTGGTTGTCAATGGCTGGACACGAAGGGAGGGGATTGAACACAAAGGTGGCATGAAGGAACATTTTGGGTAATGGAAATGTTTTTAAATTATGTTAGTGGTTACACAACAGAATATGTTTCCCCAAACTTATCAAACTGTATACCTAAAAAGGCTGAATTTTATGGCATGGAATTACATCACAAGAAACCTGAATTGTTAAAAAAGAGATATTCTTTTTATAGCTTTTTGAATGAATGCCTCCTTTACTTTTTCCTTTTTAAAATTTAGATTTTGCTCTGTAAAAGGTGGTACAGATATAGCTGAAGTTCTATCCCTCCTACCTTTTCTCTCACTTTCTTTCTTCCCAGAGATAAGCATTGTTCTGAAATTGGTGTGTATTATTCTCAGGTGTCCATTTTAACTCTTAGGACATATGTATGTATCTGTAAATAATATACATACAACTATTTTTTATTTAAAAATTATATAGATGCTATTATTCTGTATGAATCTTTTGCAGCTTGCTTTAATCACTTAAAATTGTGTTTTTGAGATTAATCCATGTTAATATATACAGATCTAATTCATCCATTTTAATTTATGTAGAGTATTCCACTGTATGAATAAATTACAGTTATTTAGCTATTCTTTTTACAATAAGGGGACAGTTGTTTCCATTTTTTATCTTTTGTTATCAGAAACAATGATCCAATGAACATTTTCTATAAGTCACCTTTAGCATATGCATAAGAATCTCTTTAGGTAAGGCACCTAGAAATGTTATCACTGGTTTAAAGGATATAACTTTCAACTTTATTAGGCATCACTGAATTGATCTAAAAAATGGTTGTGTGAACCATTATGGAAAGTAGCGTGGAGGTTCTTCAAAAACTTAAAAATAGAACTACCATATGATCCAGCAATCCCACTACTGGGTATATATCCAAAGGAAATGAAATTAGTATGTCAAAAGGATATTTGCACTGCTATGTTTATTAAAGCATCAATCACAATAGCCAAGATATGGAATCAAACCTAAGTGTCCATCAGTGGATGAATGGAAAAAGAAAATGTGGAACATATACACAATGGGATATAATTTAGCCATAAGAAAAGGAAATGCTGTCATTTGTGACAATATGGATGAACCTGGAGGACATTATGCTAAGTGAAATAAGTCAGGCACAAAAATGCAAATATCTTCTCATTCTCGTGTGGAATCTAAAAATGTTGATCTCATAGAAGTATAGAGTAGAATGGTACTTATCAGGGGCTGGGGCAGTTGCATGGGGTTGGGGAGATGGTTAAAGGATACAGAATTTCAGATAGGAGAAAGTTCAAGAGATGTATTGTACAACAAGTGACTATCATTAACAATATATTGTGGAGGAGCCAAGATGGCCGAATAGGAAGAGCTCCGGTCTACAGCTCCCAGCATGAGCGACGCACAAGACAGGTGATTGCTGCATTTCCATCTGAGGTACCGGGTTCATCTCACTAGGGAGTGCCAGACAGTGGGCGCAGGTCAGTGGGTGCGCGCACCACGTGCGAGCCGAAGCAGGGCCAGGCATTGCCTCACTCAGGAAGCACAAGGGGTCAGGGAGTTCCCTTTCCTAGTCAAAGAAAGGGGTGACGGACGGCACCTGGAAAATCGGGTCACTCCCACCCGAATACGGCGCTTTTCCGACGGGCTTAAAAAACGTCGAGATTATATCCCGCACCTGGCTCGGAGGGTCCTACGCCCACGGAGTCTCGCTGATTGCTAGCACAGCAGTCTGAGATCAAACTGCAAGGCAGCAGCGAGGCTGGGGGAGGGGCGCCCGCCATTGCCCAGGCTTGCTTAGGTAAACAAAGCAGCCGGGAAGCTCGAACTGGGTGGAGCCCACCACAGCTCAGGGAGGCCTGCCTGCCTGCCTCTATAGGCTCCACCTCTGGGGGCAGGGCACAGACAAATAAAAAGACAGCAGTAACCTCTGCAGACTTAAATGTCCCTGTCTGACAGCTTTGAAGAGAGCAGTGGTTCTCCCAGTACGCAGCTGGAGATCTGAGAATGGGCAGACTGCCTCCTCAAGTGGGTCCCTGACCCCTGGCCCCCGGCAGCCTAACTGGGCGGCACCCCCCAGCAGGGGCACACTGACAGCTCACACGGCAGGGTACTCCAACAGACCTGCAGCTGAGGGTCCTGTCTGTTAGAAGGAAAACTAACAAACAGAAAGGACATCCACACCAAAAACCCGTCTGTACATCACCATCATCAAAGACCAAAAGTAGATAAAACCACAAAGATGGGGAAAAAACAGAACAGAAAAACTGGAAACTCTAAAAAGCAGAGCGCCTCTCCTCCTCCAAAGGAACGCAGTTCCTCACCAGCAGCGGAACAAAGCTGGATGGAGAACGACTTTGACGAGCTGAGAGAAGAAGGCTTCAGACGATCAAATTACTCTGAGCTACGGGAGGACATTCAAACCAAAGGCAAAGAAGTTGAAAACTTTGAAAAAAATTTAGAAGAATGTATAACTAGAATAACCAATACAGAGAAGTGCTTAAAGGAGCTGATGGAGCTGAAAACCAAGGCTCGAGAACTATGTGAAGAATGCAGAAGCCTCAGGAGCCGATGCGATCAACTGGAAGACAGGGTATCAGCAATGGAAGATGAAATGAATGAAATGAAGAGAGAAGGGAAGTTTAGAGAAAAAAGAATAAAAAGAAATGAGCAAAGCCTCCAAGAAATATGGGACTATGTGAAAAGACCAAATCTACGTCTGATTGGTGTACCTGAAAGTGACGGGGAGAATGGAACCAAGTTGGAAAACACTCTGCAGGATATTATCCAGGAGAACTTCCCCAATCTAGCAAGGCAGGCCAACGTTCAGATTCAGGAAATACAGAGAACACCACAGCGATACTCCTCGAGAAGAGCAACTCCAAGACACATAATTGTCAGATTCACCAAAGTTGAAATGAAGGAAAAAATGTTAAGGGCAGCCAGAGAGAAAGGTCGGGTTACCCTCAAAGGGAAGCCCATCAGACTAACAGCAGATCTCTCGGCAGAAACTCTACAAGCCAGAAGAGAGTGGGGGCCAATATTCAACATTCTTAAAGAAAAGAATTTTCAACCTAGAATTTCATATCCCGCCAAACTAAGATTCATAAGTGAAGGAGAAATAAAATACTTTACAGACAAGCAAATGCTGAGAGATTTTGTCACCACGAGGCCTGCCCTAAAAGAGCTCCTGAAGGAAGTGCTAAACATGGAAAGGAACAACCGGTACCAGCCGCTGCAAAATCATGCCAAAATGTAAAGACAATCGAGAATAGGAAGAAAATGCATCAACTAACGAGCAAAATAACCAGCTAACATCATCATGACAGGATCAAATTCACACATAACAATATTAACTTTAAATGTAAATGGACTAAATGCTCCAATTAAAAGACACAGACTGGCAAATTGGATAAAGAGTCAAGACCCATCACTGTGCTGTATTCAGGAAACCCATCTCACGTGCAGAGACACACATAGGCTCAAAATAAAAGGAGGGAGGAAGATCTACCAAGCAAATGGAAAACAAAAAAAGGCAGGGATTGCAATCCTAGTCTCTGATAAAATAGACTTTCAACCAACAAAGATCAAAAGAGACAAAGAAGGCCATTACATAATGGTAAAGGGATCAATTCAACAAGAAGAGCTAACTATCCTAAATATATATGCACCCAATAAAGGAGCACCCAGATTCATAAAGCAAGTCCTGAGTGACCTGCAAAGAGACTGAGACTCCCACACATTAATAATGGGAGACTTTAACACCCCACTGTCAACATTAGACAGATCAACGAGACAGAAAGTCAACAAGGATACCCAGGAATTGAACTCAGCTTTGCACCAAGTGTACCTAATAGTTATCTACAGAACTCTCCACCCCAAATCAACAGAATATACATTTTTTTCAGCACCACACCACACCTATTCCAAAATTGACCACATACTTGGAAGTAAAGCTCTCCTCAGCAAATGTAAAAGAACAGAAATTATAACAAACTATCTCTCAGACCACAGTGCAATCAAACTAGAACTCAGGATTAAGAATCTCACTCAAAACCACTCAACTACATGGAAACTGAACAACCTGCTCCTGAATGACTACTGGGTACATAACGAAATGAAGGCAGAAATAAAGATGTCTTTGAAACCAACGAGAACAAAGACACAACATACCAGAATCTCTGGGACGCATTCAAAGCAGTGTGTAGAGGGAAATTTATAGCACTAAATGCCCACAAGAGAAAGCAGGAAAGATCCAAAATTGACAACCTAACTTCATAATTAAAAGAACTAGAAAAGCAAGAGCAAACACATTCAAAAGCTAGCAGAAGGCAAGAAATAACTAAAATCAGAGCAGAACTGAAGGAAATAGAGACACAAAAAACCCTTCAAAAAATTAATGAATCCAGGAGCTGGTTTTTTGAAAGGATCAACAAAATAGATAGACCGCTAGCAAGACTAATAAAGAAAAAAAGAGAGAAGAATCAAATAGATGCAATAAAAAATGATAAAGGGGATATCACCACTGATCCCACAGAAATACAAACTACCATCAGAGAATACTACAAACACCTCTACGCAAATAAACTAGAAAATCTAGAAGAAATGGATACATTCCAAGACTAAACCAGGAAGAAGTTGAATCTCTGAATAGACCAATAACAGGATCTGAAATTGTGGCAGTAATCAATAGCTTACCAACCAAAAAGAGTCCAGGACCAAATGGATTCACAGCCGAATTCTACCAGAGGTACAAGGAGGAACTGGTACCATTCCTTCTGAAACTATTCCAATCAATAGAAAAAGAGGGAATCCTCCCTAACTCATTTTATGAGGCCAGCATCATTCTGATACCAAAGCCAGGCAGAGATACAACCAAAAAAGAGAATTTTAGACCGATATCCTTGATGAACATTGATGCAAAAATCCTCAATAAAATACTGGCAAACCGAATCCAGCAGCACATCAAAAAGCTTATCCACCATGATCAAGTGGGCTTCATCCCTGGGATGCAAGGCTGGTTCAATATACGCAAATCAATAAATGTAATCCAGCATATAAACAGAGCCAAAGACAAAAACCACATGATTATCTCAATAGATGCAGAAAAGGCCTTTGACAAAATTCAACAACCCTTCATGCCAGAAACTCTCAATAAATTAGGTATTGATGGGACGTATTTCAAAATAATAAGAGCTGTCTATGACAAACCCACAGCCAATATCATACTGAATGGGCAAAAACTGGAAGCATTCCCTTTGAAAACTGGCACAAGACAGGGATGCCCTCTCTCACCACTCCTATTCAACATAGTGTTGGAAGTTCTGGCCAGGGCAATTAGGCAGGAGAAGGAAATAAAGGGTATTCAATTAGAAAAAGAGGAAGTCAAATTGTCCCTCTTTGCAGATGACATGATTGTATATCTAGAAAACCCCATTGTCTCAGCCCAAAATCTCCTTAAGCTCATAAGCAACTTCAGCAAAGACTCAGTATACAAAATCAATGTACAAAAATCACAAGCATTCTTATACACCAAGAACAGACAGAGAGCCAAATCATGAGTGAACTCCCATTCACAATTGCTTCAAAGAGAATAAAATACCTAGGAATCCAAGTTACAAGGGATGTGAAGGACCTCTTCAAGGAGAACTACAAACCACTGCTCAATGAAATAAAAGAGGATACAAACAAATGGAAGAACATTCCATGCTCATGGGTAGGAAGAATCAATATCATGAAAATGGCCATACTGCCCAAGGTAATTTACAGATTCAATACCATCCCCATCAAGCTACCAATGACTTTCTTCACAGAATTGGAAAAAACTACTTTAAAGTTCATATGGAACCAAAAAAAGAGCCCGCATCGCCAAGTCAATCCTAAGCCAAAAGCACAAAGCTGGAGCCATCACACTACCTGACTTCAAACTATACTACAAGGCTACAGTAACCAAAACAGCATGGTACTGGTACCAAAACAGAGATATAGATCAATGGAACAGAACAGAGCCCTCAGAAATAACGCCACATATCTACAACTATCTGATCTTCGACAAACCTGAGAAAAACAAGCAATGGGGAAAGGATTCCCAATTTAATAAATGGTGCTGGGAAAACTGGCTAGCCATATGTAGAAAGCTGAAACTGGATCCCTTCCTTACACCTTATACAAAAATTAATTCAAGATGGATTAAAGACTTAAACGTTAGACCTAAAACCATAAAAACCCTAGAAGAAAACCTAGGCATTACCATTCAGGACATAGGCATGGGCAAGGACTTCATGTCTAAAACACCAAAAGCAATGGCAACAAAAGACAAAATTGACAAATGGGATCTAATTAAACTAAAGAGCTTCTGTACAGCAAAAGAAACTACCATCAGAGTGAACAGGCAACCTACAAAATGGGAGAAAATTTTTGCAACCTACTCATCTGACAAAGGGCTAATATCCAGAATCTACAATGAACTCAAACAAATTTGCAAGAAAAAAACAAACAACCCCATCAAAAAGTGGGCAAAGGACATGAACAGACACTTCTCAAAAGAAGACATTTATGCAGCCAAAAAACACATGAAAAAATGCTCATCATCACTGGCCATCAGAGAAATGCAAATCAAAACCACAATGAGATACCATCTCACACCAGTTAGAATGGCCATCATTAAAAAGTCAGGAAACAACAGGTGCTGGAGAGGATGTGGAGAAATAGGAACACTTTTACACTGTTGCTGGGACTGTAAACTAGTTCAGCCATTGTGGAAGTCAGTGTGGCGATTCCTCAGGGATCTAGAACTAGAAATACCATTTGACCCAGCCATCCCATTACTGGGTATATACCCAAATGACTATAAATCATGCTGCTATAAAGACACATGCACACGTATGTTTATAGCGGCACTATTCACAATAGCAAAGACTTGGAACCAACCCAAATGTCCAACAATGATAGACTGGATTAAGAAAATGTGGCACATACACACCATGGAATACTATGCAGCCATAAAAAATGATGAGTTCATGTCCTTTGCAGGGACATGGATGAAATTGGAAATCATCATTCTCAGTAAACTATCGCAAGAACAAAAAACCAAACACTGCATATTCTCTCTCATAGGTGGGAATTGAACAATGAGATCACATGGACACAGGAAGGGGAACATCACACTCTGGGGACTGTTGTGGGGTGGGTGGAGTGGGGAGGGATAGCATTGGGAGATATACCTAATGCTAGTTGACGAGTTAGTAGGTGCAGCGCACCAGCGTGGCACATGTATACATATGTAACTAACCTGCACAATGTGCACATGTACCCTAAAACTTAAAGTATAATAATAAAAGAAAAAAAAAGCAAACAATATATTGTATTCTTAAAAAATGCTAAGAGAGTGCATGTAAAATGTTCTCATCATAAAAATGATAACTATGTTAGGTAATGCATATGTTAATTAGCCAGATTTAGTCGTTCCATAGTGTATGTATATTTCAATTTTTTTTTTTTTTTTGAGACGGTCTTGCTCTGTCACCCAGGCTGGAGTGCAGTGGTGTGATCTTGGCTCACTGCAACCTCCGACTCCTGGATTCAAGCGATTTTAGTACCTCAGCCTTCTGAGTAGCTGGGATTACAGGTGCCCACCACCACACTTGGCTAATTTTTGTATTTTTAGTAGAGACGGGGTTTCCCCATGTTGCCCAGGATGGTCTCGAACTCCTGGCCTCAGGTGATTGACCCGCCTCAGCCTCCCAAAATGCTGAGATTACATGGGTGAGCCACCACGCCTGGCCATAATGTATGTATATTTCAAAGCAATATGTTGCACACAGTAAATACATCTAATCTAATTTTATCTGTCAATTAAAAACATTTTAAAATGGTCATACTAATTTCCCAGTAGAAATATATAAATATTTCTGTTTTCTCACTTCTAATTTTCATATGAGCAGATTTGTTAAGCTTGGGGAGAAATAACATCTAATATGCATATTCTGGATTATTAGCAAGATTGTATCTCATTTATCTCATTATCATTCCCCTCTCTTTTGTCACACTAAGCTGTTCCTTCTTCCATGTAATTCATCTCAGTGATGATACCACTATCCTTCCAGATGCTCAGGTCAGAAGTCTGGGGGTTATCTCTGAGTTCCCATCCCTCCTCCCCCACATCCACCCTCCAAATCCCTTTGTTTCTTATCCACAACATTATAATGACCTCCTAACTAGTCTCCTCCCTCCAGCCTACTCTCCCTCCAGTTGATTCTGTTCACTGTAGCAAGAGTATTTGTATTTCTGAAATACAAATCTGATTACGTCACTCCCCACAGCCCCAGCATTCTCCGGTGGCTTCCCATTTCTCTTTGGCCATTTCTCTTTGGCATGGTTTACAAGTCTCATCACAAGCTGGCTTCTCTGCCTACAGCCTCATATTTCTCCACTCCCTTCCTCAAAATTCTCACTCTGGTTTTGCTGAGTCGTTTTCAGTTTTAGGATGTATCTCTACTTGGAACATTCTCTTTTCTCCTCTGACTAATTCGTCTTTTTTCTCAGATGAGGTAGCATTTCTTTCAAATAGACTTTCCTGCTGCTCTAAAACTGTGTTGGTGACTGAGTGAGTGTGTGTGTGTGTGTGTGTGATTGTGTAGTGAGGGACAGGGTAGCCTGCAGGTAAAGTCTGTGGTTAGACTGAGTATAAAGAGTGCCTAGGTTAGAATCATGGCTCTGCTATTTCTCAACCATGGCACTTTGGGCAAATTCATTTCTTCACGACTCAAATTTTCTTACCTGTGAAATGGCAATAATAATAGTACCCACCTCCCAGAAATTGTTGTAAGAATCAAATAAATTAATACACATGTAATATGCTTGGGACAGTGATGGTCACAGAGTAAGTGCTCATTGAATTCTAGCTGTATAAAAATGATATTCCTTTTTTTTTTTTTTTGAGACAGAGTTTCATTCTTATTGCCCAGGCTGGAGTGCAATGGTGTGATATCAGCTCACTGCAACCTCCGTCTCCTGGGTTCAAGTGATTCTCCAGCCTCAGCCTCCAGAGTAGCTGGGATTACAGGCACTTGTCACCACGCCTGGCTAATTTTTGTATTTTTAGTAGACATGGGGTTTTGCCATGTTGACCAGGCTGGTCTTGAACTTCTGACCTCAGGTGATCCACTGCCTCGGCCTCCCAAAGTTCTGGGATTACAGGCATGAGCCACTGCACCCAGCCCTCTTTCCTTTTTTGTTATAATTATTTACTTGTGTATATTCTGCACTTTAGGCTCTTGTAGGGTAGAGATTATAAGTGTTTTGTCATTGTACCCTTCAAGGCTAGTGCAGAGCCTGTTCCATAGTAAAAATTCAATCAGAATTTACAGATTGATTGAAGGAATGTGGGAGGAAGATATCCTTGAAGCCAGTCTAACTGAAAAAAAAAGTGTTCTTCTCTAGCTTTTTTTTTTTTTTGGAGATAGAGTCTCGCTCTGTCACCCATGCTGGAGTGCTGTAGGATGGTCTCGGCTCACTGCAACCTCTGCCTCCTGGGTTCAAGTGATTCTCCTACCTCAGCCTCCTGGGTAGCTGGGATTACAGGCATGTGCCACCACGCCCAGCTAATTTTTGTATTTTTAATAGAGACGAGATCTCACCATGTTGGCCAAGCTGGTCTCGAACTCCTGACCTCAAATGATCTACCCGCCTCCGCCTCCCAAAGTGCTGGAATTACAGGCATGAGCTACCATGCCCAGCTGGTCATCTCTAGCTATTCTTAATTCAAGTAATGTTAATTGCTCTTGTTTCTGGGTTCTTAGCCAGTTTCTCTTAATCAAGCATCATATGATCAGCACATCATAGATTCTTTCCAGATCTTGCTTGTTCACTAGGTTTACCTAACTCTTTTTCTTAATACTTTGCTAGTGGAATAATGACCTCAGGCCTGCACAGTGGATCTTAGCTTCTTCCCGCTCATAGGACTTCTAGAAGCCCCTCAGCAGCAGCATTGATTGAAGAATCAGAGCAATGGGACCGAGTTTTCAGAGAAGAAGGGAAACGTGTAACAGGCTGTGAGAATGTTCTAAGCAAAATCTTGGTGCCAGGAATGTATTTAAAATGTTTTTATTATAGAGAATTTCAAACATATATACAAGTGGAGGAATAATGTGAAGAATCCCTACTTACTCATTACCCACTTTCAGGTGACATCAACCCATTCCCTGTCTTGTTTCACGTGATTATTATTTTGAAGCAAGTCCTAAAAACATCATGGAAACATACAATAGTATGATTTCATTAGCACATATTTCAATGTACCTGTCTAAATGATTTGGACTTTTTTCTTCATTTAAAACAAAACCAGGAAACATCAGGATGTCTTCTAGTAGGTGAATGGATAAATAAACTGTGGTATATGCAGACAATGGAATATTACTCAGCACTGAAAAGAAATGAGTTATCAAGCCATGAAAAGACCTGTAAAAAGCTTAAGTGCATATTACCGAGTGAAAGAAGCTAATCTGAAAAGGCCACATACTGTATAATTCCAACTATATGACATTCTGCAAAAGGCAAAACTATGGAGACAGTCAAAAGATGAGTGGTTGCCAGGGGCTGCAGGGAGGGAGGGATGAATAGTTGGAGTAAAAATTATTTTTAGGTCAGTGAAACTCCTCTCTGTGATACTACAATGGTGAATACATTTTTCTAAACCTCACACAATGAACAACACCAAGAGTGAACCCTAATGCAAACTCTGGACTCTGGGTGATAATAATGTGTCCATGCAGCTTCATCAGTTGTAACAAATGTCCCAGGCTGGTGGGGGGTGTTAATAATGGGGGAGGCTGTGCACTGGGGGACTGGGGACATGTGACAACTCTTTATACTTTCTGCTCAATTTTGCTGTGAACCTAAAGCTGCTCTAAAATATAAAGTGTATTTTTAAAAGTACAAGTATTATTTTGAAAAAAACAAAAGTAAAGACAAAAACCCCCAGCTTATTCGGGACCTTGTAATGAAGTGCTGATGAGTGACATTATCATGGTACTTTGGCCTAAGGACTCATGAATATAAAGATCTGGGCTGACGTGGCCTACTCCCAAACCTGAACTCAAATCTTGGAACTTACAATTTGGACAGAGCAGAAAGTCACCTTCCAATACCAAAGGGAAAGGATCCAGACAAAGATGTTGATGTCATAGAGGTCATTGGAAAATACATCCCCATCGGTATCCAGAAATCCTAGCATTTAGATCACTTGGGCAGGAGGCAGTGTCTGAGAGATTAACACAGCCTAGCATAGCCAATGGACCACGTAGAAGAACTCTCGTTTAAGGGGGCACAATACTATTTGTAAATTACAGGCACACATGCTTGTGTTAGACTGGCTGCTTCTCTCAGCTTGGTCTTTGGTTGTTTACCTATCTCATGACTAGAGTGAATTTTGCAATCCTGGGAGAGGCATGTTTTCTCTTGGCTCCCAGGAGCAGCATTTTTTTTTTTTTTAAAAGGTCTTTGGAGTCAGACAGAACTATGTGTGAATCCTATCTTTCCTACCAATGACGCTTAGATATTCTTCCTTATTAATAAAACAGGTTGGTCACAGCTACTTAGCAAAGCAATTG
Organism: Homo sapiens; assembly: GCF_000001405.40. Classification (NCBI taxonomy): domain Eukaryota; kingdom Metazoa; phylum Chordata; class Mammalia; order Primates; family Hominidae; genus Homo; species Homo sapiens. The sequence continues at coordinate 141,042,874 of NC_000007.14, forward strand.
TAAAATTAATAAGCATGATATGTGAACTACCTGGTGTGTGTTTGCCATTAGTCATTCCTTTCAGTTTAAAGTTGAACCTGCCCTCCTAGGAGTTACCAGAAACTTAGTATCTCTGGACTTGGTCAACAGAAATTTCATAAATTAGGCTGGGCGCAGTGGCTCACGCCTATAATCCCAGCACTTTGGGAGGCCGAGGTGGATGGATCACCTGAGGCCAGGAGTTCGAGACTAGCCCGGCCAACATGGGGAAATCCCGTCTCTACTAAAAATACAAAAATTAATCGGGTATGGTGGCGTGCATCTGTAATCCCAGCTACTCAGGAGGCTGAGGCAGAATAATCGCTTGAACCCAGGAGATGGAGGTTGCAGTGAGCCAAGATCGCACCACTGCACTCAAGCCTGGGTGACAGAGCGAAACTCCATCTCAAAAAAAAAAAAAAAAAAAAGGCAGGGCACGGTGGCTCATGCCTGTAATCTCAACACTGTGGGAGGCCGAGGTGGGAGGATCATTTGAGGTCAGGAGTTCGAGACCAGCCTGGCCAACATGGCGAAATCCCGTCTCTACTAAAAATACAAAAATTAGCCAGGTGTAGTGGTGCGCGCCTGTAGTCCCAGCTACTTAGGAAGCTCACTCCAGCCTGGGGAGCAGAACAAGACTCCATCTCAAAAAACAAAACAAAACAAAAAAAAAAAAAGAAAGAAAGGAAGAAGAAATTCCATAAATTAAACTCTGTTTCTGGCATTTATTACCAGTAGATCAGACTCCTGAGTAGACTCTTTTTAAAAAAGTTCTCCATATTTCTTAATTTCTGAATCCAAAAGTTTTCTCAAAGTTTTTTCCACAATTCTGCCCTGGGTGACAGGGAGTTCTTGTCCTCAGATACACACCAGAATGTTAGAAATTCTTAGTTAACGGAAACATCCTGCCTTTGAGCAGTCTAATGATAGGATTAGCATTCTGAGAATTCCACATTTGTATTTCATCATATCCTCCCTAACCCATTTTGAGTTCTTAATCGAGCCATAATGATTTGGAGAGAATGTATTATTTTCCAATAGCACCATGCGGAATCAGAGTTCCCAGGATGAAAGACAGGTTTGAAAGAGAGCTTGGAAACCCTCGAGGAACACTCATTTGCTTCCCAAATTGGACTGCAGTAAGCTTTCCCAGTGACAAGACTGACACTTCATTGGGTCTTTCTAGTATCTCTTTAGTCTCCGTGGCTTTACTCTCCCATTTCCAAAGTGATAGATAACAGTGTCAGTGGTCAGTATCCTCTGAATGGAGGCCGAATAACTTCATGTGATTTATTCATAATAATAGCATCATAATACGTACCCTAGAGGGTTAGGGAGTCAGGAGAGTGTTATGGTTAAACACAAGAGTTTCAAAGCCAGACTGTGGGTTTGAAGCCCAGCTCCACTATTTACTACCCATGTGACTTTGGACACATCACTTAATCCTTTTAAGCTTGACTTTCGTCATCTGTAAAATGGCGGTAATAATAGCACCTATTTTGTAGTGCTATTAAAATATTAAATGAGATAACCTCTGGTATTTAAGTGCTCTATAAAAATCTTTTTATGATTGTTCTTAAAAGTCTTAACAGAGATGAAAGATGAAAGTATTAAAGTGTGAAAGCCGCAGCACAGTAGGTGCTTACTAAATGCCAGAAGTTGATGATTGATTATTTTCTCTTTCTTTAACCCTTCCTTCTCCATCAAATGAGCAGTAAAAATGAAACACAAATGGCAAAGTAGTTAAAGTCCTTGACTCTGGACGCAGATTATTTGGGTTCAAACCTAAATCTGATGTTTACCAGCTATGTAATCTTAGGTAAGTTAATTAATTTCTCTGTGGCTCAGTTTCCTCATCTGTAAAGGAAGGATACTGATAGAACCTACCTCATAGGATTATTCTCAGGATTAAATGGGTTAATATTAGTAAAGTATTTAGTAACAGCCTCAACACACAGTTAGTGCTATATACATATGTAGTAAATACAAGATATTTAATTTGTAAATTTTTAGTACCGAATTCCGGGTGTGTATGTCCTCATTATGTAAATATATTACTATATGGTGAGCATAGACATCTTGAGGTTGCATAAACCATGGATTAATTGTATTGTAACAAATAGAGTTTGAAAGTTTAAGGAAGAGAAATATGAAAACCAAATTTATGTAGTTATAATAATAACTAACATTTATTCATTACTTGTTACAGATCAGTTAATGATTCAAATACTTGACGTAAATTATCTCATTTAATTACACCATAAGCCTTTGAGGTAGGAGCTATTATTATCCTTATTTTATAGATGAGGAAAATGAGGCGCAGAGAGACCATGTAACTTGCCTGAGGTCGCAGAGTAGAGCCAAGGTTTAAACTCTGAGCCTGACCTCATTGCCTTGGCATGTCCTCATCATGCTCCATGGCCTTTTTGATATGGGAAAAATGTGCTCTGCAGGTCATGGGCTTAGTCCAGTGCCCTGGACACTTTTTGAGTCATCAACCCCTTTGAGATGGGGTGGACCCTCCTCAGAAAAAAATGCACACACTTAGGTTAGTGTTTATCTTCTACATAGTCTAATGCTAGTTCAAAAATTCCAGTAGCATAAATCAAGTTTTTTTTCCCCCAAAATATATTGCACCGTTTATTCCAACATGTGTTTAAAAGCACAAAAATAGCCTGGGCAACATGGTGAGACTTTGTCTCTACAAAAACTTAGCCAGCCATGGTGGCTTGCACCTGTGGTCTCAGCTGCTCGAGAGGCTGAGGTGGGAGAATTGTTTGAGCCTGGGTGGCTGAGGCTGCAGTGAGCTGTGATTGCACCACTGCCCTCCAGCCTGGGCAACAGAGCAAGACCCTGTCTCGAAAAAAAAAAAAAAAGCACAAAAACGAATACCTAAAAAATGCAGGCACTCCTGGTTCTGCTAATTACACAAAAATAAACAGATTAAGGAATAAATTTGGATATACTGAAGGCTGGCTCAATGAAAAATAAGGTCATTAATTCAGACACAACACTGAGCTGGTGGTGTGGTTTCTCTGACAATTACATTAATGGTTAAACTTCCAAAGGCAGATAGGCAACAGATACTACAGAAGTTTTAGGATGTTTTTCTTGGGGAGTCATGGAGCAGCTATGCTTCACCACAGTTGCTGGAACACTTGTGTTGGCCAGAGTCCTGGGACTTTCCCTTGCTTTCCAAACAGGGAGAGTTTGACACTGCACCTACACTTGCTTAGGATCTGGCGTTCATCTATTGAAGCCACAGATTCCTTCGATTTTATCTTAAGCAACTGTATTAGTCTGTTTTCACACTGCTGATAAAGACATATCTGAGACTGGGCAATTTACAAAAGAAAGAGGTTTATTGGAGTTACAGTTCCATGTGGCTGGGGAGGCCTCACAATCATGGCTGAAGGCAAGGAGGAGCAAGTCACATCTTACGTGGATGGCAGCAGGCAAAGAGAGCTTGTGCAGAGAAACACCCATTTTTAAAACCATCAGATCTCGTGAGACCCATTCAGTATCACAAGAACAGCAGAGGAAAGACCCGCCTCCATAATTCAATCACCTCCCACCGGGTTGCTCCTAGGACATGTGGGAATTGTCGGAGTTACAATTCAAGATGAGATTTGGGCAGGGACACAGCAAAACCATATCAGCATCCATAGGCAACATTTACTGTTTTGATCACCTATTACACATTTGCTTTTTTTTCTGGATTAGGGCACCCTGAATTTCCTTTGGAAAACCATTTCTCCAGGACTCCATTCCTGTGGATTGTGGATTGGGTGGGGGCTCCCTTCTTTCTCCAGAGGCAGCACATGTGACCAAGGCCAGATTAATCAGGAGCAGGCCAGTGACCCAAACTGATCCAATCAATATGAATCCAGGGACTTACACCTGAGACACTGAGATTCTTCTTTGCTGGAATACAACCTGGGAGGATGAGAGCCGAGGAAGCTGCCGACTGAATGATAGTTGGAAAGAAACTGAGTCCTAACGACATCATTTGGGCTCCTGGATCAAGTCAGGCCTGAAAATCATTGATGTGGTTTGGCTCTGTGTCCCCACTCAAATGTCATGTTGAATTGTAATCCCCATTGTTGGGGTAGGGACCTGGTGGGAGGTGATTAGATCACGGGGGTGAATTTCTTCCTTGCTGTTCTCATGATAGTGAGTGAGTTCTCATGAGATTTGATGGCTTAAAAGTGTGTAGCATCTCCTCTTTGCACTCTCTCTCTCTCTTGCTCCACCATGATAAGACGTGCTTGCTTCCCCTTCACCTTCTGCCATGATCGTAAGTTTCCTGAGGCCTCCCAAGCCATGCTTCCTGTACAGCCTGTGGAACTGTGAGTCAATTAAGCCTCTTTTCTTTATAAATTACCCAGTCTCAGGTAGTTCTTTATAGCAGTGTGAGAACAGATTAATACAATCCCCGAGACTTTTCAATAACAAGCCCAAACCTTTTGCCTACAACAATTTGAGGTGAGTTTCTGTCACTTGCAACAAGAAGAGTCTTAACTAATGTTGCGTCTGACAATTGGACTATTGACCTTTGTATTATGCATGGTAGCTTGTGCCTCATTTATAAAGATGTATTTTTCTTTTAAAAACTTGTTTATGTCTTCTTTAAAAAATATAATAAACCTTTGTGATTTTTGAGAACTTTCAGAGATCTTCATGCATCCCTAATTATTAGTTACCCTTGTAGCATACATTATTTCCTAAATCAGCAATATCCACATGAGATAGCAACAAGTCAAAGACAAAAATGTTGCAGTGGGATTTCGATGCTCAGGTCAGGCACCAGAGACTTGGGGCACAGGATTCTCAAAATTAACGTTTTAGCAATTTTTTTATTGCTACATGATGTGGACTTCAGAATAAAGAGTAGACTAACTCTTCAATCTAAATCCTCAATACTAGACATTATATTTCCTTACTGTGTTAATTTGTCCTACTGCAATTTATTTCCTTTCCCTGTCATTTCATCAAGTCAGGATTCCCTCCCTCCCTCCCTCTCTCCCTCCCTCCCTCCCTTCCTTCCTTCCTTCCTTCCTGAGACAGAGTCTTGCTCTGTCACCCAGGCTGGAGTGCAGTGGCATGATCTCAGCTCACTGCAAACTCTGCCTCCCGGGCTCAAGTGATTCTTTCATCTCAGCTTCTTGAGTAGCTGGGACTACGATGTGAGCCACCACACCCAGCTACTTTTTGTATTTTTTTGGCAGAGACAAGGTTTCGCCATGTTACTCAGGCTGGCCTCAAACTCCTGGGCTCAAGCAACCCATCCGTCTTGGCCTCTCAAAGTGTTGGGATTATAGCATGAGCCACCACACCCAGCCTGGAATTTTCTTTCAAAAGCCTTCATATCTAATATCCATGCTCCTTGAGTTAGTCTGTAGCCTAACTGTATTTGGTAGCCACTAAAGCAAAATGAAAATATTGGAAATGTTCTAGCTTCTTGTTTAATTTAAAATAAAATTTAATCTTTCCCTAAAGTCCACAGTTTATTGACCTTTACATTTTAGATTTTTTGTACTTGTTGATACAGTAAAAGCAGAGACATTTAAATGAGTTTTAATTTAAGAGAAGCTGGTATTTGAGAAGTAAGATTTATGAAATGTCTATTTGAGGAGTGATTATTTGCATGTAAAATTATTTTTCACTTTAAACCAAGCTTTCTTTATATTTCCTATTAATATTCACCCTAGTGAGTTAACTATTTGACTTAATGTATAAAGTTTTACTTAAAATTCTAGAATTTCAGAGCAAGAATGGTACTTGAAGATACTTTTACATTTGAGGAAGTCAAGGAAAGAGGCAAGTAAAATATTTTATTCTGGCTGGGCACAGTGGCTCACATCTGTAATCTCAGTACTTTGGGAGGCTGAGGTGGGTGGATCACTTGAGGTCAGGAGTTTGAGACCAGCCTGGCTAACATGGCAAAACCCTGTCTGTACTAAAAATACAAAAATTAGCTGGGTGTGATAGCACATGCCTGTAATCTCAGCTACTCAGGAGGCTGAGGCAGGAGAATCCCTTGATCCCAGGAAGGGGAGGTTGCAGTGAGCTGAGACTGTGCTATTGCACTCCAGCCTGGGTGATAGAGGAAAAATCTGTCTCATATATATATATATATAATCTGCCTGTCACCGGTGTCTGCTCATGCCTCCATATAGGGGCAGAATATTACCCCACCCCATTTTCAGACTTGGCCATATCACTTGCTTGGGCCAATGGAAGAGACAGTAAGTATGCCAATTCTGAGCCAAAGCTGAGTTGAGTTGAATTCCGCCTTTTCCTCAATCACTCCACATCAGTACTTCTAAATCAGGAATTTCATCTGGCATTTGGTCATTGGTGGTGGCAAAAGTTGACTCACAAGTCCAGTTCTGTGGCACTGAAGCTGAGCCTTGAGACTGTTGCTCCAGCTTTCCAAATGATTCTGTGAGCTATTAATACTTTTTAATAAATCCCTTTTCTGCTTAAACTAACTGATGAGGATTCTTTTTTTTTTCACTTAAGACATCCTCTCTACTCCATAGACACATTTTCAGAAACACTTTTTTTGTGATGAGTTCAACTGCATGCTTTCTGAAGAAATGAGAAATAGGTATATTTAGCATGCTTTCTGAAAATATGGGAAATAGGTCTATTTAGCATTTAGTATTAAACATATGGTGTGTTTAATACTTTATATGATTTCCAACCCCCGTCCCCCCAGTAATCATGTTGGTGTAGATTAAAAAGGTATTTTACTCAGGATAGTTGAGGCTGTGAAGGACCAAGAATGCTCACACTCTTCTATAGGAATGGAAATTGCTATACACTTTTTTTGGTATGAAATTTATTAGTTCAGTTTTAAACAGCCTTAGTATTCTGCATATCATTTATTTCATCCATAATTTTTTTTTGCTTCATAGAAAGAGTTTAATAATCACAGGGCTGGCCAAGTGGAAGGATGGGAGTTAATTCTCAAATCTGTCTCCCAGATAATTTGAAAGCTAGGGTTTCTTAGGGATAGTTTGATAGACAGGGCACTAGGGAATGGAGACTGCTGATTGGTTGGGCTGGGGATGAAATCATAGGGCTGTCAAAACTGCCTTTGTGTGGTAAGTCAGTTCCTGGGTGAGGGTCATCAGTCTGGGAGATGTTATTCTACTAGAATGCAAAGTCTGAAAAATATCTCAAACCCCAGTCTTAGGTTTTACAATAGGAATGTTGTCTGTAGGGGTGATTAGAGAACTTACAAATTTTGTGCTCACCCCATGTGCCTCCTGAGCAGTAAACAATGACTAGTTATCATTTATGCCTGGGTCTTAGCAGAATTCAGGCCCCTCCCATAATTCTAACCTTGTGGGCTGTCATGAGTTTTACAAAGGCAATTCTATCCTTGAACAAGGAGGGGCTATTATCATCCTTGCTTTAAGGTTAAACTATAAATTAATTCCTCCCATAGTTAGCTTAGCATATGCCCAGGAAAGAGCAAAGACAGTTGGTTTGAGAGGTTAGAAGCAAGAGTGAGTTAGGTATGTCAGATTTCTCTCACTGCCATAATTTTTGTAAAGACAATTTCCATCCCCAATTTGAGCTTGACCGTACTTCATTCTTGAGTTGTGAGCTACAGAGATGGGAAAAGGCTAACGATTGCTTTAACTTCTTGCTGACAGGGGGGTGTAGTGGGGGTAAAAGTTGGCTTATTGGTAAGAGGAATAAAACCATTTTGCTATTGTCTGCATGTATTCATGGGTGTCTTGTGGGGATCTCGTATTAGTCAGGGTTCTCCAGAGGGGTGGAGCTAATGGATATATGTATATATGAAAGGGAGTTTATTAAGGAGAATTGACACACAGGATCACATGGTGAAGTCCCACGATAGGCCATCTGCAAGCTGAGGAGCAAGGAAGCCAGTAGTGTCTCAGTCCCAGTCCCAAAACCTCAAAAATAGGGAAGCCGACAGTGCAGCCTTCAGTCTGTGGCTGAAGGCCCAAGAACCCTTGGCAGACCACTGGTGTAAGTCCAAGAATCCAAAAACTGAAGAACCTGGAGTGTGATGTTTGAGGGCAGGAAGCATCCAGCACAGTAGAAAGATGAAAGCCAGGAGACTCAGAAAGCCAGTGTATCCCACCTTCTTCTGCCTGCTTTTTCTAGCTGTGTTGGCAGCCCATTGGATGGTTCCCACCCACCTTGAGGGTAGATCTGCCTCTCCCGGTCCACAGACTCAAATGTTAATCTCCTCTGGCAACACCCTCACAGACACACCCAGAAATAATACTTTGTATCCTTCAATCCAATCAAGTTGACATTTAATATTAACCATCACAGGTCCCAAGGCTTGCATGACAAAGATACTAGTACTCTCATCTACAGTTTTAGCACAGCACTAAAATGAACAGCAGACTGTAAGATAAGGAGTCCTAGCATAAGAACTGAAAGCCCTGGCTTCAGAAGCCCCTGTGGAACAGATCTGAAGTCTTCATCCATCAATTCTATAATGAAACTTTTTTAAGGACAAATCAGGGATGTATGAAAAGATAAAGGATGTCATAATAGCACTATTTGGAATAATATTTATAAGAAAAATGATATTTATCTATTTATTTATTTTTTGAGATGGAGTCTCGCTCTGTCGCCCAAGCTGGAGTGCAGTGGCACAATCTCAGCTCACTGCAACCTCCGCCTCCCGGGTTCAAACGATTCTCTTGCTTCAGCCTCCCAAGTAGCTGGGACTACAGGCATGCACCACCATGCCCGGCTAATTTTTGTAATTTTAGTAGAGGCGGGGTTTCACCATGTTGGCCAGGATGGTCTTGATCTCTTGACCTTGTGATCCACCCACCTCGGCCTCCCAAAGTGTTGGGATTACAGGCATGAGCCACTGCGCCTGGCTTGATAATAATATTTGTAATAAAAACTTGGCACTTAATATTCCAAGAACTGTAGGACAATTACAAAAGATGTAACATATGCAAAATGGGACTTCCAGAAGGAGAGGAGAGAAAGGAATAAAAAAATTATTTGAAGTCATAATGACTGAGAACTTTCCAAAACATCAAATCATAGATCTAGGAAGCTCAGAGAACACCAAACAGTATAAATATAAAAATATCTACATGTAGCCATATCGTATTCAAACTGCAGAAAATCAAAGACAGAGAAAAGACTTCAGATAGACTCATCATCATCATCCTTCAACAGTCACTGCATGTGATGTTGGATGATTTCCTCTTGGGGTTGGTTGGTCAACCATAATGGATATCATAGCCACAATCTTACCATGCCTTCTTCATCTCTGACTCTAAGGAGTCACCTTCCTTTCCACTGTTGCCTGGTTCTGTAGTCTGTAACAGATTCATAAGCTTTGTGCAGTGGCAGTAAGGTAGCCAATGAGGTTTATTTGAGGCGCAATTATTGCTAATTGAAACAGATTCGTAGTGCACAGAGAGTGGGATTTGTAGTTAACTACATCTAGATTTTTAAATCCCCACCCCACTGTTTACCAGTTGGATAAACTTGGGCAAACCACTCTCTGAGTGACTCTCTTCATCTGATTAAATGAAGATATTAGCAGTTCATAGGACTGTTGTGACAAAGCAGGTCACCAACAAATGGGAGCTGGATGCTCATAGTTTTTTTTTTTTTTTTGAGATAGAATCTCCCTCTGTCACCCAGGCTGGAATGCAGTGGAGGGATCTCAGCTCACTGCAGCCTCTGTCTTCCCGGTTCAAGCGATTTTCCTGCCTCAGCCGCCTGAGTAGCTGGCTCATTGCTTTTCTTCTGACTTGCCCTAACTTTCAGGTATCTGAGGCGGTTCAAGGGGTGCTGGTTTTCTTCACAAGACTGTCCTTTCACTGGTCCCAGAATCTTGCTTTCTGTTCATAATTCCTGCCTCCTCTCTGGCCTTTTCTCTTTCCTCATGTGGATGTTTGGGGTCCCATTATTTTGCTTCTTGATTCTGTTTCTGTGACACCACTAGTTCAGGAGTGGTGACTTACCCTCTCCACTGCCCCAGCTCGGTTCTGATTTGAGCTCCACCCCTGTCAGTTCCCTCCATAGCTGGCCTTGTAAACTTGGCAAAGTCACGTAAAGTCCTGTGCCATACGTGTGCTTTTTTACAGCAGGTGCCCATCAGACTGAAACGTACTGACCAGATGAGGGAGGAGATGGCCTTTGCCTCATAAATGTCATAAAAGGATGGAAAATTGAAAGCAATGAACAGAGAACCCTGGAAAAAATCATGATTTTTTTCCTCCTGAAAAGACTCTTCACTGTCAAAAAGAGTAAGGCAAAAATATATAGTTCAAAGCACTTAGAAGCAGAATTATCTCTAAGGAGAGTACTTTTAATTTTGGATGTCAATGGCTCCTTTATAGATTTTGTGCTTTTGAATGAATTTGTTCAGTAGGAATTTCGGGAAGGCTGGCTACATGGAGAATTAATCATACATATAAGCCTTTGAATGTGAGTACCTTTACTATCTTAATATGGCCATTATTTTCAGATGGTAATACATGTTCACTGTAGAAATCTAGAAAATACAAAAGCCCTTGAAGAGAAAATAACCCAGAAATAATCCTAACATTGTGGTATATTTCCTTGTCATTTATTTTTCTTTACAACATTTGGATCAGATTTTACTCATAGTTTTATATCTTACTTTTTGCACTTACCAGTATCTGTTTGAGTATTTCACTACATTCTTAAATATAACACCAACATGTTAATTTTAATAGCTGCTTGTCATTCTATTGAATGACTGTCTTATGACTTACTCAGCCAACCTCTGGTTTGTTACGAGTGAGCTGCTTTTTGCGCCTGTGTCAGCTGTGGCAGGCTGCGGCCGTGTGAGCATTCTGTAATGCAACGCCCTCGGCTGTGCCTCCGAGGCTTGCACAGGCCTTTGTTGACAAGCAATTTCTCTTCTAGAGTGGGGCGCTTCCTAGTAAGGCGGGCATCTTCAGGAAGTGGTGGCAGAATGGAAATCCCCACACTCAAGTTTCCCCTTGATAGGAATGACCTCCACTGCCAAGCTGGAGTCTGGGGTTGGCTGGGCTAATGTGGCTGTGTTGTGGTGGGCCAGGGTGTGTTTGTGGGTGTGTGCATGTGTGTGTGTGTGTGAGAGAGAGTGAGAGAGCATAGTCAATAAAGCCATCCACCACAAAATTGTCACGCACCCTCCAAGGATTGTGCAATTTTCTGTCTTTCCTGAGATGATCCCCCTTTGTCTGAGATGATGACTTCCCTTTGGCTGTGCTTTGATTTTTATTTGGACACCATGAACTGAGTGGTTTAAAAACAGATATTTGTTTTCTCACAGTTCTGGAGGCTGGAAGTCCCAGATCAAGGTGCTGGTGGGTTTAGTTTCTGCCAAGGGCTGTCTTCCTGGCCTTTGCTAAATCTCTTTGCAGATGGCCTCCTTCTCACTGTGTCCTCACGTGGCCTTTCTCCGTGCTCATGTGGAGAGAGAAAGAAAGAGAGAGATCTCTTCCTTTTCTTATGAGGTCACCAGTTCTATCAGGTCAGGGCCCCACCCCCCTAACCTTAGTTACCTCCCGAAGACCCTATCTCCAAATATAGTCACACTGGAGATTATGGCATCAACATACAAACTTCAGTGGAACACATTCATTACATAACACCTACATTATGGTCTTTTTTTTTTCCTACAGCATTTATCATCTTTTAAAATATGGCCAGGCACGGTGGCTCATGCCTGTAATCCAAGCTCTTTGAGAGGCTGAGGCAGGCAGATCATCTGAGATAAGGAGTTCAAGACCATCCTGGCCAACATGGTAAAACCCATCTCTACTCAAAATATAAAAATTAGCCGGGCATGGTGGTGTGCACCTATAATCCCAAATACTTGGGAGGCTGAGGCAGGAGAATCACTTTAACCCAGGAGGCGGAGGTGGCAGTAAGCTGAGATCACACCACTGCACCCCAGTCTGCGCAACAGAGAGAGACTCTGTCTCAAAAAAAAATTTTTTTTTTTATTAAGTTGCTTTTTACCCGTTTCCCATAGTAGAATATACGCTCCAGGAGGGCAGGGATCTTTGTTATTCATGGAGGTCTCCCAGGAACCTAGAAGAGTACCTGCATCTAGTAAGTGTAGAATGAATGAATGAGGTCAGCAACCATGGCTGTCAATGTGGGGAAATAAAAAAGGAAAAGGATACAATGAAGTCCTGGTAATATGTAGAAAATCCCCCTCCCCTGGAAATACTGGATATCTAGAAGGGGAATTGAGAGTTATCCCACTCTAGAACTGTCAATACCTTGTCCTGCAACATGTAAAAATGTCACTTGATTGGGCAGGATGTAAGGGAGACCCTCCACATTATGGTTCAAACGGGGGCAATGGTGCCATAGTCTACTCAGTCTACTATAAGAACATACCATAGACCAGGTGGCGTAAATGACAGAAATTATTTTTCACAGTTCTGGGAGTCCGAGATCAGGGTGCCAGCATGGTCAGTTTCTGGTGAGGGCTCAGATACTGGCTTGTAGACAGCTGCCTTCTCACTGTGTCTTCATGTGGCAGAGAGAGAACTCTGGTGTCTCTTCCTCTTCTTATAAGGGCACTAATCCCATCATGAGGGCCCCACCTTCATGACCTCATCTAAATCCAATTACCTTCAAAGACCCCATCTCCGAATACCATCACATTGGGCATTAGTGCTTCAATATAAGAATTTTTGGGGAACACAATTCAGTCTATAGGAGACAATGTAGCAAGTGATCAGGACTTTCAGGATCCGGCCTCAGAAGTCAGGTTGGAAGTAGAATGGGATGCTGTCCACATAACCTATGCCTCCTCAGCCCAGAATTCAACGATTGGAAAACATTGAGGCATTGCATAGGCCGAGGGGCATCGCTGTGCACTCATTCAGGTCAAAACCTGGCTGGGCAGCTGCCATTTCCTTTTCACTTTTCCAGATCTTGAGGAATTGTAGTCACTTACAGGTCTAATTTCTTACAAATCATGTTTTTCATGATTTTTAATGAATCATGTCTTGTTCTTTTTATTTATAAAAAAATACTGAGGCTTCTGGGATGGGGAATGCAGAGTCTAAGAAGTGGGTATCACACTATTTAAAATACTGTGATTAAAAAATATTTTAATATTTATGAAAGATTATCCCATAATAATATTTTCGCTGTTGTCATGAATATTTTTTCAGATTACCTTGAAAATTATTTTTTCAAGTTCCAAATCAAACAAATGGAGATTTCAATTGGCACCGTATTAAATCTATAAATGACTTTGAAAAGCATCGGCACTTTTATAGTATTGAGTTGTTTCATTTAGGAACATGGTAGGTTTTGTTTTGTTTTGTTTTGTTTTGAGACAAAGTCTTGCTCTGTCGCCCAGGCTGGAGTGCAGTGGTGTGATCTCGGCTCACTGCAGCCTCTGCCTCCTGGATTCAAGCGATTCTCTTGCCTCAGCTCCCGAGTAGCTGGGGTTACAGGTGGGCGCCACCACGCCCAGCTAATTTTTTTTGTATTTTTAGTAGAGATGTGGTTTCACTATGTTGGTCAGGCTGGTGTTGAACTCCTGACCTCAGGTGATCTGCCTGCCTCGGCCTCCCAAAGTGCTGGGATTACAGGTGTGAGCACCGCGCCTGGCCAGAACATGATAGGTTTTTACATTTTGTTTATATCATTTGTGTCTCTCAATGAAGTTTTGTAGTTTTCTTCATATCCTCTCCTTTCTTTGTAACTGTTATTCATAAGTGTGTTATAGTTTTTGTTATCTTGAATGGAAGAGTTTTCCAATATATTTTCTGATAATTAATTGCTATTATGTTGGAAAGTATTGATATCTGTTTATTTTTCTTATATTCAGCCATCTTATCCGACTCTCTTATTAGTGCTACTAGCTTGTTAGTTTATTCTTTTGAATTTTCAGTCATTTTCTGTGTATAGTGATAGTTTTGCATCCTCCTTTCCAATGGTTATAACACTTATTTTTGTTTCCTGCCCTTTTCTTGACCTCTAATATATTAAATAGTAGCCTGATGCAGTGGCTCACTCCTGTAATCCCAGCACTTTGGGAGGCTGAGGCGGACAGATCACTTGAGGTGAGGAGTTTGAGATCAGCCTGGGCAACATGGCAAAACCCCATCTCTACAAAAAAATACAAAAAAATTAGCTGGACATGGTGGTGCATGCCTGTAGTCCCAGGTACTAGGGAGGCTGAGGTGGGAGGATTGCTCTGGGCTCCTTGCTTGAGCCCAGGAGGTGGAGGCTGCAGTGAGCTGTTAAGTGTGCCACTGCACTCCTGCCTGGCTGACAGAGGGAGACCCTATCTCAAAAACCATCATATATATACGTATGTGAGACAGCATATTTATCTTGGTCCTGATTTTATTGGAATGTCTCTGAAGTTTCACTGTGTGCCAGTTCACCGTGTCCTGTTTGCCTTAACATCTGTTCCTTGCCCTTCCCCGCTCTGTTGTACTGCAGTGGACTGAAATCGGCGTGTCCCAAGGTTCCCATGTCAGCTGGCTTCCTGCTGAGTGCAGGCCCTGGGAGGTTCTGGCAAGAGATTGGTGAATAGAAGAAAGGGAGAAGCCCAGGTATTCCTCCCTTGTTCTCTGCCACAAGTAGCAACTCTAGCAACAGCTGCATCTGTTTCGTGGCTCCAGCTCTGGCCAGACAGGTGTCTCCATGGGTCCAGCTTCTGTTGGGCAAACCTGGTTCCAGGTTTCAGGAAATACTTCTTCCTTTTTTTGTTTCTTCAGCTAGGCTGCCCTTAGTCCCCAGCAAGAGGGTCCCTTCCCAACCCCACGTTAGAGGGCTCTGCATATTCCAAACACACACAAATAACTGAACTGAAGAATTCATGGTTGCCTCTGTGTCTTGAGTTCCTGCATCAGGTCTGCACAGCATGGGCTGTGACCCTAAACTTCTGCTCTTCTGGTTAACACAGAATGGGCCCCAGGAAAGTGCTCTGACATACCTCTTGGCCTGTATCCTCAAAACAAAAGACAACTGCATCTGAGTGCCATTAAGTGTTTTGGGTTGTGTTGCTGCTGATGTTGGGGGTGGATTCTGCTTTGATGTGCTGAGAGGATCTGAAGGTAGAAGCACTTAGACACAAAAGAGGACAAAATGATTAACTTGTCAATCTTTTCTCCCAGACAGCATGTGTTCAGTAGATTTTTGAATAAGGAAGTATAATTTCCCAGAAGTCATAAGTATCCATCTTCTGTCTTCCTTTGGTGTTCCACTTCGTGGTTCTGGAGTTACACGGGAATTAGGATGATATTTTGCAACAGTTGTACACGGTACCTGAGGACTGTTTTGCGATATTAAGCAATTCATGTTGCTCTTAACTATATTTCTCGACCCATTCTGAATTTTGGCCTAAAATACAGAAACATGCTAATGTCACATATCGTACATAGTTTAATGTGTTACTAAGAGATGTGGCCTCAGCTTGAGCCAATAGTTGTAAAATTCTTTGGAGAAATTAAAAGATTATAGGTATTTGTGCTATATCTTGAATTTATCCACAGACAAAGCACATTTAAATTTGATCTTATAGCCACTTGAAGACATATGATGGAAATTCTGACTAGAAAATGCTGCCAAAGTCATTAAATTTTATTTAGAAAATACATAAAATACATAAGGTATACTAGATATAAGATGTACCAGCTACCTGAAACAACAGATGATGCTCACATATAGAGCAAAATGTGGTCTTTGGTGGAAAAGGAAATCAATTTTGGATTTGTGCTATCCACAATTCTTTGATATGAACTATTGCTTGTTATTAATAATGTAAACAAAATAGGTAGGAGGTCCTGAAAGGGAGTCCTCCTTAAAAGGTTTCTGGCTTAGTTTCCTTTCTTTTGAGGATTTTTAACATATAAGCCAAACGAAATCCAAGGATTAAACTGAAAAAAAAAGTAAAAAAAAAAAAATGTACAGAAACAGAAATCTGTAAAAATTAGATCTGTAAAATCTTAGATCTGTAAAAATTCAGATCTAAGTTTGGCAATTTCTCACTTAATTTTTAAAATATATGTTTAAATTTTAAAGAAAATGTTTTTCTCCAAATAGAAATGAACTGCATGTGAAATCAAAATGATATTATAATAAAATATTAGGACATTAGAACAAGAAAATGAAAATGTCTTTATGACTTTAAATTAGTCAGGTGTGGTGGTGCATGCCTTTGTCTCAGCTACTTGGGAGGCTGAGGCATGAGAATGGCTTTCCCTTGAACAAGGCACATGTACCCTAAAACTTAAAGTATAATAATAATAAAATAAAAAAAAAGAAATATCCAGATTAGGCAAATCTAAAAAAAAAAAAAAAAGAAAGACTTTAAAGGAGAAGATTCATTATCCCAAAGTAATGTCTATAAAAACTATTTTCCAATCATTATAGATCAAGATATGGTCTTGATTAAAGACTGATTTTAATAAATTAAGCAGTATGTTTTGATTTTTGGTCTCCTTTATCCTAGCATTGGAATATTTGAAAGACGAACTTAAGAAATGTTATATGGATCTAGATATTACTTTAAGAGATGGTAAAAAAAAGGTATATATGATCGATCATGATTTATATGATAAAAGTAAAATATAATATTGTTCTGCACTATAAGCTTTTCATAGATGATTGTTACAGTGCTTGAAAATAACGTAAAATTTCAAAATAAGTATGCTTTAAAAATTTTACCAATACTTCCAATAAAAGTGTTACTGCCTCAGTAGAGTGAAATTTGTCCAAGTTGAAATTAATAATGCTAAAAAAACCTATCTGGCTGGGCATGGTAGCTCATGCCTGCAATCCCAGCACTTTGGGAGGCCAAGGTGAACAGATTGCTTAAGCCCAGAGTTTGAGACCAGCCTGGGAGCCATGGTGAAACCCCATCTCTACTAAAAATATAAAAATTAGCCAAATGCGGTGGCGTGCACCTGTAGTCTCAGCTTCTCAGGAGGCAGAGGTGGGAGGATCTCTTAAGCCTGGGAGGTCGAGGCTGCAGTGAGTTGTGATGGCACCACTGCAATCCAGCCTCTGCTACAGAGAGAGACCCTGTCTTGAAACAAAACAAAAAATGATCGAAAAATTACAATGAATCAAAAAGTTGTTAAGAACATTTGGCATTACCATCAACAGAAGTTATGTGAAAATCTTGATTATAGCAATAGGATTAATGATTTTTCTGGAGTAAACATCAAGAAAAATAAGAAAAAATATGTATAATTAGTTATGAATTATGAAATGCTTTTATTTTACTATGTATTTGAACATTGCTGGTTCACCAGCACATGCTATTTTGCCAACTTTTATTTATGCAAGAAACATAACTTGCTGGGCATGGTGGCTCATGCTTGTAATCCTAGTACATTGGGAGGCCAAGGCAGGAGGATTACTTGAGCCCAGGAGCTTGAGACCAGCCTGGGTAACATGGTGAAACCTCATCTTTACCAAAAAAATATGAAAATTAACCAGGTGTGGTGACACACGTCTGTAGTCCCATCTACTCAGGAGGCTGAGATGGGAGGATCAATTGAATCCAGGAGTTTGAGGTTGCAGTGGAGTACACCGCTGCACTCCAGTCTGGGTAACAGAATGAGACCCTGTCTCTATTAAAAAGAAAAAAAACTAAAATAACTTTACATGTATTTATTTCAAAATTTTGTCATCATAAAGGTATTTGTAATATAGAAGGATAGAACACACTTTGATTTAACAATTTGTCATTTGACTTATTTTAAACATTGAGACTTATGGTATGTGGACCTTCATTTGTATGCTTGCCCTGGGGTCTCTCAATGTTGCTTTTAACCCAGGGTGCTAGTGGCTTCCTGCTATCAACTTACTGTTGCCTACTTGGCTTTTTACCCTTTGATTTTGCACAAATAAGTAGATACATGTATATTTTCTTATGCTCCCTTTTTTTTCTGTATGAAAAGTAGAGTTATGGGTTGAAGTCCTAACCCTCAGTTCCTCAGAATGTGATCTTCTTTAGAAATAGTGTCATCATGGCAGGGTGCAGTGGCTCACGCTTATAATCCCAGCACTTTGGGAGGCCGAGGTGGGTGGATCACGAGGTGAAGAGATCGAGATCATCCTGGCCAACATGGTAAAACCCTGTCTGTGCTAAAAATACAAAAATTAGCTGGGTGTGGTGGTGTGCGCCTGTAGTCCCAGCTACTCGGGAGGCTGAGGCAGGAGAATCACTTGAACCTGGGAGGTAGAGCTTGCAGTGAGCCAAGATTGAGCCATAGCACTCCAGCCTGGCGGCAGAGCAAGACTCTGTCTCAAAAAAAAAAAAAAAAATCGCATAATCGTAGATGTAATTAATTAAGATAATTAAGATAGGTCAAACTGGAGTAGGGTAGGTCTCTATAGCAATATGACTGTTGTCCCCATAAGAAGAGGGAAATTTGGAGATGGAGATGCACAGAGGAGTGATGTGAAGATACACAAGAGGAGATAGTTATGTGATGACATGGGCAGACAAGTACAGAAGGATATCTGCTGGGTCATAGAGACATGTCTTTTTCATCTTAACAGTGACTCCTAATTGCCATCTAGAGTGGCTCTATCAGCTCATGCTCCCACCAGAAGTGCATGAGAGCATGTTTCTCTATGCCCCAGCCAACACTTGATATTAACAGACATGTAGATTTTTTCCCCATCTGGTGGGTAAACAACAGTATTTTAAAAACATTTGCATTCTGTAGATTACTAGTGAGGTTTTTTTCGTATGTTAATTTTCCATCTCAATTTCTTCTTCTGTAAATTGTCTTTTTATAAACTTTGCACATTTTTTTCTGTTGTGTTGTTTTATTCCTACTAGTTTGAAATATTTCTTTATGTAGGAGATGATCTTATTCATTTAAAATTATCTCTAGTTTAGGAACACCTTTTACATATCAAGAATGTTTGTTGGGTTTAATTGGTGGTCTTTTTAGCTTCTAGTGAGATGATCAAATGATGTTTATTTGACCTATTGATATGAGGCACCTGTAATTGTAAGGATCTTAAAAACCAGAGCAGTTAGATATTATGTGGGCAAGAGGAATGATACCAATGTGGAGCTTTCAAAACATGTTTAGAGGGTGTTTCTTTTTTTCTTTTTTTTTTTTTTTAATGTTTTTTTTTTTGTTATTATACTCTAAGTTTTAGGGTACATGTGCACATTGTGCAGGTTAGTTACATATGTATACATGTGCCATGCTGGTGCGCTGCACCCACTAACGTGTCATCTAGCATTAGGTATATCTCCCAATGCTATCCCTCCCCCCTCCCCCGACCCCACCACAGTCCCCAGAGTGTGATATTCCCCTTCCTGTGTCCATGTGATCTCATTGTTCAATTCCCACCTATGAGTGAGAATATGCGGTGTTTGGTTTTTTGTTCTTGCGATAGTTTACTGAGAATGATGGTTTCCAGCTTCATCCATGTCCCTACAAAGGGCATGAACTCATCATTTTTTATGGCTGCATAGTATTCCATGGTGTATATGTGCCACATTTTCTTAATCCAGTCTATCATTGTTGGACATTTGGGTTGGTTCCAAGTCTTTGCTATTGTGAATAGTGCCGCAATAAACATACGTGTGCATGTGTCTTTATAGCAGCATGATTTATAGTCCTTTGGGTATATACCCAGTAATGGGATGGCTGGGTCAAATGGTATTTCTAGTTCTAGATCCCTGAGGAATCGCCACACTGACTTCCACAATGGTTGAACTAGTTTACAGTCCCACCAACAGTGTAAAAGTGTTCCTATTTCTCCACATCCTCTCCAGCACCTGTTGTTTCCTGACTTTTTAATGATTGCCATTCTAACTGGTGTGAGATGATATCTCATAGTGGTTTTGATTTGCATTTCTCTGATGGCCAGTGATGATGAGCATTTCTTCATGTGTTTTTTGGCTGCATAAATGTCTTCTTTTGAGAAGTGTCTGTTCATGTCCTTCGCCCACTTTTTGATGGGGTTGTTTGTTTTTTTCTTGTAAATTTGTTTGAGTTCATTGTAGATTCTGGATATTAGCCCTTTGTCAGATGAGTAGGTTGCGAAAATTTTCTCCCATGTTGTAGGTTGCCTGTTCACTCTGATGGTAGTTTCTTTTGCTGTGCAGAAGCTCTTTAGTTTAATTAGATCCCATTTGTCAATTTTGGCTTTTGTTGCCATTGCTTTTGGTGTTTTGGACATGAAGTCCTTGCCCACGCCTATGTCCTGAATGGTAATGCCTAGGTTTTCTTCTAGGGTTTTTATGGTTTTAGGTCTAACGTTTAAATCTTTAATCCATCTTGAATTGATTTTTGTATAAGGTGTAAGGAAGGGATCCAGTTTCAGCTTTCTACATATGGCTAGCCAGTTTTCCCAGCACCATTTATTAAATAGGGAATCCTTTCCCCATTGCTTGTTTTTCTCAGGTTTGTCAAAGATCAGATAGTTGTAGATATGCGGCATTATTTCTGAGGGCTCTGTTCTGTTCCATTGATCTATATCTCTGTTTTGGTACCAGTACCATGCTGTTTTGGTTACTGTAGCCTTGTAGTATAGTTTGAAGTCAGGTAGTGTGATGCCTCCAGCTTTGTTCTTTTGGCTTAGGATTGACTTGGCGATGCGGGCTCTTTTTTGGTTCCATATGAACTTTAAAGTAGTTTTTTCCAATTCTGTGAAGAAAGTCATTGGTAGCTTGATGGGGATGGCATTGAATCTGTAAATTACCTTGGGCAGTATGGCCATTTTCACGATATTGATTCTTCCTACCCATGAGCATGGAATGTTCTTCCATTTGTTTGTGTCCTCTTTTATTTCCTTGAGCAGTGGTTTGTAGTTCTCCTTGAAGAGGTCCTTCACATCCCTTGTAAGTTGGATTCCTAGGTATTTTATTCTCTTTGAAGCAATTGTGAATGGGAGTTCACTCATGATTTGGCTCTCTGTTTGTCTGTTGTTGGTGTATAAGAATGCTTGTGATTTTTGTACATTGATTTTGTATCCTGAGACTTTGCTGAAGTTGCTTATCAGCTTAAGGAGATTTTGGGCTGAGACAATGGGGTTTTCTAGATAAACAATCATGTCGTCTGCAAACAGGGACAATTTGACTTCCTCTTTTCCTAATTGAATACCCTTTATTTCCTTCTCCTGCCTGATTGCCCTGGCCAGAACTTCCAACACTATGTTGAATAGGAGCGGTGAGAGAGGGCATCCCTGTCTTGTGCCAGTTTTCAAAGGGAATGCTTCCAGTTTTTGCCCATTCAGTATGATATTGGCTGTGGGTTTGTCATAGATAGCTCTTATTATTTTGAAATACGTCCCATCAATACCTAATTTATTGAGAGTTTTTAGCATGAAGGGTTGTTGAATTTTGTCAAAGGCTTTTTCTGCATCTATTGAGATAATCATGTGGTTTTTGTCTTTGGCTCTGTTTATATGCTGGATTACATTTATTGATTTGCGTATATTGAACCAGCCTTGCATCCCAGGGATGAAGCCCACTTGATCATGGTGGATAAGCTTTTTGATGTGCTGCTGGATTCGGTTTGCCAGTATTTTATTGAGGATTTTTGCATCAATGTTCATCAAGGATATCGGTCTAAAATTCTCTTTTTTGGTTGTGTCTCTGCCCGACTTTGGTATCAGAATGATGCTGGCCTCATAAAATGAGTTAGGGAGGATTCCCTCTTTTTCTATTGATTGGAATAGTTTCAGAAGGAATGGTACCAGTTCCTCCTTGTACCTCTGGTAGAATTCGGCTGTGAATCCATCTGGTCCTGGACTCTTTTTGGTTGGTAAACTATTGATTACTGCCACAATTTCAGAGCCTGTTATTGGTCTATTCAGAGATTCAACTTCTTCCTGGTTTAGCCTTGGGAGAGTGTATGTGTCGAGGAATGTATCCATTTCTTCTAGATTTTCTAGTTTATTTGCGTAGAGGTGTTTGTAGTATTCTCTGATGGTAGTTTGTATTTCTGTGGGATCGGTGGTGATATCCCCTTTATCATTTTTTATTGTGTCTATTTGATTCTTCTCTTTTTTCTTTATTAGTCTTGCTAGCGGTCTATCAATTTTGTTGATCCTTTCAAAAAACCAGCTCCTGGATTCATTGATTTTTTGAAGGGTTTTTTGTGTCTCTATTTCCTTCAGTTCTGCTCTGATTTTAGTTATTTCTTGCCTTCTGCTAGCTTTTGAATGTGTTTGCTCTTGCTTTTCTAGTTCTTTTAATTGTGATGTTAGGGTGTCAGTTTTGGATCTTTCCTGCTTTCTCTTGTAGGCGATTAGTGCTATAAATTTCCCTCTACACACTGCTTTGAATGCGTCCCAGAGATTCTGGTATGTGGTGTCTTTGTTTCGTTGGTTTCAAAGAACATCTTTATTTCTGCCTTCATTTCGTTATGTACCCAGTAGTCATTCAGGAGCAGGTTGTTCAGTTTCCATGTAGTTGAGCGGCTTTGAGTGAGATTCTTAATCCTGAGTTCTAGTTTGATTGCACTGTGGTCTGAGAGATAGTTTGTTATAATTTCTGTTCTTTTACATTTGCTGAGGAGAGCTTTACTTCCAAGTATGTGGTCAATTTTGGAATAGGTGTGGTGTGGTGCTGAAAACAATGTATATTCTGTTGATTTGGGGTGGAGAGTTCTGTAGATGTCTATTAGGTCTGCTTGGTGCAGAGCTGAGTTCAATTCCTGGGTATCCTTGTTGACTTTCTGTCTCGTTGATCTGTCTAATGTTGACAGTGGGGTGTTAAAGTCTCCCATTATTAATGTGTGGGAGTCTAAGTCTCTTTGTAGGTCACTCAGGAGTTGCTTTATGAATCTGGGTGCTCCTGTATTGGGTGCATAAATATTTAGGATAGTTAGCTCCTCTTGTTGAATTGATCCCTTTACCATTATGTAATGGCCTTCTTTGTCTCTTTTGATCTTTGTTGGTTTAAAGTCTGTTTTATCAGAGACTAGGATTGCAACCCCTGCCTTTTTTTGTTTTCCATTGGCTTGGTAGATCTTCCTCCATCCTTTTATTTTGAGCCTATGTGTGTCTCTGCACGTGAGATGGGTTTCCTGAATACAGCACACTGATGGGTCTTGACTCTTTATCCAACTTGCCAGTCTGTGTCTTTTAATTGCAGAATTTAGTCCATTTATATTTAAAGTTAATATTGTTATGTGTGAATTTGATCCTGTCATTATGATGTTAGCTGGTGATTTTGCTCATTAGTTGATGCAGTTTCTTCCTAGTCTCGATGGTCTTTACATTTTGGCATGATTTTGCAGCGGCTGGTACCGGTTGTTCCTTTCCATGTTTAGCGCTTCCTTCAGGAGCTCTTTTAGGGCAGGCCTGGTGGTGACAAAATCTCTCAGCATTTGCTTCTCTATAAAGTATTTTATTTCTCCTTCACTTATGAAGCTTAGTTTGGCTGGATATGAAATTCTGGGTTGAAAATTCTTTTCTTTAAGAATGTTGAATATTGGCCCCCACTCTCTTCTGGCTTGTAGGGTTTCTGCCGAGAGAACTGCTGTTAGTCTGATGGGCTTTCCTTTGAGGGTAACCCGACCTTTCTCTCTGGCTGCCCTTAACATTTTTTCCTTCATTTCAACTTTGGTGAATCTGACAATTATGTGTCTTGGAGTTGCTCTTCTTGAGGAGTATCTTTGTGGCATTCTCTCTATTTCCTGAATCTGAACGTTGGCCTGCCTTGCTAGATTGGGGAAGTTCTCCTGGATAATATCCTGCAGAGTGTTTTCCAACTTGGTTCCATTCTCCACATCACTTTCAGGTACACCAATCAGACGTAGATTTGGTCTTTTCACATAGTCCCATATTTCTTGGAGGCTTTGCTCATTTCTTTTTATTCTTTTTTCTCTAAACTTCCCTTCTCGCTTCATTTCATTCATTTCATCTTCCATTGCTGATACCCTTTCTTCCAGTTGATCGCATCGGCTCCTGAGGCTTCTGCATTCTTCACGTAGTTCTCGAGCCTTGGTTTTCAGCTCCATC
The DNA here is from genome assembly GCF_000001405.40 of Homo sapiens. NCBI lineage: Eukaryota > Metazoa > Chordata > Mammalia > Primates > Hominidae > Homo > Homo sapiens. Next base: position 141,066,868 of record NC_000007.14, read on the forward strand.
AGCTCCTTTAAGCACTTCTCTGTATTGGTTATTCTAGTTATACATTCTTCTAAATTTTTTTCAAAGTTTTCAACTTCTTTGCCTTTGGTTTGAATGTCCTCCCGTAGCTCAGAGTAATTTGATCGTCTGAAGCCTTCTTCTCTCAGCTCGTCAAAATCATTCTCCATCCAGTTTTGTTCCATTGCTGGTGAGGAACTGCGTTCCTTTGGAGGAGGAGAGGCGCTCTGCTTTTTAGAGTTTCCAGTTTTTCTGTTCTGTTTTTTCCCCATCTTTGTGGTTTTATCTACTTTTGGTCTTTGATGATGGTGATGTACAGATGGGTTTTCGGTGTAGATGTCCTTTCTGGTTGTTAGTTTTCCTTCTAACAGACAGGACCCTCAGGTGCAGGTCTGTTGGAATACCCTGCCGTGTGAGGTGTCAGTGTGCCCCTGCTGGGGGGTGCCTCCCAGTTAGGCTGCTCGGGGGTCAGGGGTCAGGGACCCACTTGAGGAGGCAGTCTGCGCGTTCTCAGATCTCCAGCTGCGTGCTGGGAGAACCACTGCTCTCTTCAAAGCTGTCAGACAGGGACACTTAAGTCTGCAGAGGTTACTGCTGTTTTTTTGTTTGTCTGTGCCCTGCCCCCAGAGGTGGAGCCTACGGAGGCAGGCAGGCCTCCTTGAGCTGTGGTGGGCTCCACCCAGTTCGAGCTTCCCGGCTGCTTTGTTTACCTAAGCAAGCCTGGGCAATGGCGGGCGCCCCTCCCCCAGCCTCGTTGCCGCCTTGCAGTTTGATCTCAGACTGCTGTGCTAGCAATCAGCGAGATTCCGTGGGCGTAGGACCCTCTGAGCCAGGTGTGGGATATAGTCTCGTGGTGCGCCGTTTCTTAAGCCGGTCTGAAAAGCGCAATATTCGGGTGGGAGTGACCCGATTTTCCAGGTGCGTCCGTCACCCCTTTCTTTGACTCGGAAAGGGAACTCCCTGACCCCTTGCGCTTCCCAGGTGAGGCAATGCCTCGCCCTGCTTCGGCTCACGCACGGTGCGCGCACACACTGGCCTGCGCCCACTGTCTGGCACTCCCTAGTGAGATGAACCCGGTACCTCAGATGGAAATGCAGAAATCACCCGTCTTCTGCGTCGCTCACGCTGGGAGCTGTAGACCAGAGCTGTTCCTATTCGGCCATCTTGGCTCCTCCACCCGAGGGTGTTTCTTTGAGAGTGAGGAAGTCATCGTTAGAGGCTAGGCTGAAGCCCTGGGCAGGGTCTTATAGAGATGTAAAAGGTCTGAACTTTAAGGTACAGACAAAGTGAAACTACTGCAGAATTTTATTTTATTTTATTTTTAAGACAGACTCTCATTCTGTCACCCAGGCTGGAGTACAGCAGCATGATCTCCGCTCACTGCAGTCTCTACCTCCTGGATTCAAGTGATTCTCGTGCCTCAGCCTCCCGAATAGCTGGGATTGCAGGCCTGCACCACCATGCCTGGCTTATTTTTGTATTTTTAGCAGAGATGGGGTTTTGCCATGTTGGCCAGGCTGGTCTCGAACTCCCAGACTCAAGTGATCTGCCCTCCTTGGCCTCCCAAAGCTGGGATTCCAGGCGTGAGCCACTGTGCCCAACCCTACTACAGGATTTTAAAGGATAACTGTGGAATTTAAGAAGATTAATATGGTGGTGGGGTGGAGGAAGATGAGGAAGAAGAGAAGGAAGGTAGTTAAACTAATATGACTCTCTAAAGCTGACTTTTTTTTTTTTTTTTTGATACTGAGTCTCACTCTGTCACCCAGGTTGGAGTGCAGTGGTGTGATCTTGGCTCACTGCAACCTCTACCTCTTGGGTTCAAGTGATTCTCCTGCCTCAGCCTCCCAAGTAGCTGGGATAACAGGCACCTGCCACCATGCCTGGCTAATTTTTGTATTTTTAGTAGAGATGGGGTTTCACCATGTTGGCCAGGCTGGTTTCAAACTCCTGACCTCAAGTGATACCCTGCCTCGACCTCCCAAAGTGCTGGGATTACAGCCATGAGCCACCCTGCCCAGTCTTAAAACTGAGATTTAGAAAGAAGATCTGCATGAGAAAAGAAAGATACCTGTTTGCCCATAAATACTAGCATGTCATTGACCTGGGAACTGTGTCAGGAGGGCTAGAGCTCAAAATAACTTTTGGGTTACAAATAATGTCCAAATTGTGCAAAGTTAATTACGAAAAAAGAAATAAGAATATGTAGGGAAACTTTGCTCTAGACAAATGGTGTATTTTTTTTTTTTTTTTTTTTTTTGAGGCAGGGTCTCTCACTCTGTTTTCCAGGCTGCAGTACAGTGGTGCCATCATGGCTCACCACAGCTACGACCTCCCAGGCTCAAGTGATCCTCCTACCTCAGCCTCCTGAGTAGCTGGGACCACAGGTGCATGCCGCCACACCCAGCTTTGTAGACATAGGATCCCACTATGTTGCCCAGGCTTGTCCAAACTCCTGGGCTCAAGCAATCCTCCCATTTTGGTCTCCCAAAGTGCTGTGATTAGAGGTGTGAGCCACTGCACCTGGCCAAATTGTGTAATATTAATATTGATATGTGGCAGAGAGAAAGAACATCTCATCAACTTGTTTTGCTTTCAATTGACAATGTCAAAGAGAGATTTTCAGGCCGAAGGTGTGGTATAGCGTAGAACAATATGGTAACTGAAGGCAGTTCAGAAGGGGTGAAGAAATTGGAGGAAAACATCTGTCTGCTCCAGGTGAACTGTGTTCCAGGAAATGGAGAGAACTTTGAATGATGTCTCAACCTTTGTCGGTGACTTTAGAGAGAGCTTGTAGAATGTTAATATTGCTTTAAAAAAGGGAGTGGGTGGGTGTGAACAAATGAAACGCCAAATTTGAAAAATGCAGATTTCACAAATCACAGATCAATGACCTTAATGCCATTTTGGAGCAAGATTCTAGGAATGGCTTAAGAAGGGGATGACTTATGGGCTCCCAGAAGAGGAAGTGAGGATCATTAGAACTCCACAAAGGATATATAAGAACTCCACATATAAGAACATGACAGACTTACCAAATTTTCTTCATAGGTTTACATGACTTCTAGATGAAGGAGGTATTAGCTAAAAGGAACACTAACAACCAGAAAGTATCAGAAACCAGAGAAGAGCAAGCACAAGAATGAACAAGGGGTATTTAGTCTGGAGGAAAGAAGATGTAGGAAGAACATGATGACTGATGTCAAGGGCAAGAAGGACCACTAAATGGAAGACAAATCAGGCCTCATTGTGGGCCTCTAGAAAGCAAAAACAAAAGCCAATGAGTATAATTATACAGACTTAGGAGAAAGCTCAGTATAGGGAAGAACTGTGTAGCTACTTTCACTGTCTGAAGTGGAGTGGGCCGCTTGCAGACAAAGTGATTCCCCCATCACTTCAAGTGTGCAAGCAGAAGCTGGTCATTCACTCTTTGGAAAATGTTGTAAAAGAGATTCATGCATTATTACATGTGTGTTTGACTCTAGACTCTTCTGATTTTGAGATCCTATGATCTGGGATGGTGTTGGTGCAAATGGGAAGAAATAGGTTGGAAACCCAAAGATGGTGATGCTATAGCTAGCAGAGTGGAAGGAATCGGAAGCAGGCAGCAGGAAGAAACTTAGATCACCCAATTAAGAAAAGATAGTCATGCAACCGTCTTAGCCCCGAGGACCAGGATCATCCCATAATAATATAGGGCTGCCCAAGGTAATTGCACTTCAAAGGAGGCCATGAATCAATAACTTTATAGGATTTTTGGGATTTCATCAAGGACAAACATTTCAAAATAGAATTTTAATGATGTTCAGTAAAGAGGAGGATAGTGTACCATTTGGGTTCCCACTGCAAGCAGGGCCCGAAATACAGGACTGCTGAGGACCTTGGGGAGTGGGCCAGGCACATCCTTGGAAGCAGGCCTCAGGTACAGGCCAGGAGAAACTAGATGGGTGGCACAATGGAAGAGGAAGGAAAGATAAGGACAAAATAAACAGGTACATTTACTAGGAATGAACAACTGCCTGGACTGCCAGTGGTCTCAGGGGCACCCCCTTCGGCCGGGTTTAAGAAGAGAGGAAAGCTGGAAACCAGGAGACTGGGGCTTGAAGGCCCCCTGTGCCCTGATTTCGCGAGTGACCTTGTAGATGTCATTTCACCCCTTTTCTACCTCCCTGTTATCAAATGCAGGCAGCTTGTTAGCCTAAAAGTGCTCTCGACTTTAGTGAAGAAGATAACTTTAGAAATTTAAGACGTTGTCTGCATGAGTGCAAAGTGTTTGCGCTTATTTGTTTCTCTATTTTCAAGGTTGGGGGAGGGTGCACTGGTTAAGGGGGGTGGGTAGAAAGGAAGATTAGAAGACACTGGGGCCAAAGTCACTTGACTCCATCTCGACATCCTAGGGCAGCCAGAGGGCAGAGATCTGGCCAAGGGCGCATGCCTGCAGTCCCTCGACCAGCCGGGCACCCGAGAATCCAGCGGGCCTCCTCAGGCTCTGCTGTCCCTTGGGCAAATCCCATTGCAGAATCCAGGGGTGAAAAGCGAAAGCGAGGCACGCCCCTCCCCCACTAGATGGCACTGAAACGCCTCGTTCGCGCTTTTCAAAATGCAGGAAGGGCGGGGGAGAGAGAGAGAGAGAGAGAGGGAAAAAAAAAAAGACAAAAAGAATATGGTGGAGGTGCGCTCATTTTGGCTCACAAGCCCCGTTGTGCAAAGCAGGGTGTCAGAGACTCTCTTTTTCCCCAGGGCAACTCTTTACCCGGCAATGCCGGACCTCGACTTTGGGGTGAGGGTGAAAACGAGGGGTGAGCATTAGAGTGAAAAACCCAGCGTTTGATGCCGGGAGGGAGGGTCCCAGCCTTTGCGGCGCCGTCTCACGTGAGCAGAGCAGGGGGGCTGAAGTTGGGATGAAGCGGGGCTTGCCTGGGGCCCACCCGCTCAAGGTCTGGGGTCCGGCGCTACCTCCCAGAGCCCCTGCAGAGCCTAAATCCAGCGGCCACCCTTACAAAATGACAAACCCTGCATCGAGGTTTCTTTTAACCCCACCTTCCCTCAACGCTCGAGCTCTCCAGCGTTTTCAAAATATCTACTAACGGACCACCCCCCATCCACCATTAAATTTCTCTCGTCTTGAGTCGATCAGCCAAATTTCTTCTTTCTGTTCCTGCCGAGGAGGGAGGGCAGGTGGAGGTGGGTGTGTGTCGGGGTGCCTGGCTCTGGCTTGGGACTGGACTGGGGCTGGCCGGATAACTCCGCAGCCGCTCTCAGCTCAGTCCTAGGTGGAAACGCCTGTAGCTTGCAAGGTAGCGCCTGTGGCTTTCTGGGGAAAAAAAGATCAAATGCCTCCCAAGACACCAGCGACCCAAACCGGGGATGCAGGGAGCTCGCTTGGCCCCTTTGAAGGCCGACTCCGCAATAAGCAGTTTTTCCTTTAAATAACCGTAGTGGATTTGAGAGAATTTTCCATGGCTGAAAAGAGAAACAGGAGCTGTAGGCAACATCCCTAAATTTATAATAATGCATGTAAACATGCTACATACCACATATATGTATATGTGCATAAATATGGATGTGGTTGGGCACATACCTATCTAGACACCATTGACTTGCCTGGTCAAAGAATAAGACTTAGACATTTCGTGCCTGGGAAATGGTGCAGTTTATCTTTAAGGAGACTAGAAAAATAAGAGATGAGGCTCACGTTGCACGGATGACATCACTAGCTTTTGGCTGCGCGCTCGGTGTTCTCGTCTGTGGGTTTTAGCCAAGGCTGCAGCTACCCGCGCCGGACGAGAGAGCGCGGCAGCAGCTTCCTCCGGCGCCCGCACCCGGGCAATGCGATTTCCCCAGTCCCCTGGGCGCAGCCTGGGCTCTCGCGCCTCCCGGGCACCAGCCGAGCCTGCGAGGCCTCGGAGCCGCCGCGGCTAGAGGAGGAGGCGACGAGGGGAAGCCGAGTGACCCAGCCTCCCTCCCCCACCCTCTCCCCATTCATCTCGGCGACCACCGCGCGCCGGGAGCCGGATCGTGGGACGCCGAGGCCAGGACGGGATTCTCTGCACGCTGTCGAGTGAGCCGGCATCTCGGCGCCCGGGTGGGCTGCGAAGAAAATGGTGCAATCTGAGAGCGACTGAGCCCAGCTGGGCAGAGCAGACGGGGTGCCAGAGTGCCAAGGGCTCAGGTGCCTGGAGAAAGGGGCGGATTGTTTGGAGGGGCCGGGACCGGGGTTTTCTTCGGTGCCTGCGGCATTTTCTTTGCACCTGGGCGGCAGGCTCCCGGGGCTCCCGGGTGCCAGATGAAGTGAGGCGGAGGCGTCGCGGGAGAGCCGGGTCCGGAGGCGGTCGGGTGGACACTCCAGGCAGAAGACGGCGCTGGGAAGAGCTGCGTGACGCTCGGGGGCTGGCGGCTGGGCCGGCAGCGCGCCGTGGCGGCGTGACCTGTCCATGGTGTTGAAGGCGCGGTGGGCCGAGCCCCTAGCGCCGCGCGCAGTGAGCGCTGCCTGGTGCACCCTCCGCCGCGCAGCCCGCCCCTCGCGTCCGCCAGCAGCCGCCCAGTCTCCGCAGATCCCAGGCCGGGTCTCGTCCGGTAACGCCGCCCGGGTGAACACGCTGTCGGCCCGAGGGGCCGCCTGAATGGCGATGCCAGAGGCAGGGCACCGGGGAGCTCGCGGGGAAAGGTCGGCCGAGAGCGTGCGTCCGCGGGGAGTGCGCCTCTGAGCGCAGCACGCGGGTCAGAAGGAGCAACCGACCTGCTGGTGACCAGAGAACGGAGATTTTAAGAGGACCCGACCCAAAGAGGAAGAACATTTCTGGGTGCGCGCCCCAGGTCTTTGCTTGCAGACGGGGAGGGGGAGAGGCTCTGAGCCAGAGACCCAGGAGGGACTCCGAGAAGCCGGCCCCAGCACCTGGAGGTTTCTTTCGCCCGCCGGCCGCATCCGGGGCGTTCTACTTCACCCGGTGGTCCAGTGGCGCCTCCTGACAGCACCCCCCGTCCCCCTCAGAGAGACAGGCGAGTTCTGTCCCGTCACCATCCTGCACAAAGAAGCCCCACCGCAGCCGAGGACACTTGGCATTTAGTTTCCGGCCCGAGGGCAGCGGCGCCCGAAGCCGGGCTGGGAGCCGAGGCGGCTGCTTCGGGGCAGTCGCTTCCTGCGGGGCGGGGAGGGGGCGGGAGGCGGCCGCGCTGGGTTCGCCGCCGCCGGAGGCTGCACCTGCCTCAGAGGATGCCCAGGAGCCCGCGGGAGCCTCTCCGGATCAGAACTTTTTAGGCCGCCCGCCCCCATCCCCGCAGTCCCCGGGCCGTGCTCCGGTAGGCGGGGGCCGAGGGGGCGCCGCGGCGCGAGTCCCTCTCCTGCCCCCTCCCCCAGCTCGGCCGCCCGCCGCTTTGTTCCGGGTGCGGCGAGGGAAGGCGAGGCTGCGGCGGATCATGCCCATGGTGTAGCCGCCAAGCGGAGGCATGGCTGCCGGAAGGTTACTGCTCTACACTGGCCTCTCGCTAGCGCTCTGCGCCCTCGGCATGCTGGCCGTGGCCATCTGCTCGGACCACTGGTACGAGACGGACGCCAGGAAGCACAGGGACAGGTGCAAGGCCTTCAACACCCGCCGGGTCGACCCCGGCTTCATTTACAACAATAACAACAACTTGCCGCTCCGGGCGAGCCGCTCGCGCCTGGACCGCTGGGAGGGCAAACTCCTCCGGGCCCGGAATCGCCGGCAGCTGTTCGCCATGAGCCCCGCGGACGAGTGCAGCCGGCAGTACAACTCCACCAACATGGGCCTCTGGAGGAAGTGCCACCGGCAGGGCTTCGACCCCGAGATCGCCGCCCTCATTCGGAAAGGTAAGCGCCGGGCGCAAGGCGTGGCGCTGCGGAGAGCCCGGCGCCTTTAGGCCCCGCAGCCCCTCGCGTCTCCTTCCCAGGCCACAGGCTATCAGGTCTCTGGGTTCCAGGCGGTCCGGTTATCCAGGCCTGGCTGAGCCTCGGGGCCAGGACTTGCCTCCCAATAGCTGTTAATGAAGCTTGGTGCAGGCTTAACTCTCTCCCCTGCCTCTCCTTTCGCGCGTCTCTGTCGGGATTCGAGTGGAACCTCATGGTCCAGGGTTCTTATCCAGGATAATGCTTCATCAGCCTCTGAGAAGAAGGGAATCTGGAACGTTGTTTGTGCTCTTAAAGGAAGCCCTTTAGGAGTCATGTGTCAGGGGTAGACAGGTTCCTAATTTTTGTTGAACTGATTTAATCAAGGAAAATTGGGGGAAACATTTCACAGAGAAGGCCTTATTCATACCAGAAACGTTTGCTGAGCGCTATACTATACCAGATATGGTGTAGGCACTGGTCATATAAACATCAATAAATCACAGCCCCTGTCCTGTAAGCAGCTCCAAGCCAGCTGACCAGCAGCATCATATCACAATTCTTTATGTCTCCTTCTGAAACAGTGGTTGACTGTAGTGACTTCTGTGCATCGAATATCAACAAGGTCTAATAAGTAAAAAAAAAATAGTTCTTTCAGTAACATCAAAGTGGGCATGTCAGAGAAAAAAAATAAGATTTTCAGAAAATGTATATAAAAATTCCCAAAGTGTATGTCAAAACACAAAACAAGCTGCATTTGCTAATGATAAAAATTTATTTGATACTTTAATATGATCACATTACTTAAAAAATTCTGCTTATCGGATGGAATTTGTAAACCTTGTATGATTTATACTTTGGGAACCATCCTGTTGTCAACCCACTGGAATATTGTTTGAATGTGTATTAAAACTGCTCTGAAGAAAGGAATATGTTCTCTTCTATGGTAGCTACATCCTAGGAAGATGTGCAGATTTTATGAGTCTGGTTTTTTTCCCCTTGTGTTTCATTCTCTTTAACTATTAAATGGTGATGTCAAGGTGACAAAGATACTATTATTTGCAAAGTTTTTAAGGCCAAGATATAAAAGCAGTTCTTAGTGTCTCATTATAATGCTGTGAGGTTTGCTGCTGTATTAAAATAATATTTATGAGAACTGATGTTCTTTGATGGATACAAGTGTGCAATTGATCAGAAAAAATTGTTAATTTGCAAAAAAGTCAAGTGTTTAAGAATGACAAGCAGTGGGTCTGGTCTAGGTGGCCAGGTCAGATTTAGGTGAGGTGGCTTCAGAGACAGAATCTATCTGTTTGTTTTATAGCTTCTTTAGAATGACTAGGGATTTTAGCTGATTTTGTTATTGGTGTGTTAATACAACCAATATCCCATTTGCTTCACAATTGGGTTCTTATTGGAACAAGGTGACCCATTTGGAGCACTACCACTTTGTAAAGATGTACAGAATATTAGGGGAGTCCAGAAGAGACCAACTTGGGTTTGGCTGCCAAGGCAGGAAAACAAGAGGGCCTAGAATAGTTTTTGACAATGAGTGACCTTATAACAGTTTTGAGATTCTCAGATTTATAAAGTGTTATTTTATCCATGATTTTCTGCTTTCTTTAAAATTGAAATGAGAGGAAGTTAGCTGAAATGTGAGGGAGAATTCATGTTAATAATGAACAGCAAACACTGGGAGAATTTGTTGAAGGATATTCTTACTTTTCCTTCCTTGAATGCCTTCTAGAATAAGAGAGGTATCCCTTCTTGTGTTGGTTAACCCCACTTAGAGAAAGGGGGATGGAATTCATGGTTTCTGGCGGTTCCATTCAGAGCTTTGATTCCCTGTTGCTCTGCTTGGCAGTCTGACTAGAAAGGTTGACTTGGTCTGTGCACTGGAGGGGTTGGTTGCCATAGTGACATGTTCTTCCGGTGAAGCTGGAAACAGAGACAGGGAAAGGGATAGGGGAAGAATGTACAACATTTTGATTTTGTATCGACTGATTTTTAATTGCAGCAACAGAAAATGGACATGGCACAGCAGGGGTATTGAATACACTGATACCTAGAGTTGGCAGGGCATTGTATTTCACTTGAACTAATGGAAATGGTGTTCCCCATCGCCCAAAATACAGCAATCACTGTCAGCGGCAAGCACCCGCTTACCATGGCTGTTTCTGTCCATTTGACATTCTTGTTAGGTATTATTGAGATAGATGACATGCCAGCCTTACAAATCTTGAGAGAGTTAAGGTCACTATCTTCATTTTTAACCTCAACACACACTCTTTGAAAACCAGATCTTCCTTTTCTGAGCAGCAATAGACACATTTTGGAAATAAGTGCATGTTATATTAGTAGAATTCACAAGCAATTCCAATAACATATAGAACACAATTTTTACACTTAGTGTTCCTCTTAGATGGGCAGATTTTATAAGGAAGTTAAAAAGAGAAACTGATATCCCTATATTTAAATGAGACATTTTAGAAAAAGATGTTTATCTCACATTATTCATTAGAAACCGCAAAAGAGATCTCAGACCTCTGTCTTCTTTGAAATATCTACTTTGATTAAAATTCTGGAAGATATGTAATGGGCAAGGGAAAAAGAAAACCAGAGAAAAGACTTTAAAATCCGTTAATATATAGGAAAATTAGAGACTTATCTAAATGATCTAAAGAACTTAGTTATTTGTTAAATCGATGTTCATTACATTAGAAAGTGCTATTTGTGCATTTCAACATAAAACCACATAATTAATAAGAAAACGAACATCAAATCTATGTCTGATTTGAAGGTAAAGTCCTCTGGATTCATATTCATTCTGAAATCCATTCCCCTCCAGGACCTTCTGCCATGCTGTACCCACACGTATGCATTTCTCATCACTGTGTATTCATTTGTTTGCATTATTAAACTGTAAGTTCCTAGAGGTCAGGAAAGACCATCATTTGTTAAATACATTCACCAGATGCTTGGTATTTGGGAAATATTTCATACAAATTAGGTTCACAGAAATGTATCCATCCAAGCTTATTCTAATTATAGAAACACTTGTGTGAGAATTTAAGTAAAAAATTAGAAAATCGTGATGGGAAAATATGAAACAGTGTGGCTGTCAGGCCAGGTCAATATTGCAACAAATGCTACATAATCTATGAAGGGACGATTTCTTGAGCTTTGCCAAAGAATAAGGAAAACAGACAATTCTGTTTTGGATAACATGTCACTAAGCAGACACATATCACTTGTGGACATTATTTTTTATGATGGATAAGGTTTTAATTATTTCCTTCTTGGGGGTAAGATTGGATATAGGGTACAGCAAGGGTAGATTACCCTGAATTCCCATTTGTTGGCATCCATGACAAGTCTTAAATCAGGTCCTTTTGTCTTCTTGCTTTTAAATCTCATCCATGTCTCCCTAGTAAGTGACTGCAGGCACTGGGGACAGATCAGTGACAAGATCAGTTTCTGAAATCCAAGAGACTTCCAGACCCTTAGGAGGAGGAGTTATAGGTAGGATTTTGTTCTAGGGAACTCTAAGGGGAAAATTATATTATTTGGTTTGTACTAAAATATTATATTGATATAGTTTGAAATAAGTAGAACTTCAACTGATACTCTAAGAACTTTTTATTATTTGAAAATTGGCCTTATAATAGACTTTGACTTAAAGAGTTCCCATAATCACAGAGTGGTTGTCAATACTCCAAAAGTAATTTTAAGAAAACATTCACATATTTAAAAATTAATAATGGGATCAGCAAATATTTACTACACATGTATTGTGTTATGGGCACACATCGCTAGGATGAAGAAATGCATAAGATCTGGTCCTCAGAATTTGCATAGTCTGTTAGTGTCAGAGAAAATAGGTTACAACTACAGGATGATGAGAGCAGCAACAGAAACAGATGCAGAGGAACACAGAGAAAGTGATGGTGGATTGTGTCGGCAGTAGCGGGAGGTAGGCAGGAGGAGGTTAGGGAAAGTTGTCCTGAGGAAATGAAATCTGAACAAGATGTTTGATAAGGTTTGGAGGTGGATGTGGAGGAAGGATATTTCAGGCAATGGGCCAGCATATGCACAGCCATAGAGGTGTGGAACAGCAGTTTGGCCTTGTGAGTGTTGATTTCTGGGGCAAGGAGAAGGAGCAGACCAGGAGCTGGAGAGCAGCCATGGACCAAGTCAGGGAGCTCGTATATCAAATCCCCTACAGCTATGCTGCCCAGTTGGGGAGCCACAACCCACATGTGGCTGTTCAAGTTAACAATAACCAAAGTTAAATAAAATAGGCTGGGCACAGTGGTTCACGCCTGTAATCCCAGCACTTTGGGAGGCCGAGGCAGGTGAATCACTTGAGTTCAGGAGTTCGAGACCAGCCTCGCCAACATGGTGAAAACCCATCTCTAGTAAAAATACAAAAATTAGCTGGGCATGGTGGTGTGTGTCTGTAATGCCAGCTACTCAGGAGGCTGAGGCAGGAGAATCGCTTGAACCTAGGAGGTAGAGGTTGCGGTGATCTGGTATCATGCCGTTGCACTCCAGCCTGGGTGACAGAGCGAGACTCTGTCTCAAAAAACAAACAAACAAAAATTATTTCCGTAGTTGTATTGGCCACATTTCAAATGTTCAGTAGCCGTATGTGCCTACTGGCTATTGTATGGGACAGTGCAGATTACAGTGAACATTCCCACCATCGGAGAAAATTCTGTTGGACAGCGCCACGCAGAGCCTATAGCCTCTAAAAGAACCAAGCACATAACTTTGTTTCAGATGAGTATAATTCCATGATAACTTGGGTTTAAATTTAAGTATATCATTCTACACTTTAAGAAACTGCTACTTGAATATATTGGGCAGAAGGCTTTAGTTCATGGTCAATTATAGTAAATTTATATTTTAATTTTCTATCATCAACTCACAGAATTCTCACAAGCTTCTCCCTTCTTCCCTCCTGCCCTCTCCATCTCCATTAAACATCACTTGCAAAGTTGGTGGGGTGGGAAAGAGATTAATGATAATTATAGCCAATCTTGATGACAGGTCTCTCCTAAAAGTTTTATATGTATTAGCTAATTTATTGTTCATAATAACCCTAGGAAGTATAAGTATTATTTTAAATTCTCATCCTAAATTTGAGGGAACTGAGGCACAGAAAGGTCAGATAACTTGTGAATTCTCACAGTTAGTTAGGAAACAAAGGTGTCAGAATTTGAATTCTGGCTCTGGATGTGGGAACTCACCCACCACACTCTACCATCATCTTAGAATCTATCGGGGCAGGAGTGAGGTGGAGAAGAAACTGGGATATTGATTCCACAAATTGAGAATAAAAAGGAAATAATACTCTTGGAATCTCAATTCTAAATTGAAGTAATGAGAGTGGCTCACACACCCTGTTTTGAAGCTCACTGACCAAAGTGCATACACATTTTGTCATATAACTTTTGCTTATTTACTTCGCTTGCTGTGGTAGATGCTGAAATTATAGACATGAAGGACACATTCATTCATTCAACAAGTATTTATTGAGGGCCTTTGGGCTGTGCATCAGGTACAGTGTTGGACCAAATGGAGAAGCTTACATTCCAGAGGGGAGAGACGGACAATAAATAAATACTCCACGGCTGGGCACGGTGGCGCACGCCTGTAATCCCAGAATTTTGGGAGGCTGAGGAGGGCGGATTACGAGGTCAAGAGATTGAGACCATCCTGGCCAACATGGTTGAAACCCTGTGTCTACAGAAAATACAAAAATTAGCTGGGTGTGGTGGCGCATGCCTGTAATCCCAGCTACTCGAGAGGCTGAGGCAGGAGAATGGCTTGAATCCAGGAAGCGGAGGTTGCAGTGAGCCGAGATCGTGCTACTGCACCCCAGCCTGGGTGATAGAGCGAGACTCCATCTGAAGAAAAATAGTCATAGAGTAAAAATAATATCTAATATATGAATCGTGTAATATAGCACAGGGTAATGGGCACCATGAAGGTCTGCCCTTACGAAGCGCAAAGGGGAAGAATGACAAGTAAGGCAAAAATGAAATGCAGTCATGTGCCCTGTAACATTTTGGTTAAAGACAGACTGCAGTGGTCTCATAAGGTTATCATGGAGCTGAAAAATTCTTATGGCCTAGTGACATCATAGATGTCACAGTGCAGCAACCCATTACTCCTGTGTTTGGGTTGAGGCTGGTGTAAACAAAGCTACTGCACTGCCGGCGGTATAGAAGTCTAGCACAAACAATTATGTACAGTATGTAATACTTGATAATAAAATGACTGTTACTGGTTTATATATTTACTATGCTATACTTCTAATCATTGTTTTAGAGTGTACTCCTTCTGCTTATAAAAAAAAGTTAACTGTAAAACAGCCCCAGGTGGGTCCTTCAGGAGGTATTCCAGAAGAAGGCATTGTTATCAGGAGGTGACAGCTCCATGTGCACCATTGCCCCTGAAGACTTTCCAGTGGGCTAAAATGTGGAGGTGGAAGACAGCGAGATTGATGATCCCAACCCTCTGCAGGCTTAGGCTAATGTGTGTGTGTGTGTGTCTTAGTTTTTAACAAAAACGTTTCAAAAGTTGAAAAATAAAAAATTTTATAAACAGAAAAAAGCTTATAGGATAAGGATATAAAGAAAGAGCCTGGGTGCAGTGGCTCACACCTGTAATCCCAGCACTTTGGAGGTTGAGGTGGGTGGATCACCTGAGGTCAGGAGTTCGAAACCAGCCTGGCCAACATGGTGAAACCCCGTCTCTACTAAAAATACAAAAAATTAACCAGGCATGGTGGCACATGCCTGTAATCCCAGCTACTTGGGAGGCTGAGGCAGGAGAATTGCTTGAACTTGGGAGGTGGAGGTTGTAGTGAGCTGAGATTGCACCATTGCGCTCCAGCCTGGGTAACAATAGTGAAACTCCATCTCAAAAAAAAGAAAAAAAAAAAGAAAGAAAATATTTCATACAGTTGTAAAGTTAAAAGAATTAAAAAGTATATAAAGTAAAAAATCTACAGTGAGCTGAGGTTATTGTTGAAGAAAGAAAAATATTTTGTATAGTTTGGTGTAGCCTAAGTGTACAGTATTTATAAGGTCTACAGTAGTGTACAGTAATGTCCTAGGACCTCACTTTCACTCGCCACTCACCTCTCACTCACTGACTCACCCAAAGCAACTCCCAGTTTTCTAAGCTGCATTCATGGTAAGAGTCTCCACAGGTGTATCATTTTTTGTCTTCTCTACTGCATTTCGACTGCATCTTTCCTATGTTTAGAAACACAAATACTTACCATTGTGTTATAATTGCCTACAGTATTCAGTACAGTAACATGCTGTTCAGGTTTATAGCCTTGGAGCAATAGGCTATACCACATAACCTTGGTGTGTACTAGGCTACACCATCTAGGTTGTGGAAGTACACTCTGATGTCTGCATGACGACAAAATCGCCTAACGATGCATTTCTCAGAACATATCCCTGTTGTTCAGTGACATGTGACTGTAGTTCCATACAAGGAGGCTTTGGGTGTTGCAGGGAAAAGAGGTGGTAAAACTAATATAGACTGGAGTTCAGGAGGTTTCATTAGCTGAGGGACCTCCACAGGCTCTTTCTTTCTGCATTCTTTATTGAATTCCTAGAGGGCAGGAACTGTTTAATGTCTAAAACACACTTGGGGTCCTGTACTTAGTAGGTTCTGAAAAACTGTTTGCTGATTAAAAAACTTAAGACATACTCACCTTCAAAGAAACACATGCAAACATCCATAGTCTTGTATACATGATGTGCACCTCCTTGCGTATACGCCATGTGTATGCCCATATGTAATAAATAAACACTCATAGTCCCATCTCTCCTCCTCAATCATCCTAAAACTCAACTAACCAGTGAGAGTCAGTGATTCAAGAAGAAAACCTGTGACTTACTGGGCAAATGAATGGATGGAGTAAAGAGATGTGTTTTGAGCACCTGCTGTGTGCAGAGCTCTTTGCTACGTGTGGAGGGAGAACAAAAAGGCATGGTTGGTTCCTGTCCTAAGGGAGCTTACACTCCAGCTCATGGTTTCCCAAGTTCATTGTCATGTGCAGTGGTATCAGGTGCTTCCTCAGGAGGTCTTACCTGCATCAATTGGATAAGGAATCAACTAGTCAGGGAATGCAGGAGTGAGCTCTTTTTATTGAGTCAACAAAGTCTAGAGCCTTTTTTTCTGTTGAAGAGGTCAGTTTATTTATTCTTTTACTGTAGGGTCAATTAGAGGATCAATACTGTGTATTCCACTTTGGATTGTCAGTTGAAAACATTTCCCCCTCTTTGCTATTAGTAAGTAATCCTAGGCCTTCAGGCAGAATGCTAAACACACTTGGGTTAGTTTGACCCATCATACACAGACACGCACACCTCCCCCCACACACATCTAGATGTTAGATGTTACAATCACAAGCGTCTATTTAGATGCAGATATGTTTGTAACTTACTACTCCCAAACAATCCACAGAGAGAGGAGGAAGGGTGTGACTTGGTGAATGAATAGATGGAAAAATCATCCTAATGTCTTGATTGCTGTTTTCGAGAGAATTCATATATTCTTTTATATGACTTATTTTCTCATATGTAAAATAATGTGTTTAGATTCTATAAACTCCAAGCCCTTTCATACTTTTACATTTGATGAGAAAGTTAGATTTAGGTGTCAAAGAGTAGATAATAGGTACATGGTTGAGGGAGGGTGAAAAGAGGGGCAAGGCAAAAGTTGATGGGGGGTGGGAAGAGAAAGAGGAAGGGAGGGAGAGAGAGAGAGAGACAGACAGACAGACAGACAGACAGATGTGAGAGACAAAGCAATTTCTAAAGAGATCATCCTGGGTTCTAGTTTGCAATAGGAATAGCTAATTTCTTACCACTCTAAAAACATGTAATAAAAACGAACTTTTCCTCTTTCAAATGGCTTGAAATGTGATTTGCAGTTCAGGGTTTAAAATGAAAAACCTAAGAGAAAGGTGATGACAGATGCACAACACTGTCAATGTACTTAATGCCACTGGACTTTAAAAGTGGTTAAAATGGTAAATTACCCCAAGGAAAAAAAAATACATTTAAACACTCAATAGAGAAAGGAACTGGATTCTGTTTAGTGTGTGGAATACTTCGTAGCCAAGGCTCTTCATTCATTCAGCAGAATTTTTTTTTTTTTTTGAGACAGAGTCTCGCTCTTGTTGCCCAGGCTATGTAGCTGGGATTACAGGCACATGCCGCCATGCCTGGCTAATTTTCGTATTTTTAGTAGAGATGGGGCTTTGCCATTTTGGCCAGGCTGGTCTCGAACTCCTGACCTCAGGTGATATGCCTGCCTCGGCCTCCAAAAGTGCTGGGATTACAGGTATAAGCCACCACGCCCAGCCTATTCAGCACATTTATTGAGCACCTACTATGTATTAGGCACAACCAAAGTATGCTTGGGATGCAGAAGTTAGTAAAACATGAAATTCCTGCCCTCGTAGGGCTTACAGCTAAACATTTTTGAGCCTTAGATTTTTTTTGCTTTTTCTGAACAGAGCTTTTAAGGAGTACCAATATATAAAACAAGGAAAACTAATGAATACATCCCTTGGGCCATTTAAAAATCATTGAATGGTGAAGAACATTTCACTGAACTTATTTAAAAAATGTCTATTAAGCACCAACAATGCCAGGCACATTACTTGAGGTGAAAGATTTTGAGTGAAATCTGTTGTTTCTGTCCTCATGGAGCTAAAAAGTGAGGAGATAGGTAAACTCACAAGTACAAGCCCCCTGGTTGGTTCTATGGGAGATTTCTGTGCTGGGAGCCTGGATGGCTGGGCCCCATCTGGGAGCCGTCAGCGCATGTTTTGCAGAAAAGCGGACATGTGATCCTAAGATGTTCTTAGAGAGAGATTTGTGGATTGATAAGGTGGAATCTCAGCCTCCCTTAAAAGTTATGAGCCCCGACTAGGTAATGCTTGTCTAGTCTCCCTGCCACCCCTGCTTGTCCCCCAGATGCCTGTCCTTCTCCTAAAAGGCAGCCATTGCTGCCCAAATTTTATAAATCATATCATATCAGAGATCGTATATTCATGATGTTTAAAAACAGCAAGTATAAATATAAGCCGGGCAGCAAACAGGTGATTCAAAGATGAAAAAAGTGTATTGTTTTGTAATTTTTTTTTTTGTTTGAGACCGAGTCTTACTCTATTGCCCAGGCTTGAGTGCAATGGCACGATCTCGGCTCATCGCAACCTCCGCCTCCCGGGTTCAAGTGATTCTGCTGCCTCAGCTTTCTGAGTAGCTGGGATTACAGGTGCGCACTGCCACATCACGATCTCAGCTCACTGCAGTCTCTGCCTCCCAGGTTCAAGTGATTTTCCTGCCTCAGCCTGCTGAGTAGCTGGGATTACAGGCACCTGTCAGCACTCTCGGCTAATTTGTATTTTTTTTTTTTTTTTTTTTTTTTTTAGTAGAGATGGGGTTTCACCATGTTGGCCAGGCTGGTCTCGAATTCCTGATCTCAGGTGATCCACCAGCCTCAGCCTCCCAAAGTGCTGGGATTACAGGTGTGAGCCACCATGCCTGGCCTATTTTTTGTAAATTTGTATGCACAGAGATGGCATTTAAATGACCTTCCAGGAGTCACTAGGATTCATCTACAGGTGATGTTTCCTCTGAGTAGAAGCTGCTGTGAGCATTCACAGAAGTTTGACAGATTTGCTGCTTTTATAGGAGACTGCAGTATCTGAATTATTTCAATTGATTTTTTTTTTGGCGTCAAAGTATTTTGCCAAGAAAAGGCAATTTACTTTATATTAGGTCATCGTCATGCATTTATATCATTTCCTGCTTTTTAAAATGCCCTGCTGTTCTATATTCTGGAGCTCACTCTGTTGGACACTTTATTTGCTCTGGAGTCCCTCTCATTCAGTTTTGCCCTCAATTTCTCTTCATCTTTATAATAGTGATTCTATTTAGGCAATGCAGCTCCATTTCCCCAAGGGCCTGGAGTATTCACAGGCCTGGATGGGCTAGGGTTGTTTTTACCTGAAAGAAGCTCCATGCTCAGGCGATGCTGCCTGCTCACTGGCACAACACTGGAGAGAGATGAGGTACTCTCTCATGAGGTTGAAGACGTGCGTGCCTGTGGCCCGGCCCTTCCACTTATGAGCACGTGAAGCCCATCCAAGAATGTCCATGGCACCACTGTTTGTGACGGTATCACAAAATAAACAAAAGATGTAAATGTTCATTAATAAGATAATGATGTATGGTATATTCATACAATAGAAATGATCATGGTATATTTGAAATACATGTATTAATATTAATTATTATTATTTTTTGAGACCGAGTCTTACTCTGTCGCTCAGGCTGGAGTGCAGTGGTGTGATCTTGCTCACTGCAACCTCCATCTCCTGGGTTCAGATGATTCTTGTGCCTCAGCCTGCTGAGTAGCTGGGACTACAGGCGCCTGCCACCACTGCTGGCTAATTTTTATACAGCAGGGATGGGGTTTCACCATGTTGGCCAGGCTGGTCTCGAACTCTTGACCTCAAGTGATCCGCCTGCCTTGGGCCTTCCAAAGTGCTAGGATTACAGGCATGAGCCATCATGCCTGATCCAATTAATATTAATATTAAAACATGTATTTCAAATATACTGTAATCATTTCTATTGTATAACACATGTATGTTAATATTATTACATGAAGCATATGTATATATTTCCAAATGGATAAACACAACTTTGAGTAAGAAAGGTAGGGTGCAGAATGAAATACAGAATAGGACACCATTTATACGAAGTTCAAAAACAGGTAAAACAATATTAGATATTCTCTAAAGAAACATATTTGCATTGTATGCATAAAAATATGCATGAGACTAATAAACACAAAATGAAGGATGGTATTTACTTTTCTCAAGAAAGGGAAAGAAATGGAATTGGAAAGGGTGCCAGGGAACTTCCAAAGCATCTGTGATACTTTATTTATTTATTTATTTTTTGAGATGGAGTCTTGCTGTGTCACCCACGCTGGAGTGCAGTGGTGTGATTTCTGCTCACTGCAACCTCCATCTTCTGGGTTCAAATGATTCTTGTGCCTCAGCCTCGATTACAGGCACCTGCCACCACGCCCAGCTGATTTTTATATTTTCAATAGCAACAGGGATTCACCATGTTGGCCGGGCTCTTATCGAACTCCTGACCTCAAGTGATCTGCCTTCCTTGGCCTCCCAAGATGCTAGGATTACAGGTGTGAGCCACCGCATCTGGCCTGATATTTTGTTTTTTAAAAACAAAAAAAAACAGAAGATCTGAAGCAAATATTCACATGCATGCACATTCAAGCCACATGAGTGACTGTTACAATTCTGATAAAAAAGGTAAAATTTTATTCAGATTGTGTTGTTCAGTGTGCAGGATGCAGGTTCTTTAAGGAAAATTACCAGAAAACTTTGTCCCTGGGGCAGTCTGTGGTTGACTTTTGTAAGTAGGAACAAGAAGCATTTAGAAAAAAGGGGAATCAGTTCATCCCTAACCAACAGTTTTCCTTGAAATTAGCTGTTAGAGAAGAGTGTAGACAGAATAACATTTTGCTTTATTCCCTTCTGATGTGTAAGAGGAGGAAATCAGGGCTTTACAATGATTGATTACTGAGATGGAGACTAATGGACAAGTCATTCCAGCCCCTTTTAAATTTCCTGCTGCTTGTGGAGAAAAAAAATCAAGAATTCCAAGAGCCACTAAAGTCACTTTTTCAATTAACTTGATCATAGATTGAACTTTAAATAGATAGAGCACTGAGACAGAGAGTAACCAGCTATTGAGGGTGTGAGACAAACCCAGAATTGAGCACAGACCTCTCAGAAGGCATTTTAACCCCAGGGAAGATAATTCAGCGAGAACTAGTAAAGAAAAGGTGAGAATTGATAAAAAAGAAATAGAGTATATTTGTCTTCTTTAGCAGTTTTCATATCACTTTTGAAACTGAGTAGAGAGTGTTAGTAAAACTTTAAGGTATTGATCATTTATTCTGAAGATTATGAAGGTGGCTTCAGCCAAGAGTCCTTATGTTAAGATCATGTGTTTCTGCCTTCCCTATTTATACAAACTATAGCTGGAATAGAAAAATCCCCTCAGAATTATAGCAAGAACTCCATTTTTCAGTTTATACTGCTTTGAAAAAACCAAAGCTGGCCTCTCATTACCAAGGGATCATGAAAGTTCCAAGGGATTTCAGGGGTGTTGAAGCAGAATAACTTCAGTGCTCATGTTTTGGTAACCACAGGGCTGGAAGAGATGCCCAGATGCAGCCCTGGACAGGCCTGGGCTGAAGGTCCCAGGTGGGTGTTCTGCTTGGTTCTTGATGCTCTGCGGGGAGGGAGACATGTTGCACTTCATGAGGTGAATGACCTTCCACTT
This sequence comes from Homo sapiens, assembly GCF_000001405.40. Classification (NCBI taxonomy): domain Eukaryota; kingdom Metazoa; phylum Chordata; class Mammalia; order Primates; family Hominidae; genus Homo; species Homo sapiens. The sequence goes on from NC_000007.14 coordinate 141,088,135, forward strand.
TGGAAAAGCCTGGCCTCTGTGTCTTCAACCTCTTCTCTCTCACTCCTTCCTCAATGTCAGCATCAGTGGAGTGGAAGGTGACTTGCTTGGCCCTTGTTCTTTTTAGTTGTGGCTTCTCTGCTTGCCTGGCTTTCTTTCCTTCCTCGTGTGCACCTCCCATGCACTCCCATGTGCTAGGTTTCCTCACCCATCCCCCTCCTGAGACTGCTCCTGAAAAACCTCACTCCCTGGCTTTCCAGACACTGTTCTCTACCAGATCTGTGTGTAGCTCTATTCTTATTCCTTCTTCTTTGCCAGTTTTTCTTCCTCAGACTGTGTAGATATCCTTCAGAATTCCACTTCTCTTTCTCACTCTTCACCTTCTCCTGGATCAGTCTCAGCCACGTCTAGGGCCATTTTCTTTTATGCTCATGACTAGTTGCACTGGGAATCTCTAGCCAGTCTTTCCATCTGAGCATCTTGCCTATTGGATATCTCCACTAGGATCACCCATGGGTCCAAAGGAATCTATTTCATCTTTTTCCTCCAGACTCATCTCTTCTTCATTTTCCTCTGTCTTAGAGAACATGGCTCACTGCCATAAATGTGTTCTTTTGAGAATTGTGTGTTCATATCCTTTGCCCACTTTTTGATGGGGTTGTTTAAATTACTTTGTGAATTGGGGATATGGAGGCTTTAAGAAAAAAAATAAACCTTAAAAAAGAAAATAAATTGAAGTTTATTATATGCATTATAAAACAATTCACATCATTGTTCCTTTTAATAGTGAATCCCCCACCCTAGCCCAATGAAGTTATGAATCTTTTTAAAATGAGATTTCCAGATCTAGTGCATTAACTGAGATAAACTTTCATTCATTCAACAAATATTTACTAAGTACCTATTATGGCCCATGCATTATATCCATGCATTATGCAAAACCCTGTGGATAAAAAGGTGAGTAGGAAATAGTTCCAAAATGGTCTCAAAAGGGAGGGAAACATATGGGTAAGCAAATAAATACGACAAAATGTCACTATTGCTGGAAAGAATGTATGTTTGGTGTGTCCAGAAGCCTAAAGGAGGCAGAAAGCACTTCGACCTGGTATTTGGGGATGAGGGGACATCCAGCAAGACTGGGAGGAAGGGCTTTAGGCTGATTCCTAAGGGATTAGCAGGCACTGGACAGGCAGACTTGGAGGTAGGGGGCCGAGATGGGGAGGAGGCTTCCAGACAAAGGAAGAATCATGAGCAAAGGCTCCCAAGGGATAAATAGGAACACTTTTACACTGTTGATGGGACTGTAAACTAGTTTAACCATTGTGGAAGACAGTGTGGCGATTCCTCATGGATCTAGAACTAGAAATACCATTTGAGCCAGCCATCCCATTACTGGGTATATACCCAAAGGATTATAAATCATGCTGCTATAAAGACACATGCACACATATGTTTATTGCGGCACTATTCACAATAGCAAAGACTTGGAACTAACCCAAATGTCCATCAATGATAGACTGGATTAAGAAAATGTGGCACATATACACCATGGAATACTATGCAGCCATAAAAAAGGATGAGTTCATGTCCTTTGTAGGGACATGGATGAAGCTGGAAACCATCATTCTGAGCAAACTATTGCAAGGACAAAAAACCAAACACCGCATGTTCTCACTCATAGGTGGGAATTGAACAGTGAGAACACTTGGATACAGGAAGGGGAACATCACACACCAGGGCCTGTTGTGGGGTTGGGGGAGGGGGAGGGATAGCATTAGGAGATATACCTAATGTAAATGACGAGTTAATGGGTGCAGCACACCAACATGGCATATGTATACATATGTAACATACCTGCAAGTTGTGCACATGTACCCTAGAACTTAAAGTATAATAAAAAAAAAAGTCTAGCCACCACTTCATGATAATCTTGTCCACTTTTGCTACCCTTCTTGCCTTTCCCAGACTCTTCCTCTCATCAGCATACTTGGATACAGAGAAGCCTACTGCCATTCTTGTTCCTATCATGAATATAAGAATTTCCAAATCTGCTTCTGGACCTTTAAATTTTTTAAAAAAATTTAATTTTAGAGACAGGGTCTCACTCTGTGGCCCCGGCTGGAGTGCAATGGTGCAATCATAGCTCACTGCAGCTTTGAACTATGACCTCAAGGGGTCCTCCCACCTCAGCATCCCAAACCCCAGAGTGTTGGAGTTACAGGAGTGAGCCACTGTACCCAGCCTACTTCTAAGTCTTTTACTGGCATATCCAACTATTTCCTCAGCATCCATTTCCAAGTTTCTCAATGTTTATCAGCAGTAATGTCCTCGGGTTGTCTTGATGAAGCCTCTCTCTCAAACGTTGTTGAGAGCAGCCTCCTCATATCTCCTCTGATAGTGACTTTGGTCAGATAATGAGAACAGACTGATGAAGGAAAGCAGACTGTGCTTTCTGTAATTTCCTCTTCTTTGGTTTATTCTTCAGTTCACTTTTCATGACTTTCAAAATGAGTGGGTCAGTGATGTTGGGAAAACATGGTGGGTATCTGCCTCTGATTCTCTGATGTATCTGTCCCTATTGTGGTAGGTGAACATTACAGAAAGCATTTGTCCCCCATAGGGGGATTCAGGGACAGAGAGATGTCATGGCCAGCCAACACATCTTTTCTTACAAAGACCACCAAATTCCAGGTTAACAATATGTGAGAGAGTTTCACTCCTTAGGGTCTTACCGAGAAGCAGATTCTCTTTGGAAATGCCAGTGACTGTTGTTCAGTCCAGGTCATCTCACAGTCAGGGTTTTAAGGACTTCTCCTTTAGCCATAATATCTGAAGGGCACAGCCCATTGCCACCTAACTCAGATAAGTAGAGTAATTATTTTGCTTTTAGCAGATAAATATAGATATGGCTGCATTGCTTGGCTCTCTAAACTAGGTTGAATAAATGATTCATATCAAGGAAATATTTCCTATGACCCCCATAACTCCTGGATTTATATTAGGAGTTAATTATGCTAGGTTAAGCTGGAAAATGATTTCCAGCACTTTCTGCCCAAGTTGTATAAAGTGCTATAGGTCAAAATTCAGTAATAACCATTGGGTAGGCATTTCTGTTAAATTTGTGGTTTGAAGAGCTGGCTTTAATTTAAAAAAAATTGTAAATATTATTAATGAGTTATACAGTAATTCAGGTTTCATAAAATGGTGGGTAACCCTTTCACTGGAAAACTGTCTCTTGTTATATATATATTTATTTAAAAACCTGTAGGAACCCAGTGGTCTATTTCAAACTGAAGGTGGCATTTCTTCTCCTTGGGTCAGCAGAGTTGTTAACATTTCAAAGAAGGACATTTGTGCTCCTCTGCCAGCAGCATGCCTGTATCAGCTTTTATTACACATATCTTTAGTGGTGTGGTGGCTGGCTGGGTGCTTGTAGATCAATAAGCTGCTAAAAAGGGAGCTGCATCAGAGACCATAATGGCTTCTTCATAGGAGATAGATTGTCTCCAGGTAGTGAAGTGCATTTAGGAATAACAACAAGAATATCCCTGCATTGAGATCCTTATTATTTAGAAGAAAGAAATAGATCCTTTCAAGGTGATGAGTCCTAGAATGTACTTTGTTAATTTTTAGAGACGGAGTCTTGCTCTGTCTCCCAGGCTGGAGTGCAGCAGCGTGATCTCGGCTCACTGAAACCTCTGCCTCCCAGGCTCAAGTGATTCTCCTGCCTCAACCTCCTGAGTAGCTGAGACTACGGGCATGTGCCACCATGCCTGGCTAATTTTTGTATTTTTAGTAGAGACAAGGTTTCACCATGTTGGCCAGACTGGCCTCGAACTCCTGACCTCAAGTGATCCACCCACCTCAGCCTCCCAAAGTGCTGGGATTATAAGTGTGAGCTACCACACCCCACCTAATGTACTTTAACATGCTAAAGATACATTCCAGGAGGTCTTGTGTCCACTGTTATAGCTGAATTCCATACAAATTCAGCTTCTGTTAATGGAAGAATTCCCAGACCGAGAAAGACAGGATTAGTTCCCTTGGCCTCAAATATTTCTTGATTATAGTAATTCTTGGTTACCCTACCAATTTAAAAAAATCTTGTAATCTGAACACTGATTTTTAAGAGACTTGGGTGGGCTTGGATATAGCATCAGTGAGGAACTAGGAAAAGTAAACGCCCTGGAAATAAAGTGATATAGATGGAAGTGGAGGGTAATGGAAACCTGCAGAAGATAGCATGAACCTCCTTGGCTGAGTTTCTTGACTTGAAGGCTGGGGACACTTACAGTCTACCTGTGCAAAATGTACTTATGTACAGGTGAGGTCCTAGGTCCATATGAACTGAGGGAGGATGGTGACTTTTTCCAGTGGGGTAACAATTTCTACTTTATGCTTCTCCTTCATGATGCATGGGTAAATTATATAGATTATATATTCGCTTGTTCAACAAATATTTGATGAATACTTACATGTCATAATTTGTACAGGGGGCTTAGGATGCAGTAGTTCACTAAATAGGCAAAATCTTTTGCCTATATGGAGCTCATATTCCACTGAGAAAATGGACAATAATCAGATAAATAAGTAAAACATATAATACATTAGATAAAGCTTAGTGCTAAGGAGAAGAAAACAAAGCATGGAAAAGGGATAGGAAGTGTGAGGTGGTGAGTTGAAATTGCAGATGGGATGGCCAGAGAAGAGTGCACCAAGAAGCTGACATTTGAGTCAAGGTCTGAAGGACATGAGGAACTAGCTATGGGGCTCTCTGAGGAAGAGGATTTCAAGTGGAGGGAATAACAAGGGCAGTGACTTTGATGTCAGAGAATGGTGGCATGTTATAGAAATAGCAAAGGTGGCAGAATGAATGGGGCAGAGCAGGTGAGGGGGCTTGTAGTCAGATGTCAGGGAATTAAAGATCCATGTTACGTAGTGTTTGAAGGTCATAGGAAGCACTGCAGGATTTTGAGAAGAGGAGCGATGTGATTAGATTTATGGCTCAAAAGGATCCCTTGGGTAGCTGAATTGGTAATAGATTATAGAAGGGCATATATAGAAGCCAGGAGACCAGCCAGCAAAGATGGTGACTAGAACCAGAGTACAGGGAGAAGAGACTGGATTCTGGATGTATTTTGAATGGAAAGTTATCAGGATTGGCGGAGGGATCAGATGCAGGGCAGATGAGAAAAAGAAGTCAAAGATGGCACCAATATTTCAACAGGAGCTGGCAGAGCAGAGCTGCCATTTACCATGATGGATAGGACTGCAGGATCTTGTTTTGAAGATCTACTATTTTGTGTATGATAATCTTTGAGGTGCCTTTTTAGTTGCTCAAGGGGAGATATCAAGAGTTAGCTGGATATATAGGACCGAGTTTGGGGGAGAAGTCTCACTGGGGATGTAAACAGAGGAGTCATCAGCTCATGGTACTGGAAGTTGTGAGACTGAAAGAGATCACCTAGAGAGGGATTGATTGTAAACTTGGAAGAGAAAATATCCAAAGATTAAGCCCTGGGGCACTCCAGCTTGATAGAGCTCAGGGAGATGAGTTGGAATCTGCAAAAGAGACTGTGAGGAAGAGTCAGTGAGTTAAGAGAACATTCGGGAAAGTGTGCTGTCCTAGAAGCCAAATGAAGAAAATATGTTAAGGAGGAGGAAGTGGTCACCGCTGTGAAGTGCTGTCAATGGGTCAAGTTCAATGAGGCCTGAGACTTGAATTTTGGATTTCACAATGCAGAGGTCATTGATTTCAGTGTTGGGGGTAAAAACTTGACCAAGAGTGAATGGAAGGAGAGGAATTGGAGACGGTGAGCAAAGACAAATTTTTAAAGGAGTTTTGGTATAAATATAAAGAAAGAAATGGTAACTGGACTGAGAAAGTTAGGTCAAGAGAGACTTAAGTTTTTCTTTTTAAATTAGATAAATAAAAGCATAGTTGTAGGCTGATGGGAATGGTTCATAGATAGGGACAAAACTGATGGTGCAGAAAAAACAAAAAGGAGAGAATAGAATTGCAGGAGCAACTGCTGGATAGGGTTGAAGTAGGAAGGAAGGTGGGAAAAAAAAGATGGAAGGAAATGAACATGGCCCAGGAAGAAACACATGTTTTAGGTGAGGCAGGAAGAAAAAATTGGAGATGGCCTTTCTTGAAGCAAGGCATCAATTATTTTACTCACATTACAACCTAATGGGAAAATAGAGCAAAGAGCTTTATGCTTTTTAGAAGAGAGTTTCTATAGTACTTTAGCATCTTTTTATTATTGAGTAATTAATGGGAGTTCTCTGAAGAAAGCAGGATTGGAAAGTGAACCTTACTCTATTCTATTTGGGTATGGTGGTTTGCATTTGCTTTATAAAAAGGATCTCTGGTCAGAGTAGCCTAGCTATTCTAAGCACTGGGTGGCTGGTGATTGGTTGGACATTCTGAGACATTTTGGCCTCAGTTAGTTGGAATGTGACACGCTGTGTCTTGAAGTATGGTGCTCTGAAAAGCATAAACAGGTTTCATTTTTTAAAAGAGAGGACAGTGCATCCTCAAACCTCTCTTTCTAGTTGCTATCTCCTGTAGGGATCCTTTAGCCAATGGTTTCTGCAGTTTTTAATTTAATAGCATCACTCTAATTAGAATTTAGGGTGCTTTGGCTCTGATGACATTCAGGTCATTTTTTGAGATAAAGCTGCTTTATTTTCAGGCTGAATAGCCACATTCTTGCCTTGTCATCCTAAAAATGCTTCACTGTGTCTGCATTTCAGAGCCTCTGATTAAATGACTGAAGACCTATAGTGATGCAGAATCAATTTCTTTGTTATTATACTGTTAAGTTCTTTTTAAAAACGAAGTGCAATAATTCCTTGTAACCTCCCCACAACAAGTATTTTCTACATTAATATAGAAATTACGGTCACAAAACCTTCCTTTCTTGGAAAAAAGAGTCTGGCTATTGTGTGAAAATTATTGGCCACATTTATAGGCAGCCACTTTGTAGGTTTTTTGAGAAGGTATGGATGTCATTAGCCTTTTTTATTTCTTCAGTGGGGTTTGTAAGGACTCAAAATTCTAAGAAAAGCTGTGTATGTTCTGGAGACAAGGAATAACAGGTGCAAGTTAGTGGAGCAGGTGGTGTATCATTTTCCCCATTGCCTTCTACTCAGAAACGGTGGGATACTAGTTTCCAATTTGGAAACCATGTGAGAAATGCCATTTAGTTCCACCTGTAATTTGCCTTTAACTTTTGACTTTTTCTTTACCCTTCTGATGTGTGTCTGGTAATATGATGAGTTCTACCTGTAAACAAGTAGATTCTTAATTTCCATAAAATGTTTTTTGGAATGTGTGTCATGACCAATTTTATTTTTTCAAACTCTTGGGAATTTTTTAACTTATGATTTTTCTCTGTTACGTTATTGCTGCTTTCTTCCACAACTATCCCAGTACATAGGCTTATTGAATAGATTGCTCTCCTCCATAATCTTTGGTCGCCCATTTGCTTTCTGTCTTTCAGCAGCTGTGTATTCTCTCAATCAGATCATTTCAACAGTACTTTTATTTTCACCAATCAAACCCTGAGCCACCTCACCAATATGTGTGGCATGCAGAAGACGTATGATTATTCTCATTTTACATACAGAAGACCTGAGGCTCAAAAATGTTTACCATCTGTTGCCTGGCTAATAAAGAGTGGAAGCAGATCAGAACCATTGCCTTTTCCAGTGATCTTTCAACCACTGCACTCCAGGATGCTGCCTCACGGTGCTGTGTTGAATTGGGGGTGTGCCTGTGTGTTTTCCTGTTTTGTACTTTTACCTGTCTTTCATCACCTGGTATCCATAGGAGTGGCCAGGTGGGTGAAGAGAAGTATAAATGCTGATGGTAACGTAGGCAACCAACCATATCCTACAAGGCCACTACTGGCATTGATGGCCTTGCCCATGGTATCCAGAGGGGACTATACAACATGATCAGCCTCTTGCTCTGTCTCCTCATAACTGGCATTCTTCCAGCTTTGAGGGGTAAATATTTAATAGAGTAGTATTCTAGTCATAGATATTTTGTTACACTATGCTTTAAATTGCATTGCAGGTCAAATGTTTGCCCACTGAACAGACAGTGCCTTTCCTTATGGGTGTACAGCCAGGCTATTTTACTCAGCATTCTCTGCAGTTAGAGTTAGGTGTGGCTATGTGACTGGGTTCTGGACAGTGATATGTGAGTATAAGTGGTATATTCCACTTCCATGTCTGTCCCATAAAATAATTCTGTGTGATTGCCTATTTTCTTCTATCTTCTCTCTGGATGCTAATATTCTGGGTGACGTTAGAAGGCAAGGACTGAAGATGGCAAAGCCTTGAGAAGCCTGAGTCCTCGAATGTCAGAAAACAGTGACCTCCCCTGTGTTGGTGGCCAATTGGACTTTAGTGAACAAGAAATAATCTTCTGGAGCTTCTGGATAGCTGACCATGTGGAGGTTCCTAGAAGGCGGTGTAACCAGGGAGGGCAGGGAAGCTCCATACCCCTTCCCTTATACTGCACTCTATAGTCTCTTCTGTATCTTTTGTAATATCCCTTATAATAAACTACAAAATGTAAGTAAGTGTTTCTCTGAATTCTGTGAGCTGCCTCAGCAAATTAATCAAACCCAAAAGGGGATCATGGGAACCTTAACTTCAAGGTAGTCAGACAGAAGTTCCAGAGAGGCTGGGTGGGTGGCTCACACCTGTTATCCCAGCACTTGGGGAAGCAGAAGGATCACTCGAGCCCAGGAGTGTGAGACCAGCCTGGGCAACATAGCGAGATCTCATCTCTACAAAAAATTTTAAAAAGTTAACTGGGCATGGTGGCACGTGCCTGTAGTCCCAGCTACTCAGGAGGCTGAGGTGGGAGGATCATCTGAGTCCAGAAGATCAAGGCTGCAGTGAGCTATGATTGCACAGCTGCACTCCAGCTTGGGTGACAGAGTGAGAAGTTGTCTCAAAAAAAAAAAAAAATTCTTAGCGAAGTTACAGAGATTTTAAAGTTTATCTGTTACAGTAGCTAGTATTCCATTAGTTATACATGTATATAATAATGCATCCCCTTTCAACTGTAATATGAATCCTATATCGCAGCTAACATTGTGGCGGGCGCCTGTAGTCCCAGCTACTCGGGAGGCTGAGGCAGGAGAATGGCGTGAACCCGGGAGGAGTTTGCAGTGAGCCGAGATAGCACCACTGCAGTCCGGCCTGGGCGAAAGAGTGAGACTCCGTCTCAAAAAAAAAAAAAAAAAAAAAAAGACAAAATGTAAACTGTCTACATCTAGGTTAACACAATACATGTTATAGTAATCTGTATGTATTTATAACAAGATTTGAAGAAATAAAGAATAAATTCAGTACTTTTTTCCCTCTCAAAAATGTTAAGAATGGTCAAGGGTCTCTTAACCTCATCCTGGTTACTATTCAAAAATTGAAGAGAATCAGTCCACCTTGACCCATTTTGGCCAATAGAGCGATACGGGGTCTGTCCATGGTCCTGAAATCTTTAGCATTTTCATCAAGTGCTAAATTTGCAAACTTTCCCAAACCTCATCATCTTTGATGTGTACAGTACTTCTTATATAACTTACTCATCATATACTTATTTTTCTCCTTCAACAAATCGCCATTCGCTTTATGTTTCTTTTCTTTTTCTTTCTTTCTTTTTTTTTTTTTTTTTGAGACAAAGTCTCACTTTGTCACCCAGGATGGAGTGCAGTGGAACGATCTCTCTCACTGCAGCTTCGACCTCCCTGGTTCAAGTGATCCTCCCACCTCAGCCCACCAAGTAGCTGGGACTACAGGTGTGTGCCACCATGCCTGGCTAATTTTTGTATTTTTTGTAGAGATGGGGTTTCGCCATGTTGCCCAGGCTGGTCTCGAACTCCTGGGCTCAAGTGATCCACCTGCCTCCGCCTCCCAAAGTGCTAAGATTACAGGCATAAGCCATCACACCCAGCCAGATTTTCTACTGTGATTCATGACATTACCAAAAGTCCACCATTCTACATGTTCCCTTACCAAAAATATGAAGCCTTACAACTTTTTCCCAGTGAGAAGGTATCTTTCCAATTTATTATCTCTTTTACTCACTTGATGTTAGAGTCTGTGCCACTTGAAACTTTTGGTACTGGAAAATGTCCCCAGTGTCAATGGAAGAATGTTCTTCTAACCATAATTCCTCATACCAGATTAAATACAGAACTGCCCTCTTGAAGGGCTTAATGTTTTGGATCCCAGATTTATCAGATTTGTCAGGACACAATTACAAATATTTTTTGTCTTAACCCAATTTAAAGACATTTGTATGTAAAGTGGTTTGTCTAGGCTACTGTTTTAAGTAGCTTCTGTAGAGAGTGAGCAGTGAAGAGTGTAGACCCTGAAGTTATACTGCCTTCAGATCTCAGCTTTACAGTTTACTATCTGTGTGACCCTGAGCAGATTACTTAAGCTTTCTATGCCTCAGTTTCCTTATCTATAAAATGGAGATTATATTTGAATTCTATCTTAGAGATTTATTGTGAAGGTTGAGTGAGTTCATACAAGTAAATGCCATAGAATAGTACCTGGCACATAGTAAGTGCAAGCTATTGTTATTATCTTTAAAACTCATAAGAAAATAGAATGGGTTGACAAGGCCATTTCCATGTGCGTATCTGCATTAGATAACTGCCAAAATGATTTCTCTTGTCAGAAGTGCTGTATGTGCAAGTGCATATCTGAAAGTCTCCAGTTGTGATTTCTTTGGGGCTTTGCCTTCACCTTTCCGATGAAGTTTACCCTTTTAATAATCTGTCTGGCTCCATCTCGGCCATTGTTATTTACAAAAACCAAACCCAAAACAAAACAAACAAACAAACAAACAAACATGTTTAGAGAAACCGAAAACAAAAGTCTTCTAACTTTGCTAAAGCCAATTAGACCATACATTATCAACCAGGGCAGAATGGAATCTAGGGACAGCTGTGAAGTTTGTCTTTGGAGATCCCAGCCTCCTCCTTCAGAATATTTTCCTCCTTGATATGAATTTTCCTCCCTTTTCCATGAATGAAGTCATTTCTCTACCTTCCTTCCTATTGGCAGACCCTGTATTATTTTCAGTTGTAAATGACTAATAAAGTTCAATTCCTGGCCCTTCCCAGGAGAACATGCTACAGATATGGAGACTAAGCTTTAGGGCAAAAAGATACATTTCTAATGTGAAATTTAAACTATTAGGTAAGATGAGTATTTTGTGGCCACACGTTCCTTTTAAACATTATTATAAATAGCTACTTTTGAAAACTTTCTTACATGTCTGGGTCTGATTAAGGGTTTGCACATTAATTCATCCTGAATTGAATTGTCAATGTGCTGAATGGACTCATATGTAGCCAGCAATGTATTGTTAAAGAACCATAAGCTGCAGCCTCTCAAAGAGGGATGCAGATCAGAGTAGACCTCCACACTCAGTAATGTTCTAATCTCTTGATTTGGCACAGGAGCTTGGTTTGCACTATTATAGATCTATAGCAAATCACAGTTTCTTATGTATCAACTGCATTCATGCGTTATGGTCCTTAATCACAGCTTAGGTGACATTTAATGGAAAGATCACTGTGCTAGGTTGAGTCAAAGCATTGACTCCTATATCCAGCTCTGCTGTTTACCTGGGTCACTGGCCCCTTTGGAGCTTGTGTCTGTAAAATGAAAACGGTGTCTCTTTTTTTTTTTTTTTGAGACAGAGTCTGGCTTTGTCGTCCAGGCTGGAGTGCAGTGGCGTGATCTCGGCTCACTGCAAGCTCCGCATCCCGGGTTCACGCCATTCTCCTCCCTCGTAGCTGGGACTACAGGCACCCGCCACCACACCCGGCTAATTTTTTGTATTGTTAGTAGAGATGGGGTTTCACCATGTTAGCCAGGATGGTCTCGATCTCCTGACCTCGTGATCCGCCCGCCTTGGCCTCCCAAAGTGCTGGGATTACAGGCGTGAGCCACTGCGCCCGACCAAAATGGTGTCTCTTAATTCAGACTGCAATCCTAATCACCTGGGCAGTTTTAGAATAAGCAGATTCTCAGACCCCACATCTGTAACATCTTTTTTTTTTTTTTTAAATAAGTAACTTGTAATTCAGCATGTTTGGTTGGGCCACGTATTCTATAATATAGCTGGATTGGGAATTACTGGATACGTCCATCTTTTAGTTCCTTTGGAACTTTTGATTGAGTGGTCGTTTTCTTCCTGAAAATTCTCACTTTGCTCTCTGTATAAGTGTAAACACTCATACACATTTCTTTTTGGAAAGTATGAGAGATGCTAGCATTTTCTATAACCAGCTTGGAGTAGATAGCATGCTGTACTTTGTGGAGGAGAGACAGGAAAACTAGTCAATCTCCCAGATATTCCTGATTCAGTCTGGCTCCCTAATCATCATGTGTTTGTATTATTTTAATTAACATAAATTTACAGAAGTTCCAATACACCTATTTCTTACATAAATAGAAAGGCATGCTTCATCAAATATTAAATAGAAATTATTTTTAGACTCTTTGCTCTGAGGCTTTTCTGTAGATATAAACAAGGGCTGACTGTATTGCACACAGGTACATGTATGAATGTAGAATATATATATGCAGAATGTATACGTATTCTACATATATATGTAGAATGTGTGACAATAAACTGATTTTCTTATGTGGCTCATAAACTAATTCAAAATTTATTCCGAAAGAGGCATTCCAAATGTCTTCTGAGTAATGGAATAATTATATAGGCCCAAATGTAAAGTACTAAAGGGCTTTGAGGAATGAAACTGAGTGTATACATTTTGGTGTTTGTTCTGTAAAGAAACAGATGCCGTCAAAGAATCTGGCTACTTCATAGATACACATATTTTGACTTATGTGCCCTCAAGCTATTACACCACTCCCTGGATCTTTGGAAAGGAGATAATGTAAATTTCCACAGGCTCGATTTGATTACTTTTCTAAGTTATTAAAGTAATTCTTTCAGATATATCCTCTGGAGCATTAGATAAGCCACCAAATTCAGAGTGTAACCTGTAAATCTGGGAAAAAAATATTTTGGCTCTTTTGAACCTAATTTGGGTTTGGCAGAAGTTACTCTAAATCTGTTGCTTGTTGTCTAACTCTTGATTAATTAATTTATGAATGACAATAAAATGTTTCATGCAGTCTTTCTGTTTTTCCCTTTAACCTTTAAAAACTGGAATAATAGATTTTTATCTCTTTCTGTCTTTTTGCCTATGGTCATGTGGTAAACATTGATTTCTTCAGCAACAAACCTCACCAGTGATTAAACAGCCCTAGTTGTAATGGTTGAAGTGATTAACTCCTGTTTTCTCTGGTACAGGTTAAGACGCCCTTGTGGACACACAGTGTGTTAAGCTACTCTGAGATGATTTGAACTTGGAAGCTGCCATAATGGTAATAATCCTGAAACAAACATGTCTCATGATGCATAAGTGCTTCCCTCTATTTTGTGTGGTGGCAGCAGCCGGAGAGACTGATGGATAACAGATAACTATCTATAAATAAAAATACATGCAGCATATTGTGGTACAGTCAACTCCATTAGGTATCACATATTTTTGTTGTGGTAGAGTTTAGTTTTAATGGCCTATTACTAAAAATTACATGTCCAGTGTGTAGTGAGCTGAAGCCCTGCTCTTCATGAATTAGCCAGTGCAAAGGAATAATCGGAACATGGGGATCTTCTAGGATGTTTGTCAGTACCCTCTATTTTTTTTCTTCAGGTGCCTGGATAGTGTGTGTTAACGTGTGTGTGTGTGTGTGTGTGTGTGTGTGTGTGTACATACATGCTCATACTGTATGCTTAGTTATGTGTATGAGTAGATTTTGTTTTTTTTCAGTAGGTTTGATTAGGATGTTTGAGGTGAGACTCAGCGAAAAACAGGGAGGCCTGTTGAAGAGTAATTGCTCCTTGATGGCAGAACTAAAACACTGTAAAGAGGTTAGCAACCCTATTTTATTGCCTGCAATGCAGAGATTTTGTAATTAGTAGTTTCATTAGAGAGTGCGAATGACTATTAAAGGGTTCAGCCAAACAAAGCATTCATTGTATTGGAAAATTTACTGTAATCCGATAGAGAAAGTACTGTTTTTGTGAATCATTTGTTAGGGTGGGTAAAGAGTTTCACTATCTAAAACCTTTCTCTTATGAAGAAAGGTTTTTATTCATAGGCTTTGACCTATATAGGACAGTGGTCACTTTGCTAGAGACCCTATTTGCATTTATCATGCTTGTGTCTGGCTGCATGGGGTTCCCTGGTCTAATTGCAGGGTATATTTTATTCAATTGACAGGGGTTGGTGTTCAACATGTTTTTTGGGAGTTGGGACAGTTGTGTTTGGCAGTGGTGTTGCCTGCTACAGATTTAATTTTTCAAGCTCTCCTACACTGCTGCTATAAGGCCAACAGAAACGTGCTAGTTTCTAAGCATATGCAGGTTTCCTGGCATAGAAAATGCTTATGGGGATGTGCCCACACACCAACTGTCTCTGTTTAGGAGTAGCTGTCCCTATTTTTTAACCACATTCACACTTTGTCGATCTAGAGGAGTACAGTGTATTTTAATCAAGCCCCAAGGCAGCTCTGTGGCTAGGTTAATTATAACCCTCTCTTATATTTGCACAGTGTTTTTGAAGCTTAGGAGCATTTCCACTGATCATGGTTCCTTTGATTTCCCAAGCTTTCTGTGAGGCAGGCAGGGTAGCTGGTATGACCCCATTTCACAGAGGAGAAAGTTGAAGTTTATGAGATTGAATGAAATGTGTCCAGTTAAGTGGCTAAGGCGGGTGGAGCCAGGCCTCTGGAACCACCATCTGGATCTCTCTCCATCACAGGCAGCCACACTCACTGACATCCCAAGGCTTGTGCTCTAAGGGGCAGTTAAATCCAGGAGCCCAAAGATACCCAGAGTAGCACTTCGTGTCATTTGTGGGTTTTCCCTACTGCTATATCTGTCATTTTCCAGCTACCTAGTCTTCTTTCAAGTGCGGAAAGGAAAAAAATTATTGCTCCCCAGGTGGGGTCAACTCATCTCTTCTGAGAACTTTGAAAGGAAGAAACCAGTCTAGACCTGCTGAATCACAATTGTGGTTGTAGATCACCGGGGTAGGAAAGAGAGGGGCAGTTGATAGTGGACATATATTGTCAGGCTGAGTTGAGAGTATAAAGCATTGAAACCAGCATGTTTTCTCTCTCGTATCCTCTTTGATTGGAAGTTGAAATTCGAGTGCCTTCAGAATCCCATGTACAATGATCACCTTTCTGAGTTTCCCTGTCTTCTTTCACTTTGCCTCTATTGGAGCACATATCATATTACACTATAATCTATTGATTTTTGTGTGTCTACTTTACCTGATAATGAGTTTTTTGAGGGCTCTATCTCATTTGTCTGTTTATTCTCATTTCTGTCACCCTGCCTGGCTCATAGTCAGTCCATGGGAAATGCTGGTTGACTGAGTGAATTTTTAACATTGGTTTTAGAAGGAGGATTAGGACTATCTTTGGGCTTCTATGTAGCTTTAGGGAACAAAATTTGACCTGGAAGAAACCTGAATTTGTACAATAATGAGATGTGGTTTTTGAATTTGTACCATATAATATGTTTTTTCTATTTATTTAAAACACTATTGCTGACATTTTCTCTGAAGATTTATTGGCAGATTTTACTAAGACTGTATTAGTGGTGGAATTATGGATTTTCCCTGGTAAGCCCTTATCATTGCAAAGAAAACAGGGTTGATTGGATTCAGGATCCTTTCAGGAACCAATTCCTCTGCATAATCACTGTTGACAGAAGAGTATCTTCCCTTGGGGTCACTGGGTATCATTTGAAAAAATAGAAACTATTTTCTTCTGTTCTCACCTACCCCCTGCCATGCACAACCGAAAAAACCATTCATGCATTTTCAGAGTGACCAGTTATTTTAGTTGAACCTGAGCCAGGTCAGAAATTTTATGAGTTTTGAATGTAAAACAAACATGATTTGCTTTTCCCCGACCTCCTGAGATGCAGGAGCTTCATCCTGGGCAGCTAGTAAGGCCTTTACCTCACTTGGAGACTGACGGCATGTGGGCTGTCCTGGCCCCTGCTGTAGAGGTGAAGGATCCTCTGTTTTCAGCCTGTATTTCGAGCACAGTGACCTATGGAAGGCTGAGGTGGGCCTCCTGTGGAGCTCTAGAAAACATTCTACTGCCAGCAAGAGAGATGACACTCCTCTCCAGGTGCAAGAATATATTAGAAGATGTGAGGAGGGAACTACTGCAGGGCAAAGCCGGGATTCTTTCTAGGGCTAAAAATGCAATTTGGCATTCAGAGTTTTATCCTCCCTCTATCTGCTGCTCTGTCTCTGCCCTCTCAGCCCTGTCATCAGCTACCTCTGCTGCTTTCTACTCTCTCGCTCATTGAGACTGAATCATGTCTCTTATTTATGGGCTATATTAGTTTGCTTGGACTGCTGTACCACAGACTGGGTGGCTTAAACACAAAAATGTATTTTCTCACAATTTTGGAGGCTAGGAGTCTGAGATCAAGGTGTTGGCAGGGCCGGTTTCTCCAGAGGCCTCTCTCCTGGGCTTGTAGATGCTGTCTTCCCCCTGTGCCTTCACGTGGTCTTTCCTCTGCACCTGTGTGGTCTTCATCTCCTCTTATAAGGACACCAGTTGTATTGGATTAGTGCTCCTTTAATGACCTGGTTTTACCTTAACTACCTCTGTAAAGACCCAAATACAGTCAGATCCTGAGGTCTCTGGGGGTAGGGGTTCAACATGGGAGTTTTAGGAGAATACAATTTGGTCATAACATGGCCTGAAAGTCAGAACTGTTTGTGAACTTTGAAGACAGTTGCATTGAATGAGAGTCACAGATCTGACTTAAGTCAGAGAATTACCCCAACCCCAGGGTGGCCTTTCATCCCAAAGTTGACATGATGGACGTGTGAGGTGGGAGAGGAAAGAGGGGCAAAGAGCAGGGGTCACTGTGGGAAAAAGGAAGGGCCAGCTGGCTAAACTGTCATTGTATGAGCAAACCCCTACTCCACCCCAAGATTTTATTTAAAAGAGGGAACATTGGCTGCTGTGGTGGCTCACGCCTGTAATCCCAGCACTTTGGAGGCCGAGGTGGGCGGATCACTTGAGGTCAGGAGTTCAAGACCAGCCTGGCCAACGTGGTGAAACCCTGTCTCTACTAAAAATACAAAAATTAGCTGGCGTGGTGTTGTGTGCCTATAGTCCTAGCTACTTGGGAGGCTGAGACATGAGAATTGCTTGAACCCAGGAGACGGAGGTTGCAGTGAGCTGAGATCGTGCCACTGTATTCTAGCCTGGGCAACACAGTGAGACTCCATCTCAAAAACTAAACAAAACAAAACACAAAAAACATATTTCTTTTGTTTTATTTAGCTACAAATAGAAATGCACATTAATATCATTTTCATTAAAAGCACTCTTCTCCCTAATTTCTCTCATCATTCGTAATGACTTCTTCCAAGTTCGAGCTGCTAAAGATGTTAGGGGAAAACCTAAAATGCTCTAAATAGCTCTAGAACAAAGTGTTTGGTCATTAGAAGACGATGAAAGCAAAGCCAGAAGTTTGCACAAGGTTCACATAATTCAAAAGAGCCTTTTAATAGAGCCTTTAAAAATGATTAGTTTGGGGCCAGGCATGGTGGCTCATGCCTGTAATCCCAGCTGTTTGGGAGGCCAAGGTGGGTGGATCCCTTGAGCTCAGGAGTTAGAGACCAGCCTGGGCAACATAGTGAAACCCTGTGTCTACTAAAAATATAAAAATTAGCCGGGCGTGGTAGTGCACGCCTATGGTCCCGGCTACTTGGGAGACTGAGGCATGAGAATTGCTTGAGCCTGGGAGACAGAGGTTGCAGTGGGCTGAGATCTCAGTCAGTCTGGGCAACAGAGTGAGACCCTGTCTCAAAAAAAAAAAAAAAAGAAAAGAAAAAAGGGTCATTTTGGGTCAGCCAAGGCAGAATTGTGAAAAGGTGAGTTTGTATTTATACTTGCATTTGACTTTGCATTCTTCATAGTTGTTTTTTGACAGTTCCAAAGTGCCCAGTGATTCTAAAACTGGGGTTCCCCTGCTTCCTAGGGAGTGCATGATGCCCAGGGCAGACATGGCACTCTTTTTCTAGCTTGTGCATTTTAAGATTATTTAGGAAATCAATTAAACCGTTAAATAATTTAACAGTATTTGTATATTAAAACACATAGATATATTACAGAGAGGAACATAAAATGCATCTAACTTTTAAAGTGAAAACATGATTCTTTAAAGACATTTAGGTTTTGGTGGGCCACACCCACCCTTCATTTCCCCTAGGAGTACAAGCTCACAGTTATTTCCTCTTTGGAGTAGGTTGACGGGTTGTGAGAAAGTTTTAGAAATACTTAAACTCTCTCTGAGATACCAGATATCTGGAGCCTTCTTTCTTCCTCAGGCCACTTTCTGAAGTAACAACTAGATAATTTGATAAACACATTTGTGTAAATGTGCTAATAAATGCTAACCTGTTCCTGGGAACCCAGTGGTCCTCCCCCATCATCACCATCTTCACTCCTGGATAAACTATGTATATTCTAATTGTTACTTTTAGTAATCTTGTCTCTGCCTCTCATTTACTGTATTCACTTAACACATATTTCATATTTATTGGGTGCTCATAGTGTGCCAGGCACTGTTCTAGGCATCCAAAATTCATGAGTCAAAAATAAACAAAATCCCTGTTCTGCCTGAGCCTAGTATTCCAATGGGGAGACAACAATTGGAGGCTGATGAATGTTTTGGGAAAAGATGGATCAAGGTAAAGAACATGGGGAGTGTGAAGTTGGGGTGTTGGTTTGCAATTTCAAATAGACTGGACAGGGAAGAAGAGCTCACTAAGAAGATGACATTGAGGGAGATACAGGACTAAGAAATATTTTTCTGGAGTAGGAGGGGGAAGAGAGAGGAAGCAGCCTGTGCAAAGTATCTAAAGCTGGAGTATGCCCAGTGTGTTTGAGAAACAGCCAGAAGGCTGGTGGCATGGAGTAGAGTGAGTGAGGGATAGAGCAGTAGAAGATGTGGTCACATAGGGCCACTGTCAGGTCCTGGCTTTTACTCTGAGATGAGAGGTTGTTGGACCATTTTGAGCAGACCAGTGATATAATCTGCTTTATGTTTTTCAAGGATCATTCTGGGTACTGTGTTGACAAAAGACAGTAGTGGGGGAAGAGTGGATGCAGGGAGATCAGTTAGGAGCTGCGTTTACAATGTAGGCATGGTGATGGTAGCATGGGTCACAGTGTTGGCAGTGGAGCGGGTGAGAAGTAGAGATACTTTAAAGGTACAGTGAACAGGATTTTCTGATGGATTGAGTATGTAGAGGGGATATGAGAGAAATATAGGACTCAGGGAAAGCTCCACAGTTTTGCGTGGCCAAGAATGGAGTTGCCATCAAGTAACATGGGCATTGAGATGGCTAGCACAGGCTTTAGGGAGATAAGGGCTTTGGTTTAGGGCATATTAAATTGGAGATGTCTGTTATACATCAGAGAGTAGGCACTTGGATATATGTGTCTAGAGTTTAGCAGAACAATCTGAACTGGAGATACAAATTTGAGAGTTGTCAGCGTTGATGGTATTTAAAGCTATAATTAGATGAGATCACCAAGGGAGGGGACAAGAGAAGATAAAAGGCCCATGGACTGAGGCCTGGGACACTATAACAAAAAGAGTTCCTGGAGAAGAAAAGGAATGGCAAATAAGATTGAAAAGATGTGATTGGTGATGTGCTAGAGTTTGTGGTGTTCTGGAGGTCAAGTGAAGAAAGTGTTTCCAGGAGGAGGAAGTGGTCTGTGTCAGATGTTGCTGGTCGAACAGCTGAGGACTGAGATTTGACCATTGCATTTGGCAATTTAGAGGTTATTGGTAGTATTAGCGGTGGAGGAGTAAAAGCCTGATTGGACAAGGTTCATGAGAAGATGGAAGGAGAAATATTGGAGGCCGTTAAGAGAGAGAACTCTTTAAAGATGATTTGTCATAAAGGTGGTAGAGAAATGAAGCATTAGCTGGGACAAGAAGGGATTTTGGGAGAAGGATTTTCAGAGATGGGAAAAATAACAGCATATTTGAATGATAATGGCATGGTCCAATGCAGAAGGAAAATTTGCTGATATGGGAGAGAGGGAGAATCGTTAGAGTGATGTTATTGAATAAGCACAAGGAGATGGAACCCAGTGTGCAAGTTTGCATCCAGAAGGTTCATGGGCAATCCATCTATAGTAGCAGGAAAGAAAGCAGAGTGTGTCATGGTTAGACTCGTGCTGTTAGGTAGACAGATGTGGTACTGGGAGTTTGTGGAAATTCTTTTGATTGCATCAATTCTTGGTATTGAAGGATGCAAGATCATCACCCAAGAGTGAGATGGGGGAGCAGGTGATGGAGGGGCGAAGAGGAAGGAAGACATGTGAAATAACTCTCCAGATGCTTGAACAAGTGGGTGGACTTAGACTTCCAGTATCCCGGCAGGCAGGTTTTGGGCTCACTTGAGGGCTGTGGTCCCAGGTATAACATGAGACTAGTTTGGCATGATTGTGTGTTTTTTCTCTAGCAGTGTTCTGCTGTGTTAGCAAAAGCATGGAGAAGGCAGAGAGTTGGAGTTAACCAGGAGTGTATTAGTCCGTTTTCTTGCTGCTGATAAAGACATACCTGAGACTTGGCAATTTACAAAGGAAAGAGGTTTAATGGACTTAAAGTTCCACGTGGCTAGGGAGGCCTCACAATCATGGTGGGAGGTGAAAGGCACTTCTTACATGGTGGCGGCAAGAGAGAGAATGAGAGCCAAGTGAAACGGATTTCCCCTTATCAAACCATCAAATCTCATGAGACTTATTCACTACCATGAGAACAGTATAGGAGAGACCGCCCCCATGATTCAATTATCTCCAACTGGGTCCCTCCCACAACATGTGGGAATTATGGGAGTACAACTCAAGATGAGAGTTGGGTGGGGGACACAGAGCCAAACCATATCAAGGAGTTAGTTGGAAGTGAATGAGAGGCATGGGAATGGAGTGATATAGCGCCTGGTGATGGATTCTAGGCTGAGATATGTGGACCAAAAGGACAGGAAAAGGTAAGGGGTGGTGAAAGGGTGATGGGATCAATGTGTTGTAAGTCTTGGTGGAGTTAAATGATTGATGGAGAAATGAATATTAGAGAGAGTAAGCTGGAAACTCAGGGGGTGGTGGACAGAGTGTGACACGTGAAATTGTGATTATGGAGGAGTTGCAGTTATTGGCAATGACAAAGCTTTTGGATTCTTACCTGATCTCCTGCTCTCACTTTTCAAAGGCCTGGGTTCCTTTTCTTCAGTATACTTAATTCAGTTTAATTCATGTTTATTGGTGTGATTGTTTCCTTTGCTAGATTGTAAGCATTGCAAGGGGGGGACTGTGTCTTTCTCCTCACCATTAACCCCCCTTGTCTAGGACGGAGGCTGGCAGATTGTAGGAGCTTGATAAATAATTGTGGAAAGAAAAGTAAGTCCCATGGTGAAGGTAGTTAATTTGGGAGAAGCCTGTGGCAGGAGATGGCTGTTGTGGCTTTTGATGACACTAACACAGGAATAAAAAACTGACTGTTGGGCTGGATGTGGAGGATCATGCCTGTAATTCCAGTGCTTTGGGAGGCATAGGCAGGAGGATTGTTTGAGTCAAGGAGTTCAAGGCTGCAGTGAGCTATGATTGTGCCATGGCACTCCAGCCTGGGTGATAGAGCGAGACTCTGTCTCTGTCGCTCTCTCTCTCTCTAAAAAAAAAAGACTCTTAAGCAAAAATTAAACAGGATTTTATAAAATTTATGACTTATTGATTAAAAGATAAATAAAACCCTATGCCATTTTAAAAATCCAATTTATAGGAAAAAAGGTACATGGTAGGAAAAGTAATGATTGGATTTTAGCAGCTTATTTCTTTAATAATTTTATTTAAAACCGTATCTTTTAATTTGGTGTGTGGTAATTGTTGTTTCTTTATTCATTCAACAGTTGTATGAAAGTCTATTATGTATCAAATGCTAAGTAGCTGTGGATTTCAATGGAACAAGACAAAGCCCCTTCCCCCAAGGGCTTATAGATTATAAAATTTGTTTGAAGAAATAACTTTTTTAGTAAATAAGTAGCGGAAGTCCAATAATACAATTTGGAACATATAGTTACATCAGAACTTGGGAAGAACACACAAATATTGATTCAAATTGTGCTACTTCCACCTGAAGCACCACATTAATGTATAGAGGCAGCATTTGGAGAACCAATAAATATACACTCAAAGGTTAATAGACAAAACTATAGGTATGAAGAAGAGAGGCAGCTGTTTGGATGTGAGCACTTATTCATGCTTGCCTGTTCTCCACATGTGTCCTCTCCTTTTTCTTCTCTTTCCTTTCACCATCAGGGTAATGCCTGGCACATAGGAGAGCAGAATAAATCTTGACTGAGCGAGTAACTAATTTTCCTAAATTCCAGAGAATAGCAAATTTCTCCACAGATACTGTTATAGACTGAATGTATGTGTCCCCCTAAAATTCATATGTTGAAGCCCTGACCCTAGTGTGGCTGTATCTGGGGTAAGGGAGTAATTGAGATTAAATGAGGTTGTAAGGCTGGGGCCCTGATCTGATAGCATTGGTCTCCTTGTAAGAAGAGACCCCTGAGAGCTCGCTGTCTTGTTCTCCAACTGAGAAAAGGTCATGTGAACACACGGTGAGAAGGAAGCCAGCTACAAGCCAAGAAGAGAGGCTTCACCAGAAACCAAATGCTGCTGGAACCTTGATCTCAGACTTCCAGAAATGAGAGGAAGTAAACATCTGTTGTTTAAGCCACGCAGTCTATGGTCTTTTGTTATGCCAGTGTATTAGTCGGTTCTCATGCTGCTGTAAGGACATACCCAGTAATTTATAAAGAAAAAGAGGTTTAATGGACTCACAGTTCCACATGGCTGGGAGGCCTCACAATCATGGCGGAAGGTGATGGAGGAGCAAAGTCATGTCTTACATGGTGGCAGGCAAGAGAGCGTGTGCAGAGGAACTGCCCTTTTTAAAACCATCAGATTTCATGGGGCTTATTCACTATCGCAAGAACAGGACAGGAAAAACCACCCCCCCAAGATTTGGTTACCTCCCACTGGGTCCCTCCCATGACACTTGAGGATTATGGGAGCTACAATTCAAGATGAAATTTGGGTGGGGACACAGCCAAACCATATGAGGCAGCCTGAGCCAGCAAATACAGGCACTGTGGAGACTGGTGTCTACAACCTGAAGAATATGGCATCTGCTAACCTGTCCTTATCTAACATGTTAATTTGCCATTTTTGTTATACAGGATTGCTTCAAAAATGCTTTCTTTGCTGACAATTCATTAGCCTAGGGAAAGTCCCTTAAATATAGGTGGCTTCTTCTTGTCTCAGCTGTGAAGCCAGCTTGTGTAGATCGGAGAAGATGAATGTTAAAAAGTTGGAGGGGATTTGCCAATGTTAATTCTGGATGAAGAAATAATTAAAGAGAAGGAGGAATGGTCAGAACTGAAAAGGCTCTTAATCATTTCCTCAGATAGAGGGCTAGAACACTTTATAATAATCCTGGAGGAAAAGGAGTAAGACAAATTAATGCCGTTGTGAATTGTGTTTATATTTACTTTTCTATTGCCAGAAATGAGTGTTTGCCTATATCAATATTTTCATTCTGATTATACCCCTCAATAAACTGAAGTGTGTGTATTAATTTACAGTAGTTGAAGTTAACAATCTTGGCATTTCCTGACAAAGGCAGAAACATTTGTCTCTAGAAGTATTAAGGATACACAATTTACAAAGTCAATAATTATTTTTCCTGCTATTTGCTTATATTTGATCTTTAGTTTTTGCCTGTATGTATGTGTATATTAGCCTGTTCGCTGGTAGTCATGAAGAACGAACACACATAGGCCATTTTCATGCTTTTTGGGCTAATTTTAATCTGAGAGATTTATTCACCTCAAAGTGGTTTATTTTCATAAACTACCTCATGAACTCATGAAGTCTATTTTTTAATTTTTTAAGTTTTTATTTTTTAACCTTTTTTAAAGGCAGAGTCTTGCTCTGTCATCATGCTAGAGTGCAATGGCATGACCACGGCTCACTGTAGCCTTGATTTCCTGGGCTCAAGCAATCCTCTCACCTCAGCCTCCTGAGTAGCTGGGACAACAGGTGTTAGCCACCACAGCCTGGCTAATTTTTGTATTTTTTGCAGAGATGGAGTCTTGCTAGGTGGCTCAGGTTGGTCTCAAACTTGTGGACTCAAGTGATCCTCCTGCCTTGGCTTCCCAAAGTTCTGAGATAACAGGCATGAGCCACCACGCCTAACCGAAGTCTTTTATTACTGGATTAGAATTTAACAATCTGTTAATAGTCTCAGGCCAAAGTATCAGTAATTTCTTCTCTTCCTTGCTTTGCTGCCCTACATATTTTGCAAGGATACCTCTCCATCATCTCCAGGCATGTGACTCTAGGAAATCTAAGAGGGTAAGTATTGCTGATCACAGCAAAGAGTGGCGCTCTCTCTTTTTTATCAGAGAGAGGAGAACTCACCTGGACACCTCTCAAAACCATGCATTTTGTTCTGCAAATAGCCACTCATCCACTTGGCCAGGGTGATAAATGGCTTTTGCTGGGTAAGTGGCCAGGAAGTGTATTTCATTTATCTTACTCCTCTAGCCCCTCATGTGGGGAAGAGGTATAAAAGGAAGTAAAATATACTGTGACTTGGGAACTTGCTTTGCATTTTAACCAGAGGCAGACCACTGGGTATCAGCAAATACTTTATCAGGCTTCCAAATATTAAGTAGATATTTGGAATATCTACTCAAGCTGTCTAACAATTCAGAGACAGCAGGAACAGTTGGAGACATTTTGAGAGATGCTGAAGGATGAGAGTGAGAAAACTCAAGGCCTTTGCTCATGTCTGTGTGGCTGATTGGTGGTGGGGTTAAGTACTCAGACTGGTGCTCTTAACTCCAAGATTGGTTTTTGGGTTTCAGATGCTTGTTTAACAGTAGAGTCCATTTTGTTCTCACTCAGCTGTTCTAGTTGAAGCAGGAGGGGTACCCTCAGAGCCCTGCGCTCTGTCCCATCTGTCCCATCACTGTCCATCTGTTCCCTGAGATCCTGAGTCTCCACATCACACAGCTTGCACACCATCAGACTTGAAAACCATTGGACTTGAAAACCATTGGACTAGACAGGCATGGAAGGTTCAGGTGAGGGCATTGCACAGCCAGATGGGACTACTGGGACCCTTTTCCTTCCTATTCTCATACCTCTTCCTGGGAGGATCCTTTCAGACAGAATGACCAGTCAGAATGACCACCCACCTCAACACCCCATCCTTTAGGAAGCCATTCCTAATTACCCAACTGGAATGGGAGTCCCCTCCCTTTGAGCTCCTTCCGTGCATCTGTTTCTCTGGGGGTTCCTCTTGATGTCTACCTTGCAGTGAGCTGGGCCGTCCTCAGTCTGAGGCCGGGGACCATGGCATGCACATCATTACATGCCAGCACCTGCAGCAGCAAGCCGTGTATCACAGGGACTCAGTGAATGTCTGTAGAATTGAGTTGAGGACAACATTTTATTTGGTTACCATTGAATGGGCATTTGAGCTATATGACCTCTGATTTATAGGCATGGTAATTGTGCTATCTCAGACAGGGGAGAAGGTTATTTAGATAATGTGATTAGAGTACAGAAATGCTATATAGAAATCTAACATAGTGGTTATCTATTGTCTTGCTATTTTCACAGTTAAGGGCATTTTAGTATGAGAATCAAAGATGGTTTATAACTGGTATAAAGAGGAAGCCTTGAGATTTCCAGATCTGAAACCAGATGACCACAGAAGAGCATTGATTAATATGTGAAGGCCCTAAGGGAGAAATGTTTGCATTGATTCTATAGGAATTGCAACACACCTCCTTTCAGCATAGCATCGTACTGGTTGCTGAGGCAGGCAGGCATCTCTGTGTCCTGTCTCACATCCTCTTTGTCCATCTTGTACTCTGATCATTGCTGGGCAACCAGCCTCACACAGATGTAACTAGACAGCATCTCTCTTCAGCTGCACTGTATATCTGTATATCTCTCCCTTCAGCTGCACTGTATCTCCCTTCAGCTGCACTGTATCTCCCTTCAGCTGCACTGTATCTCCCTTCAGCTGCACTGTATCTCCCTTCAGCTGCACTGTATATCTCTCCCTTTCTGCCCCAGGGTTTCTGTGAAGCATCTTTGGGAGACCTGTTGGACTTCATGCCTGTGCTATCTGGAGATGCAAAGGAGTCAACAGCTGTCAGGCCAACACTTGACCAGTGAATAGGAGCTGGTGGTAAAATGCTCTCTCCTTCTGCCCTTTGGGCAGGTGATTCTGAGGCCTATTCTATTTGTCTCTTTCCAAAGTCTCCATGGGGCTGAGCTCATTAATGTGCCGGTGCACTGGCTTTCTCCCCCTCCTGGGCTTCCCTCTCCCCCAGTTTTTCACTCCTGTTCTTTGGATCCATCCCAGATAACCTACTGCATATAAACTATTATCTCAGACTCTGCTTAAGCGGGGAATTCAGGCTAAGGCAGGGGAATAAAGAATGTAGTAAGATATTTTCCCTGTCCTCCAAGAGCTTCCCCTTTGATTGGAAAATGGTGTGGAACACTGGGGTTACTTTAGAATGTCTTGTATGGGTAAAGGCCAAAGTGGGTGACTCAGCTTGGGTAGGTGTTACCAGAGAAAGAAAAAGAGAAGGGCAGTGTACATGGAGCTTGTGGACTAGATTGATCCCAAGAAGGTCAGTTAGGATCTGTGGGATTTGTGTGTGTGTGTGTGTGTGTGTTTGTGACAGAGTCTCGCTTTGTCACCCAGGCTGGAATGCAGTGGCGTGATCTTGGCTCACTGCAACCTCCGCCTCCTGGGTTCAAGTGATTCTCCTGCCTCAACCTCCCGAGTAGCTGGGATTACAGGTGTGTGCTACCATGCCCAGCTAATCTTTTTTTTGTATTTTTAGTAGAGGCAGGGTTTCAGGCCAGGCTGGTTTTGAACTCCTGACCTCAGGTGATTCACCCAACCTGGCCTCCCAAAGTGCTGGGATTACAGGTGTGAGCCACCATGCCTGGCTGGATCCATGGGATTTGAATGGGCTGGGGAGAAGGACAGAGGGGACTCCAGTGTTATGTAACAGTAGGAATGAGCAGAAAAGCCGGGTGGGGCCTAGGGGTGTTATAGGGAAAGAGTGAAAGGTGTATTGAAATTATCAGATTGTTTAAAATTTTTAACACCAGGCATAGGACTCAGAACTTTCCCTTAATTTGATGAAAAGTAGGAATTGATTTGTGGAAATTTTAAAACTTAGAGGCTATTGGATGGAGAAGGGAGAGAAAGGGCTAAGAAACTGTTGAGACATAAAAGTAGGGATCAGGCGAATGAGGGGCAAAGTTCCCTGGCTCAGTCGACTGAAAACTTCACTAGCACCTGCTAGAAGCAAGGATCCCTGGGGAGGGCAAAGAGTGACCTTTCCAAGGGCATTCACCTCTGAGGGCAAAGGCCTGTCTGCAAGGTTGAGAGCTGCATTTAAAGGAAAACATTCTTCTGAACCCCCAGAGTTGACTTAGATTATTTTTATTATAATGTTATTTAAATATGTATAAAATAAAGCTAGGTATAAACTCCTAGTACTTAAAGCTCTCATATATCCATGAAACCAGATGAGATTTACACGTTAAAAATAAATAAAATGACAAAACCAATAAAATGGAAATTAACAACATTAATTTAATGTGATGGATGATGTTTTTTACTCAAATGAAATTGCTCTTGGCAAATGAGTATGGCGCTGGCAGCTTCAGCTCCGAGTTCAGTGTTTCATGTGTCCCACACTGACTTCATTCTCTTTGAATTTCTCTTTGAACCACTGAGAAACCTTTGTTTGAACAGCTGGCCATGACTGAATGTATTATTTACCTATCGAGGTGCCTCTGTTCTCATTAGCCAGAGACAATTTGGTGTTCTTTGTGCCAACACAGCCATAAGCCCAAAGCAAAGGTGGGTGCAGACACAGAATGGCAGAGTATGTTTCCCTCTGCCCTGTGGCCTTCCAGGAGGTGCTGGAAGGAAGCTCAGAGATGGAGGTGAAAGGGAAAAAGAGGACTCAGGAGTACAAACAGCATATCCTGAGACCAAGAGGGATGCTAGATTCAAATGTTTAGTTCATTTAGGGAGTTGAAGTCAATTTCTTTGACTATTAAATTCCAATGAATTGAATCTCCAATGAATTGACTCTGCAATGAACTTGGAGACTTTTTTTTTTTTAAATACTTTAAGTTCTGGGATACATGTGCAGAACGTGAGGGTTTGTTACATACATATACACGTGCAGTGGCAGTTTGCTGCACCCATCCTCCCATCATCTACACTAGGTATTTCTCCTAATGCTATCCCTCCCCTAGACCCCCATCCCCTGACAGGCCCCAGTGTGTGATGCTCCCCTCCCTGTGTCCATGTGTTCTCATTGTTCAACTCCTACTTACGAGTGAGAGCGTGCAGTGTTTGGTTTTCTGTTCCTGTGTTAGTTTGCTGAGAATGATGGTTTCCAGCTTCATCCATGTCCCTGCAAAGGACATGAACTCATGCTTTTTTATGGCTGCATAGTATTCCATGGCATATATGTGCCACATTTTCTTTATCCAGTTTATCATTGATGGGCATTTGGGTTGGTTCCAAGTCTTTGCTATTGTCAACAGTGCTGCAATAAACTTGTGAGCATGTTGTCTTTATAGTAAAGTGATTTTTAATCCTTTGGGTATATACCCAGTAATGGAATTGCTGGGTCAAATGTATTTCTGGTTCTAGATCCTTGAGGAATCACCACACTGTCTTCCACAATGGTTGAACTAATTTACACTCCCACCAACAGTGTGAAAGCATTCGTATTTCTCCACATCCTCTCCAGCATCTGTTGTTTCCTGACTTTTTAACGATTGCCATTCTAACTGGCGTGAGATGGTATCTCATTGTGGTTTTGGTTTGCATTTCTCTAATGACCAGTGATGATGAGCTTTTTTTCATATGTTTGTTGACCACATAAATGTCTTCTTTTGAGAAGTGTCTGTTCATATCCTTTGCCCACTTTTTGATGGTTTTTTTTTCTTGTAAATCTATTTAAGTTCTTTGTAGATTCTGGATATTAGCCCTTTGTCAGGTTGATAGATTACAAAAATTTTCTCCCATTCTGTAGGTTGCCTGTTCACTCTGATGATAGTTCCTTTTGTTGTGCAGAAGCTCTTCAGTTTAATTAGTTCCCATTTGTCAATTTTGGCTTTTGTTGCCATTGCTTTTGGTGTTTTAGTCATGAAGTCTTTGCCCATGCCTATGTCCTGAATGGTATTGCCTAGGTTTTCTTCTAGGGTTTTTTATGGTTTTAGGTCTTACATTTAAGTCTTTAATCCATGTTGAGTTAATTTTTGTATAAGGTGTAAGGAAGGGGTCCAGTTTCAGTATTCTGCATATGGCTAGCCAGTTTTCCCAATACCATTTATTAAATAGGGAATCCTTTCTCCATTGCTTGTTTTTGTCAGGTTTGTCAAAGATCAGATGGTTGTAGATGTGTGGCGTTTTTTCTGAGGCTTCTGTTCTGTTCCATGGGTCTGTATGTCTGTTTTGGTACCAGTACCATGCTGTTTTGGTTACTGTAGCCTTGTAGTATTGTTTGAGGTCAGGTAGCATGATGCCTGAACTTGGAGACTTTTTGGGGGGTTAAGGGACCATTCTATGGCATCTGTGGTGGAGTAAAATATTTGTGAAATGTTACATTATTTGCTATCCCTTATATAATTTTGGGAAATTATTGTGTTGTAAAACACTCCTGTGGAAGGGAGTTTAGTTGCAAAGTTCAGATGGTGGGACTCGATCAGCACTGCAGATGTTTCTGTCTGTGGCTCATTCCTGTGCCCACAGTGGCCCCAGCTCTTTGAGAGCCTCTCTTTCAAGGCTGATTCCTGGATTTAGGTTGGCCTCCAACTCAAACTGGATTCCTTTTGGAAGCCTGGCCTGTCTGCCTTTGCTCTTGGAATCAGGGCCCACAGGTGAGAGCCTGTGAAGAGCCCTGAGTCTAGATTCAGGCAGCTGGGTTTCAATCTTAGCTTCTGCATTTGCTATGTGACATGAGACAAGTTACTTAAACTCTGTGCCTCTGTCTCATTATCTGTACAATGGGGAGGATAATAAATAATGCCTAGTTTGCAGGATGAAATGAGTGAGTATATGTGAAGTGTTTAGAATATCCAGCGTATAGTAAGTGGTATACAATAGTGACTGATGGTGATGGTGATTATTCTAGTTAAATCACGGATCTGTGACCCCAGGGGGGAAGCTCTGGGCCTGCTCGTTAGAGTCCTGTGCAAGTATTGTAGGACGCCTGAATGGCTGACAATTTTGAAGACTCTTTGCTAAAGAGGCAACACTAGGGTAGAAAATATATCAATGATCAAGAACTCTCATTATTTCAGATCTGGTTAATTTGCCTATTTGAAAGACTTTGTGGTCAGAAGAAGTTTGCCTTTGCAAAGAAGAAAGGGTACTGAAGAAATCGTATGAAGGAAACAACGGTGTAAGCAAAACCAAAAGGGTCTTGTTCAAGCCACTTCGGAAAATCTTACTTCCTAGCAAAGTTTATTTTGCATTAAAAAAACAGATGTGCTAATTATGTGTTAATCTTATCTATTTAGTATAGCAGGTCCCCAAGGGTAATTATTTGGCACGCGTGGCTCTCTTAAGACATTTTGCTGAGTCAGGCAGGCCTTGTATTAGTTTGAGTTCTCCCAGAAGTCCTGAAACAAGGGAGGAGGAGGACTGGAAGGGGCATGGGAGAAAGGAAGCCTGCAGAGGCTGAGCCGTTGAGCAGGTTAGTGCTGGGGGCACCTGGGGCTCCATCCCACTGGAGACTGCTGGGGGACAGAGCAGAAAATGGTTCAGGTTACTCAGCCTGACCCATGAGGGTGCTGGCCTATTTATCCATTTATCCACTGATTCTCCTCAGTCATTTGTTGAGGCCTGCTGGGGATGGGGGCATTAATTACCTGGCACTTCTGGTCTGTCCCACTTGGTCCCAGTGAGCTCTAGTGGCTAGAGGGAGCTGTCAGGCATAGGCTTGCAAGTGGAAGATGTAGAGGGCCTGCAGGGCCTGAGGAGCCCTCAGGATGGGGGCGGAACACTGATGTGGGCTACTGCCCTTCCTCAGACTAGAGTGACTTAGTGTGATTTTACAGCATGTGTACTCTCTCTGCCTAATGTCGATTGCTCACTACACAGAGACGGTTCAAGCCTGTGTTCTGTGTAACATCTACACCTCAGGGTGGCACTCAGCGCATCTTTATGAACATGCTTTGATGTATTTTGCAGGTATATTTGTTAATTGTCTTCAGTGGGGAATCCCTGTCTTTTTTGTTTGGTTCAGCCTCAGAAATAGGGAGGGTAAGGGTGAGATGGAGGAAAGGCTGGAGAAGGGAGCCGGGGTTATGTCGGTTGAGAGAAGGCAATGAGGCCCTTGGAATGTGAGAGGGCTTTGGATTGGATACCCTCTGGTGCAGCTCTCAGTGAGGCAGAATGAGACCTCAGAGGGCATTGCGGGCTCTCTTTTCCTCCTAGTGTTTGGAGGCCTGGAGCAGGGCAGAGCTCTGCCATCACCATGGGATTAAAAGTGTTATCATCAAGGCATAGTCTGCTTTTATTGGATAGTCCAACTGTAATGAGAAAGTGGCCAGATCTTAGATAAGAATGGAAGGGTGAGGTGAGGTGGAGATGTATCTTGTAACCATAGCTTTGGGAAGGGCAATGTTTTTCTCCATATCTGTAGGCAAAATTTGGTGACTTAGCATTGAGGGATCTGGCTTAGAATAGTGAGGCGATATCAACAGTGCGTGCCATGTGGACCTGAAGTCAGAAGCCCTGCATGGAGTCTCAACTCTTCCCTTTAGAAGTCTTGTAACCTTGGGCAAGTTCAACCTTCCTTTCTTTTTATCTGCAGAAGGAAGGAAATGGTAATATGCAATTTATCAGGTTGTTGTGAGAAAATATATCTGTTTGTGAATGGATAGCATTCATATCCATGTTAGTTTTTTAAAAAATGGTGGACTATTTTAAAAGTTTCTATTCAATAAAATGCTTTTAGTAACATAATGCAATACCATACAATTGTGCAAGATTATACAAGATAATCGTAGCTTTTATAAAATGTTAATTCAGAATATATATTAATAGGACACAAGCTTTTAAATCTAGTTTTATTTTTATTAATACCTTTTAATCAAACTGCTAATAAAATACAACTAAAGGTGTCCTAAAGAAAAAAGCAGTCCCTTGCCTTCTGTTTCCTAAGCCAGTTTTTTTTAGAGGCAATGACTTTGGATGTTTTTAGTTATTTTCTCATATATCACCATGTTTAAAAATAATATACTTTGCTGGATGAAGTGTCTCACTCCTATAATCCCAATACTTTGGGAGGCAGAGGTGGGAGGATCCCTTGAGGCTAGGAGTTGGAGACTAGCCTGGGCAATATAGCAAGACCCTATCTCTACAAAAAATAAAAATAAAATAGCTGGATATGGTGGCACGTACCTGTAGTTTCGGCTGCTTCAGGGATCAGAGGCTGAGGTGGGAGGATCACTTGAGCCCATGAGGTCAAGGCTGTAGTGAGCCATGACCATGCCACTGCACTCCAGACTGGGTGACAGAGCAAGACTCTGTCTCTAAATAATAATAATAATTATTATTATAATTATATACTCCTTCTGCTATTTCTTGGAGAGCATTGCATATTATGACTTTCTAGCATACTTGATTGGATTATAGTCCTTATACCTCATCCTTCCACCCTTCCCTCTTATTTTCTTAATATTACTGTATCACTATTTTTGGTTAAATCCCTTGTCAGTGTTTACATTATTATGACTGTGTAAATATCATTTACTTTTAAGCCAAATTGTATTATGATGATGTTTAATTATTGTACATTGTTTTGTTTTCCTAGAGGTAATAATCACCTTTAAAATCTTTTGCTTAGCTTTTTATCTATCTATGGCTAAATTTTCCCAAAGAGTGTAGTAGATCTGTGAAATACCTGTCAGTATTGTTTTCCAAACACCCACACATGTCAGATACTCTGTAAGTTCCGTTTCCCCTTTGCAGAGCCCTCTTTCTTCCAGCTTGAGTTAGTTTCTCTTTAGGCTGGGAGTGCGGTCTCAATTATCCTAGGCTTTAATTGATCACACTCCTGATTAGATCACCTCTTCCATGAGTGCTCTGTCTTCTTTTTTCTTAGTTTATTTCTTCTTTTTGTTGCAGTACATCCTGTAGTAGCCTCTTTAAAAAGGGTGTGCATTTTTGAGTCCTGTTTGCCTGAAAATGCTCTTATTCTCTCAGTCTTGCCTGACGGTTTGATTGGGAAGAGAGTTCGAAATTAATTATGCCTCAGTTTGAAAGCACAAATCTCTGGGTAATGAGAGATGCGATGACTCTTAGATTGTTTCTTTTTATGAGACCTGATCTTTTCCTCCCCATGAACCTGGTATCATTGTCTTAGGCTTTCCTTGGGTCTCTGGAGATGAATCTCCCTTCTTTTTAGCACCCCCTTTTTGACTTGCTGAGCTTGTTAACTTTCTTTGCTCTCTTCAGTCAGCTACTCTCACCTGTTCTCTTCCTTCCAAAAGTTTGTTGCAATCTTTCATCTGTTGAAGTCTCCTTTCCCATTCTTTGTCTTTGTGGGTTGCAGGCATTTCCCCCACTTAAACCCTTTCCTTCCATTGGTAGATTTCGTGAGGGTAGGAGAAAAACAAGTGTTATTGGATTTGCTCTGTCCAATTAGAAGTCTGTTATTATTAGAAATAAATGAAAATGGCCTGAATATTTCACTGGAAAACTGGAACATAATATATTCAAGGTCTTCTATTTAATAAATAAATAAGACTTTTGCTGGATAAGCAAAGAGAGAACAGTGAAAAGGAAAAAAGGAATGGAAAAAGGAAGGGAGAGAGCTCAGTAGAAAAAATATGCCTTGAGGAGGGACTTCATAAAGACTTTTCAAAAGGGGAAAAAAGCGGAAATCTAGGCCAGTTCTGTCTAATGCAGGCTATTCAGACACTGTAGATTAGGGAATTATTATTGATAATGGATTTATCAATGGACAATTATTGTAGCATCTTTTTCAAGGGCTGTCACATGTAAGAATTTTATGCTTGTCAGTCTCAGAGCGTCTTAAGGACACAAGATTGTGAAACAAAGGGATGTTGATTCTGCAAAACAAATTCCATCCTGTCCTAGGAATGGTGGTTCACCTCTATCAGAGAGAGACCACCAGCATCGTGGGAGATGAAATGCTGGGTCCAGGGACATCTCCATGTACTGTGTGGAGACTGTGGGCCTAACTTTAAATATGATTACACAAATGTAATATTATTTATGGTATGGGAGGAACCATAATATCATGATGGTATGGGAGGAAATTATGGATAAGGGCTTTTTCCTTTTTCATCTTGCCTATTATTTTTCTTCTTTCTTTCCCACTTTTCTTCTTTGTAAATCTGAAGGCTCTGAATGAAAGATAACCATAATAGCTTGTTTGTTTGTATAGCTATGAAGATAACCATTACAGCTTGTTTGCTTCCATAGCCAAACATTATTTCCTGCCCACTTGCAGGCGGATCAAGGCTACTGGTCAGAAAAAGAAGAAAAACATTCTCAAAGCTGGAAATTCCAGTTGTGGTCAGCCAAGAGCCTCTGTCTGAATTTCAGTCCAGTTCTACACTCTGTGTTATGCCTGACATTCTGAGGCTGCTTCTGCTTCTTCTCCTTTAATTATTTTTATTGCCGTCTCTTGCTTTAAGGCTCTTCTGAGTGTCCTGCATGTTGCCTTAGCCTGTCTTTTCTCTGTCTCTTGATGCTGTATCAAGGATACACAGGAAAATAGAAATTATGCCCACCTTGTGGGAAAAGAGACTTTTGGAATCAGATAAGGCTGGGAAGACAACACTGAGCTTTAATGGACTGGGTGTTCAGGTGGCCTGGGAGTCTCTCCCTTTATATCTTCAGGCCTAGTGCCAAGACTGGTGGTGTCACTGTCTGTCATTGTGAAGATTCTCTGAGGTCTGCGTGGCTTTCCATGTCCTGCAGTAGATGTAGGAAACAACAGGAACAAGAGTGTCTTCTCCTCTCCTCCTCATCACATTATCCCCTGAAGCTCCTGGAGGAGTTCACAGGCTGAAGTGTTTGCATTCATGCAGAGGAGATGGCAGCTGTTAGTGGCTGTGCACCTGCCTCAGACCCAGGGACATGGAGTCTAATTCCAGTGTCTGTACTGGTGACCACTGTGAACTCAGGCAGACCTTGACCTCAGTGGGCTTTGGCTTCCTTCATTGGTAGTGGGGGAGCTAGAGATTGCTGCAGCCCTTTGAACTAGAACATACTCTGAGGCTCTTGGCTGATATACATGCTAGGATGGCATACTGCTTACTTCTCCTTTCTTAGAGTCATATAAATAGTTAGGTTAGGTTTTTTTTTTGAGACAGAGTCTCAATCTGTAACCCAGGCTGGAGTGCAGTTGCATGATCTAGGCTCACTGCAGCCTTGACCTCCTGGGCTCAAGTGATCCATCCACCTCAGCTTCCTGAGTAGCTGGGACCACAGGCGCACAACACCAAGCCTGGCTATTTTTTTTGTATTCTTTGTGGAGACAAGGTTTCGCCATGTTGCCCAGGCTGGTCTCAAACTTCTGGGCTTAAGAAATCTGCCCTCATCGGCCTCCCAAAGTGCTGGTATTACAGGTGTGAAACACCATCCCAGGCCTGAACACTCTGTTTTTAAAGGTTTCAAACAGGCTGGGTGCGGTGGCTCACACCTGTAATCCCAGTACTTTGGGAGGCCGAGGTGGGCAGATCACCTGAGGTCAGGAGTTGAAGACCAGCCTGTCCAACATGGCCAAACCCTGTCTCTACTAAAAATACAAAAATTAGTCAGGCGTGGTGGTGTGGGCCTGCAATCCCAGCTACTCGGGAGGCTGAGGCAGGAGAACAGCTGGAATCTGGGAGGCAGAGGTTGCAGTGAGCCAAGATCATGCCACTGCACTCCAGCCTGGGTGACAGAGTGAGACTCTGACTAAAAAAAAAATAGAAAAAAAAGTTTCAAATAAATGTGAACTTCTGCCTCAATGGACACAGGTTAGTCTATCTGGTAATGAATATCAAACATTAAGAAGTGATGATTTTTCTTGTGTCTCCTTCTGCCTCCTTTTACTATTGGCAAGCATGGTTGCCTCGACTGTAAGCTCTCTGAGGGCGGGACTCCTGGTTGTCTTATTTTCGAGATCCCTTCAGAGTATCTACTTGTCCACATTCCTGAAAGTGAAAAAGTTGGTCACATTTTATTTATTTTGTTTCCCCAGCACCTAGCAGAGTGTCAGGAATGTATAATAATAAATATTTGTTGACTCCAATGCCTAACATATGGTATTCTAAGCATGCATTGTAAATGTTTGAAATTGCAACATAAGCAAGGTAGGGATATGAGTATTATATTTTATTTTTTCTAAAAAAACATACACTGTGTGAAATAAAAACCTTTCAGAAAAAGATTACACGGCGGTTTTCTTTCTCATTACCCATCACTTTCCTCCTCCCTAGAATTTCAAGACTTATTTTCTCACCAAACAGAATCAAAAGACAAAATTGTAAGAAAGCTTCCAGAATTACCTGGGCTACCTAATATCCCCCTTTATTCTATCCTTTTTGTACTTTGGTTTGTTGGAAGTTAACTAAAGATAAAAGAAATATCTGAGGCCCCCTATTGGGGTGTTAATTAATTGTTTCTTGTCCAAGGAATAAAAAAAATGCTTCAAGAGAATGTCTGTGTTTGAATTAGCAGACAATCTCTCTCCTATCTCAACCTCAGTTTTCTTAGTTGACATTCTCAAGTGTCTCCAATTAGCTTAAGGAGTGTTAAGACATTAACAAAAATTCCCAAGGCAAAATTAATTTCAATTTGCTTTGGCTTAAACAGATATGCCATACATCACCTCAGGAGGAAGAAGCCTGTTATAAAATCTGGCCAGCAACAACAATAACAGTAACAACATAAAAACTCCCCAAACTGAAACAACTCAGATTTCTCCCTGCTTGTTAAGAAGTGAAGCCCGGCGCCGGATGTGGTGGCTCACACCTGTAATCCCAGCACTTTGGGAGGCCGAGGAGGGTGGATCATGAGGTCAGGAGTTTGAGACCAGCCTGGACAACATGATGAAACCCTGTCTCTACTAAAAATACAAAAATCAGCCGGGTGTGGTGGCACACGCCTGTAATCCCAGCTACTTAGGAGGCTGAGGAGGAGAATTGCCTGAACCCAGGAGGTGGGGGTTGCAGTGAGCCAAGATCATGCCACTGCACTCCAGCCTGGGTGACAGAGTGAGACTCCATCTCGAAAAAAAAAAAAAAAAAGAAAAAGAAAAAGAAAAGAAGTGAAGTCCAGTGCCACAAGCCATTTGAAACCTACCGGAAAATGAAGTTGTAGTTTTAATTGCAGTTGGCATTTGCAACCCTCCAGGTAAAAGAAGTCAGTTTGCTAGAAAATTTCTTTTGGTACTGGAAGTGCAGGAAATTAATAAGAATGAGCTGAATATAAGTTGTATTTAACCTGTTAAAGCCCAGCTTTGGAATTTCTCCTGGACCCTCAAGTAACCTTGTCTTTTGTCAGTTGGTAGACTTTGTTGAGTGACTGCTAAGGGACACCACTGGCCTTTAATGCTGAGAGCTCCCTTCCCTAACAGGCTTTGTGCTAGTTAGCAGGAAGGGAGCAAGACAGTTACCAAGCGATGACCAGATTGTGTGAAATGAGTGATCAAATAGTTGGTTTGGTAGGAGTTCGGAGAAAGGAGAGGACGTCTTGGATTGGGGTGGAGGAAGAAGACATTATGGAGGAAAGGATGCTGAGAGGACATTTGGTTTGCAGGTTGGGGAGGGGATTGGGAAGAACATTCTAAGCTGAGGAATAGCATGAGTCAAGCACTGTCCTGGCATGCTGGGATAGAGGGTGGTGGGGATGGGGCCTGGAGGAGGTGAATGGGAGATTGGGCAGGAGAGGTGGGCTGGGACTGGTTTGTGAAAAGCTTTGTAATTTGAGCTAAGCCTTGACGCTGTAGATCCGTGGTTTCCCACATTTATTCATTTAGCCTCAGAACCCTTTCTTAAGATGCAGTTTTACGTGGAAGGCTGTCATATAAAATGGGTAGAAGTGGAGATGTGCTATTGAAATCTGCAATGTTACCCTCAAACCTGACCCTCTCTTCCTTCATCCGATACTCTGCACCTTGTTCCTGCTTAGTAAGTGGAAAACCACTGGGAAAACACTGCTTTAGCAATGGGCCATCAGTGATGCTTTTTGATCAGGGGAATGACATGCCTGGAAGATAATGACACAGTAATTTTAAATTCAGTTTTCTATTGTTTTATGTCTTGTTTATATCCGTGGGCACTTGATGGACAGGCTAAGTTGGATTGGTGTTTGGTGTTAAAATCACGTGCGAGACCTTGGTCTAGAAAAACCCTGGGGGAATTTTGAGACCGAAACTAACCATCTCCTCTTTGGTATCTTCTCAAAGTGTGTGTGTGTGTGTGTGTGTGTGTGTGTGTGTGTATGTGTGTTGAGGAGTGGGCAGCTGATATTTATG
Organism: Homo sapiens; assembly: GCF_000001405.40. Classification (NCBI taxonomy): domain Eukaryota; kingdom Metazoa; phylum Chordata; class Mammalia; order Primates; family Hominidae; genus Homo; species Homo sapiens. Next base: position 141,126,927 of record NC_000007.14, read on the forward strand.
GTGACCAAAAGTTGCAAAGTGTGGAGGCTGTAGGATCAGGCGGATTTGCAACAGATGCAGCTCTAACATATTCAGCTGTGTGACCCTGTGTATAGCTGACCTTCCCAGGCCATCAGCAGTGAATACCAGGAAAAGCCTTGCAGGTGAGAGGTGGACATGACCAACAGTCCAGCTGTTCCTTCTTGGACACAGTGGCCATAAAATAGTGTCCCTACCTCTTGGGCATTTGGTTCTCTTAGCCCCTTTCTCCTGCAAGGGATCGAGCTCTTTTTCTTCTTACTCCAAATTTAGCTCGGATAGACCTTTTGAGTTTTTAAAAAGAATATTTGGTAAACTTTGACTCACCTGGGAACTGTTTTGTACACATTTATAGTGGGCTGAATGTCTAAAAAGTTATGTTCATGTCCTAACCCCTAGAACCTGTGAAGGTGCTCTTATTTGGTAAAAGAGTCTTTGCAGATGTAATTAAGGATTTCATGATGAGATCATCCTGGATTTGGGGTGAGCCCTAAATCCGAAGACAGGTGTCCCAATAAGAAGAAGAGAGGCCACAGAAGTACAGAGACACACAGAGGGGAGGGCCACGTGAATATGTAGGCAGAGATTGGGATGTTGGAGCACCAAAGATACTGGAGGATTACCAGAAACTGGAGAGAGGCATGGAATAGGTTCTCCCCTACAGCCTCTGGAAGGAGTCAGTTCTGCAGACACCTTGATTTGGGCTTCTGGCCTCCAGAATTGTGAGAGAGTAGATTTCTGTTGTTTGAAGTCACCCAGTTTGTGGAAGTTTTTTATGGCAGTCCTAGGGAACTAACACAAGCACTGTGGGTTAGAGCCTTCTCTCCCCTTTGTGGTCAGCCCTTTTAGCTTCCCTGAGAAGTCTTTGCTTCTTTAGGGGTTTTCTACTTTTCCTTTTCTGTGAGGTCTTTCATGCTGGTAGAATAAGAATTTCAAGTTTTAGGTTCAGTTCTTTTGCACCATATTACCTCTCAGATTCTGTTGGCTGTGGGATCTGCACTTCTCTGAGCAGGCCCAACGCGAACCACAGGGCATAAGAGGATCTGATCCCCTTTTCCTAAAGGCTGTGTGAATTCCAGTTCGCTGGCTATTTATTCCTGTATTGATAAGGTGATTGCATAAATTATTGTCCCCTTACTGATAAGGTGAGCATATAAGTTAAGTGAGACATACTTGGACACCCTTGAGAATAAAAGGGACACTATTAATATTTATAACAGGTGTAAACTGGGACTATCCCAGGCAAACTGGGACAACTGGTCATATCTAGAACCTGAATACAGTTCCACTGGGCCTGCTTTTTGGTCTTGTCAGTATTAAGTCAGGAATAATTGCTTGCTTGGCCTTAGGAGGAATTGTTGGCCTTCCCAAGTCTCTTTTCTCTTGCTTCCTTATTCTCTCCAAAAGTTGAATATTTCCTTATAGCTAAGGAGTTATCAAACTTCTTTGGTCTTCAGACTTATTTGGCAAGGCAAAACAGCCCCTGGGCACCTTACGTGTCCTCATTTTTGCTACTCAGCATTGTAAAAATGCTTCTCTACAATGAACAAGCACATCAGGCTATTTTGGCTGTAACATCAATTAACTTGGATCCTTGAAAAAAAAAAAGCTCCAAAATATGTTAAACAAATTGTTAATTCATGCCAGGAACAAAGCACAGTTTGTCATGTTTCATACATTAATAGTGCATGGGGTTAACTCTTGAACCATCTGGAGGGCAGAATTCCGGGGCCCACGATGAGTGTGGTAGGGAGGAACTGAAGTCAGACATTGTTTCCTGATTCCCACATCACTTCTCCTGCTAAGAGAACAAAGAGTCATCTGTTGGATGTTCCTCTGGAGAGTAGAAGCCAGGCCACATTCTCTAAAATTAGCCTCTTCTCCTCTGCTGTTGTCAGAAACAAGGAGCCTTCCAGGATGTTTGCCATCACCACCAAGAAAGACCTAGAAATGTCAATTGTAATTAAACACCATGATTGGAGATATATTACCCATATTGCTCCTCAGAAGAAATGGATTACCATGCATGATGTTTCAGTTACTAAATTAAAAATTAGAGTCTAAGGTTTCTCCTGTGGAAGTCAGTGAAATCCTGCAAGACCCTGTGGTCACATTTAGAGAAGCTGCCACCAGTTGCCCTAGGATAGTGGGTTACATGGCTGACTGCCCATTTCAGGGATGCCCTTGAGGGTACGGATTGTGTTGTGATGTTCATTCGTGTGTCCTGGGGAGCTAGCATGGTCCTGGCAGCTGAGAGATGCTCAGGAAATGTGGATTGAATGAATGAACTATTTATGATAGAGGAGGTCCAGCATTCTCATTTACTGCAGCCATCAGTAGCTGAAAATATCTGAGATGTCATATAAGAAATATTCATATTCCCATAGGTACATCTTTATTTTGCTTAGTTGTGCTTAGATTAGTTAGAAATTTTTATATTGAGGTATAAGCTACATACAATAAAGTGCTCAGCTCTGTAGTGAACAGCTCAATTAATCTTTACACATGTACACACCCATGTCACCAGCACTCAGATCAAGATAACGAATGCTTCTAACACTCAAGAGCATTCCCTTGTGGATCCTTCTAGTCAAAAACTCCTGCCAAATAAATATAAACACTCTCTGACTTCTATTATCATAGGTTGGTTTTGCCTATTCTTGAACTTCATATTGTTGATGAAAAGAGTCAAACTCTTAAAATTATTTGAAGAGATATATTCTGAGCCAAATGTGAGTGACCATGGCCCATGATATAGCCCTCAGGAGGGCCTGAGAACAGGTGCCCAGGGTGGTTAAGGTACAGCTTGGTTTTCTACATTTTAGGGAGACATGGGACGTCAATCAAATACATTTGAGAAATACATTGGTTTGGCCCAGAAAGGCAGGATAATTCAAAGGGTGAGGGGCGGGGCTGCACGGCTTCCAGGCTATAAATATTTTCCAGTTGACAATTTGTTGAGTTTTTCTAAAGACCTGGGATCAATAGAAAGGAAATGTTCAGATTAAGACAAAAGATTATGGAGACCAAGTTTCTTTTGAAGTTTCAAGTCTCATAGTGGCTGCCCTTAAAGACAATAGATGACCGATGTTTCCTATTCAGATTCCTATTCATATCTTTAAAAGGTGCTAGACTCTCAGTTAATCTCTTCAGGATTTGGAGGGCCTGAAAGAGAAAGATTTAGCTATATTAATAGAGATTCTTTAAAAATGCGAATTTTCCCCCACGAAGAACGGCTTTGCAGGGCCATTTCAAAATATGGCAAAGAAACATGTTTTGGGGTAAAATATGTAGATTTTCTTCTTTGTCACATAACATTATGCAAGTCAGATTGGAAAGTAAGTCATCATATACAGTTAAATAAAACTCATCTGATAAGAATTTACGGTTTGTAGGGCATGACTCCCCAGACCCCTTAGATAGGAATTTGGGCAAGATAAGAAAAATCAGTGCTTACTCCTCAATATAAATGTAATTGTATAGTATGTGATCTTTTATGTTTGCCTTCTTTCACTCAATATTATATCATGAGAGTCATCCAAGTGGTTAAGTGCTGTGTAGCAGCAGTTTGTTCTTTTTATTGCAAGGAGCTATTCCATTATATGACTATACCACAATTTATTTATCCATTCTACTGTTTGGGTAGTTTCCAGTTTTGGCTATTATGAATGAAACTTTTATGAATATTTTTGTTCATATCTTTAATTGCACATATATTCTCAAAGTTTATGTTTTTCTTATAAGAGAGGAGGGAGAGGAGGGAAATAATAATGATAATAATAATAACTGAGACTTATTGAAAGCTTACTATATTCCAGGAATTATACTAAGTAATTAACTAAATGCTCTATCACCATAGCCCATGCATGCTTTTTATTGCTATACCATTCTGCCTTCCAACTTCACACCTTAATTAGAAAAACTTAAAAGCAAGATGGCCTTTTAAGTACAAACTGAGTATGTGATCAGTCAGCATCTGAAATTATGTAATTAACTTTTTTGTTTATTTTATAGCTGACCCTCTCCCACTGCTGCCATTTCATTCCCCATTAGAACGGGAACTCATCAGTTTTAGGGTTGAATTCCCAGGCACTCAGTTCCTTGCCTGGACCTGGTAGACTCTCAGTAAATCTGCTTTTTTACAGGAGAGCTATTTTCTGAAAGATTATTTGTGACCAAGTTGTTTTTGAATCTCAGAAGGCATTTGCTGCAAAACTCTCTTGGACCAGTCCACCCAACCTGATATTATTGACCTAGAATGCTAACAGTAGCTACCAAAACTTTGTACATTCTTTAAAGAGAGCAGATCTCTCAACTCAGTTGTTTGCTGGTATTTTTGTGTGCTCTTTATTGGTAATCTTATACTAAGCAGCTTAATTTTTTTTTAAATTGAGAGTTCATTAACATACAATAAAATGTCCAGATCTGAAGTGTTCTGTTTCATATGTGTTACCAGCTGAGTGTAACTATCACCCAAAATAAGATGCAGAATGTTTCCATCAGCCCATTTATTCTCTCATCAATTCTCCACCTTCTCCCAGCCCCAACCAATCACAAATCTGACTTCTTTTAGTATAGATTAGTTTTGCCCACTTTCGGGTTACGTATAATTGAAAACATACACTACATGCTCTTTGTCTACCTGGCTTCTTTTACCTATCATAGGGTTTTGAGATTCACCTTGTTCTGTTTATTTTTATTGCTGAGTAGTATCCTCATAGTATGAACATCTCACAGTTTGTTTGTCTACTACCTTGTTGATGGGCATTTGGGTAGTTTCTAGTTTTGGGCTATTTTGAATACATTTGCTATGAACATTTTTGTATAAGTCTTTTTGTGGACAGATTTTCATTTCTCTTGGGTAAATTCCTAAAAGTGGGATTATTTGGTAAGTGCATGTTTTAGCTTTATAAGAAACTGGCTGTCCTCAAAAGTGGTTGAACTATTTTATACACCCACCAACAATATAGGAAAGTTGCAGATGCTCTGCAGCTTTACCAGCATTTAGTATTGTTATCATGTTAGTATGGTCATGAGTATGCAGTTCTGTTTGTACACGCACTCATTTCCCCCAACATTTGCTTTTATATAATTTCACTCCTCTTTCTTTCTCACCATAGACTTTGAACCTTTATTCCTAGTCCTAGGCCTTCGTTTTGAGTGCTGAGGCTGAGGATTTCCTTCACTCTGAAACTCACTGTGGATTCAGTGTTCTCTGCTTGAGAAAAGAAGACTATTAATTCCTCCTACCTATCTTTGTTTGGCAGGTCATAAGTTCCTATTGGGCTTCTAAGGGCAGACTACCATTTCTGTTGGATTTTTGGCTGTAACCAAATTTAACTAGAAAATAAGCTTTCAAGATTGGGGACCTTATCTGATTTGATGATCATTATATTCCCAGCTTTCAGATCAGTGCTGGCACATAATAAATATTTGTTTAATGAAAGCATTTTAAAGCTATGAAAGTAAACATGTTACACTTTAATCAACATTTAGCAATGTACTTATTAGGAGTTTCTGACAGTGGCAAAGTTAATATTTGAATTTTTCCTTAAAAACAAAATGTAATATGGTTTGGTAATAGGGTCTGGAAATAGCCTCTGAAACCCACCTGCACGTGCCACCTGGGGGCCTGGGAACTGGTCTGCCCAGCCTGCCACTGCCACTGCTGGTGCCCACATGTGCCACTTGGGGGCTTGAGGGTTGGCTGGCTGATGCTACCACCACCACCCATATCATGCGTGCTACCTAGGGGCCTGATGACCCTCCTACACACCCAAGCCACCATTGCCACTGTAGGCACCCAAGCAAGCTGCCTGGAGGCCCAAGGAGCCACCTGCCTGAACTTGCTACCACCAGTGCCCACATACGCCACCTTGGGATCCAAGGACTGACAATTTCAGTTCACTGCCACCACCACTGGTGTCTGATGACCAGTCTGCCTGGCATCCCTGTCTCCCACAGAGCCTTGCCGTAACCTCCACTAACAACTGCAGCCTAAACCACTGAAGAATTCATAGACACCTCTGATGCTGATTATAGCTAAAGAAATCATACAGACCCTACACTACTGCACCCACCCAGAATCAAAGCCAAGGTATCCTACCCAAATAACATTATAGATATATCTATAGAAAAAGTCTTTCCCTATGAAAGCCAATTCATAAAATTGGAAGAAGCAACTGTTACACTAGATGTGCAGGTATTAATGTAAGGACACAATAAACATGAAAAAGCAAAAAGATATGACACCTATAAAAGAATAAAATAATTGTTCAGCAACAGATTCTAATGAAAAGGAAATCTAAGAAATGCCTGAAAAAGAATTCAAAATAATGACATTAAAGAAACTCAATAAGATACAAGAGAACACAGAGAAACAATACAGAGAAATGGGGAAAACAATTCATGATCTGAGTGAGAAATTCAACAAAGATATACTTACCATAAAAAAGAACCAAACAGACATCCCATAACTGAATAATTCAATGAATGAGATAAAAAATACAATTGAGAGCTTCGATAACAGACTAAATCAAGCAGAAGAAAGATTTTCTGTTCATGAAGACAGGTCTTTTGAAATAACCCAGTCAGACTTAAAAAATAAAAATAAAAAAGAATAAAGGAAGCCTATATTCCACACAGGATGTCATAAAGCAACCAAATATTTGAATTTTGAAAGTTTCAGAGAAGAGAGAGGCAAAGGCGTAGAAAACCCATTTAACAAAATAATAGCTGAAAACTTTCCAAGTCTTGCAAGAGATATAGACAACCAGGCACATGGAAATTCAAAAATTCTCAAATAGATTCAACCCAAGAAGATCTTCCCCAAGGCAGATTGTGGTCAGACTGCTAAAAGTCAAAGACAAAGAATTCTGAAAAATAACAAGAGGAAAGTATTAAGTTACATGTGACAGAGTTCCCATCAGACTAACAAAAGATTTCTCAACAGAAACCTTAGAGGCCAAGAGAATATATCATGGGATGATATATTCAAAATGTTGAAAGAGGTGGGTGTAATGGCTCATTCCTATAATCCTAGTGTTTTGAGAGGCTGAGATGGGAGGATTGCTTAAGGGCAGGAGTTTGAGAGTAGCCAGGGTAACAAAACAAGACCCCATTTGTACAAAAAATAAAAACATTAGGTGGACATGGTGGTGCATGCCTGTAGTCCCAGCTACTTGGGAGGCTGAGGTAGGAGGATCGCTTGAACCTGAAAGTTTGAGGCTGCAGTGAGTTATGATCATGCCACTGCACTTCAGCCTAGGCAACAGAGTGAGACTCTGACTTGAAGAAAACAAAACAAAATAAAACAACAACAACACAAAAACCCAACACAACAATGTGCAGAAAGGGGGGAAAAAAAAGAAAAGCCATCAGCTAAGAATACTAAATCTAGTAAAGTTAGCTTTCAAAAATTAAGGAGAAATAAAGTCTTTCCCAGACAAGCAAAAACTGAGGACATCCATCACCACTAGACTGAACCTACAAGAACTGCTTAAGGGAGTCCTACATCTGGAAATGAAAGAACAATATCTACCATCATGAAAACACACAAAAGTATGAAAGCAGGTGGTAGAGCAGACACATAATGGGAAAGAGAAAGGAGTCAAATGTTACCAATACAAAAAACCACCAAACTGCAATGATAAACATTAAGAAAGAAAGGAACAAAGAATATACAAAACAACCAGAAAACAATGAACAATAATGACAGTCCTCACCTATCAATAATAACTTTGGCTGTGAATGAATTAAATATCTCACTTAGAAGATATAGAATGACTGAATGGATTTAAAAAATGACATAAGTTTATGCTTCTTACAAGAAACTCACTTCACCTGTAAAGACACATATAGACTAAAAGTGGAGGGATGGAAAAAGATATTCCATGCTGATATGGTTTTGTTCTGTGTCCCCACCCAAATCTCATCTTATATCTCCCATAAGTACCACATGTTTTGGGAGGGAGCCAGTGGGAGATGACTGAATCATGGGGGTAGGTCTTTCCCATGCTGTTCTTGTGATAGTGAATGAGTCTCATGAGATCTGATGGTTTTAAAAATCGGAGTTTCTGTGCACAAGCTCTCCCTTTGCCTGCTGACATCCACATAAGATGTGACTTGCTCCTTCTTGCCTTCCTCCATGATTGTGAGGCCTCCCCAGCCATGTGAAAAAGAGACAAAGAAGGTCATTATATAATGATGAAGGTATCAATTCAGCAAGAAGATATAACGATTTTAAATATATATGCACTCAACACTGGGTGCACCCAAATATATAAAGCAAATATTATTAAATTTAAAGGGAGAGAGAGGCTTCAATACAATCACAGTAGGAGACTTAAACACCCCACTCTCAGCATTGGATAGATCATCTAGACAGAAAATCAACAAAGAAACACTGGACTTAAATTGGACTTTAGACCAAATGGATGTGACAGACATTTACAGAACATTTTATCCAATAGCTGCTGAATACACATTCTTCTCATCAGTACATAGAACGTTCTCCAGAATAGGCTGTATTTTAGGCCACAAACCAAGTCTCAATAAATTTTAAAAACTCAAAATCATATCAAGTATCTTCTCAGATCACCGTGGAATAAAAGTAGAAATCAATAACAAGAGGAACTTTGGAAACTGTACAAATGCATGGAAATTAAACAACATGTCCCTGAACAACCATTGGACCAGTGAAGATCTTAAGAAGGAAGTTAAGAAAAAATCTTGAAACAAATGAAAATTGAAACACAGCATACCCAAACCTATGGGTTACAGCAAAAGCAGTTCTAAGAGGGAAGCTTATAGCAATAAATGCCTATATCGAAAAAGTGGAATGATTTCAAATAACCTAATGATGCACCTCAGGAAACTAGAAACGCAGGAATAAACCAAATCCCAAATTAGTAAAAGGAAATAAATACCTAAGTGAAATAGAGACTAAAAAAATACAAAGGATCAGTGAAATGAGAGGTTTTTTTTGAAAAGATAAATAAAATTGATAAACTGCTAGCTAGACTAACCAAGGAAAAGGAAGAGAAGACCCATATAAATAAAATCAGAAATGAAAAAGGAGATGTCCTAGAATTCATATGGAACCACAAAAGGCCCCAAATAGACAAAATGATACTGAGCAAAAAGAACAAAGCTGGAGGCTTCATAGTACCTGTCTTCAAAATATACTACAAAACTATAGTAACCAAAACAACTTGGTGTTGGTATAAAAACAGACATATAGACCAATGTAACAGAATAGAGAACTCAGAAATAAAGCCACATATTTACAGCCAACTGATCTTCAACAAAGTCGACAAGAACCTACACTGGGGAAAGGACTTGCTCTTCAATAAATGGTGTTGGGAAAATTGGATAGACACATGCAGAAGAATGAAACTGGACCCCTATGTCTCACCATATACAAAAATCAATTGAAAATGGATTAAAGACATAAGACTAAAACTATAAAACTACTTGATGAAAACATAGGGGAATTGCTTCAGGACATTGGTCCAGGCAAAGATTTTATGGCCAAGACTTCAAAAGCATATGCAACAAAACAAAACCAAAAACAGACTGATAGAACTATATTAAACTAAAAAGCTTCTGCATGGAAAAGGAAACAACACTGTGAAGAGACAACCTGTAGAATGGTAGAAAAGAATTACAAACAATTAATCAGCAAGGGATTAATATCCAGAATATATAAGGAACTCAAACAACTCAACAGAAAAACAAAACAAAACAAAAAGCCCAATCCCATTAAAAAGTGGGCAATCGGCACAGTGGCTGATGCATATAATCCCAGCTACTTGGGAGGCTGAGGCAAGAGGATTGCTTGAGCCCAGGAGTTCAAGGCTGCAATGAGCTGTAATTGCACCACTGTACTCCAGCCTTGGTGACAGAGTGAGACCCATCTCTAAAAAAACAAAAAGTGGGCAAAGGATCTGAATACATATTTCTCAAAAGAAGACATGTAAATAAATGGTCAACAGGTATATGAAAAGATGCTCAACACCACTAATCATCAGGGAAATGCAAATTAAAGCCACAGTGTGTGAAATATAATATCACCCCAGTTAGAATGGCTATGATGAAAAAGACAAAAAATAACAAATGCTGGGTTGGGGGGATGTGGAGAAAAGGGAATTCTTATATGCTGTTGGTGAGAATGTAAATTAATATAGCCATTATGGAAAACAGTATGGAGGTTTTTAAAAAAACTTAAAATAGAACTACTATATGATCCAGCAATCCAACTACTGGGTATTTATTCAAAAGAAAAGAAATCAGTATATCAAAGGGATACCTGCACCCCTATGTGTATTGCAGCACTATTCACAATAGCCAAGATACGGAATCAACTGAAGTGTCCATCAACAGATGAATAGATAAAGGAAATGTGGCATATATATGCAATGAAATACTATTCAGCCATCAAAGAAAATGAAATCTTGTCATTTTCAGCAATGTGGATGGAACCGAAGGTCATTATGTTAAGCAAAATAAGCCAGGCACAGGAAGACAAATATCACATGTTCTCATATATGAGAGCTAAAAAAGTTGATCTGATGGAGGTTGAGAATAGAATGATATTTACCAGAGACTGGGAAGGGTATGTGTGGGGCATGAAGAGAGGCTGGCTAAGTTCTAGTGTTTGAAAATATAATAGGGTGGCTATAGTTAACCATAATTTATTGTATATTTCAAAATAGCTAGAAGAGAAGATTTTGAATAATTCCAATACAAAGAAATAATAATTGTTTGAGGTGATGGATATCCTAAATACCCTCATGTGATCATACACATTGTATGCATATATCAAATATCACAGGTACCACATAGATATGTACAATTATTGTGTATCAATGAAAACAATCGTTTGAAGGATATGAAAATAGAGAAAATACACTGAAGTTATTAATAATAAAATGGAACTTCTGAGTTGACACAGTATTTAGTTGTCCATGTTGTATGATGGAAGGGGGCTGCTGTAAGTTTCCATTCTACAAAATATATCTCCCACCAGATTGGCAGAACTCCTAAAATGCATATTAGTAAAGATTTGTTTCTTGGCTTAAGGTGCTCTTATTTTCATGAGATCTCTTTTAAAATTCAATTTTTTTTTTTTTTTTGAGACAGAGTCTCGCTCAGTCGCCCAGGCTGGAGTGCAGTGGCGCCATCTCGGCTCACTGCAAGCTCCACCTCCAGGGTTCACGCCATTGTCCTGCCTCAGCCTCCCGAATAGCTGGGACTACAGGCACCCACCACCATGCCTGGCTAATTTTTTGTATTTTTAGTAGAGATGGGGTTTCACCATGTTAGCCAGGATGGTCTCGATCTCCTGACCTCGTGATCCACCCATCTCGGCCTCCCAAAGTGCTGGGATTACAGGCATGAGCCACTGCGCCCGGCCTAAAATTCAAAATTTTAAGGGAGAGTCCTATGGGTCCTTATGGAGAATTAGTTTAACAGATTTTATTGCCAGTTCCTTTGTAAGGTCTGGAGAAGCAAGACCCCAGAAGAGAGAAGATGGCCCAGGTGGTTTCATCCCAGGGCCTTGCCTTCTGAGGGTGGGGGTGGAGGTGTGTGTGGGTATGGATGGGGAGTTTAATCATCTCATGTTTTGGGAGGTGAATGTGAACTTAATGCTGGACTTGGGAAGCAGTAGGGAAGGCACTGAAAAAAAAAACCTGTTTCAAAATTCAGTCAAGCTGTTAAAGATAAGACTTACAGGTTGAAAGTATAAAAGTGGTGGCCGGGCGGGGTGGCTCACGCCTGTAATCCCAGCACTTTGGGAGGCTGAGGCGGGTGGATCACGAGGTCAGGAGACCGAGACCATCCTGGCTAACATGGTGAAACCCTGTCTCTACTAAAAAAATACAAAAAATTAGCCGGGTGTGGTGGCACGTGCCTGTAATCCCAGCTACTCGGGAGGCTGAGGCAGGAGAATGGTGTGAACCCGGGAGGCAGAGCTTGCAGTGAGCTGAGATCGCGCCACCGCAGTCCAGCCTGGGCAACACAGTGAGACTCCATGTCAAAAAAAAAAAGAAAAAAAAAGTGGTTCCCCACTTTCTTTTTATTCCTAAAATCATGTACAAAAATGACTTACATGTTTTCAGGAGGGTTTTTTCTCAGAGATATAAAAAATTATGGACGCCAAAGTTAAACTTTATCTTTTAGACATAATCTTCAATGAAATCACCTCAACATTTAAAAGACATTTTTAAAGTTTGTTCTTTTCTTTCGCCATTAATCACGCAGTCAGCTGAAATACAATGAATATGCAAAGATGAGTTTGGTTTCACCTATCTTTTTACCTTCTCGGCCTGCCTAATGGTTTCCATCTTTGCTCAAATGTGTTTACGAGACTTACAATTTTTATCTTCAATATTTCATTTCCCATTCACTTTAAAAAATTTTTTTAGGCAGAGTCTCGCTGTTTTGCCCAAGCTGGAGTTCAGTGACATAATCATGGCTCACAGCAGCCTCACCCTTCTGGGCTCAAGAGATCTTCCCACCTCAGCCCCTGAGTAGCTGGGACTACAGGGACATGCCACCATGCCTGCCTAATTTTTTGTAGAGACAAGGTTTTGCCATGTTGACCAGGCTGGTCTTGAACTCCTGGGCTCAAGCGATCGTCTGCCTTGGCCTCCCAAAGTGCTGGGACTACAGGGATGAGCTGCCACACTTGAGCCCCCATTTGCTTTTATGAAATGAATGATTGTAATTTCCATAGTTGCACAAACATTGCTCTGCTAAATAAGATGGCTGTACTGAGAAACTAAACTCCTGTTACTTCTTGGTGAACTTAGAATGAAGTTTTTTTTTTTTTTGAGACAGAGTCTCTCACTCTTGTTGTCTAGGTTGGAGTGCAGTGGTGTGATCTTGGGTCACTGCAACCTTCACCTTTTGGATTCAAGCGATTCTCCTGCCTCAGCCTCCCAAGTAGCTGGGATTACAGGTGGCCACCACCACACCCAGCTAATTTTTGTATTTTTAGTAGAGACAGAGTTTCACCGTGTTGGCCAGGCTGGTCTTGAACTCCCGACTTCAGGTCATCTGCCCACCTCAGTCCCCCAGAGTGCTGGGATTACAGGCACGAGCCACTGCACCCGGCCAGAGGTTCTTCTCCTTACTATAGCCTGTAGCATCAAGGTCTTGAGCGTCTGGCGCTTGCATACCCCCTCAGCCTTATTTCCCTCTGCTCCACCTCTTGTTTATGGCACTTCAGGCATCTGGACATTCTCTCCATTCCTCAGATCTGCCAAGGTCCTTCCTGCCAGAGGGCCTTTGCATGAACTGTTTCCGAAGATCTGAACTTTCTCCTCTCCTTACACGACTCAGACCTTCAAGTGCAGGCTTAAAGTTAACTCCTCAGTGGGGCTTTCTTAGAACACCCTGTTTAAATTAGACTCCTCTCTCCATTTATATACTTATTTTTACTAATAGACTTTATTTTTTAGAACAGTTTTGTATTTACAGAAAAACTGAGCAGACAGTATAGAGAGTTCTTACAAATCCTGCCCATAGTTCCTATTTTTAACATCTTACATTAGTGTGGTGCATTTCTTTCTATTAATGAGCCAATGTTATATCAGTATTAATGCAAGTTCATAGTTTATTCAGATTTGCTTAGTTTTTACCAGATGTCCTTTTTCTGTACCAGGATCCCATCCAGGACTCCATATTAGATTTATTTCTCATGTATCCTTGGGCTCCTCTTGGCTGTGACAGTTTCTCAGAATTTGTTTTTGGTGACTTTGACGGTTTTGAGGAGTACTGGTCAGGGATATTGTCAGATGCTCCTCTACTGGAACTTGTCTGATGTTTTTCTCATAATTAGACTGAGTTATGGGTATTTGAGAGGAAGACCACAGAGGCGAAGTGCCATTTTCATCACTGTGTATCAAGGGTGCATGCTATCAATGTGATTTATGAATGTTGACGTTGATTTTGATCACCTGAATGGGGTAGTGTTTGTCAGATTTTTCTACTGTGAAGTTATTTATTTTTCCCTCTTTTCCTACTGTACTCTTTCGAAGGAGGTCACTAGACACAGCCCACCCTAAGGAGTTGGGAGTTACACTTCCCCTCCTTTAGGATGCAGTATCTATATAAATTGTTTGGTATTTTTCTGCATAACAAATTTATTTCTTCTCCATTTATTAATATATTCAATCATTTATTCATATCAGTATCAACTCATGAATATTTATTTTACACTTTAGGTTATAATTCAGTACTACCTTGCTTATTTTGTTGCTCCAATTGTTCCAACCTTGGCCTTTGGTAGCTCTTCCAGATGGTTCCTGCGTTTCTTTGACTTTGCCCCATCAATTTTTTTTTTCATCTTCTTACTTTCTGGCAGTACAAGATACTCTAGAATCATCTTGTATTTTTCCTGCCCCAGTCTTGGAATCAGCCATTTTTCCAAGGAGCCCTGGCTCCTTTTATTGGAGAATGGCTTTAGAAACTGAGATCTGGGTGCCAGGTATGCCCATGGCTACTGGTGTGTTCCTCATTTGTTTTTTATTATAGTACCCTGATTCTTTCATCCATAGCTTAAATTATACAGTATGTTATGATTCATTTGCTTTCCTATTTATTATCTGTCTCCCCACATATATTGTCAGCTCCATGAGTTCAGGTGCTATGTTTCACCCACAGTGCCTAATACATAGCTGGCCCTCAATCAACATTTGTTGAAGGAAGAAATGAATGAAACCTGGCCAGGAAGCAGAACTTTCATGACAGAGCTTGCAATGTTCATTCAACACCTGATGAATTAATGCCCAAGTTTAACATATGAGCCATGGTTTAAACTTTATGGGTTTCAGTGCATAAAGTATTAAAGAAAAGTTAGACTGATTAAAAAAAGCTGAATGTATGAAATTGAGGATTCCATTTATGTATACAGTACTTAACAAGTTCATTAATTGTGTTGATGTTTATATTCTAATTCGCTAGGCAACTTAAAAAATAATTTCAACTTCTATTTTAGATTCAGGGGGTACATGTACAGGTTTGTTACCTGGGCATATTGTGTGATTCTAAGGTTTGGGGTATGATTGATCCTGTCACCCAGTTACTGAGCATAGTATCCAATAATTATTCCACCCTGTCTCCAATGTCTATTGTTGCCATCCTTATGTCCATGAGTACCCAGTGTTTAGCACCCACTTATAAGTGAGAACATGCAGTGTTTGGTTTTCTATTCCTACATTAATTTGCTTAGGATAATGGCCCCCAGCTGTATCCATGTTGCTGCAAAGGACACAATTTCAGCTTTTTCATGGCTGCATAGTATTCCGTGGCATATATGTACCACATTTTCTTCATCCAATCCACTGCTGTTGGGCATCTGGACTGATTCCATGTCTTGCTATTGTGAATAGTGCTGTGAGGAACATATAAGTACATGTGTATTTTGGTAGAACAATTTATTTTCTTTTTTCTTTTCTTTCTTTTTTTTTTTTTTGAGATGGAGTCTCGCTCTGTCACCCAGGCTGGAGTGCAGTGGTGCATTCTCTGCTCGCTGCAAGCTCTGCCTCCCAGGTTCATGCCATTGTCCTACCTCAGCCTCTCAAGTAGCTAGGACTACAGGTGCCCACCACCATGCCTAGCTAATTTTTTGTATTTTTAGTAGAGATGGGGTTTCACTGTGTTAGCCAGGATGGTCTCGATCTCCTGACCTCATGATCCACCCGCCTCAGCCTCCCAAAGTGCTGGGATTACAGGCGTGAGCCACCACCCCCGGCCGAACAATTTATTTTCATTTGGATGTATTCCCAGTAATGGGATTGCTAGGTCAAATGGTAGCTCTCTTTTAAGTTCTTTGAGAAATCTCCGAATTGCTTTCCACAGTGGCTGAACTAATTTATATTCCCACCAATAATGTATAAGCATTGTCTTTTCTCTGCAGCCTCTCCAGCATCTGTTGCTTTTTGACTTTTTAATAGTAGCCATTCTGAGTGGTGTGAGATAGCATCTCATTGTGGTTTTGATTTGCATTTCTTTGATGATTAGTTATGTGGAGCATTTTTTCATGTTTGTTTGTTGGCTGCAAATATGTCTCTTTTTGAGAAGTGTCTGTTTATGTTTTTTGCCTATTTTAAAATGGGATTATTTGTTTTTTGCTTGATGAATTAAGTTCCTTATAGATTTTCGATTTTAGACATTTGTTGGATGCATAGTTTGCAAATATTCTTCCATTCTGTAGGTTGTTTACACCGTTGATAGTTTATTTTGCTGTGCAGAAGCTTTTTAGTTTAATTAGGTCCCACTTGTGAATATTTGTTTTTGTAGCAATTGCTTTTGAGGACTTAGTCATACATTCTTTCTCAAGGCCAATGTCCAGAATGGTGTTTTCTAGGTTTTCTTCTAGAATTTTCATAATTTGAAGTCTTACATTTAAATCTTTCATCTATATTGAGGTAATTTTTTGTATACGGTGAAAGGTAGTGGTCCAGTTTTATTTTTCTGCCTATGGCTAGCCAGCTATCCCAGCACCACTTATTGAACCAGGAGTCCTTTCCCCATTGCTTATTTTTGTTGACTTTGTCAAAGATCAGATGGTTGTAGGTGTGTGGCTCTATTTCTGGTTTCTCTATTCTGTTCCCTTGGTCTGTGTGTCTGATTTTGTACTGGTACCATGCTGTTTTGGTTGCTGTAGGCTTATAATATAGTTTAAAGTCAGGTAATGTGATGCCTCTGGCTTTGTTCTTTTGCTTAGGATTGCTTTGGCTATTCATACTTTTTTTTGGGTCCATATAAATGTTATAATAGTTTTTTTCTAGTCTGCGAAAAATGACTTTGGTATCTTGATAGGAATAGCATTAAATCTATAGATTGCTTTAGGAAGTATGGCCATTTTAACAATATTGATTCTTCCAGTTCATGGGCATGTAATGTTTTTCCATTTGTTTGTGTCACCTATGATTTATTTCAGCAGTGTTTTATAGTTCTCCTTGTAGAGATCTTTCATCTCTTTGGTTAGATGTATTCCTAGATTTTTTTAAATTTTATTTTTGCAGCTATTGTAAATGGGATTGCGTTCTTGATTTGGCTCTCAGCTTGAATGTTATTGGTGTCTAGAAATGACATGGATTTTTATACATTGATTTTGTATCCTGAAAGTTTACTACACTTGTTTAGCAGTTCCAGGAGCCTTTTGGCAGAATCTTAGGATTTTCTAGGTATAGAATCATAGCGTCAGTAAAGACAATTTGACTCCTTCTTTTCCTATTTGGATGCCTTTTATTTCTTTCTCTTTCCTGATGGCTCTGGTTAGGGCTTCCATAACTTGTTAATTAAGCTTTATGATCAGAAAAGGTATCTGTGAATTCTAGCTGAGTATTGCTTTCTGTAGGTGAGATATCTGGCTGGTATTTATTTTATTTTATTTGCTGTTAGGTATAATAAAGACTAAAGTTTTTTCTTATGCCAAAAATAAAATAAAAAGAATAGCTGAGGGCAAAGAAGTACAAATAGAGGCTCAATAAATGTGCTAATTATTTTTTCTCTGTTGAAGGTAACATTTTGGAACAAAGCTAGAGATGTGACATGGTAGAGCACAGAGGGCTGGATGGGGCTGATGGAGTGCTCTCCTTACAGTGCTGAACCCAGACACAAACGATGCTGGGAGGCCTGAGCACTGGGGGTCGGAAGTGTTTCTAAAGGATACTGGCTTGCAGAGAGCAGGACTCTAAATTCAGGCAAGGGACACAGGAATAGTCCTTTATTTAAGGATGGGGGCAGAGGTAGGGTAAGCTGGGCTCAGAGATTTGGGCACAAAGGAGGTAGGAGCTCCTTTCCCAGACATGCAGTTCAAGGTGGGAGCAAGAGTGAAGGGCACAATGCCAGGACTGGACCCTGCAAGCCAGACCCGAGGCTGAATTCTCAGTTGGCCCACAACACCGACGTTGCTTTTTTTCACTGACCAGGCTCAGGGTGGCTGAGGCTGCAGGGGCTCCAACTTGGGTGGGGAGGATGGTCATGTCATCCTAGCTCTAGGTTGAGGGGAAATGCTGAGTCTGATGTTGGAGTCTTTAGTTGCTATCTGACCTTTAGCTCTGGCATAATTACTTTTCTGAGGAAATTATTCTAAGGTCACTTTTGGTTGCATACTGAGTCAGTCGGCAAGACTTGCCCCAGGCCTGTGACTCAAAGCTCTGTTCCTGTGCAGCATAAATACCTACATCCTACCAGGCCTGGTGGACCCTCGGTTGCCCCTTGGCTCTGCTCCCTCAGGCCTTGGGCCATGCTGCTGCCCTCGGTCAGTCCCTGGCTCCTGAGGAGGGCTTGAAGAGGACTGTTAGCCTCCTGACTCTGCCACTCCACCCAGGGGTTCTGTCCTCCAGGAACTGCTCTCTTTGGCCTCAGATCCACCTCTTCCCTCAAGGCCCAGGCGTGGTAGAGCTAACCCTGTTGTGCCTAGCTTTTCTGGCTTCTGAAATCTGGACAAGGAAGACCCAGTGACTTCCCCTGGAAAAATTCCTGGAAACTCTATTTTAAGAGGGCTCCTTCTTTCTAGGAACAGAAAGATGGCCTTTGTTTATTTCCTGTCTCCTATAAAAGAAGCTTCCAAACCTGCCAGCATCATGGCTCAGTGTATTCACCCCTGAGCCAGGCATCTTGCTGGAAAACACAAAGTGTCTCTTTTACTCTTTAATTCAGTGGCTCTCACACATGAACGTGTACAAGAATATCACCAGCAGAGTTCAGGGCCCCTTCCTGGGAAAGTCTGATTCCGTAGATCTGAAGTAGATAGTTTTAGGCCCCCTTAATGCTGATGCAGCTGTTGAGAACTGAATTGCCTTCAGGGGCTGGGGGTGGCCATCTGCAATTGCAAGAGCTGCTACGTGCTGAGCTGCTTGTCTTGTGGCCTAAATTAGGGCTCCTGCCCAGTTACTAAGCCTTTTAAAATACTTTGCTGGCCAAACACTATACATGCCAGAGGGCTGTAGTTTGCAATTGTTCATCTAATGCTTCTGGAAAGCATTAGGTTCAGGGAGCTGAAGGGTAACTATTTGTTGGAGTAACAAGGGGAAGGGATTTCTTATTTGTTGAGTGCTTACTATATGCTGAGCACTGTGTTCAATACTTTTATATCCTCTATCCATTTAATCCTAATAAAGCTCGGCAAAGTAGGTGTTAATACCCTCACTTACAGATGAGGAAACTGACACTCAAGAGAGGTGAAGTAACTTGCTAAGGTTTCCACAAGTGGGTGGCAGAGCTAGGATTTGGGTGTAGAGCCAGGATTTGAGTACAGAGTTAGGATTGGGTGCAAGTCCACTTGACTTTAAGGCTGGTGTCCATCCCCAGAGGGCCTGTTACTTCCTTCTATTCCATGCTGCTTTCCTGGAGGAAGAAGACATCCAATCCCCAACTTCAGGATGTGAGTGCCTAGTGGCCTGCGAATTACTCTTGGGCAGGGTCTTGTATTGCAAGGTGGATAACAGCACAGACCCTGGACTCTGATAGCCTGGGTAGGAATCCAAGTTCTGCCACTTTTTAGCTAAGTGATGTTGGATATATTACCTAACTTTCCTGCACCTTGTTACATCATGTATATACAGAGTGTAATTATAGTATCTATCATGAGATTACTATGAGGATTAAAAGAGTTAGTACAAGCACAACACTTAGTGTCTGCTATATAACAACCACTATCATTGGCTGCTATTACTATTATTATCAGTACTACTAAGGATCTTCATAGCCTTATTGTGTAGCAGCATGGCGTTTGGCCTGTCACTGGGGCTTAGTGAATGTTGGTGAATGAATATATCCCAGTTAGCTCTTCCATGGTCATTCTTCCTTTCTCCCATTTACCCATAATCCTTCTACCATCCTTTCCCACCCCTTCTCCTGCTCCCTAAGCCGCAGAAGCATGGAGGTTTGTATCTTCAGGCTGTGTCTGCGCATGAGGATTTTAAGGTTAGTTATGGGAAGGCGCTTGCAGCTGGATCACCATCTGTCTGTGTCTTCTGTATCTGTGTATTTCTATGGGTGGACATATCTATAAGAGAATGACTATTACATGCATTTGCATCTTGGAGCATGATTTTGCATTTTTGGTTGTGTCTTTAGTAATGAGAATGTATAAGAGTGGATATCTACATGTGCAGGTGTCTTATATGGAGGGGTGCTGCTACTCCCCTTGAATTGGAAATTAGTCAAATGAGGGTTTTGGAGAAGCATAGTGAGTGAAGGAAAGATTGGTAGTAAAACCAACCTTTCTTCTTTCCTCCCCTTCCCTCCCTCCGTCCCTCCTTCCCTTTCTCCTTCCCTTTCTCCTTCCCTCCCTCCTGTGTTCTAATAGAGGAGTGCATTTGGGGTAGTGGAAGCAGGGGCTGTGGTGCAGAGGAGGTGAGGCTGGGTGGTGGTGAGGCTGGGTGGTAGGGGTGGGAGGCAGGCAAGGAGAGCCTTGTAAGCCGTGTTTAGCAACTTGACTTTTATCTCAGAGGAATCTATGAAAGGAGGGATGTGTTAAGATTTTTGCATTTTAAAAAGAAAAATGCCACATGGAGGATGGACTCCAGGAGTTCAAGGATGGAGGCTGGTGGCCAGAGGGAAGGCTATTGTGGAAATCAAGGCAAGCGATGAAGAGGGTTGTGATGGAAGCAATGGAGAGGAGGGGTGAGCATATGCAATCTAAAGAGCAGGACTTGGAGATTAATTGCACATTGGGGAGAAGGAAAGGAAGTCCCTAAGGAGCCCCACGTGGGAGAATGGGCACACCACGCTGCCATCAGCTGAGACAGAGAACACAGCGAGAGAGACAGGTTGTGGGGGAGTGGGAGAGGGATTGAGCTGAGGATGTATTGAGTTTGGGGTACCCACAGGACATCCAGTTAAAGATGTTAAGCTGTTGGATGTAGAAGTCTGAACTTTAGAGAGAAATATCCACTTATAGATGGCAATTGAAGCTAGGGATGAAGATAAAGTTGCCCAAAGAGAACATGTACAGGGGAGAAGAAGAGAACAGCGTTAGGTTTCTGTGCTGCTGTAACAAACTGCCACAAACCTAGTGGCTTAAAACAGCACAAATTTATTATCTTATAGTACCAGATATCCAAAGGCTGAAATGGGTCCTAGGGGGCTAAAATCAGGGTGCGAGCAGAGCTGTGTCCCTTCTGGAGGCTCTAGGGGAGAGCCCATTCCCTGCCTTTTTCAGCTTCCAGAGGCTGCCCACATTCCTTGGCTCATGGCCCCATATCACTCCAACCACTGTTTCTATTGTCCATCATCTTCTCCAACTTTAACCTTCTTGCCTCTCTTTTACAAGGACCTTTGAGATTACATTGGGCCTACCTAGATAATTCAGGATTATTTCCTCATCACAGACCCTCAGCCATGCAAGGTAACATACTCACAGGTTCCAGCGATTAGGATGTGAACATCTTTAGAGGAGCATTATTCTGTCTACCACAAGGACCTAAAACAGAACCCCAAGGTTTACAGACATTAAAGGCACAGACAGAGGAAGAAGAGTGTGCAAAGTAGGCAGGGAAGTTATAGTTAGAGGAGCCAGGAAACCATGGCCTGGAGATTGGTCAGGGATGGGAGGAGATGGTCAAGAATTTCAAGAAGAGGGAGTGATTGTTCCTGTCAAATGCGATAGGTTCTGCAGGACAAAGATTGAAAAATGCCTATTGGACTTGAAAATCAAGAAGCAGTTTATTTATTCAACAAATATTTATTGAGCATTTATTGTGTGCCAGGCACTATTCTTGGTGCAGAGAATAGAGCAGTGATGGAGGTACAGTCCCTGCTCATATCCTACTGAGGGTGACGGGCAATCAATCAGTCACATGGTTCTAAGTGCCATGTAAGGAATCGAATTAAGAAAGGTGTGAGAAGATCTCTGGGAAGATTTCTGAAGACGTGATGTCTAAGCCTGTGGCTGAATGACAAGAAGAGTGGGTCATTTGAATCTTGGGGGTGGCATCCCAGGCACAGGGAACTACTAGTGAAAAGGCCCTCACTTGGGTGGTCCTTAGCTTGTCAGAGATGGAGAGGAGCTCTATGTGGCTGTGGCATGAAGATGAAGTGGAGGGCAGTAGGGAGTTAGGTTGGGAGAGGCTGTGAGGATCATGGCTTTGGGCTTTGAATGCCAGGTAAGGAGTTCAGATTTTGTGCTAAGGTTTTGTTGTAGGAGGGGTCAAGAGTGGAACAGGGAGACTAGTAAAAGAGAAGACTGCAGTAAGAGATGATGTTGGGTTGGACTAGATTTCAGTAGATGTTATCCTCCAAAAATATATGTTGAAGCCCTGACCCCTGGCACCTGTGAATGTGACCTTATTTAGAAATAGGGCCTTTAGGCCAGGTGCAGTGGCTCAGGCCTGTAATCTTAGCACTTTGGAAGGCCAAGGTGGGTGGATTGCTTGAGCTCAGGAGTTCAAGCTCATGGGAAAACCCCATCTCTACTAAAAAAAATACAAAAATTAGTGGAGCATGGTGGTGTACGCTTGTAATTCCAGCTACTCAGGAGGCTGAGGCAGAAGAATTGTTTGAACACTTGAGGTGGAGGTTGCAGTGAGCCGAGATCGTGCCACTGCACTCCAGCCTGGGTAACAACAACAACAGCAACAACAACAACAACAACAACAGGTCCTTTACAGATGTAAGTTAAGATGAGGTCATACTGGATTAGCATGGGCCTAACGTAATGTGATTTGTGTCCTTATAAGCAGAGGGAAATTTGGACTCAGATACAGAGACCCCTGGGGAGAACGCCTTATGATGACTGAGGCAGAGAAGGGAGCGATGCAACTGCAAGCTAAGAGCCACCAAGGCCACCACCAGAAGCTGGGAAGAGACAAGGAAGGGTTCCGCCCTGCGGGTTATGGAGAGAACATGGCTCTGCCAACGTCTCGATTTTGTCCTTCTGGCTCTAGAACTATGTGACAATACATTTCTGTTGTTTTTAGCTGCCTGGTTTGTGGTAGTTTGTTATGACAACCCTAGAAACTGATGCAGCAGTGGAGATGGGGAGAGGTGGCCTGGGGGTAGAGCTGACAGGATTTGTTGATGGGTGGAAAGTGGGAGGTGAAGGAAAGAGAGCAACTGAGGACAAACTACATTTGTGGCCTGAGCACTCGAGTGGCTGAGGAGTCTCTTTAGCGGGGTTGGAAAGACTATGGATGGAGCAGATTTGGGGAGGAAAATCAAGAGTTGAATATGTGAGTCAGAAGCTGAGCCAGAGGTATAAATTTGAGGGTCATTAGCATATAGATGGCATTGAAATAATGACAGTAAATGAAGTCACCCAGGGAGAGGAAGTTTCAGACAACCCTGAACGGCCTTGAAACATCCTAGTTTGGAAAAAAGTATTTTCCAATGTCGGATATTCTTGACTTTTTGTAGGTCCAAGTCAGGATGCAATTTTTCCCCCACAGCTACATGGGCTCAGTTATATGTATGTTTCTTTTACTTTAACTGGGTTGAAAACTGGACCAAAATATTTTGAAGCTCTTTCTATCAGTGGGTAGAGTCTGTTCTTTCCTCCGAAGTCCTCCCCAACAAAGAAACAGTTGTACTGGTCTTGGGACTTCCCTTGACCCATGAAAGTGGCAGAAGGGACGTTGAGCTAGTTTCAAGCCCAGGCTCCAGAGGTCTTTCAGCTTCTGCCTTTGGCTTCTTGGCTCACCCCTGCTGTCATGGAATGAAGCCTGGGCTGGACTTCTCTAGGATGAGAGAGAGGTCCAGCTGACAGCTGGGGCTGAGGCCATTTTGGGCCAGTCATTTCAGCTGCTGTCTGACTGCAACCAAATGAGTGAGTCCAAGTGAGACCAGCAGAACTGCCTAGTCAGCCGACAAGACTGGAAGAAATAAATAGATTGTGGTTGTTTTAAGTCACATACTTTTGGGGTGGTTGATTACACAAAGGGATACACTTGGTGTAGACCTTGTATCCAGATAAGCAGGATAATATGGAAGAAAAGAGCTATACTGTTCAGGGTCATGGAAATAAATCAGGATTTAATCTAGATGCATGATTAAATGAAAATCCAAAAGGTCACGAAATAATACATCATTCATGAAATGATAAAATACAGAAGGTACATCTCAGAGACCAAATGTCATTCATTTAATTATTCCTTCAACAAATATTTAAGGGTCTGCTCTCTACAATATGCCTGGCAGGGTGGTAGATGAAGGACACAGAGGAAAATGGGACGAACACTCAAAATACTGTCACTGACTCTCCCCTTGGCGTTTATTGTTGAGTGTACAGCATCCCTGTGTGCTAGAAATGGCCGTGGAGATAGAAAATGTGGTTAACAATAATAATGGCTGCCATTGATTGACCTCTCACCAGGTCTCATGTACTTTATATTCATTATCTTATTTAGACCTCACCACAACCCTGTGTGGTGGGGATTATTCTTCTTCATTCCACAGCTAAAGAAACTGGGTCTTGTAAAGGATAAGTGGCTTGGCCAGGATTACACAGCTGGAAAGGGGTGGATGAGGCACCAGCTGAGTCTGACTCTCAAGTTTATATTCTTTCCACCAGGTTGCCTATTTTCCATGAGTCCCTCACCTGACTCTAAGGCAGGGGCTAGGTCCAGATTGTAGGATGGGCTCGGTGGATCCTGTGGTCAGACGGAGTCCCTGACTGGGCTGGCAATTAGCATCGGGAGGATTGATGGTGAAAGTCCCTGTGGAGATATAGTTCTCTCTCTGCACAAGGAGAATCAGGACCTCAGTGGGAGGGGAAGGCCATGTGAACCCACGCCATCATGATTTTAATCTGTGTGATCTTGAAAGACACCCCTCCTTCCTGCCAAATAGGTCTTAACAGGCAGGGCTACTCTAGGACATTGTCTCATTGTACCAGATTCAAGACTCAGCCACATGTAGGGGGTGTGAGTCAGCTACAGGGGGGGTGCCCCTCACCTCTCAGGTCCCTTCTGGCCACACTGTGTCCTGTGGGCTCCACAGCATGGATGCTGCAGCCAGGATTCACGGGTGCAGCCTGACACGTGACGTCACAGCCATTGGACAGTGTGCTACAGTGGGGGCAGTAAGCTAAGATCCACAGAGGACTTCCCTGTCTCTGTGACTCGTAGGGAGAGAGGGGGCTCAGTGGCCAGTGAGTTGCCCTATGCTGAGAGGCATGGCACTGTGCAGGATTGGAGGAAGCCTGTGGCAGCTGCCTCCCTGGAGCACATGTGGATAAAAAACTCCCAAGCCAGGAGACCAAAGTCAGCATTCAGGATGGGATGCAGGCTGACTGAGCCCCACACTAGGAGGCTGGGAAAGACTCTTGGCCCTGGGAACAGGCATAGAGCGCTCTTGCAGCAGCCGGGCTTTTCGGCCTCCAGCCCAGCGTGGGTTGCTCTCTGCAGGGAGGCCCTTCTTGGTGGCTCAGGACTGGTGGGCACCGTCTCTGGGAGGAAGGGCCTCAGAGTTCTGAAATGTCATGCTGGTGTGGCTTCCAGACTTCACAAAATTGGGGTCACCTCAAAGACAGTGATCACCTCTTTTTGCTTCCTGATGCTCATTTATAGACTCCAGGTTTCTGCGAGTCCTGGAACTTGAGGGCAGAGTGTGACCCTCTGTCACTTCTACATCAAGAGACCAAGCTTTGTCCTGACTGGGATACTTAGGAGGGTTTTGAAGTTAAAGTTTTTTTCTGAGATAGCATTGTGGACTCAGGAGCAAGAACATTAGCAGGGAATTGGGAGGTGGAAAGTGGGCTCTCTCGTCCAGTGGTTCAGTGGGGGGCCTCCAACCCGAGGGGCTGCTTCTCCCCTTGGACACAGCTGGCCTTTCCACTGGACAGGCAGTTAGGTAGACTCTATTAGACCCCCGTGGAGGCCAAGGCCAAATCTCAAAATACGTTCATTTCTCTTTTTAAATAATAGTTACTATTCATTTTCTCTAATAGCAGTAGCTAACATTTACTAGACATTTACTATGTGCCAGGAATTGTGCTAAGCACTTCACAGAGATTATTTTATTTAATTCTAGGAGATAGTACCAGAATCCTTTTTTCAACAGATGGTGAAAAGGAGGTGCAGAGAAAGTAGATATTTTGTCTTAAGTCACATGGCTGATAAATCGTGGAACCAAAAATTAAACCAAGGCCTGAACACTTAACTGTTCTTCTTTCAGATGAAAGACACATGCTTTCGGTGAAAATTTGCAAAACATAAAAAAGCCAGATTGTCTATAGTTTCTCTATTCACAGATAGCAACTGTTAATATTTTTTCCATGTACCCACATGTGTATTTTTTTTAAACAAATGGATTTGTGAAAGTGCTGATTTATAGACTGCTTTCCCCCATCTCTGCAATATATTTTGAACATTTTCCAACGTTGAAGATTTTTTCAACACCTCGATTTTTAGTGGCTGCAAAGTATTTCATTATCTCAGAATCCATAATTTACTTTTAAAAATCTCTCCCTTTTGTTGGAACTTTAGTTTGCTTATAAATTTTGTTGTTATAAATAATGCCATGGTAAGCAACTTTGTTCAGGCATCTTTGCAAATAGACTGCTTGAGGATAAATTCTATTAGTGCTATTTCTGCATCAAAAGGCATGTACATTTAAAAGCTTTTGGTATTATTGCAAAAACGTTTTCCTGAAGATTTACACTAATTTACTTTCCCACTAGCAGAGTATGATAATATTCATTCTTCACAACTCTGCTGACAGTGAGTATTTCATTATTTTTAAACTTTGTAAATTTTCTCATGTGAAAAATACCTTTTTAAATGACAATGGACACTTTTTATATGTATTGGTCACTTGTTTTTCTGTGAATTGCCTTTATTTTATTAGAATGTTTATCTTTTTCATATTGATTTGGATGAGCTCTTTATATAAGACATAAGCATTTTGTCCTATGTTACAGATATTTTTCCATTTATCATGTACTTTCATTTTTATCATATCTTTAACATACAGAAGTTTTAAATTTCTAGGTAATCAAATCTACCAATCTTTGGCCTTATTGTTTTTACTTTTGGTTCTATGCAGGGTGATATAGACACCTTCATTTAAAAAAATCAATTCTTTTACTCATTTTGAAGTCTTGATGAATATTTATTCAGTGCTGTTCTGTACCTGACACTTTCTAGGCATTGGGGCTACATAAGCAAGGTGGGCAACTTTCCCATTTCTATTTACTTTTGCTAACCATCTGAGATTTATTTTTAAATGCGGTCAGCTGGGGGCTGATTGAATGCCTCTGCAGTGGCTCTGTCTTCCATAGGTGGAAAAGATAAAGAGGAAAATTCTTTAGACAAGGCCAGAATTTGAAGGCTTGGGCCAGAATGGCTTTCTGCCTAAAGGAAACATGTATTACCAAGAGATCAGACAGTAAAATTGCAAAGCCCTTGCCTCAGGCCAGCCCATGCCACATGGGTCGCTGAGGTCCTCATTGCTGGAACTGGTCCTCGAGGGCAGGTGTGGGCCCTCATCTAGGACAGACCGAGGCTCTGCTATAGACTGGTTGGTGTCTTTGTGCAGTTAGTTCTGCAGAGGTGGCTTGGTATGGATGGGAAAACTTGACCCACTGAAGGTCATGTGGCTCCCCTAAACTGATCACACAGTAGTGTCCTTTGTCAGAATCTTGCTTTTCTGGGTCAGGGCAGCTGTTCCTGCACATGTGTTTTCCAGTAAACATTGGATCCTTTCTCCATGGAAAGGCGATGGGCCTGGATCCACGGTGGCCCTTGGATACTTATAGTTCTGTTTCTTCATGAGTTAGCTGGAGCCCTGGAGCTCTTAGTCCC
The DNA here is from genome assembly GCF_000001405.40 of Homo sapiens. NCBI lineage: Eukaryota > Metazoa > Chordata > Mammalia > Primates > Hominidae > Homo > Homo sapiens. The sequence continues at coordinate 141,154,706 of NC_000007.14, forward strand.
TGGGATGCAGCTGTTAACTTGTTAACTTTTTTTTTTTTTTTTGAGGCAGAGTCTTGCTCTGTTGCCCAGGCTGGAGTGCAATGGTGCAATCTTGGCCCACTGCAACCTCCACTCCCCAGGTTCAAACGATTCTCCTGCCTTAGCCTCCCAAGTAGCTGGGACCACAGGCGCACACCACCATATCTAATTATTGTATTTTTAGTAGAGATGGTGGGGATCTCACCATATTGGCCAGGCTGGCCTTGAACTGCTGACCTCAAGTGATCCACCTGCCTCAGCCTCCCAAAGTGCTAGGATTACAGGTGTGAGCCACTGCACCTCGCCCAGCTGTTGATTTTTTCAGCTCAGGTTAGGAAAGGAGAAAACAGGTTGGTTTTCTTGCTGTTGCCCAAACTTGGCCAATCTGTGGAGGACTCATAGGACACAGTGTTAGGCGGGTCCAGGGCTGAAAACAGGGGACAGGTGTGGGCAGCAAGAATCAGGATACTGTGATTTTAGGCAGAAGATTTAGACAGAGAAGTAGTTTGTAGAGATCACATTAGGCACATGTGAGTCGGGTACTCATCATACAGGGATGCAGCCCATGGGGCTCTTGCTGCCAAGGATCTGGGTAGGAGCTCTTTTTTCCTTGCTAATTCTGTTTTTCCCTCTCTGAGTATCCCTGTCTGTGGGGATGGCTCTTCTTAATTTTAGGGCAGGCCATGACTCCCTGATGGGGGCATAGCACCCCATGGTCTAAATACACCCACCATGATTTCAAGCTCTCAGCAGTTTAACAGCTGGCACACAAAATGAAGCTTTTGGTTCTGAGCTGTTGGCACAGGCTGGCTCCAGCACATCATCAGCAGTGCCCTCACCCTTCCAGTGGTGCTTGGCTTCCACGTCTGATGGAAGGGGTATGTGTGCTCAGCCATCCTGGGGTCAGGCTAGCATCTGAGGTGCCAGTAGCCCTGGCAACCTGCTGGCTCTTCAAGGAGGTCTCAGTTTCTTCCCAGGCAGGGCCATTTTCTTTTGTTATTCAATCTCTGCCCAGACTTGGGGCATGAGTCCTGGCATCAGGCATCTTAACAAATAAGGGGTCGGGCGTGGTGGCTCACATCTGTAATCCTAGCACTTTGGGAAGCTGAGGCGGGTGGATCACCTGAGGTCAGGAATTCGAGACCAGCCTGGCCAAGATGGTGAAAACCCGTTGTTACTAAAAATAGAAAAAATAGCTGGGCATGGTGGTGGGCACCTGTAATCTCAACTACTTGAGAGGCTGAGGCAGGAGAATCGCTTGAACCCAGGAGGCGGAGGCTGCAGTGAGCCGAGATCGTACCACTGCACTCCAGCCTGGGCGATAGGGTGAGACTCCATCTCAAACAACCAAAAAAACCCCAAAACAAATATGGAGTGACCCATTTTCAGTGACTCCCTTAGACACTTGAGCTTATTTTGTATTTCTAGCATGATTCTGCAAATCTCACTCATAGTACTGATTGCTCTGCCAATAACCAGCTCTGTAACTGGGGGAAGATCAATTACCTTCCTTGTGCCTCAGTGTCCTTCTGTGTAAAATGATGGCTTTGGAACTGGATCTCTGAGGTCTTTTCCAGCCCTACTATGCCATGATTATAAGAATTTTTAAATGACAGCAGTATTTATAGGCAATGATATTACTAAGGCAGTGTTGAGGCTGACTTGAAATCTGTGTGAAGCAGAGAACATGCAAAGTCCCTTGGGAAAAAAGCGGTTATTTTTGAGTACCATAGAGCCTAGTAATAAAACACAGATTCAAAAATGAAAAACGTCAGCCACATTTCTTAGGTACAAAAGATGGACACCTTGAAAGATGATGGGGTTAATGGATTCAGCTCTGATGCTCCCAGTGACTTCAGCAGAAGAAGAAAGGGCCTCCTGGGAAATCAACAGGAACTTGTTTAGACGGATCAACTCTAAATTATGGAGGGATTATCCAGGTTAAATCTTGCTTTCATGCTTTTTGACTGCATCTATTCTGCGTAATTACTTACTTGGTTGGCATCTCAGATTTCCTCTCTTTTCTTGCAGCCTGCAGGGAATTCCTTTGATGAGATAGGGTGGGATGGTGAAAAAGCTGTGGATTAGAAATCAGGAGACCCAATTTCTAACTGGTTGTAAGGCTCTAGCAGATCATTTCTCCAGCCTGGGTTTCAGATGCATCTGTTGATAAATGAGGGATTTGGGGTAGGTCAGTGGTTTGTAACCAGGGGATGTTTCAGAATGCTGCTGATCTAAGCTGGGCTGGCCTCCCAGCTATAGTTGGGGCTCAGGTCTTCTCCACCCAGCTCCCAGCTTTCAGTTTTCTGGGGCCAGCAGACGACCCTGAGTATATCCTTCTCTTAGCAGTGGTGAAAGTGGAAACACGCAGTACTTCTGGAGGCCTGGGGGAGCTGAGGCTCACTGTCCCTTCTGCCCTCTTCCCACTGGCCAAGACAAGTCACATCGCCAATCTGGACAGACCTGGGACGGGGATGGATGCTCTGCCTCTCTTGGTGCAAACTACCAAGTCTCATGGTGATTTTGAGGACAGGAAAGGGTGAAGAATTGGGACAGTTGGTGCAGTCTACTGGAGAGGACCACACCCTTCCTCCTCTCATGCTGGAGTCCTAGGAGAGGAGCTTCCTCATTTTATAGAACAGCTTTAAGGCAAGAAGCATAGCAAAGCAAAACAGATCCTCTCTTTCCTACTCCTGCGCGCGTGCACACACACACACACGCACACACACACGCACACCAGCCAACCAACAAGCAAACAAATGAAACTCAAAGCACCCAGGGACAATAACAGAACAACAACAACAACAACAACAACACGGAGAGAGGAGGTCTGGGTCCAAGAGAGTAACAGCTGCTTCCTCATCTCTCTCAGCAGCCCGACCCCAGGTCCTGTCGCTGGCAGTCTTACTCAAAAAAACTTTTAGTTGTAACTAAGCCCAACTTGCACATCTGTGAAATGGGGATGATAACCCCAATCTCACTCCTCGCAGGTGACTGTGAGTTCCGAGCGAGGTAACAGTGATGACGCTTCCGGCGTGATGCCTGGCACATCATGGTGATAAGATGTTAGTTTCTCCTTCTTGCTCCTCTCTGAGATCCTCATTTCCTCACAGCTGAGTGTCATCTTAGCCTCCTGGAGGCCCTTCCACCCTGCTTCCTGTGTCCTGCTCACTGGCTCTACTGTTCCCCGCCTCTGTGCCTCTAATGAACCACTCTCCCCTGCCTGGTGCATCTTTTCCTCTCCTCTCTGCCCAAATTGGGTTTTTCCTTGTAGGCCAGCACGAGTCCCACTCTCTTTTGCTAACAGACATCAGTCTGCAACAGTCTCTTTCTCTTTACCATGTGGTATTTAAGCTTGTGTGGCCTCAGATTGCCAATTTTTTGTTTTTTGAGATGGAGTCTCACTCTGTTGCCCAGGCTGGAGTGCAGTGGCGCAATCTCGGCTCACTGCAGCCTCCATCTCCCGGGTTCAAGCGATTCTCTTGCCTCAGCCCCCCAAGTAGACAGGATTACAGCCATGCACCACCATGCCCGGCTAATTTTTGTATTTTTAATAGAGACAGGGTTTCGTCATGTTGGTCAGGCTGCTCTCGAACTCCTGACCTCAAGTGATCCACTTGCCTCAGCCTCCCAAAATGCTGGGATTACAGGCATGAGCCACCATGCTTGGCCCCTCAGGTTGCCAATTGATGTCTGTCCTGAAAGTTCTTCAAGAGCAAGATCCGTGTCTGATCAATGTCTGTATCCCTTATATCCGGATGTTGCTAAGAACACAATAGGTGCTTAGTAAATATTTGTTGAATGTTTAAAGACCAATCTCAGCCTCCCCAAAGCCATCCTTTATCTATAAATGTGGCAAGGACAAGAAGACCAGCAGGAAGAACAAGACTCCCAGGGACTTGAGAAGAGGCCGAACCTGTGGACAGGGTCACTCTCTGCCTGGAGCCCAGCTGGGGATGCCTAGATCTCACGCTGTCCTCTGAGCACTGGGATCTGCTGACAAGTGTGGATGGCTGATTGGCCAATTCTCAGGCCTCTGCTTGGAGATGCGGTCTGACTTCCTGCCAGCCTGCATGCCGAAAGAACAAGCCTGCATGCTTCAGTAATGTCTTGGTCCTGTGGGTGACCTCTTGATGAGTCACTTTCTGTTCTTGAGGAGGCAGACAGGGAGCCTGAGAGAATGAAGGTTAAATGGAAATTTAGGATTGTAAAAAAATTAGAGATGGAGAGGACAAGGGAAATGAGGAAGAGGTTGGGCAGGGCTTTGATACCTTTTGTGAACTATTTAAAGATATTTATATCCCTTGCTTTTCTCTGATTTTGTGAATGATGTCACCATGCATCCAGGGACTCAGCCATCTTCAGCGGCCCCTTCCCAACCTCTCCTGCCTGCACCCCTGTTCTATCCCCATCTGATGGTTGCTTACATCTCCTCATCTCCTCTTTCTTCCCTCTTCTCTTTCCAGGGCCTCATGATGACCTTCTAGCTGCAGTAGTCTCCCTGCAGTCACTCTTGCTCCCACAATCTATCCTATGTGTTACCAAGCCAGAGGGATGGTTTAAAAATCCAAATAAAATCATGTTACTCACCTGCTCAAAACTGTCAAATGACCTCCAGTTTCACTTAGTTTAAAATCCCAGCTCCTCGCTCTGGAAAACAGTATGGTAGCTCCCCCAAAAATTAAATATAGAACTACTGTATGATCCAGCAATTCTACTTCTGGGCATACACCCCCCAGAATTGAAAGCAGGGTCTTGAAGAGATGTTTGTACACCCATGTTCATAAATGCATTATTCACAGTAGCCAAAAGGCGGAAGCAACCCACGTGTTCACCGACAGACAAATGGATAAACAAAATGTGGCATATTCATAGAGTGGAATATTATTCCATCTCAGAAACGAGGGAAATTCTGACGCACGCTACAACACGGATGAACCTGGAGGACATCATGCCAAGCGAAGTAAGCCAGACACAGTAAGACAAATACTGTAGGATTTCACTTATATGAGATAGAATATTCTTTCTACTTAGAATGGACAAATTCATAGAGACAGAAGGTAGAAGGGTGGTCGTCAGGGGGTTGGGGGATGGAGGAATGGGGAGTTGTTTAATGGGTGTGAAATTTCAGTTTGCATAATGAAAATAATCCTGGAGTTTGGCTGTGCAACAACATGAATGAACTGAACACTACCGAGCTGTTAAAATGGCTAAGGTGGTGAATTTTAAAAAAATTGTTCAATAATGGGGAAGCATTGTTTATTTTATATATATATATAATTTTAATATATAATATATATAATTTAGATATGTAATATATAATCAATATATAATATATATATATAATTTCAATTGTTTTTGGGGAAGAGGTGGTGTTTGGTTACGCGGATGTTATTTAGTGGTGATTTCTGAAATTTTGCTGCACCCATCACCCGAGCAGTGTACGCTGTACCCAATGTGTTGCCTTTTATCCCTCACCCCACTCCCACCCCTTTCCCTGAGTCCTCAAAGGCCACTGTATCCTTCTTATGTGAGGTGATGAATTTCAAGCTGTCTATATCTTACCTTCTAACTCACCAGCCTCCCATGCTGGGCCCTGGTACACAGTGATACCCCGGCACCAGCTTCACTTCTCCTTGAAGGCTCCGAGCTCACTGGCTTTTGCTGTCCCACTGGCCTGAGCATCTCCTCCCAGAAGAGACTTGGTTTGGCAGGTCACTGCCTCCTCCTTGCCCCTCCTTCCCTCTGCCACATCCCCACCTATCTTGGCCTTGCTAGTGTCGTCATTCTCTAGGATGGATCACGTTGCTCTCTGCCTCCCTAACCTGCTGTCTGACTGTGCCTTGGTGGCCAGAAGAGTGCTTGCCACATGACACATGCTCCATAACTGCTTGTTAAGTGGTGTTTTCTGAGGCCTGTGTTTGAGTGACTATTGAGAGCGGGCACATGGGGCATATGTTCTGCACCGTTTTCCTTATGGTGGGTCTGAGTCACCTGGAACCAGCCATGATCTCTGGTACACTGAGCTTGTGCTCAGTGATGGGAACTGGTCGGATGTGGGATTAACACAATTAATTGGCCTGCATAGAGATTCAATTATTAACCTTAAATTCAACACATTTTTATTGGATTTCTTTTTCTTTGTTTTTTTGAGACGGAGTTTTGCTCTTGTTGCCCAGGACGGAGTGCAATAGTGCGATCTTGGCTCACTGCAACTTCCACCTCCCAGGTTCAAGTGATTCTTCTGCCTCAGCCTCCTGAGTAGCTGGGATTACAGGCATGCACCACCATGCCTGGCTAATTTTGTATTTTTAGTAGAGATGGGGTTTCACCACGTTGGTCAGGCTGGTCTTGAACTCCTGACCTCGTGATCCGCCCACCTTGGCCTCCCAAAGTGCTGGGATTACAGGCACGAACCACTGCGCCCGGCCTGGATTTCTTTTATGCTCAAAGCATGAAGGAAGGGGAAGAGAGATGTAAGGATGAATGGGACACAGGACCTGTCTCGAAGAGCTTCTGTCTGACAAGATTGGGATGAGAGTGGCCAGGGCTATGGTGGATGACGAGGTGGTGAGTGGTCTGAGGGAGCCACAGAGGGAGGGGATTTTACTCTGAGCCACGGGGCTGCAGAAAGGCTCGACGGGAAGGCTCTGCTGGAGGTGAGCTGGGAAAGGCAGAGGATTCTAATAAGTGGGAGGAGGCCTAGACGGTGACCCAGGAGCGAAGCCAGAGCCTTTGTGGGTCTGTTGTGTGGCCATTATTCTGTCATGCTGGGAGAATCAATGGCTTCTTAGCAGAAGAGTGACGAGATCAAAGCTGAGTTTTATGAAGGTCATTTGTGACCATGCGCAGGAAGGCCTGGGTGGGTTGAGGGACTGGCAGCAGTGGTCCCCCAGATCCAGAGGCTCTTCCAGGGGAACAGGTGGGAGGCAGTGCGGGCCTGGGCGTGGGTGCCTGGGAAGAGGGTGAGAGACACTTCTGAGGTGGGCTGGACAGAACTTGACAACTGTGTGTGTGTCTGTATAGGTGAGAGAGTGGGTGGTGTGTGTGACAGTGTGTGTGTTTGTGTGTGAAGAGTGTGTATGAGAGTTTGTGAGGGTGGTGAGTGTGTGAGAGAAGCAGAGTGTGTGGCATGTGAGTGTGCAGCTGTGTGGTATATGAGTGCAGCAGTGTGGTCTGAGTGTGCAAGAGCATGTGAGAATGTGTGTGTTTGTGTGAGGATTTGTGAGAGAGCATGAGAGTGTGTGTGTCTGTGTGCACTTGCAGGCAGAAAGGGAGGCATCCTTCCCAGCGCTGAGCAGCCAGCACTCCCTTGCCAGGAGCTAATTTTCCAGATGCCCCACAGTCAGGTGCCAATAACCGCCTTTCTCCACCTGCAGGGCTTGGCCAGCTCCCCTAGGATTCCCCGTTTCCCCACAGGAACTGCAGAGAAGCCTAGAACAAAACAAGAAGCCATCTCTGATTTGGAGGCTGACGCGTGACGCCTTGCGCCCTGCAGCTCCTGCTGGCTGTTGTCCTGCTCTTTCTCTCCAGCCACTTGCCTCTCACCTTGTTCCGCTCATGTTTTACATCCCTCAGCTGTCCCTGGGCTCTGTGGCCTGACCGTCCTTTGACCCCCTGTCTGCTCATTGCTGGCATGCGATACACCCTGGGCTTTGCTGGTTCCGGATGCTGCCCACACCCAGGGCTGACACCTGAACAATGTTTACATAGAGCAAGTTGAAGCTTAATAAGTAATTGTGGAATGTTTGAAAAATAAGCAAAATGGGCCCAACTAAATACATTTGCCTTTTAGCACTACTGCCTATGGGAATAAAAGCAATATTCATCCCATTATAGGATGTTGACATCTAATTTAGTTTCTTACCAATGCATAGTTAGGAAAGAATCTCAGTCCCATGGTACCAACACTAGCATTTTATTTCATTAATCAAAATAGGCATGTTGGATTGAATTTAGGCACAGCAAAAGATGGGGTCTGGTATAAATGGTTTTTAAATCATGATTTCAAGAGGTGGTATTGTGTAGATAACTCAGCATTTGAATGTGCTTTTATGGGAGTGAAGAATAAAGCTCCAGAGAGTGTGTAGGCAGATTTCCTGATCCATTTGTGGGCAAAGGATTGATTGTGCATGTGGTGCCAAGCGTGCATGTGGATCCCTCACTTCACTAGCAAACCAGATCCATTTCCTGTAGAACGTTTTATGGCATATGCATATAGCCAGTGCTTGCCAAAAATAGATTCCCTTCAAAGTTGAGGTTTTAAAGCAGTGTATCAGCTAGCTTTTGCTGTGTAACAACCAACCACAAAGCCTCCGTGGCTTACAATGAACATTATTTCTCCAGTGTCTTCAGGGTGCAATAGATCTGTTCTGTTCTCTGCTGTATGGTTCTGCTTCTTGGCTGGACTCATTCATGCATCTCTAGGTTGATGAGAGCCTGCCTGAGGTGCCTTAGCTAGGGCGGTTCTTCATGTACTTATCCCCCTACCAGAACCAGCAAGCTAGCCAAAGCATGTAATTCTCATGATAATGGTGGAAGCCGCACAAGTATGGAAATATGTAGGCCTTCTGGAAGCCTAGGCTTGGAACTGGCATACTGTCACTCTCACCATATGATATTGACCAAAACAAGTTATGTGGCTGAGCTCAGATTCAGGGGGCAGGGATAACGACTCTACTTCATTGGTGAGAGAAACTGTGATGTTTCATAGCAAAGAGAAGGGTGAAGAATTGGGATCATTAATGCAGTCTACCACAGATTGGTATTCTCTATTTAGCAAACAGCAATTTTTTTTTTTTTTTTTTGAGACGGTGTCTTGTTCTGTGGCCCAGGCTGGTGTGCAGTGGTGCAATCCTGGCTCACTGCAACCTCTGCCTTTCAGGTTCAAGGTGGTTCCTCATGCCTCAGTCTGCCGAGTAGCTGGGATTACAGGTGAGCGCCATCAAGCCTGGCTAATTTTTGTATTTTTAGTAGAGGTGGGGTTTCACCATGTGGCCAGGCTGGCTTTGAACTTCTGACCTCAAGTGGTGTGCCTGCCTCAACCTCCCAAAGTGCTGAGATTACAGGGTGAGCCACCATGCCTGGCCAGCAAACAGCATATTTTAAGCAGATTTAGTGAAGAATGCAAAGGTATAGATATTTGAAATAATCATTTATACATAGATAGTGAACACTGAATGATTTTTTTAGTGTTGTGAAATTACTGATTATTAGAATTACAAGGAAACCATGGGAAATCAAATCCCAGCTAATCCTTTAATTTTACAGACTAAGACATTTGTAACTCAGATTGGGGAAGTGACTTTCCCTGGGTTTTTAGGTTATTAGTGACCGTAACTACTGAAACCTTATTTTTTTCTGAATATAATACTCTTTGATAGATACAATAGTACACATTTTCCTTTGTACAACACCCTTTTAATGAAAACCAAGTAAATATAACAAATGCATCATTTTTAATATGTGAGTCTTTGGTTCCTGAAACTCAAAATGTGAAATTCACAAAATTATAATTTGCAGACGTATTGCTGTGGTCAGTAATCTATTCCGAAATGTAAAATTTCAGAATGTTATCATTAGAGTGAGATAGGCGAGTCAGTGTGACAATCAGAAAAAACCTGCATTGCAGTATTTTACCCTGACTTTTATGGGTGCAATTATATTAATGCTGCAATGCTGGTTTTTGGAATTCTCACCAACCAGTGAGACCCAGTGGAGGAAGCTGGACTGGGACAGGACTTGGGTTTCTGTGTTTGCTTTGTTGCCGGTGATGGGACCTGGGCACATGTTTCAGCTCTTTGGTTCTGTTACTCATGTGAAAAATGACAATTTGGACTAGATGGAATTTAAGACCAAGTCCAAGGCTAAGATTCTAATTTTTATATCAGTGATAGAAATTGCACAGGTTTTCATTCTATTGCTGTTATTAACAAGGATTAGGTTTGGCTGCATTTGACAGGAAACCCCCAAATAAGTGGCTTATAGAAGTTACAGGTGATTTCTCTTTTTCATAAGAAAAAGAGGTTTGCAACTAGGAGTTCAGGGCTGATAAGAGGGCAATGAGTGTCGTCATTAGGGATCTAGGCCTCCATCTTTCTGCTCTGTTATCCTCAGGACATGACTTCTATCCTCAAGGTGACTTCAGGGTCACCTCATGGATCAATAGGGCTGCTGGGGTTCCAGCATCACCATCATTTAACAGGTAAGCAATAGGAAGAAATGGGAAGGGTAGCACTTGCCTCTTCCTTTTTGAAAGACATTTTATTTTGAAATAATTTTAGATTAATAGAAAATTTACAAAAATAGTACAGAGAGTTTCCGTGTATCCTTCCTTTAACTTTCCCTAATGTTAACATCTTACAAAACCATGGTACAGCTTTCAAAATGCAGAAATTAACATTGGTACAATATTATCAACCTGATAATATTATTTATTAGAATTTTGCTTATTTTTATACTAATGTCCTTTTTGGCTCCAGGATCCAATCCTGGATCCCACGTTGCATGTAATCATTATATCTTCTTAGTCTCCTTCAACCTGTGATATTTTCTCCATCTTTTCTTGTTTTTCACAATCTTGATAGTTTTTAAGAGTATTGGTCAGGCATTGCATAGAAAGCTCTTCAACTTGAGTTTCTCTGATGTTATCTCACGGAATAGTCTGGGTTATTAGGTTTTGGGGAGAATTTCACAGAAGTGAAGCCCCCTTTCATTGCATCATATCAAAGTCCATGATATCAGCATGCCTTACTACTGGCAATGGTAACCTTGACCACTTGGTTAAGGTGGTGATTGCCAGGTTTCTCCACTGTCTAGTTATTTTATTTCCCTTTCCAGACCCTCTTGGTTAGAAGCAAGTCTCTCAGTTCAGCTCACACTCAAGGAAGGAACATTCAGCTCCACCTCCTGGAACCCCCTCCTTTCAAAGGCATGTTCCTGGAAGTTCAACACAAAACTTCTGCTTTTACAGCTGGAATTTAGTGTAGTGTAATGAGTGGTGAAGAGCTTTGACTGGGGTCAGGCCGCTTGAGTTGAAATCTCAGCTGTGGCACTCATTAACAGTATGAATTGGGAAAATTACTTAACTTCTCTGGGATGTTTGCCCTGTAAAAATGGGATAATCACTGTGTCTCTCATAGGGTTTTTGTGAGATTAAGTGACTTTATGTACAGAAAGGTGCTTAGCATTGTGCACGGCACATAGTGAGGGACTGTCCTTGTTAGCCACGGGCATTGTTACATGGCCCCACTTAGCTATGAGACAGCCGTGGAAATGTAGTCTTTATTTGTTTCTTTCCAGGAAGCGACAAGCCTAGCTAGCTAAAAATTGGGGTGCTGTTCCTGAGGAAGAAAAAGCAGGCTGGATAGTCAAAGACAACCAGCAGCATTTGCCACAATTGCTGTACTCAGACTCTGGGCCAGTAGACCTATAGTAGGTGGGACCCAGATGAAACCTTCTTCCCAATTATGAAGTTCCCCTTGTGCAGGATCCACAGTGCTCTCTAAGGGGCCATTTTGGGCTCTAGGAGAGTGAGAAACACAGACTGCAACCAGACAGGTGCTAAGAGGTCATCAGGAAGTAAGGGTCCTGCTGGATTTATTTGATCATTGGGAACAGTCAACTTTCCTCTGTGTCGGAATCCCAATGGAGGAATCCTTTTGAGTAGTTCACACCAGCGTGAGCTGGTGGAAGCAGCAGTGCATCCATGTTAGTGTTTGATATGTTTGCTTTCCCCAGAACATATTTAGTCTTCATAAAGGGAAGGTAGCTCCTTTGGAAACTGCCATAAGAGATGGGGTGGGCTAGAAAGCTTTGCAAAGATCAGAGCCACCTTCTAGTATCTACTGACAAGAGGGGATAGGAAGAAACATTCCTGGGGATGTGGAGGGCTGCTACCCAGGAGACCCACAGGAACGTCCCAGAACCTGCCCTAACCTTGTCTTTCATGTATCAGGTGCTCCTTTTTAGGACAAAGAGTGGCACCAGGAACCAAGAACTTGATCACTGCCAAGTCTTGCCTTTGGGTTTTTAGTTTTGAAAGATGAATGAGAAAAGACCAAGGACAGCTTCTCCTGCAGATGTGAGCTAAACACTGTGATCATGGCTGGAGTGCAGTGTGCCCTTTCTGGCTATTGCTTTTCCTCCTGAAGTTTGATACCCACAGATTCCTCTTAACAAGCATTCATTCCCCTTTCTTGTCCTTGTATGGGTGACTTGGAACAGACGGTTTCCTCTCAGTCTCATGTTAACTCTGCCAGATTCGTATCTATCACTTAATATTATGTTTGGAAAATGACAATGTTAAAGATCATAGCCAGTAGCTTCTTGTGTGGCCTATAGCTAGTCATTTAACTTCTCTGGGCTCCAGTCTTCTCATCTTTAAAATGAGGGTGTTGACCTATGTGATCTAAGGTCCCTTGCAGCAGAAGCTGCTCTGGGCTCTTTGCTTTGCTCTGAGGACACATGGAACTAGTCTCCTGACACATTATCTAGAGTTGCCCGTGAGTACTACATCTTGTCCTTCAATGCAGGACTTAAGAAATCGCCTCTTCGCCCATGCGTCTGTTACCCCAAATGCCCCTCACTGTCATTTGTCTCTCTGTATGACTGCAAGCAGATCCAATATAGGACACTCTGTCTTGCGTATCTCAGCATCCTGGGGCCCTCAGTAGCAAGTTGGCATGAGGTAGTCACTGTGAGTGTGCGCGAATCGTGTTGCCCTCCTGCCAGTTCGTTGCTCCTCATTCCCATCAGGTTCTATTAGGAATGACAACTCTGAAGTGGATTTGTGCCTTTAATCACGTCACCGTGTACAAAGGGCCTGGATCTATGTCACTGACATCCCTCGCTCTTTTTCGTCCCTTTGATCACAGCCCATGTCTGATGTGCCCTCTCACAAAGGGCTTCCCTTCAATCCCTTAAAATTTTGTCAAATGCTCAGGCCTGTGCTGTCCTCAAATGCATAATTAGTGAATGTAGGGCAGCTCTCTTCCTGATTCTGAGGCTGCTCTACCCTTTTAAGGCCCTGTAAAGGAATGCAGCCCTGGACAGGGCCGGTGTGCCCTGGTGGCTCCTCCCAAGGCCAATTTGCCAGCAATCTGAGAAGCCTACCCGTTGTGCCCCAGGGAAGCAGCTTTTTCCTGCTGCTCTGAACACAGACCAGCATCCCACCTTATATTTGCCCCTACATTTTTGTAAAAATCTCATAATCATTTGGCTTCCTTTCACGCTTTCATGCACTCACTTAGCTCCAACATTTATTGTGAATTTGCTGCAGCCAGACTCTTCTATAGATAGCACTTTCAAGTTTATGCATCTTTTTCAGGCACATTTTCTTAACATGTTTGATTTTCATGACATCCCTGCGAGATGGCCAGGGCAGAGACCGGGAATCTGAGTCCCATAGTGTTTAAGTGACTTGCTTGAGCTGGTGGAGATGGATCACCTACCTAGCTGGGTTGTCTCTCTTTTCTAATCCAAAGATCTCTGATATTTCATGCCTTTGACTTGGTGTAATTTGGTTGGCTCGTGGCTTCAAGTCATTCTTCTGGTGACCTTCAATTTAATGCAAACTTCATGGCATCTCCTTCCAGAGACACATCCTGCCTTGGAGAAGGTCTCTAGGCCTTGGAGAATGGGAACCAAGGCTATTCTGTTCTTGTGCACTTGGCATTGGGGATTGTAATTTGTGGAACTACATCAAAGGGGCAAACTGAGAAATTTTTAAATCCAGCACTCTCTTCCCCAGATTTTGCTCTGATTTCCTCTTTCAAAAGATGATTCTGCCTGTAATCCTAGCACTTTGGGAGGCTGAGGTGGGTGGAACACTTGAGGTCAGGAGTTTGAGACGAGCCTGGCCAACATGGTGAAATCCCATCTCTACTAAAAATACAAATTACCTGGGTGTGGTGGCGAGCACCTCTAATCCCAGCTACTTGGGAGGCTGAGGCAGGAGAATCGCTTGAGCCCGGGAGGTGGAGGTTGCAGTGAGCTGAGATCATGCCACAGCACTCCAGCCTGGGCGACAGAGGGAGACTCTGTCCCCCAAAAAAAAAGAAAAAAAAGAAGATGATTCCTCCTGGATATTTTCTTTTTGTTTCATTTTGTTTCTTTTTAATTTTTATCGGGACATAATAATTGTATGTATTTATGGGATACATGTGATATTTTGATACAAGCATACAATGTGTAATGATCAAATCAGAGCAATTGGGATACCCATTACCTCAAACATTTCTCATTTCTTTGTGTTGGAAACATTCCAAATCCATTCCTCTGATCTCCTCTTTTAAAAATTAGTTCTTCCTGAATATTTTATGTGTTTAAATTTAACTTTTATTTTAAGTTCAGGGGTACATGTTTGTTATATAGGTAAACTTGTGTCATGGGGGTTGGTTGTACAGATTATTTTATCACTCGGGTATTGAGCCTAGTACCCATTAGTTATTTTTCCTGATCCTCTCCCTCCTTTCACCCTCCACCATCCGATAGGCCCCAGTGTGTTGTTCACCTCTATGTGTCCATGTATTCTCATCACTTAGCTCCTGCTTATAAGTGAGAACATGTGGTATTTGGTTTTCTGTTCCTGTTTTAGTTTGCTAAGGATGATGGCCTCCAGCTCCACCCATGTTCCTGCAAAGGACATAATATCATTCTTTTTTATGGCTGCATAGTATTCCATGGTGCATATGTGCCACATTTTCTTTATCTGGTCTACCACTGATGAGTGTTTAGGTTGATTCCATGTCCTTGCTATTGTGAATCACTATTCACAATGAATGTACGTGTGCATGTATTTTTATAATAGAACATTCATCTGGCTAATATCTAGACACCTGGCTCTTGGGGTAATCAAGGCTCTGACAGGCTCTGCAAAGAATCATCCACATGCTTGCTTGTAGCATTTCCTCAGTATTTATGGAGAAAATAATCACTTGCAGAAAACTCTGGGGATACAAAGGTGAAAAAGACACTTGTCCTGGCCTCAAAAGGCTCACAGAGATTATTGGAGCTATTAGAAACCTTAGAGATTCTAGCACAATTTTCCACGTTTTGATTTTCAGACTTTTATATTATATGCCAATAATGTTTAGCAATATTTGTGCAACTCTGGATTAAAGAAAGATAAAAAATTCACCACAATCTTCTTGGTCAAATCAAACTGTTTTCAATAGTGTATGTTCCCTTCCACTGTTTGTTCACATGAATACATAATTTCTTTTGCATAAATTAAGATTTTTCTTCAATCTTATGCAAATATTTTTCCATATTGCTACATAAATACAATCAAGTGTGTATTTCACATTCTTTGGCTTTCCATTACTATTGGATACTTAGATTTCTACATTTTTGCCATGATACAGCTGCAATAAACATTATTTGGGTATAACTTTAAAATTCTTTGGGTTCTCTCCTTAGCCTAAGTTTTCTCAAGTGTGATTACTGGGTCAAAGACTGGGCATTTTCATGGTTTCTGGTAAGTATTTTCATATTGTTATTCATATGTTTGTATTAATTTATTCTGTCACCAAAGTGTGAGTTAATTTTCTTGATCTGAATAGTCCCTGGATAGAGTCCCTTCCATTTATAATGAGTAATTTTTGGAATTCTTACAGGACCCCCAAAATAGGTATAATCCGTCTTACAGTGGATTATACCTTGTTTCTTTCACTGCGGCTCTTCTCAGTTTTTTATTGAGTGTGTTGTGACCGGCCATGAGATCATGGGTAAGTGACTTAATCTGAGTATGCCTCATAGTGTTCACCTGTAGATGGGAACCATCAGTTGTTTCTCGTTGTTATAAGGATCAAACAATGGAATTTATGGAATTGCTCTGCAAATGATACAAAGGTCAGCTGTTACCGATGGTGTAACTGATTGCCTCTCAAATTCCCCCCCATATCTGCTCCAAATGACCCTTCCCAGAATGGCTGCCACTAAGTTCCCACCAGCTGACAAGGACTGTGTGCAATGCATTGCTGTATCAAAGTTGAGACTGTGGGGCGGGGACAGACATAGCCGCTAACAGGGAAATATCTGGAAGTGCCCTAGGCAGCACTAATCCTGGACCAGCCCCTGTTGGTCAGGTCTTCATTTAACTGCTGTTGCTCTACCTTCCCAGCCGCACTATCACAAGTCCTGTGCCTGACCCTGAATACGCCAAACTGCAAGGCACAGTCGGCATTCCTCTGTCAATCAATGTCATGTGACTTACATGTTCTACTTCACTCTGTGATTGATCTACAGCCTTTGAATGGTTATTACAGGTTCAGACTACACATCACACACACATACACACACACACACACACACACACACACACACACACACACACACACACCCTAAATATAAATTAAAATAAATACTTGAAGTGTAACTCTTCACTTTTGAATCTTCTAGTCTACTCTTAGCTCTTCAGGGTAGGCCTGTTGTTTATTTAAAAATAGGTTGGGTGCAGTGGCTCATGCATGTAATTCCAGCACTTTGGGAGGCTGAGGACAGAGGATCCCTTGCGTTCAGGAGTTGGAGACCAGCCAAGGCAACATTGTGAGACCCTGTCTCTGGAAAAAAACCAAAATTTTAGACTTTTTACTATGTGATAGGCAGTGTTCTAAGTGCTTACACACATTATCTTACTTTGTTTATATAACAATGCTATGATGTAGGTACTTCTGTGAAATCGTTTTTACTGACTGGGAAACAGTCTGGGAGCTCAAGTAACTTGCCCACAATCACTTAGCTGGCAAGTGATGGAGACAGAATTAGAACTCAGGTCTTTTGACTGTTCTGCTAGTTGGTGTTTCTGGGCTGTGGGTTGGCCAGACTCACGCCTATTATTTATTCTGAAGTGGGGATGCACGACCACCTTGCCAGGCCTCGGTCTCCCGCATGACACTGTCTTCTGAGTGATGCATGCAAATTCCAGACAGAGGGGATGGCTGTGGTGTCACAGCAGAGAGCCAGCAGACAAAGACAGTGTCTTAGACAGGGCAGGGGGTAGAGAGGCGACAGTTAAGCAAGGCAGTGTGAACATGTGCAAATGTGGGCCAGCTTAACACCATGAACCCAGTGCCTAACACTGTGCTAGCATTTATCAGGCTCTCAATACACATTTGTGAATGAATGAATGAATGAATGAATGAAGGGCAATGGCAAGAGGCATGTGTGCCTTCAGGTCTTGTTGGAGCCTCTACACATTAATTCTCAACAGGTAATTGTTGAGTACCTATTGTGTGCTAGTGCTGTGATTGCGACCATTTATTGTGTACTTACTATGAGACAGGCACCGTAGTAGGTGCTTGATACATGGTTTCTGTATTCCTTTCACGGATGCTGTGTGTTACACATTGCCCTTTTACAGATGAGGAAACTGAGGCATATAGAGATTAAATACCTTCCCCAAGGTTACAGAGTTGGAATCAGTATTCCAACTCACAGAACAGTGAACATAAAGTAGTCTATTTCATAATTTCGCTTCATCTCATTCATTCATTCATTCACAAATGTGTATTGAGAGTCTGCCAGATGCTAGCATGGTGTTAGGCACTGGGTTCAAGAGTGAAACCTCTGATCTGCTGCTGCCTGGGAGGATATTAATCATGTTACATAGGGAGTACCAGACTCCATGTCTCTGCCCTTGATGGGGAGTGTTGGGAGTATTTTTCATCTTGAATGTAAGCTGAAAGTTATTCTTCACACCAGAAAGGAAACCAAGACCATCTTAGACATGCAGTGAAGCAGACAAAACAAGGCTGAGGAGGGGCCCCTGGAACAGGGAACCAGAGTAAATTTCAGGGCCCTGCAACCTCAGCAAGTGGTGCTGTGTCTAGCATCTACAAGGAGCAGGCTCGGTTTCAGAGCCTCTTGAGAAGTAACTGACCAGGACTCTGTTACCTCCCAGCAGCACAGGATGCCACAGAGGAGGACCTGAGGAGCAGATATAGTGGGAATGGATGAGAACAGAAATGATTGCTGGCCACATTGGCTAAGGGAGGAACAATTAGTGATTATGAGATGGTAAAGGTGTAGTACTTCTAGTCTGCTGTACTTAATTTTGTGTAAGTTCCATCTCAAAGCAAAAATCGTCATTCTCCATTAATTCTTTTGTTCTCCTTGTTAAATCCTGATTAAATTATTCCTTATAGTATTGTACAGATGAGATCTGCACAGATGTATTGTGGTGTGTGTGACTATGTGTGTGCATGAATATCAGAATATCACTGTTGAAGTCCAGATTCTACGTCTGAACAGGGTGACCAGCTAAGTCTCCCAGAGACTGCTGAGTATTATACTTGGCTCTGGGGATCCAGGAATCCATCACTAGAATTAATGTGGTATTGAGAAAAGTGAGTAGGTACTTGAAAAATTGGTTAGTTTTGGGGTCTGAGTCTATATACCACATTGAGAATTCTATGATGGATCGTGTAACGAATGGTGCAACTGGAATGAACATTATAGAGAAGTAGTCTAGTTTGAAGCTGAGTGAGAGTTTGCCTTTCCCCTTAAGGAACTTGAAACAGAGGTAAATACTGCAAGGTAGACTGTAAGCTCCTCGAAGGCAAGAACAATGTCATGTGTAAATTTATATCCCCAGTACCTAGTACCATGCCTGACACAAAGTAGATGCTCAGTAAATGTTTTCTGATTGAGCTGAATCAATAATATACAAAATGTTATGGAAACAGAGTTGAACGAGTCAGTTACTCCCTGACCACGCTGCCTCCAAGGAAGGCTTCACTGAGGCGGGAGTATTTGAGTCAAGACTGAAAGATTGGCCTGCAGTCACAACTAAGGATGTGAAGATATCAAAGAAGATAGCCTATCTCACATGAGAAACTTGCAACCCTGACAATATATAAATCAAATTTAAGGTCATTGAATAATAACTTATGCCTGGGATCATTTCCTTCTGAATGTCAACCTCAATCAATCATAATGTTTGTCTGAATTTGTGTTGAGGGAAGGATTCTGAAGTCTTATACTAGTTTTGGATTGGTTGGCCAAGTTTGCCATGGGTGGGGGAGGATTACTTGTGTCATACATTAGCCATTGCCATATTAAGTCTCTGGACTCTTCAAAGTAACCCCTTCTCCTTTCTTTTGACTCAACTCCATATATAGACTTAATAGGGGCCAGCATTGTGTTTTGTGCCAACTCAAGCAAGGGGAAGAGACCATGAAAGTGTGAGAAGTGATTCTCTACCTTTCTAATCAGTCAAGTCCTCCATCACAAAAACATTTTTTAAAAATTATACTGTAAGTTCTGGGGTACATGTGCAGAATGTGCATGTTTGTTACATAGGTATACATGTGGCATGGTGATTTGCTGCACCCATCAACCCATAATCTACATTAGGTATATCTCCTAATGCTATCGCTCCCCTAGCACCACCCCCACCCCCTGACAGGCCCCAGTGTGTGACGTTCCCCTCCCTGTGTCCATGTGTTCTCATTGTTCAACTCCCACTTACGAGTGAGAACATGTGGTGTTTGGTTTACTGTTCTTGCATTAGTTTGCTGAGAATGATGGTTTCCAGCGTCATCCATGTCCCTGCAAAGGACATGAACTCATCCTTTTTTATGGCTGCATAGTGTTCCATGGTGTATATGTGCCACATTTTCTTAATCTAGTCTGTCATTGATGGGCATTTGGGTTGTTCCAAGTCTTTGCTACTGTGAACAGTGCCGCAATAAACATAAGTGCGCATGTGTCTTTATAGTAGAATGATATGTATTCCTTTGGGTATATACCCAGTAATGGGATTGCTGGGTCAAATGGTATTTCTAGTTCTAGATCCTTGAGGAATCACCACACTGTTTTCCACAATGGTTGAACTAATTTACACTCCCACCAACAGAGTAAAAGCATTCCTATTTCTCCACCTCCCCTCCAGCATCTGTTGTTTCCTGACTTTTTAATGATCACCATTCTAACTGGCATGAGATGGTATCTCATTGTGGTTTTGATTTGCATTTCTCTGATGACCAGTAATGATGAGCTTTTTCTCATATGTTTGTTGGCCACATAAATGTCTTCTTTTGAGAAATGTCTGTTCATATCCTTTGCCCACTTTTTGATGGGGTTGTCTGTTTTTTCATGTAAATCTGTTTAAGTTCTTTGTAGATCCTGGATATTAGCCGTTTGTCAGATGGATAGATTGCAAAAATTTTCTCCCATTCTGTAGGTCACCTGTTCACTCTGATGATAGTTTCTTTTGCTGTGCAGAAGCTCTTTAGTTTAATCAGATCCCGTTTGTCAATTTTGGCTTTTGTTGCCATTGCTTTTGGTGTTTTAGTCATGAAGTCTTTGCCCATGCCTATGTCCTGAATAGTATTGCCTAGGTTTTCTTCTAGGGTTTTTATGGTTTTAGGTCTAACATTTAAGTCTTTAATCCATCTTGAGTTAATTTTTGTATGGGGTGTAAGGAAGGGATCTAGTTTCAGTTTTCTGCATATGGCTAGCTAGTTTTCCCAACACCATTTATTAAATAGGGAATCCTTTCCCCATTGCTTGTTTTTGTCAGGTTTGTCAAAGATCATGTGATTGTAGATGTGTGGTATTATTTCTGAGGCCTCTGTTCTGTTCCATTGGTCTATATATCTGTTTTGGTACCAGTACCATGCTCTTTTGGTTACTGTAGCCTTGTAGTATAGTTTGACATCAGGTAGTGTGATGCCTCCAGCTTTGTTCTTTCTGCTTAGGATTGTCTTGGCTATGCATGCCCTTTTTTGGTTCCATATGAAATTTAAAGTAGTTTTTTCCAATTCTGTGAAGAAAGTCAATGGTGGCTTGATTGGGATAGCATTAAATCTATAAATTACTTTAGGCAGTATGGTCATTTTGACGATACTGGTTTTTCCTATCCATGAGCATATAATGTTTTTCCATTTGTTTGTGTCCTCTGTTATTTCGTTGAGCATTGGTTTGTAGTTTTCCTTGAAGAGGTCCTTCACATCCCTTGTAAGTTGGATTCCTAGGTATTTTATTCTTTTTGTAGCAGTTGTGAATGGGAGTTCACTCATGATTTGGCTGTTTGTCTGTTATTGGTGTATAGGAATGCTTGTGATTTTTGTACATTGATTTGTATCCCGAGACTTTGCTGAAGTTGCTTATCAGCTTAAGGAGATATTGGGCTAAGACAATGAAGTTTTCTAAATATACAAACATGTCATCTGCAAGCAGAGACCATTTGACTTCCTCTTTTCCTACTTGAATACACTTTACTTCTTTCTCTTGCCTGACTTCCCTGGCCAGAACTTCTAATACTATGTTGAATAGGAGTGGTGAGAGAGGGCATCCTTGTTTTGTGCTGGTTTTCAAAGGGAATGCTTCCAGTTTTTGTCCATTCAGCATGATATTGGCTGTGGGCTTGTCATAAATAGCTCTTATTATTTTGAGATATGTTCCATCAATGCCCAGTTTATTGAGAGTTTTTAGCATGAAGGGCTGTTGAATTTTGTCAAAGGCCTTTTCTGCATCTATTGAGATAATCATGTGGTTTTTGTCATTGGTTCTGTTTATGTGATGGATTACATTTACTGATTTGCATATGTTGAACCAGACTTGCATCCCAGGGATGAAGCTGACTTGATCATGGTGGATAAGCTTTCTGATGTGCTGTTGGATTCGGTTTGCCAGTATTTTATTGAGGATTTTCACATCGATGTTCATCAGGGCTATTGGCCTGAAATTTTCTTTTTTTGTTGTGTCTCTGTCAGGTTTTGGTGTCAGGATGATGCTGGCCTCATAAAATTAGTTAGGGAGGAGTCCCTCTTTTTCTATTATTTGGAATAGTTTCAGAAGGAATGGTACCAGCTCCTCTTTGTACCTCTGGTAGAATTCGGCTGTGAATCCGTCTGGTCCTGGACTTTTTTTGGTTGGTAGGCTATTAATTGCTGCCTCAATTTCAGAACTTGTTATTGGTCTATTCAGGGATTCAATTTCTTCCTGGTTTAGTCTTGGGAGGCTGTATGTGTCCAGGAATTTATTCATTTCTTCTAGATTTTCTGGTTTATTTGCATAGAGGTGCTTACAGATTCTCCAGTGGTAGTTTGTATTTCTGTGGGATCGGTGGTGATATCCTCTTTATCATTTTTTATGCGTCTATTTGATTCTTCTCTCTTTTCTTATTAGTCTGGCTAGTGGCCTATTTTGTTGATCTTTTCAAAAAACCAGCTCCTGGATTCATTGATTTTTTTGAAGGGTTTTTTGTGTCTCTGTCTCCTTCAGTTCTGTTCTGATCTTAGTTATTTCTTGTCTTCTGCTAGCTTTTGAATTTGTTTGTTCTTTCTTTTCTAGTTCTTTTAATTGTGATGTTAGGGTTTCGATTTTAGATCTTTCTTGCTTTCTCTTGTGGGCATTTAGTGCTATAAAATTCCCTCTACACACTGCTTTAAATGTGTCCCAGAGATGCTGGTATGTTGTGTCTTTGTTCTCATTGGTTTCAAACTTCATTTCTAACTTCATTTCTTTATTTACCCAGGAGTTATTCAGGAGCAGGTTGTTCAGTTTCCATATAGTTGTGCAGTTTTGAGTGAGTTTCTTAATCCTGAGTTCTAATTTGATTGCACTGTGGTCTGAGAGACTGTTTGTTATGATTTCCGTTCTTTTGCGTTTGCTGAGGAGTGTTTCACTTTCAATTACGTGGTCAATTTTAGAATAAGTGTGATGTGGAGCGGAGAAGAATGTATATTCTGTTGATTTGGGGTGGAGAGTTCTGTAGATATCTATTAGGTCCTCTTGGACTGGAGCTGAGTTCAAGTCCTGGATATCCTTTTTAATTTTCTGTCTCATCGATCTGTCTAATATTGACAGTGGGGTGTTAAAGTCTCCTACTATTATTGTGTGGGGGTCTAAGTTTCTTTGTAGGTCTCTAAGAACTTGCTTTATGAATCTGGGTGTTCCTTTATTGGGTGCATATATATTTAGGATAGTTAGCTCTTGTTGTTGAATTGATCCCTTTACCATTATGTAATGCCCTTTGTCTCTTTTGATCTTTGTTGGTTTAAAGTCTGTTTTATCAGAGACTAGAATTGCAACCCCTGCTTTTTTTTGCTTTCCATTTTCTTGGTAAATATTCCTTCATCCCATTATTTTGAGCCTATATGTGTCTTTGCACATGAGATGGATCTCCTGAATACAGCACACTGATAGGTCTTGCCTCTTTATCCAATTTGCCAGTCTGTGTCTTTTAATTGGGGCATTTAGCTCATTTACATTTAAGGTTAATATTGTTATGTGTGAATTTGATCTTGCCATTATGATGCTAGCTGGTTATTTTGCACATTAGTTTATGCAGTTTCTTCATAGCATCGATGGCCTTTACAATTTGGTATGTTTTTGCAGTGGCTGGTACCGGTTATTCCTTTCCATGTTTAGTGCTTCCTTTAGGAGCTCTTGTAGGGCAGGCCTGGTGGTGACAAATCTCTCTGCCATTTCCTTGTCTGTAAAGGATTTTATTTCTCCTTCACTTATGAAGCTTAGTTTGGCTGGATATGACATTCTGGGTTGAAAATTCTTTTCTTTAAGAATGTTGAATATTGGCCCCCACAAAAACATTTCTTAGCAGACTGGATAGAATAGACTTTGAAGAGATTCTAGTGAAGGTGTTTCTTTAAAAATATTAATTATTGTAAAGAAATTATGCATCTGGGAAGACATAGAAGCGTTTTAGCACTATCCACTTTAATGTAATAATCCTAATCATTTCTTCTATAATCATTGACATATGAGCTGGACCACAAAGTTTAAATGTCCAGATTACTTACGCTTTGTGTGGCAACCTACACAAAGCTTAAAACAATTTCATTGACAATAACCATAGAATTGGTTGTAGAAATTATTCCTTCTTAAATGGCTTGGCTTGTTTTAGCCATGATTTAAAGTGATACGTTGGTGATACGCTGTCATCATCAAAAGGTCAAGTATTCTGTTTTGCTGTAATGCAATTATGTGCTCCATGGTGATCCCTGCACTGAATGGCCCCAGGTTGTTCTGGCTTTTGAGATCTTCTTTCTCCTGAGTCCTACTTTGACAACCACAGACAACCTCTTGGCTGCTGTCAGTTTGCCGGCTTTTAGCAGTAGTTCTTTCTGGTTATAATTTTCCGTGGCCTCCAAAATTACACAGTTTAACTTTGCTAGACTTTTGTCTAGAGGAAGCAGCAGCAGGCTCTGAATGGAGGCCCGAGGGACTCTCCTGCGACTAAAGAATGTGCACTTTCTGTGAATGGGTGTTGGGCTTGTTCCGAACCTCTTTTCACTTGCTTTTGGGTTCTCAGCTGACTTTTGCTTAGTTGAGGTTGATCTGTAAGTGCCCTTCAGATAATTCAGGTGGAACTGTGCTGCTAGAGAGCTACTGATTTTATGGACAAGCCCTTGACATCAAACTGGAAACCACTGGTCTATAGAATAAGACTTCAGACTAGAAAGCTAAAGGTCTAGATGTACTTGCTAGAACTTGCATAGCTTCTCTGAAATTTGGAGGAAAATGCCCTCCTCCAGCCTAGTTTAGTTTTCTGGATAAAGGGCTATATTAATATTGGAAAATTATAAAAGTTAATGCCTGATTTGAAGGGTTAATAATAATTTAGGCAAAGTAGTGGCAGCATTTGCCAATGGAAAAAAATGGATACATTTTGGAAAAAAAGGGACTTTTCTTGGTAAGTTAATTTTTTTCTTTTGAGGGACAGAAGGCAAGGAGAGGCTTTCTGATAAAAAGTCATCATTTGAAATGGTTG
Organism: Homo sapiens; assembly: GCF_000001405.40. Classification (NCBI taxonomy): domain Eukaryota; kingdom Metazoa; phylum Chordata; class Mammalia; order Primates; family Hominidae; genus Homo; species Homo sapiens. The sequence goes on from NC_000007.14 coordinate 141,179,463, forward strand.
CATGGATGCAATGTGCTGCTACTGTAATATGCAGTGTCACTGGAAACTAATCTCTTTATTGATTTTTTTTTCCCTGTGAACTTGCTGACAGCAAAAGATTAGGTCTAGAGAAATAGTTGTAGTTCAAGTTCTATTTGAAAATATTTAGAATTTAAACTGACCTTTACAAGAGAAAGGGCTGCAGGGAGTGGGATTTAAGTGGTTAGGGACAGAGCACCATATGAAGGGTGAGGTTGAGGGGAAAGCCTTTCTAATGCCAGTGTCAGAGCAGGCCATCCTGGACAAGTGTCCTCTGTCCCGAGGGCCATGGGAGAGCCCAGGGCCAGGCTGACCCTTGGCCACACTGCAAAGAAGATGAAGTTTGATTTTGTCCCATTTAGTTCTTAATGCACTTTACTCTCCCTTCTGTAGCCTTCTCCCACAACTCCTCTGTCTCTCCTGGCCTCGCCGGTTTGTCCAAAGCTCCAACTGTCTACTCTTCTCAGGCCCTCACACTTTCAGTGCCCCATGCTCCCAAACCACCTCCATCACGTCTTCCATCTCAGCCCATTTTTAAGAGGAAAGCAATTTAATTAAACCAACTTAAGATGTAAATGGCTGGTGGTCCATAACTCTCCGTGACACAGTATAGAGAGAAATGGTGTTTTTCTTTGTGCTTATCATCGATATGTCAAAATGGTAGAGGGGGAGAATTGATGGCCGTGTTTTAAAAAATTATGAATCTAAAGAAAACACAGGCCAGGCGTGGTGGCTCATGCCTATAATTCCAGCACAGGCTGAGGCTGGTCGATCACCTGAGGTCAGGAGTTTGAGACCAGCCTGGTCAACATGATGAAAAATGCAAAAAATTAGCCAGGCTTGGAGGCGGGCACTGTAAATCCTAGCTACTTGGGAGGCTGAGGCAGGAGAATCGCTTGAACCCAGGAGGTGGAGTTTGCAGTGAGCTGAGATCGCACCACTGCGATCTCCAGCCTGAGAGAGACAGAGAGAGAGCCCATCTCAAAAAAAAAAAAAAAAAAAAGAAAGAAAGAAAAAGAAAATATAAATCTACAAATCCATGCAAAAGTATGTCATTTGTTCCAGCCCTGTCTTCTAGTTTACCTCTGCCCAGAGGCCTCCCTTCCTTTAGTCACTTCATGGGAACAAAATTAATGTTTCACTTGTAGACTTATTGTATCACATAATTGGGAATATCCAAATTAATACAATGGGTTGTTTTGACATATTATCTTTTTAGTTTTCAATACCACCTTGCTGAGGACAGTAGTGTCTCCAAGTTCTCAAATTGTATAATTATCTATTACTTGTGGTTTGACCTAAGACTTGTCTCCTAATTCCTCTGGCACTCAGTTTCCTTATCTGTGAAATGAGAAATGTAATCAGATATCTCTAAATTCACTTCCACTTGTAAACTTCTAGGTTTTATTGTGCCCTGTCCTCTGTTGTTTCTAAATCCCATTTAAAAAAGGCTCCATGTAAGGAAAATTCCATCAACATCCATTCATCCATCCTCCTCCCCACCCATCCATCCACCCATCCACCCATCTGTCAATTCATCCATCCATCTCTCCATTCCTCATGTGCCAAGTATGATAGTGAACTGCATAGGGTAGCATGGTAAGGATTCAAAAGCCATAGAAGGTATGATCCTTTCTCTGGGGAACTTACCTTTCAGTATTTGAGGCAAAATTAGATACATGAAACAGCCAGAGACTAGGAACAAATGCAAGTGTGTGTCATTACAATGATGTGTTCATAAATACATCTTCAAATGTATCATTAGATTGTAAGCCCTTTGAGGCCTCAACACACAATAAGTTCTTGACACTTTTGCTAAAACTCATGATAAAGTACATACAGTGGTAATATACAATACAGGATGACCAGTGTAGACTGGCTGACTGGGGAAGGGTTGATGTAGGCTGGCTAACTAAGGAGAGGCTCAGTGTAGACAGGTTGACTCTGGAAATAGTTGGTGTAGACCAGTCGATTCTGAAAAGGCTCCATGTAGGCTGACTGTCTCATAAAGGGCTCAGTGTAGGCTGGCTTCCCACAGAGGGAAATATTTGAGATGAGTGGATTGGGAGGTTATATCCTGTGCCCTAGTTCTGCCATTAACATTGCATTTCTTTGCAAATAAATGTAACTTTGTCACTTCAAATCTGCAATTAGCATTAACTGTCAATGACAAGACTAGGGTGACAGTGAGTTCGGGTTCACAACCACGAGCTAGGACCAGGAGAGCCACAGCCACATATACTCCTCTTTTATCTCTGGTCCTTGAATGTTATCATGCTAAACTGCATCCCTTATTTCCTGAAAACTCTTGGTAAGTCTTCCTCCTTGGGTGCTGATCCTGTTCAGGATCCGCAATCACTTTCTTTAGAATTATGGTGCTACTGGCTGCCCAACTAGGAGGCTCGCCTCAACCCAAAGAGTCCTGCTGCTGGAGTCCACCTACCAGCTTGGATCCCTTGCCTGTGAACTAATCTAGTTTTCACTAGCGACACTGATATTTAGACTGGGGGTCATTATCATTCAGGCTAGACCTTGAGCTGAGCAGTCTTTTCACCCAGCCCTGCTCATTCCCAGTGCACACCCTTTCCTATTGGCTTACTTTTGAAGTTCTCATGCCTTGAAACTAGACCTATGAGAATATGACACAGAGAAAGATTTTGGGGGCCTGGACAGTCAGGGGTCTGGAACCAGGTAAGTGTCCTGGGCACTGGGGGAACTCATGCATGCTCGCCGGGCAGCAGCCTCAGGCCACCACGATTGAGAAGGCCTGCATAACTAAGGACATGTTGTGTGCAGCCAGGAAACTCTTTAGACTCTTCCTACTGGGTCCAAGAGGGTGGGGCCAACAGCCCTGGTCCTTGACTTGTGTGTCAAGAAGTTATTGTGTGTTAAGGTCTCAAACTTATTATACTGGCTTGTTATACTGGTCATCCCTGTATTGTATATTCCCCTTATATGTATTTAAACATGAGTTTTAACAAACATATGTCAAGAATTTATTGTGTGTTAAAGCCTCAAACAGTCCAGTTCTAGGGCACAGTCCATCTGGAATCACACAGGTAAGAGAAGAGAAGTGGGTCACCTGGCCGGAAAGAATTAGTAAGGGAAACAGAAGAGTTGATAGGGACATTGGGTTTTGATATGGCTTGGCTGTGTCCCCACCCAAATCTCACCTTGAACTGTAGTAATCCCCACTGTCAAGGGTGGGGCCAGGTGGAGATAATTGAATCGTGGGGCGGTTTCTCCCATACTGTTCTTGTGGTGGTGAATAACGCTCATGAGATCTGATGGTTTTGTAAATGGGAGTTCCCCTGCACAAGCTCTCTTTTCCCTGAGCCACGTAAGATGTGCCTTTGCTTCTCCTTTGCCTTCCACCGTTTCCTTAGCCATGCTGAACTGTGAATCCATTCAGCCTCTTTCCCTTATAAATTACCCAGTCTCGAGTATGTGTTTATTAACACTGTGAGAACGAACTAATACAGCTTTGAATAGTCAACATGTTGAAATGATGTTCATCAGACATTGAAGTAAGTATGTCAAAGTCCTGAATTTTGTCACTAATCAGACCTTTTTACTGGAGAATCATATGTGCTTGAATGAATGAAGTGCACTGCCTTAATGGCTAGTATTCCTGATTATAAAAACAATGTTGGCTATACATCCTAACACCTTGTGAGTCAGAGGACCTCAGAGTAAACATTTTGTCCTTGACCTCTTCCAGACCTGAACTCTTTCAGCAGCATGGGGTTAATAAACCAAGGGTGGGAGGGAACAGCTTGTGATCTCTGGCGGCCTTCACAGCCCACCCTGTCATTAGAATGTTCCCTCTCAAATTCTGGGTCCTCTGATTTGCCCTTAATTGTTGAAAATGCACAGGAAATTAATTTGGTAAGTGGCAAAAATTAGTGCCCTCTTAAGTCAGACCTTTTCATTCTGCAAACAGCTGGGTTTGAAATTTTTCTTTGTGTTACCTACAAAAAAGCAGTTACTTATCTGTATTAGAAATGTAAATAAGTATCATTTTCTGATTTCAAACAATTTAGAGACACCTATTTATATCCTAAACACTGATGTGTTAGTCACCACATAGTTCTTTATGTTTATTAAAGCAACAATTCCTTAGACTTGCCTTCTCTCCTCCTTCTTCTCATCTTCCTCCTTTTTGCTTCTCCAAATAGATGACATTGTTACCTGCTAAGGCCGAGACTGCATTTTCTTACTTTTCTCAACCCAGCACCTTGTGTTGTTCATGATACCTAATGACATGAATGATGGATAATTATGAATATGTATATGATTATGATGTTTGAGAAATAAGAGCATTTTCTGGAAGTGACAGGTCCTGAGCTGAGGAATGTGGGTTTATCCACGTGCTGGTTCATGGTGGAATTAGCCCCGGCATGCGGCCTCCTTGGTGTGCAGGACAGCCAGGTTTGGCCTCAGCAAAGAAGCATCACGTTCAGACACGATGGAACTGGACCTCTCTGAGGTCAGCCTTCAACCAGTGATGCTTCTTGGAAACTCGTCCCTGCACTTGGTGGGTTTTTATTAAAGGAGAGACATTCTTTGTGAGTTTTCTTGGGGGATTCCTCTCCTTTGCAGAGTTCCCTGCAGAACAGCACAGGCTATCAGCCATTACCAATGAGAACAGCAATTGGTTTTAAAGCTTGAGGAAAATATCAGGGCCTAGTAATCTATGTAACATTCTGGAGGCCATATTTCTATTATCTTGAACAATATTTTTCACAGTTGCTTGGTATTTGTTCACTGGATTTTACCTGATTGATGTGATAGATCTGCAGTTGCTTTATTGTCTTGGATCAGGTTTTAAGCCTGATTTTCAGTCCTTCCTCCCCCACTGTTACTCTTTAGGGACCCTCAAATTCTTCCCAGTGGGTTCAGAGAGTCCCCAGGAGTGTCTTACGTGTTTCTAAATGCTCTTGACTCTAGGCTACCTGGAGGGCTCTGACATTTCCTTCACCCTGTCCTCTCTGCCAGCAAGACCCACACTATGGTCTATTTAGCCCCAACTTTGAGGGTCTCCTGCCACTCCCCATGTCTTATATGTGGGAGCCTCTGCTCTCCTAGTCAATTTCACCTACTTGTGCTGCCTTGGGTGTGTGGCAATGTCTTGTGGGGACTTTTGGCTGTGGGCTCTTTGTTTATTTTGTTAAACTTCTCTTCTCTAGGGCTATGACATCAATTCCCAGAGCACGGAGCTTGGGGGAACTCCAAAGCAACACATCCCCCTGCATTTGGAATCCCCCTCTCCTCACTATGATCTATTGTCCTTGGACCAAGTTTACACGCAGTGACCCTTTTCTCAGGATGAATATTTTCCTGGCCGACTCATTGATCCTTGGTACAAATAAACTTCTGGAAGACCCAGAGAGAGGAAAACACAGGTAACCCTGGGACTAGACTTTAGATATTCTGAATTCCAATCAGCACTTCTGCTCTAAGCTGCAGCTGCCTTACTGACCCTCTGGACGTGGCCAGACACATCTAAAGCTCAGCGCAGTTGAAACGGGAAAAGTTCCCTTGCACCCCTCGCAGGATGTGCGATGGTGGTGTGGCTCACTTCTTCAGTGCCCTGCTGCTCAAAGCTCTAGGGGAGCATACAGATAGGCAGGCTGTGGGGCTCCAACCCCACGGCAGTATCTAGGGGTGAATGTTTACAGCTGAAGCCCCAGTGGGCGTGTGTTACAGGGTGCTCTTTAGTTTAGCCGTCCGTAGGTGGCTTGTGTTAGCTCAATTAGCCTCCTGCCTTATCTCCAGGACAGAGGGCTTTCTGTATCCCAGGTTTCTTGCCTTGGTGTACTGGAAGAATCAGATCACACATGGGCTTGGAGAATGAGTGCAGGGTTTCACTGAGTGGAAGTAGCTCTCAGCAGATGAGGGAGCCAGAAGGGAGATGGTGTTCCCCTGGAGTCAGGCCGCTCAGCGGCCTGGGCTCTCCTCCGACTGCCCTGGCCAAACTCCATGTCGTTCAGCAGGTCAGTGGCCTGCTGGCATGTGGGTGCCTGTTGGTGTGCTCCCAACATGCCCTCAACGCGCAGCCGCTTGTGTGTTCCTCCACCAATGTGTTTTCTCCTATCTCCAGCTGCTTGTGTCTTCTTCCGCAGATACGTTCCTCTCGACGTCCAGCTGCTTGTGTGTCTTCTGGCTAGGGTCTCTGGGGTTTTTATAGGCACAGGATGGGGGTGTGGCAGGCCAGGGTCGTCTTGGAAAATGCAGCATTTGGGCAGACAAACAAAAATGCCAGTCCTCACCTCGGTCCGTGGGGGTGGAGCCCTAACCAGGGACCATGCCCTCCTCTACCCAGCACTTCCCTTCCCCCTTTCCATATCACAGTCATGGCTTAGGCTGTTAAGATGTTGCATTCAGGGCTTTTCTGGGGAGCTGATATTAAATGCCTCAATCAGAGACCTGCACAGAGCAGATCTCTGTAGATGAACTTAATTGTGATATTAATGTGGACTTTGGTCCTTGATCGGCTCCTCCTGAGAATTCTCTCCTTTTGAAACTTCAATTTCTTGAAACCTTCTAGATCCTTAGTAACTTACCACCTTTCCTGCCCACTGTGACTTGATACTATAAAAAAGAAAAATGGGGTTTGGGTAGGGGTGTGTATGTGTTAGGGTGGAGAGAAAGCCATTATCAACTTGTAGCAGGTTCAGTGTATAGTTAAAGAGTCAAGGTCATGGATAGGAAACCAGAGCTAATCCTAGAAGGTCCAGTGGGTGCCAAGAACCAAGCAGGTGGTGCCAATAGCCCTGGTCCAGAGAGGGAGTTGTGTTTTGAAAGTTGGATGCATTTTTAGGGTACCAAGTCTGTTTGGTTTGACATCAGGAAACCCACAAAGATTATGTGAAGTAAAGAGGGTGGATTTGCATGGCATGCCTGGCAGGGGTGTAAACTGCAGCAGCCCCATCCTGCCCTTCCTCTCGGGGCCTCTGCTCCTCCTTCCCCATCCGCTGTCTCTACTTAGCTTCTTCCTTGTCCATCTCCCTCCTGCCTTAACCTACATTTTATTTATTTCATTTTATTGATGTTGTTTGTTTTCCTTGACACCAGCTTAATCTTATAGTCCCCTCTTCACTTCAGCTGCATTCTTTCAGTGTTTCTGGCATCATCTTCACTTGAGAGAGGATTTGATCAGCCTCGTTCAACATCTTGTGCTGGGCCATATGGCATGGGTGGCCAAGGCATGCTTCTCTAGTTTCTAGGGGATGGAACTGTGAAAACTGTTATGTGAGTGGGTCTCTTGATTCCCAGGGACGGTGAGTAGCCCCACCAGTGGCTACTAACAATGTGGCTGCCTTTTCACCAGGGCTGTTGGCCCTGCAGTGTCTTAGGGGTCACCTGGTATCTGGCACAGTGGAGCAGCACAAATCCATGTGGATGGCACAGAGCCTGTTTCTCCTAGAGAAGCTTCTTTGAGATGATGCTTTTTTTAAAAATTTTATTATTATTATACTTTAAGTTCTAGGGTACATGTGCACAACGTGCAGGTTTGTTACATATGTATACATGTGCCATGTTGGTGTGCTGCACACATTAACTCGTCATTTAGCATTAGGTATATCTCCTAATGCTATCCCTCCCCCCTCCCCCCACCCCACAACAGTCCCTGGTGTGTGATGTTCCCCTTCCTGTGTCCATGTGTTCTCATTGTTCAATTCCCACCTATGAGTGAGAACATGTGGTGTTTGGTTTTTTGTCCTTGTGATAGTTTGCTGAGAATGATGGTTTCCAGTTTCATCCATGTCCCTACAAAGGACATGAGCTCATCATTTTTTATGGCTGCATAGTATTCCATGGTGTATATGTGCCACATTTTCTTAATCCAGTCTATCGTTATTGGACATTTAGGTTGGTTCCAAGTCTTTGCTATTATGAATAGTGCCGCTATAAACATACGTGTGCATGTGTCTTTGTAGCAGCATGATTTATAATCCTTTGGGTATATACCCAGTAATGGGATGGCTGGGTCAAATGGTATTTCTAGTTCTAGATCCCTGAGGAATCGCCACACTGACTTCCACAATGGTTGAACTAGTTTACAGTCCCACCAACAGTGTAAAAGTGTTCTTATTTCTCCACATCCTCTCCAGCACCTGTTGTTTCCTAACTTTTTCATGATCGCCATTCTAACTGGTGTGAGATGGTATCTCATTGTGGTTTTGATTTGCATTTCTCTGATGGCCAGTGATGATGAGCATTTTTTCATGTGTTGTTTGGCTGCATAAATGTCTTCTTTTGAGAAGTGTATGTTTATATCCTTCGCCCACTTTTTGATGGGGTTGTTTGTTTTTTTCTTGTAAATTTGTTTGAGTTCATTGTAGATTCTGGATATTAGCCCTTTGTCAGATGAGTAGGTTGCAAAAATTTTCTCCCATTCTGTAGGTTGCCTGTTCACTCTGATGATAGTTTCTTTTGCTGTGCAGAAGCTCTTTAGTTTAATTAGATCCCATTTGTCAATTTTGTCTTTTGTTGCCATTGCTTTTGGTGTTTTAGACATGAAGTCCTTGCCCATGCCTATGTCCTGAATGGTATTGCCTAGGTTTTCTTCTAGGGTTTTTATGGTTTTAGGTCTAACATTTAAGTCTTTAATCCATCTTGAATTAATTTTTGTATAAGGTGTAAGCAAGGGATGTTTTTAAAGTGACTTTCAGTATATCAATCTCTTTAGCTCCTGTGTTGTGTGTAATGGCTAAACCCACATCTTCACACGCCCGAACTCATTGGATCATCACAACCACCCCTTGAAGTAGGTATGGGTTGAGCATCCCTAATCCAAAAATGCAAAAATCTGAAATTATCCAAAATCTGAAGACACTCAAAGGAAATGCTCATTGGAGCATTTCAGGTTTTGGATTTTTGGATTAGGAAGGCTCAATGGTGAGTATAATGCAAGTGTTTCAAAAATCTGAAAAGATCCAAAATCCAAAACACTTCCTGTGCAAATACTCAACTTGCGTAACTGCTCTTATTGGATGTAGGACGAAACTGAGTCAGCAAGAAGTCAAGAGACTTGCCCAGTTATACACAATGAGCAAGTGAGAGACAGATCTAGCTTCCTGACTTCCAGTCCCAAACTTTTTTCCTGTATGTTCTACATCTGTATTCAGGCCTTGTGCTTCCCTAGGTGTTATGAGGAGATAAAACAGAAATAAGCTTACATTCTAGTTAGGATAAGCTGCAAACAACATCCATTAAGACAGTCATTTGAGAGCTGATTGCTCTGTGCTGGTGATTGTGACCTTGAGGTACTCACACGAGAGGACACACAAAAATTACAGGCTGCTTTGCAAAGTCTGGGATGCACTGCGGATTGAAGATAAGCCTGGAGAGAATCAAGGTCACAGACTTACCCAAACCTGAGAAACCCTGAAAAGAGCCAGCGTTATTCATTGGTAATGCTGAGCTAGAAGGTGTCCCTGAATCCAGCCGCCTGAGGAAGGTCCAAGGCCACATGGCCTGATGCTGAATTAGTTGACAAGGAATCAGGCCCAAACCGAGGAGGTCACAGTGTCCTTTGGAAAGACAGAGTGGTGGAGCCAGTGTAGCTCTGAAGGTCTACAATGAAGCCATGTTTCATCTTTCAGACAGCTGTGGTACCTGGACATCATAAGAGGCTTTCTGAGCTGTTTGAATATAACCCAGAATGAACATCAAATGACAAAAGAGAATCCCTCACTGCATTGTGCTAGAATGTAGCCAGAGGGAAAGACTTGAAGGCCTGTTTCCAAGAGCAAAGCTCTAATGGATTGGCCACGTGAAGCATTGAGTGAAGGCAGAACTTTCCCATGCAGTGGCTGCAGGGGCACCCAGAGTAGAGGAAACCCTTCCAGGGCACTCTGGTGTCAGGAATGAATAGCTGAGCCTGGCCTGTGGGCCGATGCTGGTGGGCGGGCAGATAGCAGATGGGCAGAGCAGCAGGAATGTAAGGGCAGCTTGTAGACTATTGGGTCAATTCCTAGGTCTGGCAGCCAGGGACCAAGCCTCTGAAGTTCATCTGAGGCCAGGAATCCAGAAGGTGGAGTCCTCAGCTTAGGGAAACTGGTGACTGAAGCGGTCATCACAGTCAGGCCCTGGTCATGGGAGAATAAAGCAGAGGCCCAGTTACCCAGTCTGGTATATAAGGTCAGGGCGACTGGTATACAAGGTCAGGGCAGAGTTCGTGGTGGCAGTGACAGAGCTGGCTCCCACATCAGCATGAGCAGCATCCTGACTGTGTCGGCCATTCTAACGTCTCTCTAGGAAAGGTCAGCCCTGCCTTGGAGTTTAGAGAGGGGTGGCCAAAGTTGTGGGGAGAGGAGGGCTCTGAGTACCAGAAACTGGATGGTCTCGACCAAGAACCACCAGGGCTGCTGGGCCCTGTGTAGCTGTGCGTGTGGAACCCTGAAGGGCAGGGCTCAGAGTCTGAGGTTCAGAGAGGGGAATTGGCCATCCCCACATCATCCTGGGCAGAGCTGAAACAGACCCATATTCTTTTTTATGATTTTAACTTCACCTTGTTTTGTTTTTTAGCATTATAATCAACATTTAAAAAATAGGCAATACATTCACATGGTTTAATGTCTTAAAAGCATAAAAGGATAAACAGATGTTCCTTGGCTTACGACAAGGTTTTGTCCTGATCAACCCATCATAAGTTGAAAATAACAGCAGTAGAAAATGCACTTAATATACCTAACCTACCAAACATCATAGCTTAGCTTAGCCTACCTTAAGTGTGCTCAGAATACTTACATTAGCCTGCAGTTGGGCAAAATCATCTAACACAAGGCCTATTTTATAACAAAGTGTTGGATATCTCGTGTAACTTTTGTTTTTTTTTTCTTTTAGACAGGGTCTTGTTCTGTTGCCCAGGCTGGAGTACAGGGGTGTGATCACAGCTCACTGTAGCCTTGACCTCCTGGGCTCAAGAAATCCCCATGCTTCAGTCTCCCAAGTAGCTGGGACTACAGTCATGTGCCACTGTGGCTAATTTTTTTTTTTTTATATAGAGATGAAGGCTCTCTATGTTGCCCAGGCTGGTCTTGAACTCCTGGGCTCGAGTGATCCTCCCACCTCGGCCTCTCAAGGTGTTCGGATTACAGGCAGGAGCCACCATGCCCAGCTCATGTAATTTACTGAATACTGTATTGAAAGTGAAAAACAAGTTGGTCGTATGGGCACTTGACATATGGTTTCTACTGAATGTCTATCACTTTCACACCATGGTAAAGTTGAACAATCTAAGTCAAAGTATCTTAAGTTGGGGACCATCTGTACAAGCAGTGTTTCTTTCCCTCTCATTTTCGCAAACTCCCAAGTATCCTTCTGTAGACAACCAATATTACTAGTTTGCATCCAGAGATGTTTTATGCATAGGCAAGCATATACCTATTCATCTATATTTATATTTGTCACCTCTTTCCCTTTTTTTTACATAAATGTGGTATACTGAGTCCTCACTTAACATCGTCAATAGGTTCTTGGAAACTGCAATTTTAAGTGAAGCAACATACATCAGGTCCTTGAATAACATTGTTTCATTATAATACTGATGAGAAAAAATAACTGGTTTCATTATACATCATTTCGCTTAAAGCCAGTTTCCAGGAGCCTATCAATGACATTAAGTAAGAACTTATCGTATATATTACACCTTGCTTATTTTCATTTAGTTTATCTGGTAAGGCTTTCCATATCAGTTTCTAAAGCGTCTTGTCTATTTTTAAGTGGCTGTATTGCCTTCCATTGCATGCATGTACCATAATTTATTCATTCTCCTATTGATGGAAATTTAGGTTGCTCTTATGAGCAAAGTGGCAATGAATAACCTTGTACATCTGTCATTTCACACCTGTGAAACATCTCTTGGAGAAATTACTAACTGTGGAATTTCTGGGTCAAATTGAGGCTTTGTAATTTTGAGAGATCCTGATGGATTGCCCTCTAGAGAGGCTGAACAAATTTATGAAATTTACACTCCAACGGCCACTCACGACAGTGTCTGGTTCTCCACATCTCACCACTGCCATCAACCTTGCTTCCGGGCCTTGGCCAGAATGATAGTTACAAATGGCATTCAGTGTAGATTTAATCTGTAGCTGTCTTATTTTGAGTGCTCTTGAGTATCTTTTCATATGTTTAAGTAACATTTGTATTTTCATGAACTTTCTGTTCATATCTTTTGCTCATTTTTAAATTGTATTGGTTGATCTTTTTCTTATCAGTTGTAGGTGCTTTTTTAATCTTTGCAGCAAATGAGTTCTTTGTGATGTGAGTTGCAAGTACTCCTCTTAGTTTGTTTTTTGATTTTGCTTATGGTAGGTTTTGCTATGTGAAATTTTGTATTTTTACGTATTCAAATTTATCAGTATTTTCTTTTTTGGATTTTGGGTTATAGTTACAAAGGCTTTCTTTCTTTTGGGCTATAAAAAGGTTTTAATCCTGTTTTCTTCCAATGCTTTGTGACTTAAATTTTTCCAAACAAATATTTGATCCATTGGGAATTTACCCTGGTTTAAGGTGCAAGGTGTGCCTTCAATTTTATCTTATTTTTCCCAGAGGGCTATCCAGTTTACTGAATATCATTTATTAAATAAACCATCATTTCCCTTACTGATTTGAGATGCCACTATTACTATATAGTAAATTCCCATATTTTAAATTGAGCTGGATTTTCTGAATTCTGGCCCAGTTCTTCTATCACCTAGGCAACAGAGAGAGGCAGAGCCCTACTGGGAAAGAAGCACCAAGTAGCTATAGAGAGAGGACAGGCAGAGGGCTCCAGGTCTGCAGGGAGTGACCAAGATCAGCAGAGACACCAGAGGTTAGATAAGGACCGTCAGGGTGTGGAGGGGGAGATAGGCCATGTACCTGGGGAAGGGAGAGGTGGGGGTGGCTGGTCCAGCAGAAAAAAGCACCAAGGCAGATGTTCCAGGAGCTAACTGGGAGCTGCTACAACTTGGGTTGAGAGATGGGAAGGAATGGGGACTCTCCATGCAGCGGTCTTTTTTTTTTTTTTTTGAGACAGAGTCTCACTCTGTCGCCCAGGCTGGAGTGCAGTGGGGCGATCTTGGCTCGTTGCCAAGCTCTTGCCCCAGCCTCCCGAATAGCTGCGACTACAGGCGCTTGCCACCACACCCGACTAATTTTTTGTATTTGTAGTAGAGATGGGGTTTCACCATGTTAGCCAGGATGGTCTCGATCTTCTGACCTTAGGTGATCCACCCAGCTCAGCCTCCCAAAGTGCTGGGATTACAGGCGTGAGCCACTGTGCCCAGCCAGTGGTCTTCATTTTTAGGTGTTTACTTCAGTCTGTTTCAGTACTTAGACATCACTTGCTTTGGTGGTTTCATATCTGCCACTTTATTCCATAAACATCTCTGCGATGTGCGTTTTGAAGTCCTAATTCCCAGGGGGGAGGCATCTTATGATTTGATATTTATTTTTATTTTAAAAATCTTAATGTATTCCATCTTCTGTAAGCAGGAAAAAATGTAGGAAAATGGAAATTTCTCCAATGTTAGCTGCCCATGCCCTCTATCTAATTGTTCCACTCTGGCCATGGTCTCTGCTTACCTCCAACTCCTCTGCCCATCCTCCAGTCAAGCCCTGCCCCTGCAGCCTGCTTCTCCTATGAGGCGGTGGCCCTAGCATCCTCTGCCTCCAGCCCTTCTGCTAAACCATCCCTGCTCTTGGCTGCGCTTTTGGGATCCTGAGTTCCCCTGAGAAGACTTCCTGGCCAGGCTCGTGCAGCACCAGTTCTGTTCACCACAGTGAATGGAGTGGCAACCTGAGGCCTTGCAAAACTAGATAAGAGACAGCTGTCTGTCTTATCTCTCTCTGCTCCTGTGTGCTGGCTTCTGATTTCAGAGAGGCCCTGAATGCAAAACCTAAGGGACCCCTGGAGTCATGGGAATAATGTGCTTATGCAGAGGAGTTGGGCAGCCCTTCCAGGGTCAGGTGACTCCATCAGCACGAGTTGCTCCTCTCCACTCACTCTGTCTGGATGCCTGGGGTCCCAGGGGGTACCCACTTGCCATCTCTTAGCTCTTATGTTTGGGAAGTGAGAGTGGCTGTTGGACTGTGCTGCAGGAGAAGGGCAAGCACAGTGTGCAGGGAGGCCTAGGCCGAGCCCATTCCTGCAAGGAGCAGTCAACTTCAAGGGGACCTGGAAGCCAAGAGTAGACTGGATGGGCTCCTGTGCATCCACCCTACCCATGTCTGCAGCCATACTCAGGCCCCAACTCTGGTGCCTGGACAAGCACAACAGCCCCAGCCCAGGTCCTTCCCTGAATGCCCTGCTGCCAGTTCCAAGGGCCCCCTGCAGGACCCTGCCCAGTTCTGGCCCTCAAAGTACTTCTGTTTCCTGTTGAGTGAGGTGCAGACTCCTCATATTGCCATTCCGGGCCTTGTAGGCTGGCCTCAGGCCACCTCATATACTTCTTACTTGGCAGCAACAAGAAAAAATGAGGGAGAAGCAAAAGCAGAACCCCCTGATAAACCCATCAGATCTCGTGAGACATATTCACTATCACAAGAATAGCATGGGAAAGACCAGACCCCATGATTCAATTACCTCCCCCTGGGGCCCTCTCATAACACCTGGGAGTTCTGGGAGATACAATTCAAGTTGAGATTTGGGTGGGGACACAGCCAAACCATATCATTCCACCCCTGGCCTCTTCAAATCTCATGTCCTCACATTTCAAAACCAATCATGCCTTCCCAGCAGTCCCCCAAAGTCTTATTTCAGCAATTACCCAAAAGTCCACAGCCCAAAGTCTCATCTGAGACAACACAAGTCTCTTCTGCCTATGAGCCTGTAAAATCAAAAGCAAGCTAGTTACTTCCTAGATACAATGGGATACAAGTATTGGCTAAAAACAGCCATTTCAAATGGGAGAAATTGGCCAAAACAAGGGCTACAGGGTCCACCCAAGTCTGAAATCCAGCAGGGCAGTCAAATGTTAAAGCTCCAAAATGATCTCCTTTGACTCCATGTCTCACATCCAGGTCATGTTGATGCTAGAGGTGGGTTCCCATGGATTTGGGAAGCTCCGCCCCTGTGGCTTTGCAGGTTACAGCCTCCCCACCAGCAGCTTTCCTGGGCTGGTGTTTAGTGTCTGCAGCTTTTCTAGGTGCACGATGCAAGCTGTCGGTGGATCTACTATTCTGGGTTCTGGAGGATGGTGGCCCTCTTCTCACAGCTCCACTAGGCGTGCCCCAGTAGAGACTCTGTATGGGGTCTCTGACCCCACATTTCCCTTACACACTGCCCTAGCAGAGGTTCTCCATGAGGGCCCCACCCCTGCAGCAAACTTTTGCCTGGGCATCCAGGCATTTCCACACATCTTCTGAAGTCTAGGTGCAGGTTCCCCAACCTCAATTCTTGATGTCTGTGCACCCACAGGCTCAACACCACGTGGAAGCTGCCAAGGCTTGGGGCTTCCACCCACTGAAGCCACACCCAACCTGTACATCAACCACAGCTGGAGTGGCTGGGACACAGGGCACCAAGTCCCTAGGCTGCACACAGCACGGGGACCCTGGGCCTGGCCCATGAAACCACTTTTTCTTCTTGGGCCTCCAGGCCTGTGATGGGAGGGGCTGCCATGAAGATCTCTGACATGGCCTGGAGACATTTTCCCCATGGTCTTGTGGATTAACATTAGGCTCTTTGCTGTTTATGCACATTTCTGCAGCTGGCTTGAATTTCTCCCCAGAAAATGGGTTTTTCTTTTCTATCGCATAGTTAGGCTGCAAATTTTCCAAACTTTTATGCTCTGCTTTCCTCATAAAACTGAATGCCTTTAGCAGTACCCAAGTCACCTCTTGAATGCTTTGCTGCTTAGAAATTTCTTCCACCAGATACCCTAAGTTATCTTTCTCAAGTTCAAAGTTCCACAAATCTCTCAGGCAGGGCCAAAATTCTGCCAGTCTCTTTGCTAAAACATAACAGGAGTCACCTTTACTCCAGTTCCCAAGAAGTTCCTTATCTCCATCTGAGACCACCTCAGCGTGGACCTTATTGTTCATATCACTATCGGCATTTTGGGCAAAGCCATTCAACAAGTCTCTAGAAAGTTCTAAACTTTCCCACATTTTCCTGTCTTCTTCTGAGCCCTCCAAACTGTTCCAGCCTCTGCCTATTACCCAGTTCCAAAGTTGCTTCCACATTTTCAGGTATCTTTTCAGCAACACCCCACTCTACTGGTACCAATTTACTGTATTAGTTCATTTTCACACTGCTGATAAAGACATACCCAAGACTGGGAAGAAAAAGAGATTTCATTGAACTTACAGTTCCACATGGCTGGGGAGGCCTCAGAATCATAGCAGGAGGCGAAAGGCACTTCTTACGTGGCAGCAGCAAGAGAAAATGAGGAAGAAGCAAAAGCAGAAGCCCCCAGTAAACCCATGAAATCTCATGAGACTTACTCACTATCACAAGAATAGCACAGGAAAGACCGGATCCCATGATTCAATTACCTCCCCCTGGGTCCCTCCCACAACACATGGGAGTTCTGGGAGATACAATTCAAGTTGAGATTTGAGTGGGGACACAGCCAAAGCATATCAGTATGATACTGTACGTATCAATGTGCAGTTCTATTTGCTTTTAATATTATATTTTGAGATCTGTCACTATACACACACACACATGCACACACACACACAGTTCTATTTCATTTATTTTAATGACTCTATAATATTCTATCATGTGAATGTGACCACCTTTTACTTTTCCACTTTTTTCTGGTTTTTACTCTTTTTTTGGATATTTGGTTTTCACTCTTTTTTGCAAGCAATGCTGTATTGAATATCCTTGTATATATGTCCTCCTCAGCCACACATGTAGGAGTTTGTTGAGGGGCTGTAAATGTGGGCCATAGGACATATACATTTCTACTTGATTTTGTCAAGTGTTTGGAACAACTTGTATTCTAAATAACAGTGTCTGGAAGTTTCTATTTCCCCTGTCTTTACCAAGTCTTGATATAATCTGTTAGGTTTGCTGTTGTGATTGGGAAGTGGAATGTGGAGCAGCGTTTCTGAAAGTTAAAAAATAGTTAATTCCATCTTGGCTTGGACTCATCAGGTTAGAGCTAAGGGTTGGGGGTTAGGGGACACTTGTTTAACTAACCCATATAACCCTTGCAGGTCAAAGGTGAGTCCTAAATCGTGACTCCCCTGGGTGCGTCGAATATCAAACTATATTTGGTGCTGAGCAGCTGCAGCCATGTTTCTGCTTTCATGTCTTGGGGATCTCGTGCATGTGTGGAGGAGATGTGCTGGAGAAGCTCATTGGTGTAATTGGTCTTCAAGGGGCCTGGAAATCAGGGCACAGTAGGCTCAGTCCTTGAGCCAGGAGTAGGATAGTAGGACACAGCTAGGGTTACAGTGTAATGGGAGATGCTGCCTTGGGCTGTGAGTGGGGATGGGGTGAGATGCCAGCAACATGGCTGAGAAAGAAACTGAGGTCAGTAACTGAGGCCAGAAGAAGACAGGATGATAGGAAGCTGTCTCCTAGACGTTCATTTCTTTTGTTAAACCATGACAGATTTGTGCTTGCTGCATATCTTAAAGGACATTCGTGGTGTCTGACATATATAATCTGTGTCCCAAATGGTGCCATAGTATAACAATAGCTATAACAATTATGGATTGCTTATGACATACCAGGCACAAAGTGCTTTCCCTGTATGAACTTATTGAATTCTCACAATATCCCTAAGGGGGTAGATACTTGCACCACAGCATTTTAAGATAAAGACACTTGGGTATAGAGAGAGGGCTTCATTAATTTGGCCAAGATCCCATATCTAGGGATTCTTAAAGCCAGGATTAGAACCCATGGCAAATTGGTTCCAGCACCCATGTTCTTTATTCTGCATAGTGCTGCAGGACACAGGAGGAAAAGAGTGAATAAGTTGCTCTTCCTTTTTTCAGTTCTGTTTTTGAATTTCATTGCAACTAGGGAGTCAGGATAAGTTAACCCTTTAATTAACATCTGTAATCTAGCCAAGCCATTTAACTTAAACACGGAAATAATCAATTTTGTGAGTAGACAGAGGTATAAAGAGAAACATAATTCATCTATTTGGGGTTTCTACATTCTGTCTGTGATCTTTAGTTTCCATTCAAGTTTTTTGTTTTTTGTTTTTGAGATGGAGTCTCACTGTCTTGCCTAGGCTGGAGTGCAGTGGTGCGATCTTGGCTCACTGTAACCTCCACCTCCTGGGTTCAAGTGATTCTCCTGCCTCAGCCTCCCAAGTAGCTGGATTATAGGCATGCACCACCACACCTGGCTAATTTTTTGTGTTTTTAGTAGAGATGGGGTTTCACCATGATGGCCAAGCTGGTCTCGAACTCCTGACCTCAGGTGATCCACCAACCTCGGCCTCCCACAGTGCTGGGATTACAGGCATGAGCCACCGCACCCTGCCAGTTTCCATTCAAGTTTTAGCTAAGGCATATAACAGGTTGAAGAGGAAAATAGTCAATCATCTGAATTGTGTTTCTCAAGTACAACTCAGTTCCCCCCAGTTCTTCCCTAATCTCTTCTTTCCCTCTCTCTCTCTGAATTAACTGGTAAAAAGGAAAATCAGCATTATGTAACTCCTTTTTCAAAGGAAAAGTGGAAAACTCAGTGATATGCATTTTTTTTTCCCTAGCTGAAACTAAACATTCATTCAGCTGTTTGGAAGCATCTGTGTGGCTGTTTGAATCCTCTCATTTTTATTGAGCTCAGTCTGTAGGAAATGCCTGGCCTTGGCCTTCTGGAGGTGCATACCTGGGGGAGGCAGACTTGACTGGGGAGAAGCTGGCCAGCAGAGTGTCTGCCATCAGGTCCCAAAGCCACACCCAGAGGTGGCAGCGGCAGAGCCCAGGAAAGCCATCTCTGTCCTGGCATCTGCAATTCTGGTGACTCATGAACAATCATTTTACTTTTCTCTGAAGAAGCAGGAATGACGAATTTCCAAGTCTGTTTATCTTCTCTTTGTCCCTTTCCTTTAGGACAACTGCCTCATGCTGAATCCTTAATTTAAAGAAAATGGATGTTTCCCTCTGGCCTGAGAGCTGGGGATTCTTATCAAAAGTGACATTAAAAAAGTGCCAGACTGGCCTCCTTCCCCTTGCTGGCCCATCCTTCATCGCCCCTGCCTGCCTCCATCACTGTCTCCCATCTCCAGATCTGTCTCCACTTCCTGGGTCCCCAGAGAGAAAGCATGAGCTCATTGTTTTCCAGTGAAAAACCAGATCTGGTCTCCTTCTCGCCTCGTTTGTCTGTCAGAGCCTGGAGATGAATGATTCTTCCCCTGGCTGAAACTGTACCTGGAGGAGCTGCGCCGGGTGTCTGCACCGGGCGTGTGGGGCCGCAGGCAGGGTGGTGGCAGCTCGCGGCTCTGAACTTTCCCAAAGGTCATTAGGGATGTGATGGGAATAAGGGATAGATTATTTACTACACACCAGATGGTAATCTAAAGCCATACCTCACCTTCTCATTCTTTCCCAAGAAGTCTGTTTCAGGCTGGAAAATACATGAGCGAAGTGGGGAAAAAGCAGCCAAAAACACGCAGGCAGGATGGGCCATGAGGGGCACAGACGGAGACAGCTCATTCTTTATTTCCTCTTGTGAAGAAGCGGCTATGTAATGACATTTAAAAATGTCTTGTTCAAAACATGCAAAAAAACTCAGAAAAGGGGCAAAGGCATTCAGAATGCAGGAAAAAAGGAATTAGGATAAAAAGGTGGTAGCTCCCACTAAAGATGAGGTGACCTTTACAACAGAAGACTGTGAAATGTTATAGGTTGCTGCAAAAGTAATTGCGGTTTCTGCCATTAGTAGTAATGGCAACCTAGTAGGTACTTTAGTTAAGAAAAAGAGTCTCTTGATAAAGGAATGAAAAGAACCTGGTTAGCAAATGCAATGATAAGGCAGAGGAATGGAAGCCATCGGCATAATTTGGGGAAGATCTCCATCCGTTGTAGTGGGAGAGGTGCCTGGTGGTCCCCCAGTGGGGAGGCTGCTTCTCTCTCTTTATTCCTCGCTTATTTTCTTCCTTTCTCCTTTGCTTCCTTTTTCCTTCCTCTTCTCTCTCTCTCTCTTTTCTTCTTTGAGACAGGTCTTGCTCTATCACTTAGGCTGGAGTGCCATGGTGCCATCATAGGTCACTTTAACCATGAACTCCTGGGCTCAAGCCATCCTCTTGCCTCAGCCTCCAAGAAGCTGAAACTACAGGTGCAGGCCACCATGCCTGGCTAAATAAAAAAAATTTTTTTGGCAGGGCGCAGTGGC
This sequence comes from Homo sapiens, assembly GCF_000001405.40. NCBI lineage: Eukaryota > Metazoa > Chordata > Mammalia > Primates > Hominidae > Homo > Homo sapiens. Next base: position 141,199,786 of record NC_000007.14, read on the forward strand.
TCACGCCTGTAATCCCAGCACTTTGGGAGGCCGAGGCAGGTGGGTCACGAGGTCAGGAGATCGAGACCATCCTGGCTAACACGGTGAAACCCCATCTCTACTAAAAATACAAAAAATTAGCTGGGCGTAGTGGCGGGTGCCTATAGTCCCAGCTACTTGGGAGGCTGAGGCACAAGAATGGTGTGAACCCAGGAGGCGGAGCTTGCAGTGAGCTGAGATAGTGTCACTGCACCCCAGCCTGGGCAACAGAGTGAGACTCTGTCTCAAAAAAAAAATTTGTAGACAGGATCTCTCTATGTTGCCCAGGCTGGTCTTGAACCCCTGGGCTCAAGTGATTCTCCCGCCTCGGCTTGCCAAAGTCTTAGGATGGTGGGTGTGAGCCACTGTGCCTGGCCCATTTTTATTTCTTAGTTGGAATGCTGACCACCAGATGATGTGGAAGCATAGGTAGAGGTGGCTTTCTAGTGGGCCTGTCCTGGTTGCCGGGGGAGACAGGATGGCTTAAGGGAGCTGTGGAATGCAACGGTGATTTTTCTAGTGGGCTGTCCTGGTTGTAGGGGACATGGTTTTTCAGAGGTGGTTTTTCTAGTGGGGCTGAGAGGTGGTTTTTTTAGTGGGTCTGTCCTGGTTGCGGGGGGAGACAGGATGGCTTGAAGGAGCTGTGGAATGAAAAGTGCTGTGAGCCTGGAGGCAGGTGACCGGTGTCTAGATTTTCAATGAAAGAGAGCACTATCAGGGGATTCCGTGAATATGGACAAGCAGCCCAGTTAGAGGGAGCCCTGGAAAGCTGTCCAAAAGGCTTATTAAACAGATGGTGGGTGAGCACACAGTGAGAAAGTGGTGATGCCGGCAGAGTGAACAAGCCATGCCAAGCTGACCTCATTCCCTTTTTGGATACGGTTCTTAGACATACTGATAGGGGTGAACAGTGTGGGCAAGGTCTCTCATGACATCCAGGTGGCCAAAAGAGGAACGTACGGAGGCAGATCAGGGAGGGAGCTGAGTTCCTGGCAGCGGAATGATGGCACCCAAAGTGCTTTCTCCTAACTGCTTGATTTTGGGTCATGACAAGGCTTTGTGTGTGTGTTTGGGTAGAGTTCTGCCTCCAGCACCGCCCTGTGGAAAGATTTTAGCAATGGCTTGGCGAGGATGGGGATGGCCTGCTGATGCAGCATGTGGGACTAATTGCTAATTTGTAGAATGACAGAATCACGATCCAAAATTTTTTTCAGGGGCTGGAACAAATAGAAGATCCTACACTGAGGTAACAAACCAAAATATTAAAAAAAACTGAAAAATGAGAAAGGACAACTTCCCGTGCACATGAAGGGGCAGAGTTGGCTTAATAGCTTTGTTGGAGGAAACCACGTCGGCGCCATCCCCTCGGGTGACAGCACCGGCACACAGCAGCCCACAAAGCTAAGAGGAGGCCAGGCCACATGGCCAGAGCTGTGACACCAGACCTGGGAGCCGGTGGCCCTACTGGGTTTGCACAGGTCTGACTGGGCACAGGAGTGACTGTGCTCAGTGCTCCGTGTGACCCTGGGAAAGATTCTCAACCGCAGACTGAACCTGGAGGATGGCCAGTGTGACTGTGTGGTTGGGGGAGCCGGGAAGTGTTCAGCTGGAAGAAAAGGAGACTTGTGGGTGGGGAGGGGCATGATCATTGTCTTTAAATATTTATGGGCTGTTGTATGGGAAGGGGATTTTATTGAAGGCTCACCATGGAGCAGGTTTTACATGGGTTATCTCATTTATTCCTCATCTGTTTTCTGAGGTGTGTGCTATTATTACCATCAGTATTTTGCAGATGATGAAATAGAGGCTTTGAGAGGGTGAGCCCCAAAGACTCCTGCTGGTAAGTGGCTTGTCCTGGGAATGGGGACAGGAATGTAGCTGAGACTTAAGACGTCAGATGCGGGCTAGTGAGCACTCTGAGCTCTCCTTCACTTCTGTGCTCTGTGTTACTGAGGAGCTATCTTCTCTCCAGCTTGTTAAGGGAGCTATGGAAGCAAACATTTTGTCTTACTCTGATAAGAGCAGTAGAGTCTGTAGGTGCTGAAAATCCCTGCAAATGGAAAAGTTTTACTTTATATGTTTCCAATATAAAACCTTGGAAGATCTCCTGCTTTCTTTCAGAAGAGACTGGTATTTCCCAAGTTCTTTTGACATGTGTGGCAGGCGTACTTAAGAGTGTGTTAGGTGGATTTGAATGCCACCTCTGCCACCTAATAGCTATGCACTTTTGATAAGGATACGTCTCTAAGCTTCTCAGTCTTCATATATGAGTGGGGATAATAATGCACCTTTTAGCATTAAACAAATGAATAAAACAGTTCTGTGCACAGTACCTAATACACAGAAAGTATTCATTAAACAGAAGCTATTGTTAAAATGAATAACAGTACTCAAAGCATCATTTTGACCATCAGGACCACAAAGGTGAAAAACACAAGCTCCTCTATCTCAGAGCTTTTACCATAGATAGAAATACCTGATGAATATATAATAAATGTGTTGCAATAGAACCAGCAGAAGGTGTTTAGGGGCAAGGTAAGGGGGTCAGAAACATGATGGTCGGGTGGGCGGGTGGGTGACAGGTTTTGAAAATGAAATTCCATGTGTGTAATGAGGAGGGTCCCCTGAGCACCTCTCATAACAAACATTTATGTAACATAGAATGGAAAGAAATTAAATATTTAGAACTCAGTCTACGCAATGCATACAAAACAACATTAAAAGGCCACATTGATATGGCAGTACAAAAAAACAAAGCATACAAAATGGAATGCATTTGAAAGCATTGAAAATAAAAACGTAGATAACACTTTTCCTTAGTATGAAGAAAATAAAACCTTCTTTCTGGCTGGGCCTGCAGCAGCTATAAGCCTTGCAAATCCTTGGACTCAGAACATCTGGGAGGAGCAGAAGGCGCTAAAGAGAAGACGTGGGGGAGGTGGGGTGTGGAGATTTCTTGAAATAAGCTTTTGTGAAGAGTTGCCTTTTAAATAGGGAGAGCTCCTGTCAACATTGCCGGTCTTGGTGGAGGTTGCCAAGGGTGTGCCTTCTCCACCTCTCCCATTTCTGCCCCATTTGGGGACAGGGCTGTGGGGGGTGTGGGAACCACCAGCATGGTTTGCCCACTTGGAAGCCCCAGAATATTCCTGGTTTGCTTCCTGCACCTTTCATCACCGACCAAGTTTCCCTTTTAATCTCCAATCTTTAAGCCCCTAGACTCCTGTGTTCCTCCACCCAACTCTCGTGGTCTTCTAAAGAATCCAATGTGATAATGCGAATGCATCTGATAAATGGCCTTCTTAATGTGCTAAAGAAAAATCTCCCTGCTAAGATGTTATTTTCACTTTTTTCTTTTTTGAGAAAATGCTCTTTAAAGAGGAGACGAAGCCTGAGCCTTAAATCTCTAACTGGTTTTGTCTTTTTTTGTTGGTGGTTTTTTTCCATGTGCTCTTTCTACTTTTGATTTAATCTTCCATATATTAAGTGCAGGGGATTAGCCAGGCCTCGGGCTAGAAAGTCTAAGAACTGTCAGCCCATTGGGTGAGACAGCGTCAAGTCCTAAAGGCTGACACTGTGGTGGGCAGAGGCCAGCATGTGCCACTTGGAGACCCCACGTGGGCTGGACACTCCAGACATTGTCACCGTGGAAAGGTGAGCAACATATAGGACATGGACGATGTCCCTTCCTCCCTTTCTTTCTTTCCTCATCAGTGGATGTATTGAGTTCCTTCCATGTACAAGGCACTGTGGCTGCAAAAATAACCCTTGTTCCCAGCAAATCTTCCACCCAACAGTGAATCCTTGTAGCCGTGGTGTCTGAAACTGCTGCACTCACACTGGAAAGCACATACCTGGGTTAGTAAGGCCAGACTCTGCATCCCAGCTTTTCCCCTGGCTGGCACAGATGAAGGCCTGGAAGCCTCTTTTGTGAAACAGGGCTGGTCCTAGAATACCCCTTCCTGAGGTTGTCATGGGGACAGCATGAGATAATACGGGAGCCTCTGGCATGTGGTCGGCATTGAATAGATTTTTGTTTGTTTTAAAAAAAGGAACTCTGGGATGGAGGAAACACACGGACTCTCAGAAGTGGTCCAGTAGTGTGTCCTGGACTAATAGAGTCTATCCCTTTGCCTGTAGATGGGTGAATACCAAGAGAGGAAAGGGCCTTGGGAGAACCAAAAAGGAAGAGAAAGCCTGCCTCATCCAACAGTGCTGATAGGACCCTTCAAAGTAACCGCAAGACTAAATTGTACCAGTTCGTTTTTCAAGCATGTAAACCTGTCTGCTACACTCCTCTAAGTCATTGTTCTTAGTTTGGGTTCTTCCAAAAGTAGAGCTTGTGACAGGGACTCTGAGGGAAGCAGGTGGGCAGGAGCTGGAAGCGTGAGACTGGAAAGAGGGGAAGCCAGTCAAGAAGGTGAGGTTGAGCCAGTGACTACTGTGAGCGTCAGGTTCAATTCCAGGGGGACCCTCTGAGGGACTGTGAGAAAGCATCTCATAATTACTCTCCCAAAGGACGGGGCTGTTGCTCTCCATCTGCCACCCCTGTCACCCCCTTAGTTGAGAGCTGCTTTCCCATAGTTGCTCAGCGTGGGCTCAGTGGACTTGGGAAGGGAGTGGAGGTAGGGAGGGCTGCTGGGTGCTTGCTGTGGGCACTATCAGCTTTCCCAGGAGCGTCCACTGCAGCTTCAGCCGGAATCGGAGGTGAACGGAGGGGATGTGGCACAGGACACTGAGGGCAATTGCACTAGTTTTGTCCACAAAGATTCCAGACTCATTTTAAGACATTGTGTAAATACAGCTTGTGGGTGGGAATTCAACCCTGGTTTGGCTTTGCTGGTAGCTCTCAGATATGGCTTCGGAGAAGAGAGCAGCAGATACTTGGAGCCATTACTCAATTTACCTAGTAGATCATTTGATCAAATAGCAGGCCTTGATATCTATTTTTCACTCATCCAAATATAACTCAGGGCTTCCTATGTGCCCTTTGCTGTGCGAATGTAAACAAAAGAAATGGCTTCTGACTTTTTTTTAAGAGACAGGATCTTGCTCTGTCACCCAGGCTGGAGTGTGGTGGTGTGATCACAGCTCACTGAAGCCTCAAACTCCTGGCCTCAAGCAGTCCTCCCACCCCAGCCTTTTGAGTAGCTAAGACCACAGGTGTGCAACACCACACTCGGCTAATTTTTAAAAGTTTTTTTTTATAGAGACGGGGTCTCACTCTATTGCCCAGGTTCGTCTTGAACTCCTGGCCTCAAGCGATCCTTCCACTTTGGCCTCCCAAAGTCCTGGGATTACAGGCTGAGCCATGGCACTTCGACTGATTTCGATAAACTCTGTCTAGTGCTGGAAACTGCTCTTTGAATAAAAAAGGATTTGGGAATAAAGTAGTCTAGGAAAATCTGCTGTAACTGTCCCTTTTTGGGGCAGTCACAATGTATATTAAAAACTCTTAAAGTCCTGCAATAAGGAAGCTGTTTATACTTTGTTTAACCCAACCTCTCCTAAATACATTGGGCCATCACGTTCCAATCCTACCTCACCACTTGTAAAGTGATGGGTGGAGAGAGTTCCCACATTCCAATTCTTCCTCGGCCACCCTGTCAGCACCAGGTGCCCAGGTGCCGTTGTGAGTAGTTTAGGGCCTTGCCTTTGCCTTCGGTGCTTCATCCCTTCTCAGCATCTTTGCTCTCTAGGCATCCTCTGTAGCTGAGGGGCCCTCCCTCTGGAGGAAGGGGATCTGGGATCTCAGCCCTTCAGACTTATTTACAAGAGCTTTAACAATGGGTGTCAAGGAGAACAATATTTGATCCAAAGGAATGACTCTGTAATGGAGATATAAAGTACTACAGCATTTGTTTAGGGAAGATAATTTTAGATGGGCTGAACTTAGGTCCCAGCACTGCCTCTAAAACCACTCTGCCTAGAAGGGCCCTGCTTAATATATATTACCCTTGAGTGATAGACTTCTTTGACAAGCACTTAGGAAACCCTGGATTGCTGAGAGCTGATACATGTGGGAGAAAAACTGCCTGCTGGCATTGCTGTAGGTGTGACCAGACTTCAGAATTCAGTGTCACTGCACGCAGTTTCTGTGCCATCTCTGGCACCCTCCCTTCCTTGGTCTCTGTTTCCATACATCAGAGCTCTTGCTCCACCAGCCTCCTGGGGCTACTGTGTGGGAAAATTTATACTTGATAGACATAGATCTGTGTTTATAGCATGATGCAAACATTTCAGTAATATTATTTCTGAGTTCCTGTGTTCATGTCCCCTTAAAGTAGTCTTAGGACAGCAACTGATAAGAATAACTAATATTTATTGAGCACTTACTAAGTGCAGGGACCACACTTAGTACTTGATGTGAGTTGTCATGCTATGTTTGGGTCTTAGAAGACTTGAGATGGAGAAAAAGTAATGGAACAGTCTCTTCCCATTGATGCTTCCCCATGTCTCCCTTTGCCACCAGGGACCTCTAGGAAGGAAGAATGTGCTAGCATTGGACTAAGTGGAAGCTAGAGTGATGCATTTGGAAGTGGAAGAGCGAGGGGAGATGTGAGAGGAAGAGCCCTGGAGAAAGAGAGGAATGAGCTGGATGTTTTGTCTGCCTTTCCAACCTGGCCTCTGTCTTCTGCACCTGCTCTGAGCTCCTGGAGGTTGACCTACCCTCTGGCTTCTAGTTTGGGTTGTGCTACAGGGAGGAACTGACGGGAGATTGAAGGTTGGAGCAATGAGAGGTTGGGTGTTTCTTCCCTGCCACCTCACCACAGGTTGGCTGTGACTCTCTGCCAAAGGCCGCATCATCTCTGTCCATATGGCCGCCCTTGCCAGGTCCTGGTGACAGCTTGCTCCTCTGCCCCTCCAGGCCTTGGGGTCATACCAGCTACTTCTGTTGCCAGCCCCGGGTCCTTTACACCATCCTTCACTGGTCTCTTCATACTCTGTGTTTAGCTTTGTAAATTGCTCTCCCTGTTTTGCTGTTAATGTAGTAAGGACATTTAACATGAGATCTACCCTCTTAACAGATTTTCGAGTGTATAATAGTATTATTAACTATAGGCATAAGGTTATATAGCAGATCTCTTATTTATCTTGCACAACTGAAATTTGTATCTGTTGAATGGAATCTCCCCATTTCTCCCACTCTCCAGCCCCTGGCAACTACCATTCTCCTCTCTATTTCTATGAGTTTGACTAGTTTAGAGAATTCATATAAGTGGAATCATGCAGTATTTGCCCTTCTGTGACTGGCTTATTCACTTAGCATAATGTCTAGGTTAATCTATGGTTGTTGCATGCAGCAAGCTTCCCTTCTTTTTAAAGACCGATTATATGGCATTGTAGGGATGCAATATTGCATATCGCATGGATACAGCTTTCCCTTATCCTTCATCTGCTGATGGACATTTAGGTTGCTTGTATGTTTTGGCTATTGTGAATAATGCTGCAATGAACATGGGAGTGCAGATATCTCTTTGAGATAGTGATTTCAATTGTTTTGGATATATGCCCAGGAGTAAGATTGCTGGATCATTCGTAATTTTTTGAGGAACCACCATACTGAGCCCCACAGTGGCTGCACTGATTTACATTCCCACCAATAGCATGCAAGAGTTTCGCTTTCTCCGCCTCCTCGCCAATATGATTTACTTATTTATTTATTTTGATAATAGCCATCCTAACAGGTATGAGGTGATATCCCCTTGTAGTTTCAATTCGCATTTCCCTGATGATTAGTGATGTTGGGCATCTTTTCCTGTTGGTCATTTGAATGTCATTGCCTTTGGAGAAATGTCTGTTCAAATCCTTTCCCCATTTTTTAATCAGGTTGTTCTTTTGCTGTTGGGTTAAATTGTCCTTTTTTGAAACTCTCCTTAATTACCTGTGTCTTGCTATGACCCTGACATATGGGCAGGAGGGGTCACTAGCTCAGAAGGCAGAGCATGACTGAGGGTTTAAAGTGTCCCACCAGTCCAGGGATGGTGGTTCACGCCTGTACTCCTAGCACTTTGGGAGGAAGAGGTGGAAGGATCACTTGAGCACAGGAATCTGAGACCAGCCTGAGCAACATAGTGAGACCCCATCTCTACAAAACATAAGAAAAGGCCAGGTGCGGTGGCTTGTGCCTATAATCCCAGCAATTTAGGAGACTGAGGTGGGCAGATCGCTTGAGCCTAAGAGTTTGAGACCAGCCTGGGCAATATAGTGAGACCCCCATCTCTACTAAAAATAAAAAAAAATTAACTGGACATGGTGGCATGTGCCTGTAGTCACAGCTATTGCAGAGGCTGAGGTGGGAGAATCACTTGAGCCCAGGAGTTCCAGGCTGTAGTAAGCGATGATTACGCCACTGCATGCCAGCCTGGGTGACATAGTGAGACCCAGTCTCTTTTAAATAAATAAATAAATAAATAAATAAGTCTCCCACAGGGGCCACAGGAAGGAGCCACCCCTGGGATCTCAACCAGCCAGTCCTCCCCCACCTGAGGCTTCTAGAGGGAGAGCAGAGACTCTGGGCTGGGATGCAGGAGTTTGGTGAAGAAGGGTTTGTCCTTCCTTCCAGGTAGCCCCTCTGCATTGTGTGCTGCAGGAAAACCTGTTTGTATTAGGCAGCCCACATTCTGGGCCTACTTATTTGGTGCCCAGATGGTTCCTGTATTTACAAAAGCCCAGCACACTGACAGGACCTGCAGACACATGGATAAATATTTTGCTTTTCTTTTTAGGCAATATTTGAATCTTTCAAATTTGATTGCTGTCAGAGGCAGGATGCTTGCAATCCCCCAGGCAAAGCAAATAGCGAGGGCCTGAAGCGGGGCTGTGGTGGCTGCTCCAGGCAGGCTCCCTAGCCAGTCACCTGCAGTGCCTGTGGGTTGGCTTCTTGCTCTTGCTGAATGTCAAGGGCCTCTTCCCTCTCTGGCTGGCTGGGCTGCGGTTGGAGGAGGTTAAAGGAGCTGGCTCCAGCCTGCCTGGAACCAGTGGCAACTTGTTGAGTTTCTGTTGAGGCTGAGAGAATCTGACCTGAGCTAAGAAATCAGGTACTTTCCTCACACAAGAGGGAGTCACCAATCTGGCCATTCCCAGTGGGACCTGGTTTTGTGTCCCAAGGCTGGGTCTTGGAGGTGTTTTGTTGAATCTTGAAATTATTGTAGGTAGGGCTGCTGCTAGCTCGTAAGGCAGCATTGTGCAAGTGAGACAAAGGCAGACCTTCTGGCAGGGGCAGCCCCCAACACCCTCCAGCAGGGTGCAAGCCTTGGCCAGCAGAGCAGCAGCTGGGTTTCAGTGCCCAGGTATCCCTGGGAAGTGCCATTGTGCAGGACACAACCTGCCCAACTGCACATGTCCAAGGCATGATGGTATTCTTGTTACAACCTTCTACCCTTTATATCTTCCTTTCCTCTTTCTTTGATTCCTTTTTTCCCCAAAACCATTGACCTAGTTGCCCCGGGGCTACATTTACCAAGTACATTGAGACACTGTTCTGTGATCATATGCCATTTTCTTCTACCTCACTGTGATTAATAAGCCTCTCCTTGTATTGTCCAGGCAGGGAAGAGGTATTTGCTATAGACTCACAGAGTTCTGCAACAATCGCCTCCTTTAATTCATTAGATTCTAATTTGCCTCAATTATTTTAATTCCTTGCATGTAATAAAAGCGGTTGGATTCTTTGCCCACTGCAGTCTTACAAAGAACACCTCGTATTATTCATTTCTTTCCTCAAAGCACATGTTATTGGTGCTTACCTTGTGCTAGGGGCTGGGAAGATAAAGATGAATGAATAAGACAACATCCCTGCCCTTGAGAAACTCATAATCTAGTTGGGGAGTGAGGCATGTAAACAGATAAATCACAGTGCAGGAGTGTGTTTGCTGCAGGAAGGACAGAAGCAGGGAAGCTGCTGGTGGAACGCCTGCTGCTGGGGTGCAATCTAGATGCAAGGAAGGCTTTGCTGAGGAACTGTCATTTGAGCCATCTCTTAGGATGAGTAGATGTTTACTCATCCTAAGGGAAAGAAAGGCAGGAAGGAGAATAGATGCTAAGTCAGGAGTGAATATGGCATATTCAGGGTAAGGTGGGAGGTTCACCTAGCTGGAGCCTGGGGTATGTGAAGGCTGGGGCCTGAAGGGAGCTGGGACTTTATGCCTGAGGAGTGTAGGGTTTATACTGTGTGTAAGAGGCCAACAGAGGGCCTGTGAACGGGGTGTGACATTATCACATTTTCCTTTATAGAATACACTCCACATGGGAGGGTGGCCTGGTAGAGGAGGCTCTCTGGTTAGACAGTCCTGGGTTTTAATCTTGGCACTGCTACCTCCTTGGGTGAGTCATTTAATCTCCTCATGCCTCCACTTTCTCATTAAAAAATAGGGATGAGGGGCTGGATGCGGTGGCTCATGCCTGTAATCCCAGCACTTTGGGAGGCCGAGGCGGGTGGATCACCTGAGGTCGGGAGTTCAAGACCAGCCTGACCAACACGGAGAAACCCCATCTCTACCAAAAATACAAAATTAGCTGGATGTGGTGGCACATGCTTGTAATCCCAGCTACTTGGGGGCTGAGGCAGGAGAATTGCTTGAACCCGGGAGGCGGAGGTTGTGGTGAGCCGAGATCGCGCCATTGCACTCCAACCTGGGCAACAAGAGCAAAACTCTCAATCAGTCAATCAATAAAAATTAAAAAAATAGGGATGAGGATGGCAATGCCTACTTAATGTGGCTGTAGAATGGATTAAATGATTAAATGAGATGATATCAATAACAGAGTTTCCCACTGGTGGAATAAGTCCAGAACCCATAAATAGGTTCCAGGTGTGCTGGAAACCCTGGCTCCTTCAGTGCCCTAGGAGCCTGGACAGAGCCATGGGCAGCCTCATCTGTTTACTCCAGGGAGCCTTGTAAACATCTTCTGTGTGTGCACCATAGCATAAGTAAAGTTGGAAACCAGTGGTCTACAGAGCCTTGGCGAGTCCCTCCTATCTCGTAAGTCCTTAAACAATGTGATTGTTGACTGTATCAGGACAACTACTACAGGAGGAGGGGAGACAGAGAGTAGGTGCTGGACTCCAGGGACATTTCTGAAGCAGACCTGCAGAATTTGGTGACCAGCTGGATGTCAGGAAGGCAGGGCGCCCTTGAGGAGGAGGCAGCATTTGCAATGACTGCAGGATTTATGATGTAGACTGGATGGGAGGTGATGCTATTAATGGAAATTGTTATGGAAATTAGAGCGTGTGGGGTTGGAGGTGTGAATGTGAATGGAGGAAGTGGAGACTGGCTGGTAGACTCCTTTTTCAACAAGTTTTGCAAGTTAAGGAAGGAGGATGACAGGATGAAGGTATGAGGAGGAGGTGTGCTTAGGGGGAATGCTGGGGACATGTGAGAGGCTTCAGGATGCTTGTGGGCTAAAGGAAAAGAGGCAGAAAAGTTGAAAAATGGAAGATGCAGGAAGAGTGCATACTACTCTCTAGAACGTGCCTCTTGGACAGCGTCAGTCCCATGGGAGGAGCATCTGCCAATAACTGGCAACTGGGCAGTTGTCCAGATATGATTTACAATAAGGCATCAGTTTCATGAGGCACTGTCTAAATTATTGCACTTCACCAATTGCAGGTTCCCTGCTGACAGTGGGCTAGGGGGTCAAACAGTTCAATCATGTGCACCACTTATAAATTGAAAATCAGTGGGGTGCAAAATGGATTACCATCAAAATCCATTCAGGTGCAAAACCAAATTTAAAACCCCCTAACCTTTAAAAATCACCCCTTTCCTGATTCTTCACAATGCTCTGACATTGAGTCTTTATATCCCCGAGATGAGCAAGCGTCAATAGATATGGCTGCAAGAAACCAAAAGTAATGGGGGAAGAGCTCCCCACCGTGCCTTCCTTTTGGAATTTGCAAACATAAAGGGTGGATTTATGCATTAATACACTGGCAATTTTGTTAGTTTCTCCAAGGCAGTGGTTCTCAAACTTAAGTGTGTAATAAAATCCCTGGAGGGCTGATTTAAATTCAGATTGCCAGGCTCTACTTCCTAGTTTGACTCAGTAGGTCTGGGGTTGAGCCTGAGAAGTTGCACTTGTAGCAAGTTCCTAGGGAATGCTGATGTTGCCAGCCCTGGGACCACACTTTGAGAATCTCTGCCCTAAGATCTAAATTTGACAATCTAAGATCTATTTTGACAATCGACTAGTAAAGCATGCTTTGATTGGTGTTGAGTCTGTTAATAAATCAAAATTTTGTTCAAGAAACCTGAAAAGAGACTAGTTCAAAGAGACACGGATTGATCTGAGTGCTTTGTGTTCAGAGGTGAGGTTGGGAGGATGAGGATGGGAGGATGGAGGCCCCCACCCACCATTCCCCCAGCTCACCATTCCAGAAAATTGTGTGTGCCCAAAGCACAAATGATATCATTAAGGCTTAACAAATCCTGCTGTCTGCTGGTCCCGGGGTGGAAACTGTTGATGTCCTTTGATGCCAAACTTCCTCTCTTGGCTTGAAAGTTGATTTTCTTGGGAATGTTAGACAAGCTGCTATCAGCCTAAACATTGGTTCTTCCCACCTCTGCATGATCCCAAAGACGTATTTTTCCATCTAAATCAATGCTATTTGATTGTAGTTCTACTCTCTTGCTCTTTTTGAGTTGAAGGTATTGTCTTTCTGTAGTTGTCACCAGGCCCAATATGAAAGAAGTCTTCTTCTCCAGGATGGAAAAATTAATCCCAGAACTAGTCCAGATGTGGTTGCTGCTTCCTTAACATTTTGTTTCCTGTTTCTCTTTTCTAGGAGAAATTGAGCGATGTACGTACATCAAATACCACTACTCCTCAGCAACCATCCCCAGGAACCTCACTTTCAATATCACGAAGACCATCCGTCAGGATGAGTGGCATGCCCTACGTAAGTGCACCTGAGTCTCAGTGGCTGTGACTGTGCTGTGAGGTCCCCTTTGGAGGGATTGGAGGATTGGATGTGCCTCCTTCTGGGATCTGTGGATGGTCTCAGAACATTGAGATGGTTCCATAAAGTGCCAATATCTTTGGGTTAGAATTGCCTCAGTTGGTTTTGATTGCATTATAAATTTGGGGAGTTTGCTTCTAAAATTAAAGAAAGAACCAACCGTCAAAACTTCGGAAACAACTAGCAATTAGACAGTCATCTTATTTCACTACCCTGGTAGGCATGTAAGATTTCACCTACCTGACTGAACCAACTCTTGGGATTTATTAATAATTCCAGCCTGTCTTCAAGTTGCTTGGAATATTATTGTGGTAACCTGTTAGTCCCTTGGGTTGCATTTGTAAAGGATGAGACCAGCTGGTGGTTGCAGGATGCATCACATTGGAGATTTGCATCTGGGTGGGTCACTAAGAAGTAGGATCTGGTCTTTAAAGCTACGGTTTACCCTCAAATGATAGGTTTTGGAACCTTGGTTCATGTGCAATTCCTCAGCAAAGATCAGAATATCTGTGTGCATTGGTTAGGGCATTTCTTGGCCAGGGATCCTCAGAGACTTAAATGACAACGAGAGGGTTAGTTCATGAGCAAACAGAGTTTGTTGGCTATTTTTACTTTTCTGCGCCATTGGGATACATTGCTTGTCTGTGGCAGGAGAGCTCTGCTTCCTGCAGGCACAGTTCTTCAAGCTGACACATTCCTACTGTCAGCAGGTTCATGCTGCCTCTGTTGATTTGTCATGCATTCATAGTCCATCTTTTTTCACCAGATTCTGAAAGGTTAAGATTCTGTTTTCATCTATATGTGAAGGAGGATTCTTTTATTCCTGACAGTAAAGATCCCTTTATTGGTAAACTTTGAAGATGGTAGATCTCTAGATGGAAAACATCTCTCTTCTCCTTATAGGTGCTTAGTTATCTTTTTCGTCGATTAGGCCCACCAGGTGTATTCTACTTTTGGGATTGGCTTTAATTAAACCACCACAGCTTCGGGTGGGAGTGGGAGGTGAAAGAGACAAGTAAAATTAAACAGAACAATCATTCATTGGTTTCAAGAAGTATATTGTGGCTGCGTGTCCAGATGATTGTCACTAAATACTCCTGGCCTGAAATGATAGAGCAGGTGCCAATGGATGAGATAGCATTCACCGGGCTGTTTCCCCTACAAGATTTATCCATTACTAGAGACACTAAGCAGCACATGGGGATGGAGAGCTAATGTTCAAAGAGGATTCCCATGTGCTGGCATTGAGCTAAGCATACCACATATTTAATTTCAATGTTATATTTGCCTTAGAGACACTAGTCATCAGGGTTATTAATTTCCTTTTCAAGGTAGACATGTGAGGACTAAAATGTAGAAATATACAATAGCTGCTTATTTCCCACAATGTATTGGTCTAATATAGTCCCTTCTTAGGAGCCTAAAAGGGATGTTCAAGATTGATAAGTCCTGTGGATTAACCATTGAAATCTAACTTAAGTTATGGGGGTCGTAATAGGATTCAGAATCTAAGAAGGAAGAAATTATTGACATAGCAGCTTGAATTCAAATTAACTCCATTTAACCAAAGTTGCTGTGTTTCTTTTTGTGCCAGTGAATACCGAGGCCACAGAGGGCTCTTTAGGGAGCTCTAGTTCAGGGGTGGAGGAGGGTGGGGGATGGGGAGAGACATTCATAATACAAGTAATTACAAGGCAATGTGATAATTACAATATAGTAGAATTGCTTTAAGCAAGTAAGATAATTTGGAAATTTTTTAGCAAGAAGGAAAATTATTTTAGTGTAAATTGCACAGATACTCTTCAGGGAAACCTGGTAGAACTCTTTTGACTGCACACACTGTAGATACCTGGAATTCAAAGAGATTACCTAGGGAGGCATCGCTGGAAACATGTCACGAGGCATTGGCAAAGACAGAGAGGAGAGGATAATGCCAAGCTTTGTGGGGTCTTCTTTGAGCCCTGCGTGTCTCCAGGTTCTTATTCCCAAACTGTAGTGCTGTAGGGTTCTGCAAAATCTAGTGTGCAGCCTATGCTGTGAACTGGGGTGACAGATCTATTTTTAACTGATAAAAGCCATCTCAACGATTGATATGTGAAAAGGTCTCGGGCACTTGGTGTGGGTGAAGTTGAGGCCACCTTTTGGTGAGGGATTCATCTGCCTCTTTCACAAAGCCGCCTAATGGGCTGTTAAGCAGAGAGAGGGAACATTTGCCATTTCTGACATCGATGACAGTTATTTTTAGCCAGAGGGCAGGTGAGCATCTGTCACAACTGAATTTGGTACTAAGTGTAATTGGGAATGCTGGCAAGAGGGGAAGCATAGGAAGTGTCGATTTTAATTTTTAGAGGTCAGATATTGATGACATTAGGTGGGAAGTAGGCACATAAGCCCCCTTTAAAATAAAGTAGAAATGATTAAATATTAGCCAACTCCTGATCAAACATTGGAAATGAAAAAAAATCAGTTTGATTTCTTTACTTGGTTTGAGAGTCCTGCACTCTTTAAGTGGAATCAAGTTAATTCTTTTCATTCTAGATTGGTTATCATCTTTATTATTATTATTATTATTATTTTTTGAGATGGAGTCTCACTCTGTTGCCCAGGCTGGAGTGCAGTGGCACAATCTTGGCTCACTGAAACCTCTGGCTCCTGGGTTCATGCGATTCTCCTGCCTCAGCCTCCTGAGTAGCTGGGACTACAGGCGTGTGCCACCATGCCCAGCTAACTTCTGTATTTTTAGTAGAGACAGGGTTTGACCATGTTGGCCAGGCTGGTCTCAAATTCCTGACCTCAAGTGATCCACCCGCCTCAGCCTTCCAAAGTGCTGGGATTACAGGCATGAGCCACCGTGCCTGGTCTGGTTATCATTTTATAATCTGACCATAATATCTTGTATTCTGTAATTTTTCCTACTATATAGTTTTTGCCAAAGGAAAGAAATTTGATTTTTTTCCTGAAACACTTTCTGGCAAATATTTGGACTTTGGTTAAATTTGAATTATATACTTTCCTTTCTTTCTTTCTTTCTTTCTTTCTTTCTTTCTTTCTTTCTTTCTTTCTTTCTTTCTTTCTTTTCTTTTCTTTTCTTTCTCTTTCTTTCTTTTCCTCCTTCCTTCCTTCCTTTCCTTCTTTCTTTCTTTCTTTCTTTTTTTTTTTTTGACAGAGTCTTGTTCTGTTGCCCAGGCTGGAAGTAGCTGGGATTACAGGCATGTGCCACCATGCCTGTATAATTTTTGTATTTTCAGTAGAGACCGGATTTCACCATGTTGGCCAGGCTGGTCTTGAACTCCTGGCCTCAAGAGATCCACCTGCCTCAGCCTTTCAAAGTGCTGGGATTACAGGTGTGAGCCACTGTCCCTGACCTGAATTACATACTTTTCATCAGGAATTTGCATGTGGCCTCATCATCAACCATTGATATAGAAATAAAATTTTCAAGTAGGAAAAGGCACAATTTGGTTTAAAACTACATTGTGGTTTTTGAAAAGTTAAGCCTACCAATGGGAGGCTTAAATGCTGGTGTGTGCGCTCATACACCTTATGGTCGGGTGACTAGCAGGTGAAAGGGTAGAAGATTCTGGAGGCCACTAGGCTTACAAATCTAATTGTAAAGAAAGAATAAACTCCATAGGGAGTAAAGGCCAGAGGATGAAGCCTGTGTGTGTGTGTGTGTGTGTGTGTGCGCGCGCGCGCGCGTGTGTGTGTGTGGGTGTGTGGTGGGGAAGAAGGGTGATCTTTGTGGATGAGGTTCAAATGCTGAGTTGTCCAGGTGAACTGGTGTGTGTGTGTGTGGTAGGGAAGAAGGGTGATCTTTGTGGATGAGGTTCAAATGCTGAGTTGTCTGGGTGAACTGGTGACCAGGTTCTCACTCTGGCTTTTTAGGTGATTGCTGGTGGGTACTGTGGGTGCCTTTCGCCTTCTCACCCTGGGAAAAGGCAGAATTCCTTTTGGAGTTGGGATCCATGTCCTTAGTCCACCCAGGCCTGGTGCAGCCCATCTGCCTTCCTACCCACCCACTATCTGGCTTGAAGTCCCAGCAGCCCTGGGTGGGCTGTGGTGTGGTGCGGTGCCCTGGGGTGCAGTGCAAAGCGAGGTAGAACGGCATTTATCCTGCCTCTGTGGGCTCCAAGGGTAAGCTGCATGCCTGACCCAGATCCTCTGGCTGCCTCCAGGACACAGCGGGACAGGCAAGTGTCACTGGCCAGTGAGGAGGGGACAGGCAGCTGCAGGAGATGAGCTGGGCTGGTGCTGCTCCTGGGTGGGCTGTCTGGTTTACGTTTTAAATATAACAGAATCTGATTGACAAGGTCAGGGGAAGTGGTGGCATTTTAAATGGAGCTGCTTCACTCTCTCACTAGACTATGTCTTTATATGCTTTTCATATCCCACAGTCTATGGTAGCAGTGCTTGTTTGGAGAGTTCGGTGTCCTTGCATGACCCCCAGGAGCTCCTGAGGCCATCCCCAGTAGCTCTGCTCTTGTTCTCCCCACCACAGGCATTGCCCTTTCAGCACAGGTGGGGCCTGGGCCTTTCCCAGTGTGGCACAACAAGGGGAGGTGGCTGATAGGGAGTGGGGGGTCTGCGACAGGACCTGGGCAGCCAGGGTGGGCTATATCAGAGGAAGCTGAGAAAACAGGGGATGGGAAGATGTCGCTGAGAGGTGAGTGCATCCGTCCCAGGAAGGAACTGGGATGGCATGGAGCTGGGCCTTGGCTGCCCCAGGTGAGGACCCCAGGGAGGCTGGCAGAGGGCACGGCAGCAGAGCCTGCCTGAGGTTGCAGGGCAGACACCCATTGGAAGGTATTAGCTTTACTTCAGCCTGGGTGACAGAGCGAGACTCCATCTCAAATAATACCTGCCTGAGGTTGCAGGGCAGACACCCATTGGAAGGTATTAGAAGTGGGTCTTCTTTGCCCCTTGATCTGCTGATCTGCTGGGCAGAGCCTCTGTGGGCAGCTGTTACTAAGGTTCCCTCAGGGTCAGATCCCTGAGACGCGGACTCACTGTGACGTGAGCTCAGATGTTCTCATTCTGCTTGGCGTTTTCAAGATGGAGGTTTTTGCTCCCAGTAGATTGCCCCTGGCAGCGAGAATCAGGGAGCTGGAGCTCTACTTTCCTGCAATCAGATGCTCTCTGCTATCTTTCGAGTTGCTGAGAGCCAAGAAACCCAGAGGTGTTTTTTGAAGCTTTCTTCTGTCAGGACTGAGGGTTCAACTAATTAGATTGGGTAGTCACACAGCACATTTCCAGCTGGCCAGGGAGGGAAAGAGTGAGAGACGATTTCCCCTCCGAGACTTCCCTACTCCCTACCCCCAACCCCGCAGACACACAGACACGAGCTCACTCATCGGCCCTGTGGCTGTTGCCTCAGGCAAGCTGAGCACATACCAGGACCAGGCAGAACAGGCTTCTCATCTACAGCATTGGGGGTCCTCGCCTTCACCAGCACAGTGGATCCTTGCACACCTGGGGCAGAGAACGTCAGTGCCAAGGAGCCATCCTGAAGCAGGGTACAGCCTGGCTGGCAGAGGGAGGGAGAAGAGAGGAGAAGAGGAGGGAGGGAGCAGTGGGGATGGAGGAAGGGAGGCAGGAGACCAAGACTTTGTGGATGAGCAGGGACATTTTAGTGTCCATACCACTAGGAGGGACAAGAAGTAAAAATCCAGAACTGTCTCACTTACTGCAGACATGTGGATGACACACTTGGCTCCCTGTCCCCACAGCTCTTGATCTCTCACCACTGCCTGTGGGTTGGCTCAGTCTTAAGGGACCAGTCCTGACCCCAGGCTGGTGTATGGTGGGAAGCCCAGCGTGTCCTGGTGCTCTGGTGTGGATCTTGGGGCAGGACTCTTAACTTATGTTTCTTGGCTAAGCCCAACCCGGCCCCCCACACCTGGACTCTCCGGTGCCCTCTTCCTCACCCTCTCCCTTTCCAGAATTAGAGGGTCCTGCCCTTGAACCCCAGGGTCCCTGGTGCTGTCTAGACTCTCTCCAGCCACCCTGGGTCCTCCCCTCCCCACTGGCATCAACCTTCTCACCCTGAACTTGTGTTGGCTCTTTCCCTGATGGTACCTGCCTTCCCTTTCCCAGTGGACTCAGCTGGCCAGTTCTAGCCCAGCCTGCTCCAATGTAGAATGGCCACCTTCTGAACTTTCTTCCCACTCAGAACTCTCTGGCTTTCTCAGCCTGGGAGCTGCCTAGACACCTGGTCCGTCCTCCCCCAGCCATCCTTGTTATGAGAAGATGAATGCTGTGGACCAAAGGGCTTGGGATGAAACTAACAGTAATAACAACAGTAAGCACCTCTTTTTGTTCAGTCAGCTGTAATGCTGCTCAGAGGATCACTCGACGTTTCCTCCCAGGAGTCCCTCCCGTGTTGTTGTGGCTCCTTTGCAGATGAGGTAACCGAGCCAGTGGGAGGGGCTGCCTAGAGGTCCCATCTCAGACCTCAGAGGAATCCGAGGGTGAGGGCTCAGAATCCAGGCCTGAGCTCCAGTAGGGTCCCTCCAGCTATTTTTTTCTTCATGTTTTTGGCTGATGTTATGGAAAACAGCCTAATGAGGTAAACATCCCAGACATTAGAAGCTCAGGTCCCCTGCAGCATCAGCCATTTTCCTTCTCCCACATTCGCATCGGTGCTCAGCCAGTATGAGGCTCTTACTGTTTGCGATCTGTTGTTAGCTGCCTCTTGCTTGCAAGACTGGGATCCACAGGGGTCATCACTAGCAAGAAACCACCTCCTTGCCCCAGAACTAGAAAAACTTGGTAGCAAGAAGACTCAGCCAACAGCGTGTCATCATAGGTTGCCTTGAGTCCTGAAGTCTTTGCTTTTTGCAAACCATTCCTTGTGTCTCTGCCCCAACCCGGCCCCTGCAGAGAATCTTGTAAACCTTTCAGTATACCCACTGCCTTGTGCCTGTCCTCCCAGAGCTCTGGTGGTATTTATGCACCAGGCCAGGCAGAGAACACAAACCCCTTAATGTGATATTGCACCAAGATCTGTTCTTGCAGAAGTAACTCATGCCAGGACACTTCCTTTCCCTCTCAGCTTTCCTGCCTGTCAAAACTGACCTCTTATTTGTCCCATTCCCTCAGGTTTCTGTTGGAGAACAGGCTTACTGATTTGATGAACATGCTTGAGTTAGGGGGTTAATGTGTTCTTGGATTACCTTCCCTGGATAGCATTTTTATTTTTCAGGAGGCCTGCCCCAAGGAATGATGGCAAGGGAATTATAGGTAACGTAGAGACGCTTTAAAATTATGAATGTTGGGCCAGGCATGGTGTCTCGTGCCTGAAATCCCAACACTTTGGGAGGCCGAGACAGCTGGATCACTTGAGATCAGGGTTCGAGACCAGTCTGGCTAACATAGTGAAACTCGTCTTTACTAAAAATACAAAAATTAGCTGGGCGTGGTGACATATGCCATACTTGGGAGGCTGAGGCAGAGGCAGGAGAATTGCTTGAACCTGGGAGGTGGAGTTTGCAGTGAGTGGAGCTCGTGCTGCTTTACTTCAGCCTGGGTGACAGTGAAACTCCATCTCAAATAATAATAATAATAATAATAATAATAATAATAATAATAATAATAATAAAATAATAAATGCATGTGCATGTACAGCTGTGGGTCCCACCTACTTAGATAGCTGGCCTGGCTGGGGGTCAGTGATTAAAATGCGCTGTAGCATGGCTGCCTATACAAGGGCGCCCTCTACATGGATAAGAGGGAGAGTTTATTTTTGAGATGACCTAGGGGGAGGGAAGGGAGGAGGCCTGGAGTAGGGGTGGGAGGGAGTACAGTACAGCCTTTTCTGTTAAAAACATCCACGTCCTGAACAAAACCTAAGAACCACTGTGCTGGTATAATTACAGTCTTCAAGCCACAATTCATGTGAACGCACAGGTCCAATTTTGTGCTGGGAATTAGTTGGAAGTCTGGCCTGGAGGCATTCTCTCAGCTTCTGCAGATTGGAAGTGGTTTTCTTCTGGCTGAGCGCACTGATACGGACACCACACCATGAAGGAGAACTGGGAGAACAACCCCACTGTCCGCCTTCATCCATTTGTTCATTTGTTCATTCAATGGTTGTGGAGTGTCTGTTCTGTGAGAACCCCCATGTTGGGTGCTGGAGGGGATATTAAAAGGTATTCTGCTTCCCAAATTGGATGATATATTTCCAGGTGCCAACCAGGTAAGGGCTCAAATTACTTGTTGCTTAATGTTTAAACATTTAAGACTACCTAGAGAGTGCAGGCTAATGCTGCTGACATGTACACTTCATGGGTCCCAACTTCCATACTTAAATCAGCAAGGATTCATTGCAGGGGAAAAAAAACAATATATAAGACAAACTACCTTATCTCAGTAAGAGGCATGGCCTGCATTTTACAGCGAGGGAAAAGTGGGCATCATCTAGGACTTGCCTCTTCTTTGTCCTCTAGGGGAACTGTCCCAGTTCCAGGTGCTGAAAAGGGAGCTTAATATGGCAGGTGATTATTCTTTTCAAAGTTAAGACAGTCTGAGCTCAGCTTCCGGGCAAACTGCTGCAGTGAGGAAGAGGAACAGGAACAGGTGCTCAGCACTCTGGCTGGCAGAAACAGCTCAGTGATGGAGAATCTGGGTTAGGTAAGACATGGATGTCAGAGCAGGCAGATACCTGCATCAATAAAGTCAGTCAGCAGGTATAAGTCCTGTAGGTGCTACTTTGGCATTCCAGACTGAATGAGTGAACTCCCAGGGAGGACTCTTAGCCAAAGGAAGAAAAGCCCCAGCTTTACAAGAAATTTGGAATAGAAGGGTATTAGAATAAGAAATAGACAATGGTGGCTGAGAGAGTAGCCCACTTATAAGAACCAGGGCACACAAGGCAGGTGTGCTATGCCCAGAACAAGGTGGGAGGCTGTTATAGTCAGAGCACCAGTCACAAACAGTGATTGGGTTTGATCCTGGATTTTGGGGGATGGGTGTTCTGAAGATGGGGAGGGCAGCAGGAAGGTGGCTGGGAGCAAGGATGGGGTAACAGAGCAAGTAACCAAGTTCATGTTGTGTGATGAAAGTCCTACCAGCGTCAAGGGCAGTGCTTCCCAGATGGGGTCGATTGCCTGGAAGTGTCTGCATTATCTGGGGACTTGTTTGAAATGCAAATTCTTAGAGCCCAGCCTAACCTACTGAGTCAGAATCTCTAAGGGTGGGACCCAAGAATCTGTAAGACCTTTAACACATGAAGGTTTGAGAGCTCTTGGTCTGGAGAGCATTGGTGTGGATCGTAGTGGTCAGAGAAGGGTCAGGGCAGGAGAGCATGGGTAGGCTTGGGATGGGAGATGGAATATAGCAAATTAGCACAACCTCTCAGGGAAGCAGGACCTGTATTTGTGTGCTGTCTGTTTACTGGCTATAGATTTGGTAATTTACTTTCCTTCCATATTTCTTGTGGTTAGTTGAATACAACAGCATGGAAGAGGGAGGTGATTTTTTGTTTTGTATTGTGTGTGTTAGCTAAGGGAATCTTCCTAATATCTAGCCTCCAAATCTCTATCTTATGTTTTTGATGTACTCCTTTAATGGGAAACAGGATTCAAGCCCCATGGAGTCCAGCAGATATTGGATTGAGTTCCACCTCTGCCACTGTCTAGGTATATGACTCTTGGAAACTATTTAAGTGGTTTGACCCCAGTACACTCATTTGTAAAGCAGAGATGGTAATACCTGCCTTGAGGATTAATATAAAGTTTAAATTAGGTAAAATAATTCATGCACAATCTCTGAGTAAGTTTGCAAAGTCTGATGCCAGCCAACATGAGAAGCTATTATTATTGGAAGGCAGGGGTCCCATACTGAGGTCCCATGGGAGCTGGGGGGAATGCCTCTGAAATGACATTTCATCAACTCAGGGGCTTTTCTGTTTGACTCTGTGCAACCTGTGCAGGTGAATTGGCCTTGTATGTGGCTGTTTGTCTTGGTGAGTGTTGGGGGTTTGCTGTCTGCACAGGTATGTGTGATGGGAGCTTGCATTAGGTGTTTACAATGTAGGAGTAGAAAGTGGCTGACTATTATTTACTGGCAAGTGTAGCATATTGTGAAAGGAGTTTCAGGGCAGAGAATTATCAGTGTTTGAGGTCCTCAGTGTGGTAGCAGCAGCAGAAGCAGCTCTTTAATTTATCAGTTGTGCCCAATAAGAATGCAATTTAGACACAAACAGTCTCTAAAAGAAGATTTATGTACTTAGTGTCTAAAAAGTAACATTTCAGAGCTTTGAAGATAAATACAAT
Organism: Homo sapiens; assembly: GCF_000001405.40. Taxonomy (NCBI): domain Eukaryota; kingdom Metazoa; phylum Chordata; class Mammalia; order Primates; family Hominidae; genus Homo; species Homo sapiens. The sequence continues at coordinate 141,223,036 of NC_000007.14, forward strand.
GTGAGTACAACGTATTGAAATTGTTGAGGGGAACCAAAAGACTCGCCTGTCTAGCCCGGCCCTGCCTTCCGTTTGCTATGATCAGATCCTCTTCTATTCTATTTCAGATGTGTGAAAACACACATCTGAAAGGAGGATGCTGCAAGAATGTTGGACATAGAGAGAAAGGAGGGCCCAACAATAGGATAAGAGCTGCGGTTAGGGTGGAGGGGAGGCCATAGAGGTGACATTACTATACTGTATTACTATCCCCTTATTTTCATCTCTTTGCTCTGGTTCTGGTGCTGGCTATGTCATAGATTGGATTATGGGATTATGGAGTTGGGGTTACCAGGCAGAGCTAAGATGTTTGGGGTGCATGGAAGGGCCTCTTCAGATGATTCTGAGAGGAGAACCCCTTCCTTTCTTAGGCTTTGGAGCTGATGTTCTCTGCTGTTTTCACTCTTTTTTTTTTTTTTTTTGTATTTCCCTGATATCTAACTCTGGTTTAACTTTGGAGGTCATAGCCAAGAGGCCTGCAGGCTTCTGGGTCATTCTGGCTTGCCTAGAGTAGTTGTGCATGGAATTCAGCCTTCCACGTGCTGAGCTAGAGTTCTGGGAGTTTGGGGGTGGGGATTGAAAGCCTAGTGGTACTTATCTTGTTTCACTCTCTATGCATATCCATCTGAGGAGCCTTCTGGGGAAGGTTGGCACAGAATACAGTTCAAACCTTCCTAGGTCCTTTACAATTCAACGTTCCAATCAGCACCATCCAATAGAACTCCCTGTAGTGATGGAAATATTCTGTAAGTCTGTGTGATAGCCACAAGCCACAAGTGGCTACTGAACCCTTGAAATATGACTATTTCAACTGAGGAACAGAATTTCAAATTTTACTTATAAACTGACGTGGTTTGACTGTGTCCCCACCCAAATCTCACCTTAAATTGTAGCTCCCATAATTCTCACCTGTTGTGGGAGGGGCCGGTGGGAGATAATTGAATCATGGGGGCGGTTTCCCCCATAATGTTCTCATTGTAGTGAATAAGTCTCACGAGATCTGATGTTTTTATAAAGCGTTTCCCGTTTTGCTTGGCTCTCATTCCCTCTTGTGTGCTGCCATGTTAAGACGTGCCTTTTGCCTTCTGCCATGATTGTGAGGCCTCCGTAGTCATGTGGAACTGTGAGTCCATTAAACCTGTTTTTCTTTATAAATTACCCAGTCTTGGTTATGTTTCTATCAGCAGAGTGAAAACAGACTAATACATAAACCAACTTAAATTTGTGTGTGACACATGGCCAGCAGCTACCATATCAGACAGAGCAGTTCCAAACAAGCAGTGCTTGTATTTCTTTTACGGATTCGATCTCCAAGTTATAGACTCTTGATTACAAGCATTCATACATTAGAAACAAAACTTTATAGGTGACCTGGATGCCCCAGCCATTTTCGGGGTATAGGAATGCACATTTCCTTGAGTTCCCAGATTCTTGCTCACCACTCAGCCCTTGGGCTCTCAGCAGCCCCAATCCCAGAGCTACTTGGGGTGTTACTAGGCCTTTCTGTCAATCTGTGTCCTCTGCAAGTAAGGAGAGAGAGGCAGCAGGGCAAAGATCTCAACATTTACCCAAGCCAACTCTGGGCCAGGCTGTCGCAGGCTGAGTTCCCTGGGAAGTGGACTCAGATGGAGTTCAGTTCCTTAGGACTCATGCCTGTAGAAGGGCAGGGGAGGAATCAGGTTCTGGCAGAAGGAGAAGTCAGGCTGGGATGTGGGTGCGATGACACCCCTTGGAGAGCTCTCGTCCTAGAGCGACCCTTCAAAGTCTCCTGAATGAGGTTGAAATGGCTGGGTCTTTACACTCCCACATTGGGCACTTCTTGGATATAGGCACTGGAAGTGGAGTGACCTTGAGTATGTGGCTCTGGGTGTATGAGCAATCTCTAAAGGGATTGACCGCTAAAGGTTGACAGCCTTTCTAGAACCTGGCAGCAAGTCTTTCCTTGCAGGGAGGTCTGGAAGGTGCACCACAGTGCCTACCATGCGGGCATTTGTCTGATGCAATCAAGGTTGCCAGTGATGGAATTGAGACAAGAGATCTAATACTTCCCCCAGAGCTACAAGAAGAGGCAGGACTAGAATCCAGACAGTTGTGACTGCAAAATTCATGCTCTTTCCTTACCGCCAGGGAGCCCCACACATATCTCGTGCGGCAGGCCTACTGCCCTTCTCTTCTCCCAAAGGACCTCCCTGCTCCATCCTTCACCCCTCCCCCACCATAGGCTCTATCTTATTATCTAAAGTAAGTGAAGAACCCTTCTCTTTGTCCATTTGTTCAAAAGAAATGAAAGAAAGCTATTTATTTTCCACTTCTCAGTTTTTCTTTTTCATTTAATTACTGCTATCACAACAGGAATTTTTTTTTCTATTCCTTTTCATTGCAAATGTATAGTACTTCATTGACATTATGAGTTAAATAGGCTTTTGTGGATAGCTAGAAACCCAGTCATCATTTATAACAGACAGGACTTCTCTGGAAATGGGTTCTGAATTCTAAATAATTGCCTCAACAAATGAGATTTTGGAATGGAATTCATTGCAAAGCTGGAGACTTACATCTTTCTATTTTCCAGTCAGTTTTGCCTCTGAATGGGCTTGCCATCTCTGCCCCCTACCCCAGCTACATCTGTCATTTTTAGACTGGATCCCCCAAATTGGATACCCTCAACTCCCATGATGAACGTTCAGACTTCTCTGTCCCTTGTAGCCAGCCCCTGATACAAGATCGATGTTTGCCCCTTGATGTGCCCTGTGTAGGCTTGTATGAAGTCCAGAAACCCAACCAAGGGACATCCAGTGTCCTTGGTGCTGGGATCATCCAGTCTTAGGCCCCAGTCTCAGTTCACGTTGGTAAAGTGAGACCCATTCTGCCACGTTTCCCTGAGGCTCTTTGCTTGGGCGCCTGGCACCAAATTAGAAATGAGCAATCAGGTGTGTGTGGTGTGTGTCAGCTTCCGAAACCACGAGGCTGCTAAACATGGGTGTGGAGGTGACACATTTGACTGACATCAGCATCTGTGTTCCATCCACCACCCCATCCACTGCCTCACTCTTGGAGCTTCTAGTGCTGCACAGTTGCCAAGGAAACTAGAAAAAGCTACTGTGCACAAGTCACCTCCTCCCCAGAGCTCATGGGAACACCCTCTTGGGGGGAGGGTGTGAAGAAGGAAGGAGCTGCTCTTCAGGTGGTTGTTCATGAGTGTGGATGACAATGCTGACTGACACCAGCCCCAAGTAGGTAGCTCCAGGCCGACTACCCTTCCAGAACCCTCCCCAAGGCTGGCTTTGTCTCCGTGTTGCCTGAGTCCCACACACCACCCTCTCTCATCTCACATTGCCATCAGTACCTACTCAGAAGAGATCTTTTCATTTTCAGGAAGTGAAAATTCCTTTACATCAAAAAGAATAGGGACTTCTGGTTTCATAGGTGAGGTCTCAAATACAGCTACTGTTTAGCTTGGCAGAGCTAACAGAAACATACAGTTTTAAAAACTACTGGCTAGGCGTGGAGGCTCATGCCTGTAATCCCAGCATTTAGGGAGGCTAAGGCAGGTGGATCACTTGAGGCCAGGAGTTCAAGACCAGCCTGGTCAATATGCTAAAACCCATCTCTACTAAAACAAAACAAAACAAAAATTAGCCGGGCATGGTGGTGCATGCCTATAATCCAGCTACTCAAGTGGCTAAGGCATGAGAATTGCTTGAACCCAGGAGGTGGAGGTTGCAGTGAACTGAAGTTGCACCACTGCACTCCAGCCTAAGCAACAGAGTGAGACTACCACTCTGAAAAAAAAAAAAAAAGAAAAAGAAAAAAGTAATTACTAGTTCCGTTTTGATCCCTCATTAAATTGAAGGAGAGAGGCCTGGATTTTTAGTGTTTACCATTCCTGGATGGAGCTTTGCAGATCTGGTTCACGAGGAGCCATCTTTGGTTGTTGTTGGAATGACTTGCAGGGCTGGTCCTTAGTGCCCAGTGTGGACTGAGAGTCCGCTGTGTGGACAGCACTGGAGCTGGGCAGTGAGAGAGACACCTTAGGGAACCTGAAGTCTCCCAGGGAACACAGAGCAGTGACACAGACTCAGGACGGCAGAGGCCGGGGCTGGAAGTGTGGTAAACAAAATGCTTTTGGCTGCATCCAGAGGAGGAAACGACCATCTTAGCTTGGATAACTGGCCAGGAATAGTGGCATCTGAAAGGAACCTAAAATACGTCACTCATTTACTCAAGTAAAACGGTTTGAGTTTCTCTCACTTACCAGACACTGTTCTAGGCATTAGATGGAAGAGCAGCAATCCCTGCCCTCATGGAGCTTGCATTCGTATGCAATAATCACCACTTACTGACAGATGTGCAGAGGCTGTGCTAAGTGCCTGACATACCTTATTCACTGAAATCTCAAATGTACTATGAGGTGAATATTATTATTATATCTGTTTGACAGAGGAGGAAACTGAGGCTAACAGAGGTTAAATAACTCACAGAAGAGCCGTGTCCTATGAGCCTTATGATGACTTTAGGAGGTCTTAGGAAATGCATCTGTCAGCCAGGCATGATGGATGTGAATGGGCGGAGTCCGGACTGTGAGGAGCCATTGTGACATTCCTGCTCTGAGAGAATGGGTCTGGACTAGACTCTCAGCAGGGGATATGAACTTCGCAAAATAGGGAGGTGAGGTCACCTGCTAAGGTGGTAGTTGCCCTTGCATAAGTGTTTTAGGGGACAGCAGGGATTCTGAGGAGTATGGACAAGGCCTGAAGAAGCTTCTGTGGCTGTTTTCTAACCCACTCTTTAAAGGATCGTAGTGACTGTCTTTATCTCCAGGAAGACATTTATCAGCACTAACTATGGGTGTGGAATATGAGAAAAATCCTAGAAAGCAAGATTTCCTTGAAGTGTAGGGAAGAATTAACTATATTTTCTTATAGCTTACATTTCTCTGTCCATACAAAGAAATAAGGTGTGTGTACACACACACACACACACATGCACACACATATCACATTCAAAAGCAAATTCAACTTAGGCATCTAATAAATGCATGAATCGTGTATCTTTTTGGCTTTCAGGTCTCACATCATTTTTATTGTGTTATTTAATAAGATCACTTTGATTATGATCATTAATCCATAAAAATAGTTTTCATATATATGTTGTATTTAAATAAATTTAAATATACCAAGGTCCTTGCTTTTTTTTCCTTTTCTAATCAAGTCCAAGATATCAGAATTACTCTTCAGAAAAATGTCAACTGAAACACAATTCTCAACTTCACTAATTATTCACGAACTCAGATTTAAGATAGACTTTCTTCTTTCTTTTTTTTTTTAGACTAGATTCTCATCTAGGGGTCATGAAGGGGGAAAAAAATCAATGAGTAGCTATCACTTACTCTCAGAAGAGGGGTTCCTCTGCCTTCCCTGATTGGAGCTGTGAATAATTCAACACCATCCCAGGCTCCCTTTTCCTTTCTTGAGGTTGAGCTTATTAAAATTACATGGCCAAAGGACACTGCTGAGGAGATGGCTGGTGCCCTCCATATCGGCTGTCAGGATCTCCAGTGCAGCCTCATAACAGCTTAAGCCCTTGCTCTGGGAGCACTGAGCTGCCACCAGCTAGGGGTGACCAATGGGTGAATGAAGATAGCAGTGGAGGAGCAGCCAGCTGTCTCCCCGGCTTGTATCATTTTCCTCCATTCGCTCGGCATCCATCCTGGTGGGGTGTGGAAATGGAATGCTGTCTCCATGCTTACTATTGATCAACTTCGTCATCATTGTTGGCCTCATCATTAAGTATTTATAGTTCACTGAGTGAAAGGTAAGTGCTGAACAGACGGGGCACCCCTTTTAGAAGCTTTCCAAGACTATAATTCATCTCCTTCAGTGAGATGGAGTCTCCAGAGACAGAATTTGAACAGTCCATGGATTAGAGTCAGTACTATCTTTTTTTTTTTTTTTTTTTTTTGGTTGTGGGGGTGGAATTTGATTACATGACTAGGGATTTTTTTTGCAAAATGATGTGTGTGTGTGGTGTGTGTGTGTGTGTGTGTGTGTGTGTGTGAAACTTTTTTTTCATGGGTCAGTGTATGAAGTTTCTAGGACCAGGTAGGATTCAATTGGAGGCTGAATATGATGGAACCAAATCAGACTTAAAATTCCATGGACTCAGGTCAAGATTTTTTAAGAGTTGTCAGGGAGACGGAAACCTAACAGTAAATCCAGCTAATCTTGAAAAGAGGGAGGAAATTTGGGTCAGGCATTGTCACCGAATGCTACTCTGGCAGCATGCATTTGCCCATCCTCTGAATCCTGTAAGTCTCTGGTTTCAATCCTTCCCTGTAACCACCTACCCCATCCCCAGTTCCATGGAGCAGGGGAAACATCCTTTTCTTCCTCATTACATTAATGGTTTCCCTTCCTATTATTTTCTCTTGCGTTTTCCATCGGCTTATTTTATTTCTCCTGATCATTAAGATGAAACATAATTATTATAGAAAAAAATCAACAGAATAGTATAAAAGAAAAGCAGAAACAACCACTTGAAATGCTATAATCAATAGGCAAATTACAGGCTGGGCATGATGTTTCATTCCTGTAATCCCAGCACTTTGGGAGGCCGAAGTAGAAGGATCACTTGAGCTCAGGAATTTCAGACCAGCCTGGGCAACATAGTGAGACCCTGTCTCTACGAAAAATTAAAAAAAAAATAGTGGAGAGGATTGTTTGAGCCTAGGTGTTTGAGGCTGCTGTGATCTATAATTCCCCACGGTACACCAGCCTGGGCCACAGAATGAGACCGTTTCAAAACAAACACCAACAACAAAAAGAGACAAACTACTGTTGTGGTGTATATCCTTTGTGTTTTTCTTTGTATTTCTTTTCATGGCATAAATTATACTTTATAATTTTGTATCCCAAATTTTGTTCATAATTCTATGATAAGCATTTTCCCTTGTCATCAAACTCTTCATAAACATAATTTTAATTACTTCATCATATTCTACGATGTAAGTATACATAATTTACTTAACCTTTCTTCTAAAGTTAAATGTTTATGTTGAACTAGTTTTGGGCCATTATAATAATGTTATAATGATAATCCTTGTGCATAAATCTTTGATCATATTTCTGATAATTTGTTTAGGATAAATGCCCAGAATTGGAACTACTGGCTCAAAGATATGAACATTTCTTAGGTTCTTGATATATAATGCCAAATTGCTTTCCAGAAAAACTGAGGCAGTTTATAGCCCTACCAAATTTTACCTACATTGAAAAATCCTTTTCCCCTTAAGATATATGCTGATTTGATTGATAAAAAAAGTTACTCATTTTTGAAATTATAAGAAAGGTTGAATTTAAGAAATGGTTATCAGCCACTTGTACTTCTCCTTTGTAAAGTTCTCTCTTTCTTTTCTTTGTCTCTACTGTCCTGTTACCTTACTTTTGCCATCTCTGAGTAGATCAGTGTCTTCAGTGGGTGTGCCACTTGGCCAAAGACTCCTTACTTCTCTTGTTACCCTCTTCACTTTCCCCCTTATTTAATCTTTTTCCACTCTTTAAAAAATTTATTTTTTAATTTTTGAGACAGAGCCTTGCTCTGTCACTCAGGTTGGAGTGCAGTAGTGCAGTCATGGCTCACTGCAGTCTTGAAGTTCTGAGCTTAAGCAATCCTCCCACCTCAACCTCCCCAGTAGCTAGGACTACAGATGTGCTCTACTGCACCTGGCTAATTTTTATTTTTTATTTTTTGTAGATTACAAGACAGCTCAGAGGTTCTCTCATAGGACAGCAGAGGCTGAACCTTGAAGGCAGGTCACAGGGTCTCTCTGTGTTGCCCAGGCTGGTCTCAAATTCCTGGCCTCAAGTGATCCTCCTCCCTTGGCCTCCCACTTTCCTACTCTTTTAGATTTCTGTTGCAGGGCTAAAGAAATGGACAACCTTTGGATAAGAGCCACCAAGCCCTAAGTGATGTTCAGAAAGGAAAGCCCAGCAGCTACTTAAATGGGTTCAGGAACATTTGGGATTTTTCTCTCTTGAAGTTCTTTTACAGCTTGGGGAACTCCCAAGAGGACTGAGACATTGTCCTGTTTGCCTCTGCATTTCCAGCGCCTAGAACAGAGCTGGTGCATACAGAAGGCAAGCAGCTCAGTGCATATTTATTGAATGAACAAACAAAGCCTTCTCAAAGTTCAGGTTTCTTTGCCATGCTTTGGGGCTCCTGACCTAGAGCTCAAGAGAAGAAAAAAAAAAAACACGACAAGGCTGCCAAGGAAGTTTGAAATTAATCTACATTTTGCAATTTGTACAAAAATGTAATTAGATTCCTTCTCCAGAGGCAATCCATTAATGTAATCAATGATTGCAGTTACTCAGTATGTAACCTGAAAAAAAAATTGCTGATGCCTCAGAAAAATAAACACTTGCTTAGTAAAATAATTCCGCACCCAGTGCCAGCCATTTCCTGTTTTCTTTTTCTATTTGACATGGTATCTCCTCTGCAGCATTCCTATTTAGAGACGGAAGCAAAGCCTGCTCCCTGGGGGCTGGAAGGGCCCTCTCTGCCACTGCATCTGCAAGGTGGAGACTTGCTGCTGCTTGGTGGAAACTGCACAGTGGCATGGCTCCCTCCACTGGCAGTTCTCCCACGGTCAACTAGCTGGGCTTCAGATAACTGACCACATGATCTAGCCTAGGCAGCATTGCTTTTTCTTTCTTTCCTTTTTCCCATCAACTTTTATTTTAAGTTCCGGGGCACATGTGCACGATGTGCAGGTTTGTTACATAGGTAAACATGTGCCGTGGTGGTTTGCCAAACCGATCAACCCCTCACCTAGGTATTAAGCCCAACATCTATTAGCTATTCTTCCTGATGCTGTCCCTCCCCTTGCCACCCCCAACCCTACAGGCCCTGGTGTGTGATGTTCCCCACCCATGTTTCCATGTGTTCTCATCGTTCAGCTCCCACTTATAAGTGAGAACATGCGGTGTTTGGTTTTCTGTTCTTGCAATAGTTTGCTGAGGATAATGGCTTCCAGCTCCATCCATGTCCCTGCAAAGGACATGCTCTCTTTCCATTTTATGGCTGCATAGTATTCCATGGTGTACATGTACCACATTTTCTTTATCCAGTCTATTATTGATGGGCATTTGAGTTGACTCTATGTCTTTGCTATTGTGAATAGTGCTGCAATGAACATATGCATGCATGTATCCTTATAATAGAAGATTTATATTCTTTTGGGTATATATTTAGTAATGTGATTGTTGGGTCAAGTGGTATTTCTGGTTCTAGGTCTTTGAGGAGTCGTCACACTGTCTTTCACAATGGTTGAACTAATTTACATTCCCACCGACAGTGTTAAAGCATTCCTTTTTCTCTGCAACCTTGCCAGCATCTGTTGTTACTTGACTATCTAATAATTACCATTCTGACGGGTGTGAGATGGTATCTCATTGTGGTTTTGATTTGCATTTCTCAAATGATCAGTGATGTTGCAAACTAAATCCAGCAGCACACAAGCACAGCATTGCTTTTTCTATACATTTTAATTCTTAGTTGAAATAGAAGTAAAAATATGAATTAAATGCCAATAAACCCATGTAACCTTAGAGGCTCAGCTTCCTTACTTCCTCTTTCTGTAGCTTTCTTCTCCTGCCAGAAAGCTTTCCCTGGCTCCATGGTGTTCATGGATCTCCAGCCACCCTACTTTTACCAGCAGGCAGGGCTGTGTCCCATTAGGAGCCCTGAGCCCCCTGCTACAAAGCCCTTGGGGATCCAGCAGTCATGCCCCAAACTCAGGAAGCAGGAGATTAGTAATGGAGGCACCACAGCCTGATTGAGAGAAGCTTGAGGAGATGATCTGAGTACAGCTGTGAGCTGCCCTCCCTAAAAGCCAGAGGGGAGTGGATGATGCCACTCCCTTAGGTGGAAAGTTCTCTTGTAACTTGGAACAGATGGAGTGAGAGTGCATTGATTCGAATGTGGTCATCCTGGAGAAGTGTGTTAGTTCTGCGATTGAAACCTCAATCTTCCCTGCTCCTCTCTCCAAGGCAGATTGGGAGTCTCTCCTGTGAACACTGCTGTCAGCACACTATTTAAGTTACAATTATTCACTGCTGTGCTTGTCTATGCTAGGGCAAGGGACATACATTTTTATCTTTTAATCCCAATGTCTGGTATGATATCTATCTGGCACATAGTAGGCATGAAAGACATTTCTTTAATCAAACAAAGAATGTGAGAGTGGTTGTTAGGTGCAGGATTAGCTCAAAGCCTAATGGGGGTGACCCAGGAAATTGCTGAAGGTCGAATTTCTATTGCTCTCAGCTGCGTGAGCACTGTTCTGAGAATAAATTTTCTCCATTTTTCCATATTAACCTTGGAAACCTTTCTCCAAGTGATAGTCCACCGTAAGCTCTTCTTCTATTTTGGGCTACTCCTTCTCAGGGTTCCTATGCATTTCGGCACAGGCACCTGTTAAGAGCTAGACTGGGGGTGTTGTAACTTCCATGTCCCACTGGGGTATGTGTTTTGTGAGGGAAGAGTCTTAGGTCCCTTGTAGCACAGATACCTTCAGGGAGCTGGGTGTTTATATAGAGCCCTGAGCACTTTGACATGGACTTTTGCTGGTCAAAAGAAGGTTGAGAGCCCTATTCATTCCCATGAGTTCCCTATCAAAATGTACTTCTCCCTTTTGCAAAACTGGCAATGCCAAGTTCGACCTCTTTGACTTCATTGTGCATCTGTCCCTATCACATGAAATATTTCCCAGGGCAGAATTGTCAAACAGTGATCCCAGGACCACCAGCATCAGAATTACCTGAGTGGGCTTGCAAAAATGCAGATCCTTATCCTGCCATTTCAGACTACTGATTTAAAGATTATTCCTTTGTGCTAGCCAAAGTTGGATAACTTCTGTCTTCAGGCATGGGGAGTTGGTCCCCCTAGGTGCAGTAGTCCTCTCTGATGCTTCTAAAAAGATGTATGGTCCAGATTGCACTGGGAGAAGGTGACTACTCTCTTTTGCCTGCCTCTTGCTAGTCTACAGTTATATGTAAAGTCTGTGACAGGCATTTGTGGGGATAAAATATCAAGATACTGCCTCTGTTCTCTGTTGTGTAAAACTTAAAGTGTCTATATTCATAAACAAATCACTTCAATAAAGGGCACATTGGGGCAAATCAAATGCCATGAAACATGGGGAGGAGAGATCATTTTGCTGAGGTTAGGATGATCTGGTGAGAGTTTTATGGGATTTCAAATTAGGCCTTGAACAATGGCTGGGACTTCCCAGACAAGAGGGAAACAAAGACTTTCTAGATTGATGTAGCAGCTTGATCAAGTCATGGAAATGAGGAGGCCAGAGGGATGTCTGAGCAGCAGAGAGGAGTTCTGTGTGGCTAGGAGGGAGAATGCAGGAGGCTGTACCATGAGAGGAGAGATGGATGCTGCTTAAAACTCAGGCACACCAGGGCTGTCTTCTGTGTCCAGGGTGGTGAGTCAGCTTTTCCAGCAGGATTAGATGTGATCATTCCCCCTCGTGCAGAACCTGGTCCGAGAATTTCCATGCCCATCACATTTCCTCATTCTGGGTTAATCAAACCCTAATTCCCCTTGCATCTTCTTGTACCCCATGCCCTCAAAATTGTTCTGTGCCATCTGCACTCTCGTCTATGTGGCAGAGCCAAGCCTTGATGAGAGAGCAGAGGACAGGCCAAGAAGAGAAACAGTTGGGTCAGTTCTGTGCCGTCTATGCAGACGTGGGAGGTGAATAATCTGAAACAGTGGGTGATACAAAAGGCATTTATATTTGGCTTTGGAACGCACGACATGATTGCTGGCAGCGGGGGTAGCAGATTTATCTTCCTAATTAGGCAAATATTCAAATGAGTTGGCACTCTCTGAACAAGCCACCAAATCCTAAGGCCATGTAAAAAGAAATCCTAGGATCAATTTTCATTTCAATATGAGTATTATTTATGTTAGTACTAGTTGGAATGTTCTAGAGTATTAGCATTCAAAGCTTCCCATCACATTGGCCTCTATGGCGAATGGGCTTCCGTCGACACATCTTCATTTGTGACTGATTTTCCGTGAAGCTGGGAATGACCTTTACCAAATTTCAGAATCATTAAATGAAGCCTTCTGATTTATTGTGGTAAGGAATATGTTCTTATATTAATAATAGTTTAATGGTTGGTGTAGAAGACTTGCTTGAAGAATCATTTCTGTGCCTGTGTTGCAGTGTACACAGCAGGCTAGAAACAGCCAATCACAATTCTAATTCCTTTTTGAACTTTAGCTTCCAGTAAAGTACAGTCAGATGTAAATTACTGCATATACTCTAAGCCCATGTGTAGACAGAACAGAATTTATAACCGTCAATAAAAACATTCATTTTAAGTTATTAATCTAATCATGGAATTTTATAGCTAGAAGTGACATTTGAGGTCATCTAATCTAACTTTATCATTTTAGTGATGAGGCCCAGAGAAATTTAAGGAACTTGAGGATGAAGTACTAAAGGTATTATGGGCTTTTATCCATGGGCTAGTCAAGGATAAAAAAGTGCATTTGTTGCTAAAACCAAACCAAACCTCAAAATCCTCTGTGGATAATTCCAAACAGTTGATTGTCTATGCATATGTTAGTCCCCATACTTCATGGGGTACATGATGGAGAGGATACTCCTAATCATAGGGCTCATTATTGACCGAGCCCTAAGAAATTGCCAGGGCCTCGGATACAGTGAATAAGATAGGTGTGGCCCTTGCCCTTTGAATCTTACAATCTCCCCTAGACACGCAGTGCTTTCCTGCTGGCTTTCAGGCCTGTCTTGGCCGTCCCAGCTCAGCCTTCCCAGTCCTGGATGTGGGATAATCTTTAAGCCTGTCCACTGTTTAGTTTTCTGATGAGAGCAAACAGAGGAGTGTAACAGGGATTTTCTTCTCTCTGCTGGATCACCAGCAAGAGATGGGGACAAGAGAACCAGACCAGAGCTCCCTAATTCCAGCTTCCAAATGTTCTCTGAGATGCAAACCTAGTCCACACCCCAGCCCCTTACCCCCACAGGTCCCTGTGAATATCTGGAGGTAGAGGGTAGAGGGAGCTCCAGTCTCAGAGAGGGTTTGTATTGAGTGGGAGAGGAAGAGGAAAGTTTCCCCAATATCACTGACTAAGCTGCTCCCAAATTTGAGAAGTTACAGAGATTCGGCGCAGAGAAGCACAGAAAGGGAAAGAAGGGAAAGAGAGGAGAAAGCAGGTGCTTGTGTGCAAGTGGGGTGGGGTTACCAGGACCCCTGGGAAGAATTCCCAACAATCCTGAACATTACTTCTTTCTCCCCTGGCTGCAGATAGATGCAGCCCTTGGGAGGTAAGCAGGGGCACTGGGGCACTTTCTCTTGGCCCTGTGTGCAATGTCACAAGAAGATAACAGAACCAAACCACCTGCCTGCAGCCTCCATCTTCCCTCAAATATTGCAGGCCATTTGAAAAGGATCACCTCTATCTTCACTCCAGGGACAATTGCAGCACATGGGATGAGTGAGGAGTGGGAGAAAATAACCTGTGGTGAGGGAAGCCCTGGAGAGAAGCCGATTAGAAATGCCTTGAGAGTGGGAACAGTCAATGGGAAACTATTAAACAAAGCAGGAAAAAGAGGTGATTATTTATCTGATGCCCTGATGAAGGAAAGATTTTTCGAAGCTTAAGGGAAATTACAAAGGAAAAGATTGATAGGTTTGTTCACATTCAAATTAAAAACTGTGCAGGCCAAAAAGTAATGAAAAATTAAAAGGCAAGGAAATTGGGAAAATACTTGCAACAAACATGCTAGACAAAATATTAACTTTCCAAATATGGTAAGAGGGCATGCAAATAGATTCAGAGCCCAATAAATAAATGCATAAAGGATGTGAACAGGTTGCAAAGAGAAATGGACATTTCTAACAAACATGAAAAGTATTTGGTTTCACCAAGTAATCTGAGATGCAAATTAATACACTAATAGCATATCTTTTGTTTTGTTTTGTTTTTTTACCTAACAAAATTAGAAAACTCTCAGTCATTGTTGGTGTGTTCATAGGAGATCAAATTGATACAACCTTACTTGAAATCAGTTTGGCAATATTTATCACAAGTCTTAGAATGTTCATACTCTGTGACTAAGTAATCCCATTTAAGGGTCTTTCTCCTAAGGGAACAATGTGAAATATACAGAGAGTTTTAAATTCAAATTGTTCATCACTAAAAATTGGTAATGATCTTAATGCTCAAAAATGGGGTAAGTGTTAAACAAATTATGGTTCAGTTATATAGTAGAGTGTGCTATAACCATTAAATGTGACATTTGCGCAGAATTTTTAGACATAAAGAAATGCTTGCATATTGAATACAAATTGAAAAAAAGAATAATGTAAAATGAGATGTAGATTATGCTTCTAGCTAGAATGTTACAAGATAATATATACACATATACATAGAAAAGGGCTGCAAGGAAATAAACCAAAATGTTGACAGTGATTATCTCTGGGTGGTGGGATTATGAGTGATTTTTCCTTTCAAGATTTTTTTTGTATTTAATCTTATAAACATATGTGATTCATTGAAGTAAAATAATAACAACCACCACCATCACCATCAGATACTTTATTTTGAAAGTAAGGACAGGGCTGGGCGTGGTGTCTCACACCTGTAATCCCAGCACTTTGGGAGGCTGAGGCGGGCAGATCACCTGAGGTCAGGAGCTCGAGAGCAGCCTGGCCAACATGGCGAAACCCCGTCTCTACCAAAATACAAAAATTAGCAGGGCATGCTGGCACATGCCTGTAATCTCAGCTACTCGGGAGGCTGAGGCAGGAGAATCGCTTGAACCTGGGGGAGCTGAGGTTGCAGTGAGCCGAGAATGCACCATTGCACTCCAGCCTGGGTGACAGAGCAAGACTCTGTCTAAAAAAAAAAAAAAAAAAAGGAAATTAAGGACAGGAGGAGGTAAACAGGGCACAGTTTGGGACTGTAAAACCCAGTCCCAAGCACAGACTGGGAAACCGGTTGACTTCAGTGGAGGCTCATGCTCAGGAGCTGCGTTAAGAAATCCTGTTGCTGTCTCTAGGCTCAGAGTCCGGGGAGTAGGACAGGTTGTTGAGAGGAGCTGAGTCTTACCCTGAAGCCCAGGAGTTAGATCCAAGTCCAGGTTGGAAAGGTCTCACTTCTCTATGGAGAAAAAGGGGCAGCTCAGTGGTGGTCAGTGTTATGACAAGTGGGATAGAAGCCCCCAGGGAAAAGAGAGGGAGGAAAGAGACCTTCGGGAGCCTGGAAGATTGTTGTATATCCTCCCTGGGTCTGGCTTAGCGTGCGATAGAGAGCCGTGCTTTTGATATATCTTAACTGTGTGTAACCTACAACCCAGGATTCTCTAAACTTTAGAAAAAATACCTGTGCAGTTGAACTACAGTATCAGGGCTGCAGTGGACCAGACAGGGAAGTAATGCTTCAGAGAAGAAGAGAAAACAGGGAAAGACCAGGAACCCAGAAGACCATCTCTGGGAGAAAAATCACTCTTAGTGATGGAAGCAGTGAGTGAACTGAGGCAGGTTCAGCAGTAACGCGGCTGGGGGCAGCCCCTGTCTGGGTGTGCCACTGTGAGTTTCCTGACCTGGCCACTGTTTATGCGGATCTAGGCCTGTGTTCCCACGTAGCTTCCCTGTGACCAACAGCGAGAGTGCTGCTGGGTTCTGTGTGGTTAGGGGTGCAGTCTGTAGTCAAGGAACAGAATGAAATTAATTAGCCCCCTTGGGATAGCTGCAGCCTATATCTTTGGACTCGTTAGCAAAGGGCTCTAACTAGGTGAGATAACCAGCTTCACGAGTAGGTTAGCTCTTGGCTGTCAGGATTTCTATTCTCTGCCCAATAGAGCAGAGGCTGAAAAATATTTCACAATAATCATCACAATGGAGGGACTCTGCAGGAGCCGGTAGGAGCTAGGTTTTTTTTGTTGTTGTTGTTGTTAGCTGACCCAACTATCCTGACATCATTGCTGGGCCTGAATGCAAAGCAGATAAAGTCCCCTCTGTGCATGTGCATGTGTGGGGACGTGTCACATGCATGCGTGCATATACATTTTGCTGTAATGTGTTCTTCACATCTGGGGATATCTTAGGTGGGTTCATCCAGAAGCAGACCTTGAAATGGAGCTTTGTATGCAGAGGTTACTGGGGAGTGCCATGGGAGAGAGGGAGGGAGGGAGGAAGGCAGGGGAGCGGGACTGGTCAGAGGGAGCCACTGAGCGGCAATGGAGTTGCAGCAAACGTCTCAGTCATTTGGACCTGGGATAGCCCTTCAGAGTGTCCTGTTGTTTTATGAAGTTGGTCACTTCGTACCCTCCACTGACCCAATTGACCTGTCATTGGGTGCCAGCCATCGCTTGGAAAGGGTCATACCTTAGGTGAAACCTTACCTTTGGCCAGGATTGATTCCCCGGGTGGAACTCAGCCTCGAGTCTCAGCAGGGGGATGACTAGAAGATCCCATGCCTCCGCTCTGAAGTGGGATCTTGGTGGCATCCCACGGCACCCACCACAGGGGGTGATGAGAGTCTTAGAATCCCTGCATTCTGAAAACTGTTCCCATCCTGGGCTCATCCATGGTGGTTTCCAACAGGACAGCCTTCCTGATGGTCCTGGTCACTGTTATCAGGAGGCTACATGGAGCTTTTCCATAGGACTTGGTGGATCTGCTTCTAGAATACCATCAACCTCATGACCTGTGGCAGTGAACCTGGGCTTTGCCCCCTAGTGTAGGGAGCTGAAGTTGGTCACTTGAGCACTGTCCGGTAGAAACAGAACATAAGCCACAGATTTAACATTTTTCTTGTAGCCACCTAAAAAAATAAAAAGAAACAGATGTCATTAATTTTAATAACATAGTTTAACTTAATATCAAAATTTTATTTCAACATATAATCAACATTGAAAAATATTTTAATTCGATTTAATTATTTTGTACTAGGTCTTTGAAATCACATGTTAATTTTATACTATGGTGCATCTCAATTCAGACTGGCTACATTTCAAGTGTGCAGTAGCCATGTGTGGGTAGTGGCTACTGTATTGGATAGTTCTAGAGTACAACCTCTTTCTGCCATGAATTTACTCCTCCCATTTAAAAAAATGAGGTTTTTAATTGGAGGAGGTGAGATGGCCAATAATTCAAATTAATTACCATTATTATTAAAAAACATGTACAACACACCAGATTGAATTTGTTTTATGTGCAGTACAAAGAAGACTATTCCAGATTGGTATTTCCCTTCTAGAAGTTTCTAAGCTTCTGCTACAGTGTTTACTGATTTGGCTTCTAAATCTGTATTATCAGTCTTCAGCTTAGGCTGCAAAAGTAGAATATTCTTGTCTCTTCCATGGATGATGACACCTTTCACTTTCCCAAAGTAGAAAGTTAATGATTTTCTGTGTTGTAAATGAGGACAAGAATTTCTGTGATTACAAATTTTACTTTTAAGAATATTTCTGGGTAAAACTATTTAATTGATTAGATTGCATTTTAATACCGAAGAGAACAGTATTATAAATGAGTTAGATCTCCTTTGCCTTTGGCAAACACCAGGATGGATTTTCTAGGTATAAACACACAGCTGTGTGCACTGTTTTGCTATTATTTATATGAAGCCAATTGCTTTCTCATCCTCTACTGCTCTGAGTTTGTGTGTGTTCCTTTTGCTTTTCCATGTCTCTGTTTCTTTCCTCCTCCTTGTGATTTGGTATCTGCTAGCTTTTGTTAAGTTTTCTGAAAGGTGGGTGCTGGGAAGGTTGCACTTCTGGACTTCCTGCCTTGTGACTCCACCTGGTGGGAAGCCCCCATGAGTGGAGGTTCCATGAATTGAGAACATTGTCATGTCCTCTGGGATCCCTTTTTTTTTTTTTTTAAATTTATTTCATAGCTTTTGGGGTACAAGCGTTTTTTTTTGTTCTGTTACATGGATGAATTCTGTAGTGGTGAACTCTGGGATTTTAGTGCACCCGTCACCCGAGTAGTGTACATTGTACCTAATGTGTAGTTTTTTTTTTTAATCCCTAGCCCCCTCCCATCCTCCCCCTTCTGAGTCTCTGAAGTCCATTATATCACTCTGTATGCCTTTTTTTGGTTGAAGAAGTTTCCTGCTTTCCTGGTTCATCTCATCCTAGGCACCAACATTACAGATTATTTAGAATTTATCAGGTTCTGGCCTGGCGCGGTGGCTCACGCCTGTAATCCCAGCACTTTGGGAGGCTGAGGTGGGCGGATCACCTGAGGTCAGGAGCTCAAGACCAGCCTGGCCAACATGGTGAAAACCCGTCTCTACTAAAAATACAAAAATTAGCTGGGCGTGGTGGCAGGCCTATAATCCCAGCTACTCGGGAGGCTGAGGCAGGAGAATCACTTGAACCCAGGAGGCAGAGTTTGCAGTGATCTGAGATCCCGCTGTTGCACTCCAGCCTGGGGAACAAGAGCGGGACTTCGTCTCAAAAAAAAAAAAAAAAAAAAAAAGAATTTATCTGGTTCCTCAGCTACCAAGGCTCCAGCAAGATTTGAGGGCACGTGGTGGCGTTGGTTTCTGTCAGACCTCTTTAAAGGAGCTTCGCTTTGCTTCCTTCAGAATAGGCCTGGCTAGTTGAAACACATGAACTACATACCTAATTTTAGATTTTCCAGTAGCCACATTAGAAAAAGTAAAAAGGAATGGGTTGACTTAAATTTAATAGTGTATTTTACTTGGCCCTATATATCCAAAATATTATTCTTGTTTCAATGAATAATCAATGTAAAATTTATCGAGAGATCTTTTTTTTTGCACTAAGTTTTCAAAATCTGGTGTACTTAAAACACATCTGAATTTGGGTGCTACATTTTCATCAGAAATACTTGATCTATAGTTTTATAGAGTCCATAAAACTGACAATTGAAAATGTGAATGCACATATCCAAGTTATTCCAGACATATTTAAAAGCTTTTTAATAACTGAATTGAGTCCCAAAAAATCAGCTCTAATATTCATGCTCCTATTAATAGAACTGGTTTATCTTTTTGAAATAAGATTAACTTTGAAGCAGATTGACTTTGAAGCAGAGTGAAAAGTAGTCCTACCAAACAAAGTTGTGTTTAGTGGCAACAGGCTTTATATTGCCTTCATTTTAAAATTTAAGTGGAAGTTTGATTAAAATTACATCAAAGTCGAAATTTACTTTCTCAATCCCAGTAGCCACATTTCAGCTAATCAATAGCCACATGCCCGGCTATTTTAGAATCTTTTAAAGTACTGTTGAATTGAAACAAACAATATAAACAGAGCAGAACTGCATAGTGATTTCCTCATGGTATTCGCTCTGTGGCTATTTTCACACTTTGTGTGAGTGTGTGTGTGTGTGTGTGTGTGTGTGTGTGTTTCTCCATTACCTACCTTCCCGATTCTTTTCCTTTTTTTTTTTTTTTTTTGAGACGGAATCTCACTCTGTTGCCCAGGGTGGAGTGCAGTGGCATGATCCTGGCTCACTGCAGCCTCTGCCTCCCAGGTTCAAGTGATTCTCCTGCCTCAGCTCCCGGGCAGCTGGGATTACAGGTGCTTGTCACCATGCCAGGCTAATTTTTGTATATTTTCAGTAGAGACAGAGTTTCACCACATTGGCCAGGCTGGTCTCAAACTCCTAACCGCAAGTGATTTGCTCACCTCTGCCTCCCAGAGTGCGGGGGTTACAGGCATGAGCCACCGTGCCAGGCCCCGATTCTTTATCTGAGATTCCAGCTGCTGTCTCTCTGCCTTTGAGTTGCATTCACTCCTGTCTCCTGTCTTTATGTCATTGTTTTCCACTTTTCCCTCCATCTACCTTTTTTTCTTCCTCTTTCTCCTCCTTTTGCATCTGATTTTCTTCTTGAACTAGGCACAAAGTCTATTTTTTAAATGTTCTTTTGTGTGTTGGCTAGCTTTAAATCCCCAGGAATAAAATAAGAGAGACAGTTTAGATTTTTCATTCACGTTAAATAAAGTAAAACTTAAACAAACCCCAAACAACCAAAGTCATGTGACCCTGGCTTGATTGCCTTTTTTTCGGGTCATTGACTAATGAAGGGGAGAATTGTCTCTTTCTCGGAGTCCATGCGAGGTCAGCCTGGGACTCTGTGTGTGGTTTTGCAGAGAGGGCCTCTGGGATGGTCACTTGTGGATTTTTGTTCTTTTGTTTTTGACTCCAACCGTTAACTTCTGCTTGGAGATTAAAAATGACACTGAAGTCTCTCAGCACTTCTGTCTTTGTAAGGGGTGGAGCGCGGTCAGCTCTGCTCTATGGGGTTATGGCAGCCATCAGAAGTAGGAAGAAGCCTCTTAACCAAGGATGTGAGATGCTGATGAAGCTGAGGGAAACGTCAGCAGGGGCTGGTGGTGTCCTCAAACGGAGACTGGAGGAAGGGGAGCAGAGGGGAGTGAGGCAGGAACCTCAGGTTAATTTGGGCCAGTAGAAGTGTGACCGTTACCAGGTCACTCTCCTCGCTGGGCCTCGGCTTCCTTCCTCCTTCTCAAATCCAGCTGCACTCTTTGTGGTTCCCCTACTGTACTGGCCCATGGGCCCAGATCTATTTTGCAGAACATTCTCGTTCTCATTGCCAGCCATGCAGCCAGTGACAGGGCTGAGAAGAGGTGAAGCCAAACATTTGTATTATTAAAAGTTATGAGGGGAAGGAAAGTAATAGTGGCGAGTGTATTTTCATGTTCCATTTCACTCCTGGAATAATTCAAGTCCGTGTGGACCATTTTTGCTTGACCTGTCAAGACCCAAACATGTATCCACCACTGAATACCCCTGTGTACCTGTGTCCTCCACAATGCCTGCCCTCATGACGGTCCAGTATTCATAGCCTTCCACTAGAGCTGGTAGAAGAGGCAAAACCGGGGCTGCGGACATTTTGGGGGAGCGTTTTGTGCAGTTCAGTCTTATTCAGTTTACCAAATGTTTCTCACGATTTTTTCAAACCTATATTTTTAGGCTGTTATTTTGCACCAGGTCCTGAGATAAGCATTGCATAAAGCTCAGCTCATTTACTTATGTGCCAGGGTAGACAGGTCCTTTAAAAAAATCCATACAGTTCCTTTCATCCAGAGCTTGGAAGTATGTCTATGTAACATAACTGACGGTGTAAAACGTAACTCACGAAACAGGTAACTGTGCAAAGCAGTGTTGTATTAAGTACCCAAATGATACTATGGCAAATAAATGCATCAGACATTCAGAGAAGGGAGAGATGACTTAGGACTAAAATTGAGCCTTGAAGGTAGCTATGACTGGGATAACTGGAGAGAAAGGAAGATGACATTTTGAGTTGGAATAAAAGGGGCTAAAATTTTGGTTATGGTGGGCTAGAAAGGCTATAGGACACAAAAGATACACATGTGAGTAATTGTTGAATGAACAAACGGATGGCTCCAGGCTTTTAAGCCTAGGCGGCAGAACCTAGTGAGGCTGTGAGAAGGAGTAATGAGAATGGTGACAATGATTTCAGTTTGAAGCACGTAGAGTCTGTGATGATGACAGGTCCGGCTGGAGATGCTTGTGGGCACCTGAATTAGAGTGTCAGTGAAAAATTGAGTGAGAATACAGATTCGAGAGTCATGGAATAGAGGTGATAGTGAAGTCATAAAATAGGATGTGTTTCCAGGATGAAAGAGGAAGGTGTGAAGTGCACATAGGTTGCCCTCGGGGGGAAGAAGAACTCAGCAAAGGGCACAAAGAAGGATGCACAGGGCCAGGCTTGGTGGCTCATGCCTGTAATCCTAACATTTTGGGAGGCTGAGGTGGGCAGATTGCCTGAGCTCAGGAGTTCGAAACCAGCCTGGGCAACATGGAGAAACCCCATCTCTACTAAAAATACAAAATTTAGCAGGCATGGTGGCGTGTGCCTGTAATCCCAGCTACTCGGGAGGGTGAGGCAGGAGAATTGCTTGAACCTGGGAGGCAAGAGAATTGCTTGAACCTGGGAGGCGGAGGTTGCAGTGAGCCGAGATCGCACCACTGGACTCCGAACTCCAGCCTGGGTGACAGAGCAAGACTCCATCACCAAAAAAAAAAAAAAAAAAAAAAAAAAAAAAAAAAAAAAAAGAAGGATGCACAGGGGAGGTAGGAGGAGAGCCAAGAAACATCATGTTAAGGGGCCCAGGAGTGAGAAGGTTTCGCAGTGTGGGCTGCCTCCTGGGAAAGGGAGGGAAAACAGGACTGTGGAAAGGCCAGAAGCAGAACCCAGGCTGCTTCTGGAGTGGAACTGGGGAAGGACATTTGTGGATGGAGGTTTGTTCATTTTACACTTGCAGATAATTTTGCCCAGAGGCCTGAATGTTAAACTCTTGCTATAGAGGTTAAGACTTCTTTTGAGAACATTTTGCAAAATAAAGAAACGGCAAAAAGTCTCCGATAGTCTGTTGAGTTTACAGCAAGAAGAGAAATCACCGAGGTCTTAGAACTGTTTTCCTTCTCTTCTGAGAATCCTCTCCTGCAAACTCTCTCATTTCTGCAAATAGTGCTCATACGCTTTCACTTGTCCTTAAGCTCAAATGCAGCCACATCGTATACATAAGCCAGCTCCCCTGATGGAACTCCACAGGAATTGGGAATGCCTATAGATTTTTCAGCGGAAATAGAGGCAAGAGAATTGGCATGCTGTGAGTCGATCTTCATCCAAACCTTTTCCAAATCCATATTCTTTTCGTTGTGTAAGTTTGTCCAGTGAATTTCATTATGGTCCGTGATAGAAATGTTATTGTGTGGAGACAGATGTAAATCCACTTCTGTTATATAAACAAGTACTTTTGGACCTCACTCTGGAACCACCGTCAGACTGGAAAAGGGTTTGGAAGTAGGGATGGGAGTAGTAGAGTTTGGGAAATGATGCGATTTTTTTTTTTCCTGAATTCCAACCAAACCTGTAAATTTTTAAGATTTCTACAAACTTAGGAAAAGCCTGTTTAGCTTAGGCCTATCACAACTTTTTATTTTTGTTCAAATTTGTTTCTGAGGGGATGAGTCTGAATAAGAATCAGGTTGCTTCCAGATCCCAGACAGCTACTGAGGACCAGCAGCAAATGTGTCCATTTTTTGTTGATAGTTCATCTCTATGGAGCCATGCTTATTTTAGTTCACATAAAAATGTATTACCAAATATCTATTACTTCTTGAGTAAAATGAAATTGAAAAATACTTACAGAGTAATGACCCATTTCCCCATGTGGATGCAAGTGGCAAATCTTTTCATTCATGATTTCAGCATGTATTTATCAGGTTCAGTACGATGTTTCTGAGACTACGAAAGGGTATTTGGAGTAACGTCCATCCTCTAGGGGGTTGTAACATAGGTAGAGAGACAAGAAGATCTTCAATAAAATGATTTAAAAGTAATTTGGCTAAATATGTAAGACACTTTGTAGCCTATATGCTAAGAATTCAAAATAAGTATTTTTTTAAGGGGTAGAGAAACCAGAGATGGCTTCCTGGAGGAGGCGGATCAAGAACTGGATCATGTAGAGTTAAAACTGGAAAAAATTTGTGGAGGCTGGAAAAGAGTGTGTGCAGGTAAGCAAAGGCGTAGAGGTGGGAACAAGAGACATGGTGTAGGTGAAGAATTTGTGTTGTAGAGAAACGAAGGATGAGATTTGGTAAAGGGGCCGGGGTCAGAGTACAGAAGGGCCTGAGTGCCAGACTCGTAAATGCTGTGCACACCTTAGGGGCTACGGGGCTGCTGTAGGATCTGAATAAGGGAGCATGTCCAGCCACCCCCAGCACTCTTTTCCCCATTACCAAGCATTCCTTCTTTAAAGAGCTTATTGCTCTCTAAAATAAACGTCTGGTTATCTGTTTGCTTCTTTGTAGATCATCTCTGCAGCTAGAATGTGAGCACCATGGGGTCAGGGAACATGTGTCTCTGATTCGCGATAGGACTTTTCCCAGTATCTAGAACAATCCTGACAGAATTATATATGTATGTGTGTACATATGTATAAATCTTTCGCTCTCTCTTTCTATGTATATATAGAGAGAGAACTTTGTGGAAATAGATATTTATCTTTATACATAGATATCTCTCTATATATAGGTTTCTCTCTACACACACACACACACACACACACAATTCAAATCAAGATATATGGCTATGTAGATATAGATATTTATATATACACAGATATAGATGTAGATAATTCTTTATATACATGGATATATCTCTCTGTAGGTCTCTCTGTCTCTCTATCTATATAAGCTTCCTGGAAAATAATGCACACTTAGAATTTTTTGCCTACGGTTTTAGACTGGTTACCTCCCTATCACAGTAGTCCATCCCCAGACCCATGAGGGACCCTGAAATGGGCTTAAGATCACAGGTTCTGCTCGAGATGTTTGAATTCAGCTGCCTCCAAGCGACATCCATAGCTTCTCCCTCTGTCACGTGGGAAAGGGATTTTCTTTGGGCTTTCATTCTTTTTGGCAGTAGGGAAAGGGAAAGAGGATGGAGCCATGCTTTGTCTTTGTATTTCTAGTGGAGGATGCAGAGGAAGAAGAATGGGAGAGAACTTCTAGCAGATTCTCTAAAAGGTGGGAGCTGTAATACCAGGGCATATCAGAGGTGTGATTGTCAGGTAATGTAGGATGCCAAGTTACATTTGCATTGCAGGTAAACAATGACCAAATTTTTTGTGTATGTTCCAAGTATTTCCTAGGATATACATATACTAAAAATTATTTGTTGTTTATCTGAAATTCAAATTGAACTGAGTGGTCTTTTTATTCCCTCTAAATCTGGCAACCTTAATTAATTGGGGGCTCTCAGGACCCTCATGAGATCTTGTGTCTGGCACCCCTCCAGGCCCTGTCATGTGTCCTCCCCTGTCACGTGTCACTCAATCCTCTGTTAATGCATATGTGACCAGTCTTCCCCTTTCTCTTTTTTTTTTTCAGTCCATCTCTAAAGCATTCTGCAAGTTGTTTCTTAAATTGCAAATATAACCATGCATGGCTTAAAGATGGGGATACGTGGCCGGGCACAGTAGCTCACGCCTGCAATCCCAGCACTTTGGGAGGCTGAGGTGGGCAGATAATTTGAGGTCAGGAGTTGGAGACAAGCCTGGCCAACATGGTGAAACCCTGCCTCCACTAAAAATACAAAAGTTAGTCAGGTGTGGTGGCAGGCGCCTGTAATCCCAGCTACTCAGTAGGGTGAGGCACGAGAATCGCTTGAACCTGGGAGGCGGAGGTTGTAGTGAGCCGAGATTGCGCCACTGCACTCCAGCCTAGCAAATAAGTGTATCGGATATTCAGAGAGTGAGACTCTGTCCCAAAAAATAAAGATGGGGATACGTTCTGAGAAATGCATCATTAAGCAATGTTGTTGCTGTGTCAACATCCTGGAGTGTACTTATACAGACATTGACGGTATAGCCTACTACGCACCTGGGCTACATGATATAGCCCATTGCTCCTAGGCTACAAACCTGTACAGCATGTTACTATACTGAATTGTACACAATGATAAGTATTTGTATATCGAAATATAGAAAAGGTACAGTAAATATAAGGTATAAAAGGTAAAAAATGATACTTCTGTATAGAACACTTACCATGAATGGAGCTTGCAGGACTGCAAGTTGCTCTGGGTGAGTCGGTGAGTGAATGTGAAGGCCTATGACATTTGTATACACTACTGTAGGCTTCATAAGCACGATACACTTAGGCCACCCTCAATTTATGAAAGATACTTTTCTTTCTGCAATAATAAATTAACCTTAGCTTACTCGATGACCACTGTCATATATGTAGTTCTTTGTTGATGGATACACTTTAGCCGGTGTATGGACTATATTTTGTTGCGTGCTCAGAGCTGGGTCTCTCCTATTGTGACTTTAGAGTTTCCTGCTGAGATTTTTGAGCTGCAGATAATGTGGGCTGTTGGATGTTGGTGGTTCCTTATAGAAGAAGGGCCTACCTGGAAGAGGAAGAGTGACTGATATGGTTTGACTGTGTCCCCACCCAAATCTCATCTTGAATTGTAGCTCCCATAATTCCCATGTGTCATGGGACAGACCCAGTGGGAGATCGTTGAATCATGGAGGAGGTTTCCCCCATACTGTTCTCGTGGTAGTGAATAAGTCTCCTGAGATCTGATGGTTTTATCAGGGGTTTCCACGTTTGCTTGGGTCCTCATTCTCTCTTGCCTGCTGCCATGTAAGATGTGCCTTCTGCCGTGATTGGGAGGCCTCCCCAGCCACGTGGAACTGTGAATCCATTAAACCTCTTTTTCTTTATAAATTGCCCAGTCTCAGGTATGTCTTTATCAGCAGTGTAAAAACGTACTTATACAGTAAATTGGTACTGGTAGAGTGGGACAGTGCTGTAAAGATTCCTGAAAATGTGGAAGCGACATTGGAACTGGGTAACAGGTGAAATGGCAGAAGTAGGCAAGAGTGAGAGGGCAGAAGAAGGCCCAGTTCAGGGAGGGTGTTAGCAGGATGCTGACACTGAACTCTGCCCTGTTGGTAATTACATGGGACCCAGTGAGAAAAGGGGCTCATGTGCCTGGCCAAGGGTGGAGTTGTCTGGAAAAATGGAAGGAGGCTTCCTTCCACTTGGAGAACTTTCTCTGCTCTAAATGGGAAGCTTATCTTCTGCCATTCCAATGGTTGTTGGTACTATTTCATCTTTTCCCTGGAGATGCATTTCAGATAGCAGAATTTTGAAAAGAAATTCTGTGTGGCTATATTAAATCTAATATGAGACTTTCCTTTATCTAATATCATTCTAATAATTCAGAGGCAAGCTTTAGTGGAGATGATTAATTCAACATGGATATTTCTTACCTTAAGGAAACAAAATTTAAACTTACAAGACCAACATCGTAGAGATGAATTCTTTTTAAAGAAATAAAACTCCCAAAATGAAATATTTTTGGGGCCAAAATAGTTAACTATTGGTAATAATAAAAATAACTAATTTTTTTTTCTGAGCAGCTGCTGTATTCCTGGCATTTTAGATTGAATGTATTCACTACCTCCAATCCTCTCAAATACTCTGCAAGATGCCTATTATTAACTAGCTAGTTTTATAGATGTGGAAACTCAGTCTCAGAGAGTAACATGGCCAGTGAGCTTGCAGATCACCTTTACAGCACTCATGCACTGATTTATTGAATCTTCATACCAGCCTTATGCATAGGTACTATTATCATTATCCCACTTTATAGATGAGAAAATTGAAGTGCAGAGAGCTTAAGTAACTTGTTCAAAGTCACACAGCTAGTGAGTGGCAGAGGAAGGATTCGAACTGGGCAGTCTGGCTCCAGCATCAGTGCTCATTTCCACTACAATATGTCCTCTCCGTGTAATTGGGACAGGACCAGAAGGAAATATATTGCTAAGGAAAGAAAGCATGACAGAGTAGGGAGAACCACTTAGTTCCAGGAGCTCAAAGGAAAGAACACAGGATGGAGTGTCTGATGTTCTCATGGGAGCTAAGTGGGGGCTCTGTGCTCACCTTCCTTTAATCCCCCTGGACTTCTTGACATTTATCACAATCAGCCTCTCCATAGCAAGAGGCTCCTGCTGAGCACCTGGCCACGTGTGGTTCTTCTCTCATCCCCCCTTCCCAAGATGCACTAAATCAGTTTCCTTTGCCTGTTACCTTTTAATAATTTCCAAGTGGAGCCCTGGCCAGCATGGCCTCATTGTTTGCCCAAGCCTTTTTCATACCTGACAGGATCAAATGGGTCTAATCACACTACAGTCTTTCTTTCTGAAAGCATTTAGGTCCAAAGCATTGTCTCTGTTCTCTTCCCACCTCGCAACAGAAGGGCATTTCTCAGCACTCCAAGCTGTGGGAAAGGAAAACTCCTTTCCTCGGCTTTTCCTTTGCATTCAACTCTATGTTTCCCTAAAGGGTCAGCTATGCTCCAATGTACCTAAAACACAGTTCAGATTTTGCAGATCTTTTTTAAGCATCTTCTGTGGGCCATGTGGCTCTGCTGGGCCCTGAGGATACAGTGATGAGTGAGAGAACTCCTTCATCTCAAGAGGCTCACAGTCTAACTTGTATGGGTCTCTCAATCCCTAAGGAAGATGCAGTCTCTTTGCCAGAAACTTCTATACTGGAGGTAAACAAACAAACAGAAAAAAACAACCAAACAAGCAGAAGCACCCGCAGGAATCAGAGAAGCATTAAAGAATGACAGCTAGAGTGGCCTGGGCAGTGCATTACAGACAGATATGCAGGGAAACACATCATATGTGTACCTGGGAATGGGCCAGAAAGGGGTGTGATGCAAGACAGTACTAGGCAGTTTGGGGGAACATGAGAGGGTGAAGAAAGAGCAATGTACCCTCATGGCTTCCAAAGTTCTGCAGCTGGAGATACTGCAATTAACATTTATTGCCAGGACCTACTAGGTGCATGATATAGAGTTCCCAGGCAACCACTTAGCCTACAAGATTACTGCATCAGTAAAAATTATTAACACATTAAGCCATAATTATTAAGTCAAATAGCGACAGTAATAACTCCAGAGCAAACTTATAAAACAAATTTAGAGCCTTTATTACCCCAGGTATACTTTATCCACCCCGCATTGTACCTATTACAGTGTGCCCCAACCCACGGTCCTCTGTCCAAGGTCAACAGACTAGTATTTCTTTGATTTATTAGTAGACTTGGCCTTAAAATCACATTTTCTCTTGGGTCGTATCCCCATGAGCTTTTCACCTGGGGATTTCAGCAGCACCTGACAACTCACCTTTTACTGTACCTAGGGTGCAAGGGGGAAGTTGCTTCTCTCTGAAATGTCATTCGACTTGATGTTTTCTTTTATCATTTAATTTTTTTCCTCTTAAGAGAGAGACATTTCTCTAAGATCCCTGTTTGCTTAAGGCTTAAAAAGTTGCAATTCTACTATGTGTTAGTGTCCCTACCGAAGATGCTATGAAATAACTAGAGGAAGACTTTGTAAAGCTACAGGACTGAAGTCACTAGAAGTACTAATGAGACAGGAAAGACTAGAAGGCCTGCCATTAGAGGGCAGAGTGTGGACCTATTGTCCAGAGGATCTTTTCCCCACTAGCTGGTATGGGGCAGGTACCAGTCCATGGATGGGAAGGTTGCAAAAGAGAAGGGACCCTTGCGATAGGAGAGGCTGCCTGTAATGGTGAGGACTGGACAGGGGGTCTCTTCTTGCTATTTTGGGGGTCTGAGCCCTCTGTCCTGCAGGCACAGCCTCACAGGTTCTGGAGTTCAGGATGGTTCATCTTCCAATTGTGCCCATATTTGCTGTTCTCAAAAGAAACGAGGGAGGCATGTGAAATTCTGAACTCTTCGATAACCCCAAGGGAAACTGGCCACGATGTAGACGTCACTCTAGTGATGAAGTTGTTGAGAAATGAAGATGAGAATTCCTTGGGCCAGTTTCTGTGCCCATGGATTTGATGTCTATCTGAATTTTGGAGTTAGTAAACACATCAGTGTTACATAGTTTGAAGGGCTCTTGTTGAAAGCCTTGTGATACCTGTAGTAGCTGATGTGTTATTACTAATTCTACACATCTCCTGGATATATACAGCTCCTGGATCTACATAACTCCTGGATGAAATTGAGTCAAAGAGACCACAGACTGTATGGTACAGTCTCTTACCTAGAAGTCTAGATGTGTTGTTGTCCAAAGTCTGAAAGCCAATACAGCAGTGGCACAGTTAGCACCAGGTGTCCTGGGTCTCAGTCTAGGGCTCTTTACTGGCTTGGCTGCATTTGCCCCAGCTCCATTCTCCTTGCCCTGTGAAGCTGATCTCCATGGACAGCATTGCCTGAGCTCCCTGGCTTTCTGCCTTCCACTTGGGTTTGGCCATTGGGAGGCACCACCAGAAAACCAGAGGGCAAGAGAAAAGAGGTGGCAATCTGTATGTGCACATGCCCCGCCCTCTGCCTCCTCCAGTTCTGTGGTGCTATGCTCCTTTAAGGCACATCTTGTGCAAAGTGGCCTCTCTTCCACAGTTTTGGCTCCTGCAGGCTCTCAGGCACACACAATTCCCTCCCCTGGTTCCTCAGGCCTAGGGGCAGTATCTGCTTCCCCCTTGTTGCCAGTCCCTTTGTGCTTCCCTATCCCTTATTGGTTCCTTTAATTCTGAACACAGCTGTATGCAGAATTCCTTCCTTAAACTCTTTCCCGTTAACTCCCTCTGAGCATGCCCACTGTGTTGGGTCCTGATGGATCCAGGTTCCTCCTTTCTCCGGGGTGTTTGGATCTGCAAATGTGCAGCTTCAGCAGCTCCATGCTATGCTCTTTTAAATCCTCTGTAGCAGGTTTATCTTTGTTTACAAAATAGCTGTGCTCCAAAAATGCTGCATTAAGTTAAATATTTATTAGTTGAGTCCCTGTTTTTCTATACTATTTTCATTTTAGATACACATTTTCCCTTCTTTTTTTTTTTTTTTTTTTTTTTGAGATGGAGTTTCACTCTTGTTGCCCAAGCTGGACTGCAATAGCAGGATCTCAGCTCACGGCAACCTCCGCCTCCCAGGTTCAGGTGATTCTCCTGTTTCAGCCTCCTAAGTAGCTGGGATTACAGGTGCCCACCACAGCGCCCGGCTAAATTTTGGTATTTTTAGTAGAGACGGGGTTTCACCATGTTGGCCAGGCTGGTCTCCAACTCCTGACCTCAGGTGATCCGCCTGCCTCGGCCTCTCAAAGTGCTGGGATTACAGGCGTGAGCCACCGCGCCCGGCCCCCTTCATTTTTGAAGGCTCTACAATGAGTTGTGACTCCTAACACTAGGGACCTTTGTTAGGACCCCCTACATAACAAAACCTGCATTTGTATCCCAGGGCAAAGCTATACATCTTTTGGCAAAGGAAAATGTGCCTCCCTGTTCCCTTACTGTTTCCCCACTTTCAACTTTTTGTTTATGAGTTTGGAATTTTGCTTTTTGAAAAGGTGTCAAAAGTGGGGCTTGCCTGGACTCTGATAGTAAAGTAGAAGAGAATCTTCCCGGTGGAAAGGAAGGACATTTATTTGAATCTGCTTTGTTTCCTAAGTGAGAAATAACCAGTTTCTCTCTTGTTTGATTGGCATCTGAGGATGGGGCCATCCCACCAAAGTACAGAGGCAGCATGGGTGGGAAATGGCCTTTCAGAGGTAAGCCCTAACAGGTGATGCCAGCAAGGCTGCCTGGGTGTGGGGCAGCTCGTTTGCTGAGATGACCCCAGCTGCTTACAGGTGCTACTCAGGGTTCCCAGGAGAGCACCCCCTGCCCTCCTCGGCTTGTCTCATTGCTTTCCTTCTCACTTGAAATTAAAAGCTTGTTTACTGCTGGCCAGGTGTGGTGGCTCACACCTGTAATCCCAGCACTCTGGAAGGCCGAGGCGGGTGGATCACCTGAGGTCAGGAGTTCGAGACCAGCCCGGCTAACATGGTGACACCCCATCTCTACTGAAAATACAAAAATTAGCCAGGCGTGGTGGCAGGCACCTGTAATCCCAGCTACTCAGGAGGCTGAGGCAGGAGAATGGCTTGAACCCGGGGGAGGGCAGAGGCTGCAGTGAGCTGAGATGGCGCCATTTCACTCCAGCCTGGGGGACAAGAGCGAGACTTCGTCTAAAACAAACAAACAAACAAAAAAGCTTGTTTACTGCAAGTAGAATTCAAAAGGGGTGATTTTTGAGTCATGTAGTGATTTTCAGTGTACACAGTTCTTAGATACCAGAATCTAAGTAAAGGTGACCCCCATTTTAACAGCAGGTGATAAATAAAAATCTGTACTTTCAGAAATATATGAATCAGGGGGCAGTCTTTCTCCATATAAAATAATTTTTCACTTCACAATCTGAAAAGTTCCTTATCTCCCTTGAGTGTTTCGAATCACTGGTTCTCAGTAGAGGTGAGAGAAACTTAACTGTGCTAGGGTGCATTGTCTCTTGAAACACAACTAAGAAGGAAGAAAAGTAACCATGAGGTCAATGGGAAGATGGGACTTAATATGCAAAGCTTATTTTACACACAGTTTTCAGGAGCATGATGCAAGGTCTGCCTATTTTTCTCATTTTTCCCTTCTCTTGTCAAGGTCCCTGCCAATGGGATCAAGGCATCAGAGGCAGAGCTGGGGTACAGAGGTTGGATTCCACTTCTGGGTGGGATAGGGGTGAAGGTAGTATGAGAAACAGCTCAATTCAAGGCCAGACTCTAGCCTTAAAGGAACAAGCGTACTTTGCATGTTGTTATTTGACAAGACTTTGCAATTATTAAAGACTTTGCTCAGAGGAAAAAGGCAGAAAAGGAGTAACCAGAAACAGTGGTTTCTAACCGTTTGATTTCATTAACAAACATATGTACCTCTAAAACAATGGAACACAACATTGGATCACTAGTAAGGAAATTGCCAAAACCTAGTTACCACTTACTATCACTTTTGCTTTGTAAAATGTTGAGAATTTTAACATGAATTTTAAAGTATAAGGACAATCTCAAAATAGAGTTATAAAAATTAAGTTCAATGAAAGAGTCACTACATTATTCTTATTTTTCTAGTTTTTTTTTTCAGGGTGAGTAAAAAACCTAATCCTGTACCGATATGAATCTGTAGACTGGATATTGTCCCCGACCCCTGCCTTTTTTTAAGATACAGGGTCTCGCTATGATGCCCAGGCTGGTCTCAAACTCTTGGGCTCCAGCCATCCTCTCACCTTGGCCCCCCAAAGTGCTGGAATTACAGGCATGAGCCACTGCACCTGGCCATTTGGGGCTTCTAACTAAAGCAAAAGGTCAGGATGGATCAGGCATCGAGAGAACTGTGGTCTCTGCTGAGGATACTTACATTTCCCATACCTAGGCGTGAGAGAAACCTGTCATCCATCCATCCATCCATCCATCTATCCATCCTTCCATCCATTCATCCATCCCTCCATCCTTCCATCTGTCTGTCCATCCTTCCATCCATCCCTCCATCCCTCCATCCATCCCTCCCTCTGTCTATCTATTCACTTATTTATTCATTCAGTGAATATTTAAGGAGCACCTACCTGTGGTAGGGCATATTCTATATGCTGGGGATTTAGCAGTAAACAAAATAGACGTTCTTAGCTCTGATACATTCCAATATAAATAGAAGACCATAAACAAGTAAACTTAAATTAAAAGAAGGGATAGGGCTATGAAGAAAAATAAACCAAGAGTGTTTATTTCAAACACAGTAATCAGAAAAATGCTCTCCCATGAAGTGAGGGCAAACCCCAATACATTTAATGGGAAAACCAAAGTGATACTTGGGGGAAGAGCCTTACAGGTGGTGCCAAGAGCAAGTGCCGAGGCCCTAAGGCAGGAGGTACTTGGAATGTATAGTAACTCAGGAGACCAGAGTGGCTGGAGCGCAGTGGCTGAAGGTGAGAGTGGTAAGGGGTAGGGTTGGGGGTGTAGCCAGGGTCAAGTTCATGTAACCTACAGCAAGATGAGCCTCTGAATGTTTTCCAAGTGTGATGGAAAGCTCTGGAGAGTTTTGCATGGGGAACTGACATAATAAGATATATACTTGAAAGGTCTGCTCTGGCCTCTAGGTGGAGAATTTTGTCTTAAGGGAGAAGGATGGAAGGAAGGGGACCAGTTGGGAGGATATTGTACTTAGCCTGGTGAGAGATGATGGTGATTTGGACCAGGTAGTAGTGG